>NC_000011.10:23810000-25060000 GCF_000001405.40 Homo sapiens
GAAGTTGTATTCTTCATTATTATGGTGTAACATTTGACATACCTCTAAGATCTGTCCAACTGATTATATTTTTTAGGCTAGAATTCCACTTTATTTACCCTCAGAATCATTACCAATGCTCTCTTATCTCTTTCACACACCTTATTCATTCCTTTATTTTTAGCCTTTTTAATGCACTTTGCTTTAGGTTTATCTCTCGTGTGCAGTGCATAGTTGAGCCTTGATTTGTAAGTCAAATGGAAGAATGTGTCTTTTAATGGATAAACTAAGCCCTTTAACCTTTATTTGTATGACTGATTTTTCTGATCTCAACTGTGTCACACCATGTTTAAATTATGTATATTGTGTTATATTTTTTACGTTTCTCTAGAAGATGCGTATCCTTTGCTCTATAATTCACAAACACTTTTTTGAAGATATTTAAGGAGTTTTGTTTTTTTGTTCTAGTGCTATTAGTTGTACATCTTTTTAATGTTCTTAGCTTCCTGGTAGCTTATTTTATGTTAAACTAGCTATTTTGCTCATTTTTAAAATTAGTTTTTATTTTTTCTGCATGCATCAATCATCCACTAGTGTTATTTAATGTAAGCATTTAACTTTCAGTTATTGACTAACAAATGAGTTTATTCTTTCCCCCTTTTCTCTCTTACTCCTCTTATATTTTACTAGTATTGTATCTATTTTGTAACAATTTATAATATTTTTACATATAATATTTTGTAGATACTAACTCTTCAAAATAAATTGCCAAGAATACACAAGTAGAAAGTATGTCCACTATCTTTGAGTTTTTTATTTTTGACTTTTAAGGTGTTTTTCTCTAACCTCAATTATAATATTTTTCATAATTCTCCTTCATATGTATGTGCTATATCAGACATAGTTCTGTGAATACAGAGGTCTTATCTTCTGTATCCTCGGAGCCCCTCAGTAATTGTTTAGTGCAATCAATATTAGTAGTAACTTTTACAAAGACCATAAGAGTGGTTTGAAATAATTTTACTGACAGTGACAATTATTTTATCCACACAGTAGTCTTCCATTTGTTCCAGTTTAGAATCCTTGTTGTTGCCTCCTGTCTAACCAAAAATATTTTGTGAATTCCAGTTTCAAAGTTCTACTAAATAGATAGTTTTAATTACTGATTCCGAAACCAAATTTTAAACTTTGACTCCATGTTAAACTGGTGTACTGAAAAGAAGCTTTTCAGATGAGAATCTAGTTCCAAAATTTGTGTGCTTCAGAGATTTTGGAGAAAAGTAACCTTCTGGCCTTTTTAAAAATCATAAAGACTGAAATGAGAACACTTGTGAAAGTTCTTTCATTTCAAAGTTTTATGTCCACATATATTTCTTTGGATTTTTCAGTCTGGGGATGCCAAACTCATTTTGCCTGTCAAGATACATTTTATCTCTCAAGTTTCAAGTAACACCTTTACAAAGTGAATATAATGGTAATATATGCCCCTCTTTGCTTCTGGTGATATGGCAGCAATGAAAGTTCACTTAAAGAGTGTTTATAAATTATTGAATAGCTGCTCCATCTACCACACTACATTAATGTGAGATTACATTTCATAACGTGAAAGTGTTTTGGAAATGGCTAAATGATATCCAAATGTGATTGTCACTGATTTGTAAGTCAGTTTAGATGAATGACACAGTCTTCATCATGCCAGCGTCACAAATTTTATACCATAAATTTTATTCACTATTCAATGTCATAAAACAAGAAATTTCGTTTTTGAAACCTGGCCTGTCCATTGCTAGCTGATGTACAGATCCTGTGGAACACATGCAAACACATACACACAGAAAGGATAGAGAGAAAATGTTAAATTACAATAAAGTAACCTTAAACAAAAATAAATTCAAGCCATAATTTAATTTACCAGTCTTTTAACTTAATTCCGGGACTGACATTTATCTAGTACACAAAAGCAATATTATTATCGTTGGTAAGTGTTGAAATTTTTCTATGGCAATTTTAAATAGCTTCTGTGCTGAGCTCCCCAAGAGCCTGTACACCATCCTGATCCTCCATCCCTAGAACTCCCATCATCTAGCTCCCAACTATTAGTCCCTGAATGAGCAGGGTCTTTGTGGATCTTGCTTCAGTGCTGTGGCACTGTTCTCATTGATTGGTGCTTTAAGTATTTTCTCTCTCACATTTCCCTATCTCTTTAAGGCAAAAGATGAATGGATGAATGAGATTTCCTCTCCAGCTTCTGTTAGCTCTCATCCACAGGATTCACTTTTAGAGACTAGCAGCAGCAGACCGACCACTGCAATATGCTTTGACTTGGCCACTTCCCAGTTCCTCCAGTTTGAGAATACTTTCCTGTATCCTTCATCTGTTTTCATCCCTCATTCAGTTTAGTCATTGCCTCTTCTTGAATGTTTCTGCTGATGCTCTGGCATATCTGAATGACCCATCTATATGTTCTCCTGGCACCATGTTTTTACATCATATCTTCATTTTACACTGTAATCACCTAATTCCTTGTATGTCTTTCTTTCTGGATTCACATTCCTTAGGCAAGGGCTTTGTTGTCTTGTGTTCAGTATATAATGTCATAAATAAAAGAATAGATACAGTTGATATGATGAGGTTAAGTACATATCAGACCCTCTGATAAGCTCTTTCTAAATTTTATCTTTTTAAATCATTGTTTTACAGACAAAATACAAATTCAGTGAGAAAAAAATAACCTACTTGAGTGCACACTGCCTGAAGTTGAACTAGCATCTGCCTGAATGTAATACTCTTATCCTACCAGCAATACCACGCTTCCTATCTACTGACTTGTAAACATGTCATTTCCCATTTAGCATCTAGGGCACTGGGCACATAATCCATACTGGATTTAAAAAAAACAGAATTAAAAACTGGCTGGTGTTTAAAATTATCTGTCAATAGTTACAATTCCAAGACCCTCACTCTTGAAAGCATTGTACTTTTATATTCACTTACTTTCTCTCCCTTTGTGTAAATTGAATAATCTTCTGTTTAAGTGTAGCTCTTTTAAAGTATTTTTAAATTTCCAGTCTAACACAGAAGGATTACATAATAGTGTGGTATGCTATCTTTTTTCTCTTCTTAATGAAACACTGTCTTCAAAATATGTGTCTTTTGCTTGTCTTAACGTGAAATTTGTGAAAAAAATAGTGAATTAATATTGTGGGATTTTTTTGTAGTCTCTTTGCTTATGGTATTTCTTATGCCTTCTCTAAAGAGGTCATTTGTGAATACAATAAAGACCTCCTAATACACACTAAGCAGGTAGGTGTGTTGGTTGGGATACAGTAGATTTTTTTCCAAGAGCTAGTAGTCACAGACAAATTTGGGGCAAGTTATTTAATCTTGCTGAGAATTCAGTTTCCTCATTAGTTAAGAAACTATAGGACTAACAATGTCTACCTCCAACAATCGGCACAGAGCCTAAGTGAGAAAATATTTGACATAGCTTATGAAAAGCAGTAAGCTGCAATCATTGTTCATCTTTTCTCTGTTCTTCACTTTTTAATGGAGCCTTATTCCAGTCCTGAAATAATTGTATGTGATCATTTTTCCTTAATTATTTCCTCAACATATATAAAATTGTTCTAAAATACATGGATTAAAATTGAGAGAAAGAGAGGTATTGTTTTGCAATAAGTGTCAGTTGTGCTTGGGACATATATTGTCATCAATTTCCATTCCAATCTGAAGAATTTGGACTAAATGCTGCATCTCTTTACTAGTGATATATTTAAAAAGGGATAAGAAGTAAAATCCTAATTTGAGTATACTGTAGAATATAAATATACTAAATCAGAGAGAAGAATATTTATAAAATACACAAAGGTTTAAAAAATTTATCAAAATAAAAGTTACTTGAACTGAATAAAGCCAGAGTTTGGTGACTCTAGTGCTAGCTAGAATGTTTTAAACGTTTGATTTTTATTTTTCCTTTTCTTTCCATTTGGTTGGTAAGTCACAGACTCATATAAAAACACGCTATGATATAACGTGTTAGTCTTTAGTATAAACAGCTGTAATGAAGAGCTGTAATGACTTAAGAAACAATTTTCCCTATATCCCTCCAGTGTAAAGTAAGGGAAGATAAGTGCCATGTGGTTTAGGATTGGTCCTTGTGACCACCGCTATATCTCTAGCCTCATGAATAGAGCCTGGCACATGGTAGGTTTGAAATGAATGTTTGTCAAATGTCATTTTATATTCATCCATTTGTTAATGTCCTAATACAGCAATGGCTGAAGTTAAAATTTGTAGAGGAATAACTCCTGAAATTTTGTAACTATTTAAAATTTAAAAAGTATGCTCAGAATTATTATCTGATCTCATTTTAGGAATATCAATCAGTTGAGGTACATGAAACAGACAGTATTATTTCAAGTTTATTGAGAAGAAAACTGATGGCCAGAGACTTGAAATTCACTTTAATGGTTCTCAAAGTTTGAAAAAGATAATTATAACTTCCAAGTGAAGCCTCTGAATTACAATCTACAAATTTCCTTCCTTCCTCCCTTCCCCCCTTTTTCCTCCTCCTATTCCTGTTCCTTTTATCCTCCTCCTCCTCCACCATCCTCCTCTTCTTCTTCCTCCTCCTTCTGCAGCTGCTGCTTCTTCTCCTTCTCCTTCTCTGTATTCTCTTCTCTTCTCTCTTCTCTTCTTTTTCTTCTTTTTCTTCTTCTTCTTCTTCTTCTTCTTCTTCTTCTTCTTCTTCTTCTTCTTCTTCTTCTTCTTCTTCCTCTTCCTCTTCTTCTTCCTCTTCTTCTTCATCTCCTCCTTCTCCTCCTTCTCCTCCTTCTTCTTTTTCTTCCTCTTCCTCTTCTTATTCTTCTTCTTCTTCCTCTTCTCCTTCTCCTTCTTCCTCTTCTATCTTCTTCTTCTCTCCTCTCTCTCTCTCTTTCTCTTTCATCTTGTAATAAGTGAGTGAGTGTCATTTAAACACTAAGCTTGGTTCTGAAGATTTAAAAATTTAAAAAAACATCAACTTATTATTGTCATTGCCCTCAAGGGCTCACGGTCTTCTCACAGATACAGATACGTAAAATACCAGTATAAATGTATGAAACTTCCAGATAAAGACGGCATGTTGAACAAACTTTTATTTTTTATTTACCAAAAACAAATAAAAGTGTTATTAAAGGAATAAAAATATATAGACACTTATAATTGCAAAGGAAATGAGGTAGAATAACAGCATGCATAATAGTCTGTTATTTAAGTCAGGAAGAACAATTAATAATTCCTAATTCAAAGCAGAGGAAGTCACAACTCAGCATGTTCACAGATAAGGATCCAGAAAATAGGAAAGTGGATTGTTCATTCACACACTGTAGAGGCTAAGACTTAGACACCAAATGCCACACAGTAAGGAGAAGGAAACAAGGTTGAACGCACAGGAACTATTCAAAATTCTGTATCTGGCACTGTACTCCTTTGTATAATACTCCTTTTAATAAAGACAGAAGACACCAGAGTATACATAAATGGTGTGTTAGGTATTGTAGACTGTACTACCTCTGTACTCTTGTTCAACTCTCCTCTTCTCTTTTGCTTCCACTATTGGGGCATGAAAAATTATTCACCCTTCTAGCCTCTAATGCAGTTTCAATAACCATGCATGAAATAAATTTGGTCAACATGACCAAAGTAGAATTCTGTGGGAGGCCTCTAAGAGGTATAATTTATGAAGCTGCAGCTGCATATTGATATTATGAGGTAAAGGCCAAAATAATTGAGAAATAGCCCATGACATTGCTAAGCTACTAAACCAATGACATCAACCACTAATTCCAGAGTTTCTGTTGTGTGAAAAAAAAAATAAAATAAAAATTTTAAGACAGTAATAGTTGCATTGTTATTTGCAAACAAACATAACCAATGATGGCATATGCATATGCATGGAGGTACTAGAGGCTGAAAGATGTATTCGTCTGTTCTCATGCTGCTAGTAAACACATACTTGAGACTGGGTAATTTATAAAGGAAAGAAGTTTAATTGACTCGCAGTTCCACATCACTGGGGAGGCCTTTCAATCATGGTGGAAGTTGAATGAGGAGCAAAGTCATGTCTTACATGGTGGCAGGCAAGAGAGTGCGTGGAGGGGAACTCTCCTTTGTAAAACCATCAGATCTCATGAGACTTATTCACCATCATGAGAACAGCATAGGAAAGACCTGCTCCCATGATAAAATTACCTCTCACCGAGTCCCTCCCATGATACATTGTAGCTCCAAATTATAGGAGATACAATTCAAGATGAGATTTGGGTGAGGACAAAGCCAAACCATATCATTCCACCCCTGGCCTCTCCCAAATCTCATGTCCTCACATTTCAAAATCAATCATGCCTTCCCTTCAGTCCCCCAAAGTCTTAACTCATTTCAGCATTAACTGAAAGGTCTATAGTTCAAAGTCTCATCTGAGAGAAGGGAAATTCCTAAAGTTTATGAGCCTGTAAAATCAAAAGCAATTTAGATACTTTCTAGATACATTGAGGGTATAGACATTGGGTAAATACAGCTGTTCCAAATGGGAGAAATTGACCAAAACCAAAGGACTACAGACCTCATGCAAGTCCAAAATACAGCAAGGCCGTCAAATTGTAAAGCTCCAAAATGACCTTCTTTGACTCTATGTCTCACATCCAGGTCATGTTGATGCAAGTGGTGGGTTGCCGTTACCTTGGGCAGCTCTGCCCTGTGGCTTTGCAGGGTACAGCACCTCTCCTGGTTGCTTTCATGGGCTGGCATTGAGCGTCGTCAGCTTTTCCAGGCACACAGTGAAAGCTCTTGGTGGGTCTACGATTCTGGGGTCTAGAGGATGGTGGCACTCTTCTCACAGCGCTACTATGCAGTGCCCCAGTGGGGACTCTGTATGGGGCCTCACACCCCACATTTTTCTTCTGTACTGCCTTAGCAGCAGTTCTCCATGAGGGCTCTGCCCCAGTAGCACACATCTGCTTGGGCATTGAAATCTAGGCAGAAGTTCCCCAACCTCAATTCTTAACTTCTGTGGACCTGCAGGCCCAATGCCACATGTTAGCCACCAAGCCTTAGGGCTTTCACTCTCTGAAAAAAATGGCCTGAGCTGTACGTTGGCCCCTTGTAGTCATGGCTGCGATGCAGGGCACCAAGTCCCAAGACTCCATAAAGCAGTAAGGTACTGGGCCCGGACCACAAAACCATTTATTCCTCCTAGGCCTCCCAGCTTGTGATGGCGGGGGCTGCCGTGAAGACCTGTGACATTCCCTGGAGATATGTTCCCCATTGTTAATCCCTCGGTGATTAACATCTGGCTTCTCTTTACTGATGCCAATTTCTGCAGCTGGCTCCAATTTCTCTGCAGAAAATGAGTTTTTCTTTTCTGTTGCATCTTCAGGCTGCAAATTTTCTGACCTTTTATACTCTGCTTCCCTTCTCCTTCCCTTTTAAACATAAGTTCCAATTCCAAACCACATCTTGTGAATACATAAAACTGAATGCTTTTGACAGTACCCAAGTTACATCTTGAATGCTTTGCTGCTTAGAAATTTCTTCCGCCAGATGCCCTAAATAATCTCTTAAGTTAAAAGTTCCACAGATCTACAGGACAGGAGCAAAATGCCACCAGTCTCTTTGCTAAAACATAGCAAGAGTCACCTTTATTCCAGTTCCAAACAAGTTTCTCATCTTCACCTGAGACCACCTTAGTCTCAACTTTATTGTCCACATCACTATCAGCATTTTGGTCAAAGCCATTCAACCAGTCTCTAGGATGTTCCAAACTTTTCCACATTTTTCTATCTTCTTCTGAGCCCTCCAAAATGTTCCAAACTCTGTCTGTTACCCAGTTCCAAAGTTGCTTTCAGATTTTTGGGTATCTTTACAGCAGCACCCACTCTACCGGTACCAATTTACTGTATTAGTCTGTTCTCACACTGCTAATAAATACATGCGTGAGACTAGGTAATTTATAAAGGGAATAGGTTTAATTGACTCACAGTTCCATGTTGCTGAGGAGGCCTCACAATAATGGTGGAAAGCAAATGAGGAACAAAGTCATGTCTTACTTGGTGGCAGGCAAGAGAGCTTGTTGAGGAGAACTCCCCCTTATAAAACCATCAGATCTCACAAGACTTAGTCACTATCATGAGACCAGCATGGAAAAGACCCACCTTCATTATTCAATTACCTCCCACCTGGTCCCTCCCACAACATGTGGGAATCATAGGAGCTACAATTCAAGATGAGATTTGGGTGGGAACATAGAAAATTCATATCAAAAGAAAAAGTAAAAATATATTGGCTGAGGGCAGTGGCTCATGCCTGTAATCCCAGCACTTTGGGAAGCAGAGGAGGGTGGATTACCTGAGGTCAGGAGTTTGAGACCAGACTGGCCAACATGGTGAAAACCTGTCTCTACTAAAAAAAAAAAAAAAAAAAAAAAAAATTAACTGGGTATGGTGGCAGGTGTCTGTAATCCCAGCTACTCGGGAGGCTGAGGAACGAGAATCACTTGAAACCAGGAGGTGGAAGTTGCCGTGAGCCGAGATCACACTGCTGCACTCCAACCTGGGAGCTAGAACAAGACTCAGTCTCTCTCTCTCTCTCTCATATATATATATATATGTATATATATATATATATATATATACACATATCTCATATATATGTCTCTGTTATATATACATATATTTTTATATATATTATATATATTATATATATATATATATATATATATATATATATATATAACAGAGACAAGGGTCAATGTGTCAAAACACTGAGGTTTTGAAATTTCAGATTGCAAGTGAAGTAAGACATTTTCTACCGGGACAGGTAGAAGATATTAGCATGGGTATAGATTCATATAAGAGGATGGCAAGTAAGGAGGGGTAAACTATTGAGAAATATCTTGCCTAAAACTTTAGTTTTCTCTATGAGGTAAGATGTGAGGTCATCTATTAATTCTGTGTTTAAACGTGTGTGATTTTGCTTATGATTGTTTGCTGAAAGATTGAGTATTCTAAGAAGTAATAAAGATTAAAGTAAAAGTTGAAGTGAATTAGAATTGTAACTAACTGAAATAGTACAGATAGATTCTACACAAATTGGGGTCTCAGCTGTAGTTTGAAATGTGACCTAACAGCAGTGTTTCTCCATGGCTTTTCATCCCCTAGTTAAACTTTTTAAGTATGTTTTCTCCATAAAATTGTAATGTTTTGATATTCTCATTATGATTTGATATATCATTAATGTTTTGATATACTCACTATACAAATTTTAATGTCTTGGTAGACTCATTTTTATGTTTTGATATACAAAATTAATGTTTGATATACTCAACTTTCTCTTTTAGAGGTCAAAAAACCATTACAATATCTCAATTTTTTGTCCTTCCTTCCCCCCAACCGAATAATCAATTTTCAACCTTTTGAAATAAATGATTATTTAGAGGAAGAGTTTTCTTACTTGGCCCCCACCAAAAACTGGTGAAAGGTTACTGAACTATTATATCCTCTTATTGTTGCCATAATGGCAACATGGTGTAGTGATAGAAACATGACTTTGGAATCACAAAGGCAGACATGTTTCTTTATCCTGTTTACTCATTTACTTCCTGTTTGAACTTGGGTACTTTGCTTCACTTTTATGATCTTCATCTGTGATCACATATAAAGTTTCTAGCATGTAGTTTTTAAAAATTAACAGATGGCATTTTTGATGTTTTTATGCTTTTGCTTTATTGAAAAAGTAATTGAAAAAATGAGTTAATAGATTAAAATTTTAAAAATGTCAACACGTGAAATATAGTGATGAGGAAAAGAAAATAAGCAGTAAAAGTAATAGAGATGGAACAACTAGTTGTGTTAAGAGTGAGATGCTGGAGTATAATATTTCATATATGAAGCATTTTGTGTTAAGGACAAAGCCTAGGCATATATGTGAGTATAGTTTGCTGGAGTGGATTTTCAGGCCCTTGAAGACATTAATTAAGAGACATTAATATGGAGGTATAAAGTAGGTGGTCAACATGGATATTAAAATCATCCAAGACCAGGAACAAAGACTCAGTATAGAGAGTGACCAGCAGATAGCAGATGACATCATTAAGTTGACAGAGAGAAACTTAGCAAGATAACACAAGATTTACAATGAAAAGCTTTTCATGCATGAGAAGGTGGAAGCAGAGTGAACACGAAGCAATATTAAGACCTGGAAAATACTGATGTTTCTTCCATTTGGTGGCATTATGGTATGTGGGGAGAGGACAAATCAAAGGTAAAGAGCAAGTTTTATAACTCAAATGCGATGTACAACCCACATACTAGGTTTCTAACATCACACAAGTTATTAAGGTCTTCTGAGTCTCAGGTTATATAAAATTGGAATAATAATGTCAAACTCAGGGAATTATTATTCTGATAAATGTAACACTATCAATGAAATGCTGAGTAAAGGACTGGGCACTGGTGATCCTTCAAAAAAGTGGCGGCTATTTCTATTTTTAACCTCTGCTGGGAAAACATGAAAAGATGTGGTCTTGGGGAAAGGCGATGTTGCAGTTAAGATAAAGAGTAGTCGAAAAGAGACTATAAGAAATTTGAGAACTGCCATTGCAGCATCCTGTGGCAATAACCTATGATATAAAACACTGACTTATAAGTGGGAGAAAACAGCTAAAGCTACTTCTCAGATGTGAAGTCTTAAAACAGATCCCCAGTTGCAATTCCACAGTATATCACAATTGCATTTTCCCCCTTCAGACATTTTACCAATAGCTTCTACTGCTATGCTTCCTGGTAGACCTTTATCAATGAGGAAGTAACCTTTTATCCAGCTACAGAATGAGACAGGAGGGCAGCAATCAATGAAACTTACAGGTTTTGTAAATGACACAGCCATTTTCACAGTTTCTAAAGTCCTGAACTTGACTCAATTATTTGTAGAGTAACGACAAATGTGAAAATACTACACCATTCATATAATAATGGCAATGAAATTTCCTGATACAGATAAAAGATAACTTTTTGTTAGATCTAATTATGTTTACATGAATTAAAAGCTATGATATTGAATATGTACTCATACTTGTCATGACTAACAATTCAAGCCTTGACTCAAAGTACAACTTGGTGTGTGGAAAAGACCATAGGGACTACTTACCATGTCATTACATGTGCTATATAGAAGTTTGTTACAGGACCTTAATTTTTATTGGTCTGCTGAAACAGGAATTTGTTTTTATATCCAAATTTGAGATATATAATTTTCTATCATTTAATGTGAAAATGATATATCCCACATACTATATCCTATAAGTATACATTCATTTTATCTTAGAGCCAAATAATCACCTTTTAGAATAAAATCAAATTTGTATTTTAGTTTAAATGCATTTTGTCAATTTTACTACCACGTTTTGACAAAAATTTCCAAAAGCAATCTGTTCTCTGAGAAGCACAGACTCATAGACCTGAATTAAATAAAGTTTGGGAACTTTTGGACTCTTATGTTTTTCAATATACACAAAAGGAGAAAGATGAGAAATCAGCATTTTGGTAGATACAAATGACAATGTAAGGCACCATTTTAAAGCATTCTTAATGAACATCTTCTAGTATACAGAGACTACAGACAGGTGCTCCAATGTATACGAAATATGTGAAATTTTATCTGATAATTATTTTTAAATAATACTTAATGCTTTAGAGGAGACATAAGCAAAATCAAACAGTTGTCATGATGGCAAGATGTAACCATGAAAAGTTCCCTGAATATTGGAGAGAAGTGTCCACAAAATGAAGAAAGTTTTTAAGACATGTAATAATAAAAAAGGTTTTATTGCAGCCAGAGTCATATTGCAAGCAAGAAATTCAATGTAGAAAAAAATTTAAAAACCACAAATAGTAAAGCTTAAACATAGGAAAGCTTGAGTCTGATGATATTACGGAGCAACAAAAATGATGCTAGCAGTAACACACATCATTATTTCTCACCGCATGAGGAAGTAATACCCCTATATGTGAAGACTCTGGTGGTTGGGCTTTTGGTCTCTTACAAATAAAACACTTTCCTAATTTCTACAACCACCTGTTACTTTGAAAATCAAGTATAAAATATTCAGCTCAGTTTTCGATCCTTTTTTTTTTTTGGTCCCATTTATTTTTTGTTGCCTCATCACACTTGTGCTCAATCTAGTTACTCTGAGCTTAATGATAAACAAGAGGAGCCTACATTTGTCCCACTCTTCCTTTGTGCCTAGCTAAGATCTTAAGGGAGGTCCCATATATTCATTGTAGCAACCTTAAGAATACCGTGCTATTGTTGTACATAGTTTATACATTGCTGTGTTCTGAAGTTTGTGTCAGCTCCAAAATTTATATGTGGAAAATTAATTACCAAAGTGATGGTATTAGAAGATGAGGCCTTTGGGAGGTGATTAGATCATTAGGGCCTCACCCTCATGAATGGCATTAATATCTTATAACAGAGGCTTCACGAAGTGTTCGCTCCTTTTGCCTTCTGTTCCTTCAGCCATGTGAGAACATAGCATTCTGTCCCTCTGGAGGACACAGTGTTCCCGGTGCCATGTTGGAAGCAGAGACTGGACTTTTACCAGACACCAAATCTGCCAGAATCTTGATCTTGAACATAACAGCCACAAGAACTGTGAGAATTAAATTTCCATGATTTATAATTACCCACTCTAATGCATTTTGTTATAGCAGCAGAGGCTACAGAGATGCATGGAGTCTTAGGTTCAAAACTATGAAGTAACTAGTCCAAGGTTATACAAGTAATGACTGTAGAATGTAGATTTGAACAGGTTTGTCTTACATCTACTTTAAATCATTATGCAATATCGCCTACTAGAATTAATGATTTGTTATATAAGGTATAAGGGATAAAATTATATAGATTTGATATGCAAACCCTGATTTGTTAAGGATTGATGGAAAAGGAAGAGAAAATAGAATCTAACACAACACATATGTTTATTTTATATACTTATGCTTGTTGTTTATGCATACTTTTATACTTTTATACATAAAATACTCTCCCAGGAAATACTTATAAGCAAAATGCCAAAATTTAGCCCTAATGAAATGAAAACAGCCAAGAAATGCATGCTCTAATTTTTTTGAAATTCTACTTCAAGGAAAATACAAACAAGTTATTTAGAGACCAATTACTCAGCACTTTGTTAATTAGATGTATTGAACAAAGTGTGTTTCTGTTTGTTTTGAAAATTGATATTTGAACAGTGTTACAGCAGCAGTCAAATATTCATCTTGAGTTAGAACTTTCACCCCCTCACTTCTCCCACCCTAGGTGCTGTGGCCTAATTTCAGTATCTTGTATAATAAAGAAACCAAGACCAATTTGTATTTTGAGAAAACGTGAGTGGCTTCAGTCTTGACAGTTCGTATTTTTACAATTATGCAGATACAAATTTTATAATAAGAGAACTTTATATAAATGAGTTAGTTGGTTTCCAAAATATTCAAGAGAGCTGTCTCATATTTTCTAATTTCAATGTGAAGAAAAGAGAAAATGCTTGATGATCTGATAATACTACTGTTTGTATACTTTCCCTCATCCCGTGTCTTTCCCATCTCTATCCTTTACTTTGTAAACATGTTTTCTTCTTTGATTAAGAAATTGGCAATAGGTAGGCAAATCATGTGGTGAGAATACAAATCATGATTGTATACAATGCCAGTAGGCTTTATAATAGCTAGTATATACTTAAAGACAGATGAAACATGAAAACACTTTGTAAGCAGAGTTAGACAAATAAAATATTTATGAAAGGGAAAAGAATAGAAAGAACACTAGAAGGACATGAAACTGACTCCCCCCCTGAATCTTTAGCATAATAATAGATTTATGCTAAATTTTGTTTGTGTCTTTGTTTTGGTGACTTTTTAAATTAGAAATTCTTTAACATCTAAAGCTTTTCTTCCTGAGGTTAACCATATTTGTTAATTCTGGTAAAAATGAAATTAAAAAGAGACAATACTTGTTTTTCATGTTATTGCGTTTATCTTCAACTCAACTTCATGATGTAAAGAACCTCTACTTTAGATGATAAAATATAAATATATGATTAAGTATATGTTAAATATAAACATATGCTTATATACTCATATAAATAAATATGTCAAATATTTTCTCAAGGTGATACATCTAGAAAATGTTGAAGCCAGAATTCCACTTAGGTCCTGTTGATATCGATGCTGGTTCTTTTTTACCTTAGACATCACAGAAGTCTTAAAGTATTTGAATATTGCACGATGCATTTTTATAAGCATTGAGAAGCAGTTAAACTACTAGAAATTGGATTACTCAGAGAGTATCAGCTGAGTTTTTATTTGGTAAGATAGTAAAAAGAAAGACCTGCTTCTTATTACTTCTCACAAAGAAACAACAGCACAGAATAAAAACTAAATAATCAAACAATACAAAAGTTAATATTATTAATAATTATTAGCACTAAATTATTTCCTGCTAATCATAGATAAAGTAGGTATTCAGGACTCAGAGTAAACAGATTGACTTCATAGTTATCTTGGATTCAATAAGACAAAACAAAATATGATAGCCATTGTATTATGGAAAATTATTTTTCAATTGAAAAGATACTTTTGTTTTTTTTTAAAAAAAACACTGGATAACTTAGTACTTTATCTTTAATGCATATTGTTTGTGTGTACTTAGAAATTTGTGGAGAAACACATGTTCCAGTAAATTGACGTGGGCTTTCACTTGCAGAGAAAAAATTGGTTTGATGGGAGATACTGTGAAATCAAATTCGTAACAGTGTGTACATTGACAAGAACACCGGTTTGAGCTTTAAGTTAAATGAAATTCAAATCCCAGTTCTACCACTTGTTGGTTCTTATTTTTTATTTTTATTTTTGCTGTAAGCAGATAGCTTGGCTTTTTCAGCCTCACTTTGTATTATCCACAAAACAGAGGTAATGGTATCTACAAAATACTATTGAGAAATGAATTATAACACAATAAACATTCAATATAAAGTACTAAAGTTCTTGAATATAGCCAAGGTAGGATGTTTAAAGAATGTATGTATATTAGTCTATTTTCATGCTGCTATAAAGAACTACCTGATATTGGGTCATTTATAAAGAAAAGAGGTTTAATTGACTCATACTTCCACATGGCTGAGGAAACCCCACCAAACTTACAATCATGGTGGAAGGCAAAGAGGAAACATGCACCCTCTTACATAATGGCAGTAGAGAGAGAGAGAAAAAAAAAAAACTGCCAAACACTTTCAAAGCATCAGATATCATAAGAACTCACTCACTATCATGAGAACGTCATAGGGAAACAGACCTCTTGATTCAATCACCTCCCACATGGTCCCTCCTTCCACATGTAGGGATTACAACTTAAGATGGGATTTCAGTGGGGACACAAAGCCAAACCATATAATTCTGCCCCTGGGTCCTCCAAAATCTCATGTCATTTTTACATTTCAAAATCAATCATGCCTTCCTAACCATCCCCAAAGTCTTAACTCGTTCCATTATTAATTCAAAAGTCCAAGTCCAGAATCTCATCTGAGACAAGGCAAGTCCCTTCTGCCTATGAGCCTGTAAAATCAAAGACAAGTTAGTTACTTCCAACATACAATGGGGATACAGGTATTGGTTAAATGTTCTCATTCAAAATGGGAAAAATTGTCCAAAACAAATGGCCGCAGGCCTCATGCAAGTCCAAAACCCAGCAGGGCACTTATTAAATCTTAAAGCTCCAAAATAATATGTTTTGGCTCCATGTCTCAAATCTGGGGCACACTGATGCAGGGGATGGGCTCCCAAGGCCCACTCTGCAGGGTACAGCTCCCGTGATTGCTTTCACGGGCTGGCATTGAATGCCCATGGCTTTTTCAGACCCTTGGTGCAAGCCAGAATGGTGGATCTACCATTCTGGGACCTGGAGGATGATGGCCCTCTTCCCACAGCTCTACTAGGCAGTTCCCCATTGGTGATTCTGTGTGGGGGCTCCAACCCCACATTTCCCCTCTGAATTGCCCTAGTAGAGGTTTTCCATGAAAGCTCTGCCCCTGAAGCAGAGCTGTGTCTGTACATCCAGGCATTTCCGTACATCCTCTGAATTCTAGGTGGAGGTCTCTAAACCCCACTCTCAGTACCAATTTTCTGTATGAGACCATTTTCACAAGCCATAAAGAAGTACCTAAGACTTGGTCATTTATAAAAAAGAGGTTTAATTGACTCACAGTTCTGCATGGCTGGGGAGGCCTCAAGAAATGTACAATTACGGCAGAAGGTGAATGACAAGCAAGCATCTTCTTACATGGTGACAGGAGACAGAGAGATAGCAAGGGAGAAACTGCCAAACACTTTTAAAGCATCAGATATCGTGAGAACACACACCCTATCATGAGAACAACATAGGAGAAACCATCCTCATGACCCAATCACCTACCACCAGGTTTCTCTCTCAACATGTGAAAGTTACAATTTGAGATGAGCTAAACCATATCAGTATGTTTCTTATATTTAAGTGAGATTTTCCTAGACAACAAGTCAAAATACATTTCTTGGGTACTGAGCAAATTTCTCAGTCAATAATTTGAGGAATTTGGAAAAACGTTCAAGGATTATTATTGTTTAGAGTACAGATAATGCAGGTAATTTCAAAGTCAAGTTTTTTATGCTTGTTTTTTCATGACAAGTACAATTCCAGTGCTGTTCTAATGAAAAAGAACTATCAAAAAAAATTATGCATTGGCATAGCCTAGCCAAGAATTACACCTGTCTTTTGTGAGTTTTCTGTCATCCAGTGCTTGTGGATTTAGCTGTCTTGAAACGTGGCATGAGTGTTAGTGTTGCATATTCAACCCTGCTTAAGTGTCTTGTTTGCAAATAAACATGCTACTATTTTAACTACTCACTCCAGCTGTTCTCATATGGTTTGGGTGGCTGTGCATAAATAGACAGGTTGTAGATATTGGGGTCAGGGGGAGAGGTTCCCTCTTCTTGATGTAGCATGAACAGGGGAATAATTGATGAAGCACTTACTCTTCACTGCCAAATTGTAAGCAGCATCTGAGTATGTTTTGTCAAAGCTCCCAGGGAAGGCAAACTGTTACTGATTCCCCTCATGCTGTCCCTTTAGCCCTTATCTGAAATTTCTAGCCTAGTAGTGTGTAAGTATGCCTGGCTGCCAGTGAGTGACATGATACAAACACGAGAAAGAGCCAAGGAATATCTCCTACTCAAGCAGAACAATAAGACAATTGGCTGGAAAATCTGAATTTTTTGTAAGGTGCTAGGAGAGTTGCAGACACATTGTGTAGCACAAAGGACAAAGATCAGGTCTATAATCATGTTTCCTAAGACATCAGTGCAGGGACTTAGGAGCTCTCATATTTAATCTACAGAAGTCATTATTAAACTGACAGGGTAAATTTGAAAACTGCATGAATATTTGGAATCAGTATAAAAATAAAGAGAAATTAGACCTTGTTTTGTATGGCTCTGGAATATAGGTAAATCCAGGATCACTTGTTGAGGGGAAGGGCCATTTCAGTTTGAATCAAAAGAGAGCATTCTAATATTTACAATTATTTTTAATTAAATTGTGTGACTACGAGAAAAAGAAAATTCCCCATCACTGGGGGTATTTGAGGAAAGGCAGCAACAAAGATGATGTAGAAACTATTCAATCTTAAATATGTATTTTGCAATAATGAGGGTCATTATTTAGCCAACTAATGGTGAGATGAGGACAATGCACCTAGGCTACCTAATTCCATTTGCCTTACAATATTCCCTCAGGGTTCAGGATCATTTCACTCAGCACGTTATTATTTAGTCCATCCATAGTTTCAGTTTGATGAGATGTTGAAGAGGCTCTGTATTTGCCTTGAGATAGAAAGAGGATTTTGGGTTTAGGCAAAATCTGTCCTGAGGTTGGTGAGAAACTTTCACTACTCACATGAGACACAAAGCTGTGGTGTTTGGTTTTGTGAGAATACTTTTTTAGTCGTGATTTTTATTCAATAGTTAATTATATGGTCAATCTTGGAAATGTTGATGCCATATTAATATAAAGCAGTCTATACGTTTGTTCCCTGCTTCTAATCAGCAAAGACATCTTGATTTCATTGTAAAAATAATTCTGAATTCATCTGAGTCATTCCCCTCATCTAAATTTCTATTACCATCCTCATAATTTAGATTCTCATTACTTAGGCTCTGCAATTTCATAATAGAGTTCTGACTGTACTCCCAGGCTCCCATCATACCTACTTTGTTAGACTTTTCACTCTCCAGCCTTAAGGAGCTATCTAAATTCAAATATGGTCCTTTGCAAAATGCTTTAATGGCTCCATATTTGCCATAAAACTGATTCTCAAACTTTTCTAGCTGAGAAATAATTTATTTTTCACAAAGTCATATGTGAGGCACCAATATAACCAAATAATTACATATTTCTATGTAATTAAAAGTGCATCTATCATACAGTTTTAACATTTGCTTATTGTAAAGCCAATTATTAATTTATTTTAAAATCATTTTGATTTTAATAATGTTTTTAAACTAGATTTTCTAGGTAACAGTTGCATTTTTTAATCAATGTCTTTCTCATTTGGAGATATATATATATATACACCATTAAGAAAATATTACAGCCAACCATTGTATGTCACATTCTTGTTGTAAAATAGAATATTGAAATGTATTCTCATCATAAATTACTATAAATTATAACACTATGTACTTTCTAAACTTTCAGTGTTTAGTTCACATAGAAGTTTAAAAATTGAAATAAAATGTCATTTTGCTTTCAAATTTGAGGTATTAATACAAATTGCCCACTTACTTGAATTAGTAAATTTTACATTTAGGAGTTGGTGAATAGATTCTCAGCAAGTTTAGTTTATTTTTCAGATTGTATCTTTACAAGTATATCATATAATATTTCCGTACGTTCAAGTATATCCATTAAAAAATCTCAGATACTGTATTGCGTATCTTTAAATTAATTCATAAAAAATTATAAAAGTTCAGTTTGGTTAGTCAGCCCAAACTTTGTATGAAGTTTCTCATTGAATTCTGAATTCTTCAACAAAGTGTTAGCTTTGCAAGACTGAATCATCTAATCAAGTTTACTTATCTCTTGAAAAATAGCGAAGGATGCAAGTTGGTATAATCATGTTGTACCAGATAAGTATTTCAATAATGGATTTTCTTTGTCATGAAAAAATAGTGATTTGTTGTCTCATTAAAAAGGTGTGTAGCAGCACCTTCCCTCAGGACACCCAATGAGCTTCAGCAGAAAAAAAACAAATTCTGCAAAGCACTTCTTGTTTTATTAAAAATAAATTCGGAATGTCAGCAATTTCAAAACTTAATGTATTCACATTTATATGCCATTATTTAACATGTAATTTGTTAATGCTGGCATCAACTAAATTACCACTGCTTATCTAAATAATAGCCATTCCTATCTGAATGTATTTCAACAGATTTCATATGAGCTGGTGTTTCTCTAATTTTGTGCCATTGTTTTTATTCCATCAGTACAATTATTCTATGTTTTTTCACTATTTAGTTGATGGTGTACTAAAATTTATCTAAATACACAAAATATTGTATTATATTGTATAAGTTTTATACTTTATAAAAATATTCTTAAAATACCCAAACTCTCAAGCAGATAAATTGAAAATATTTTGCACAAACTAAATCCTCCAAACTATTTCATCAAATAAATGCACAAATAAACACATTTAGTTGTCTTTGAAAAGTAACATATCAAATGGCTACATACATCTCTATATCCTCTGTCCTGACTCATTATTTTTCATAAAGTCTGTAAGTATATTGCATATTTATTTGTCTACTTACATGTTATCTACCACCTATTCTGGAGTATAAGACTGTATGTACCTAATTGTCTGCTATCTACTCTGAATCTTGAAAAGTGCTGTTCTCAGAGTAGGAGCTCAGTAAGTATATTTTTAAAGAATTAATGATGTACATTCCTTATTTCTTCTTTGATATTTTTGAAAAAATTAATTATGTACATCTCTGATTTCTTCTTTGAACTAAATTATACCAATTGGATTTTAATAGTGACGTTCTTACTTATAACACATATAACATTATCAGCACTATGGAATCTAATTAATATTTCTTCCTGAAGATGTATGTCTCTTTATTACATATGTGCATTTACATTATCAGATTAAATTTTCTTTGCATAATTATTCTGGTAATACAGAATAATTAAATTTAGGTTGAAAGCAACAAGAATTATTTAAGGCTCATCATGTTTTTATTCAGTATAATGTAATTTAACAAAGACCATATAATATTTTTGCAAAAATTATCATAAAAATTTATCTAGTAGACAGGAAATATATAGGCAATATATATTGAAATAATAAACCTAAATAAAATATATTTTTAATTTTTTTCATATATTTTTGGTGATGTTTTCTGACTGTAGTTACTAGCAGGATAAAACAATAAAAATTAACATCCTGTGTTAACTTCTTCCAATAAAAGCAGATGCTTTAGTTATGCATGCTGAATCAGGGGTATAGTGCAAACTCCAAGAATATCCCTCCATGGCAGTGAGATATAACTCTTATTTGGTGGGGAAAATTTAACAAGACACTTAAAATGCTATAGGAAAAATATTCTCTCCAATAAAGTATTTTCAGAGTTTCAAATGATCTATCCCTCACTGGTTGCATGTAGACACACACACACAACACACACACAGCACACACACACACACACACACACACACACACAAGTTAATAGTTCAGCAAGGAAGGCAAACTAGCTGCAGGTAAGATGACACTGAAGTAATGAAAGTTTCCCACGTAGTATAATAAAGAAAGTAGATTACATTAAATCTCCTTTAAAAACAGACATTATCTAGGAAAATAATCTAAAGGAAAAAAAAGTAAAAGGAATAGAATTTACATGCAGGAGACAGGTGAGAAATGGTAAGACAAAATATTAACTTCTTTAAGTGTAAAATTCAGAGACACAAAAAAATTTCAACAAGAGAATTTACTGTTAAATATAATTCACTACGACAAGATCTCAAAGATATAACGATAAAACAACAGAGATAAAAATGGAGATTGCAGAACTAAGAAAACAAACTGATAACCAAAATAAATCCATCAGATAAGTAATATATAAAGTAAAATTAAAATAATGAGATAACTTAAAATTGAAAAATGAAGTTCCTCCTATAAATAGATTTGTATTTTATTAAATAAAACAATTCACTTGAAGTAATGATAAGGAGAAAGATGCAAATGCCAAAAATGTTCCAACAGAAACATTAGTAACAAACATTAATATTTAAAATATTTTTAAAGATATTATAATTTTAAAAATAGTTTTTGAGAGAAAAAAAGAATCTTCAGATTTAAAGGGCCAAACATATTTTAGAGAAAAAAAATCCATAATGAAAAAATTAAGCTATAGCTTTATTACATTATTGAAGGTCCAACATAAAATAAAAACATATGTTCAGAACCAAAGCAATGCAGTTAAGTCACCTCTAATGAGTGAAACAACATGGCTAGCCTTTCACTTCCAACGTAGCAACATGCAGTGTCTACATATAGTGGAAATGTATACAGCATATTGAGTGGGACAAAAAGAGCATCCTGATACTATCATACCAAGGCTATTTGTTATTTATATATAAACACAATAGATGAGCATTTGTAAATTTGAAAACAAAATCCAGGATTGAGTTGGCAACAAAATTCGGCTAATAGATAATGAGATGGCCACAATCAATGGCCTAACAACACCCAATGACAGAAGCCAGATGATTTATATCTATATGTGAGAGAAAGTGTGGCCCCCAAACTTTTTTACCTACTATAGTTGTTCGAGGATAAGGAACATGATAACTCAAGAACTGCAACACCAATAAGCCCTTCTTATAGGTACTGAGGCTGGTAGACATTAGTTAAGTTTAAAGAACACAGCAATACATTAATATTCAGAACTTGGTTTAGATAAATTTGTAAAGAATGGTGTTAGCATTTAATTCATTTATATAGGAAACTACAAAAAATTACCTTTGGTAAACTATGTTTATAAAGGACAATATGAATGGTCTAAACTTCAACAGTCTGAAACATTAGACGAATTAAATTTTAGTCTTGGAGAAAGACAAAAAGGTGAAAATCCTTAAAACAGAGTTAAAACATTATAATATTAAATCCCACCATTAATTGTGATTTTTAAAATGTTTTCAAAATTTTAAATTATACAATGGTCATCTTGAAATAAAATATTCTATTGGAAATAGGCAACTATATACACTAGTTTTGTCTAGTACAGTACTACATGTGGCTATTGAGCAGTTGAACTTTGGCTGGTCTGAGATGAGATGTCTTAAAGTGTAAAATAAACACTAGATTTCAAAGAGTTACATAAAAACAAGAATGAAAAACATTTTATTAGATACTTTTATGTTAATTAAGTATGAAATTATAGTATTTTTGATATATTGGATTAAGTATAATATATATTAAAACTAACTTCTCCTGTTAGTCTTTATGCTGCTGAAATGCGGTTATAAGAGATTCATATTTATATGTTCTTCACATTATATTTCTGTTGGACAGCACTAGACTGGGCAGCACTATTGGACCTCAGAGATATCGTGGGTTTGGCTCAAAAAAGTGAATTACACATATTTTTGGGTTTTCCAGTACATAAAAAAGTTACATTTACACATATTGTGTCTATCGAGTGTGCAATAGTATTAAGTCTAAAAATGTACCTACCTTAATTTTTAAAATACTTATTGCTAAGATTACTAATAATCATTTGATCATTCAGAGAGCTGTAATCCTTTTGCTGGTGGAGGGAAGATCTTGACTCAATGCTGATGACTGCTGACAGATCAGCATGGTACTTGCAGAAGACTGGAATGACTGTGGCAATTGCTTAAAACAAGACAACAATTAAGTTTGTCACATCAGTTGACTCTCTTTCACAAACGAATTCTCTGTAGCACGTGCTGCTGTTTGATATCAGTTTACCTGCAGTAGAAGATATTTCAAAATTGGAATCAGTCCTCTCAAACCTTGCTGCTGCTTCATCAACTAAGTTTATGAAATATTCTAAATCCTTTGCTGACATTTCAATAATATTAACATTATCTTCACTGAGAGTAGACTCACCTCAAGAAAACATTTTTTTTTTTCATTTGTAACAAGCAACTCTTCATCAATTCAAGTTTGTTCAAGAGATTGAAGCAATTCAGTCACCTGTTCAGGCCCCACTTCTAATTGTCATTATCTTACTATTTCCACCACATGTGTAGTTACTGCCTCCACTGAAATCTTGAACCCCTCAAAGTCATCCATGAGAGCTGGAATTAACTTCTTCCAAACGTCTGTTAATGTTGATATTTTGACGTCCTCCCACGAATCACAAATATTCTTTTTCACGTCTTGTATGGTGAATCTTTTCCAAAAGGCTTTCAGTTTATTATGTCCAAATCCATCAGAAGAATCACTGTATATGACAGATGTAGGCTTACCAAATGTATTTCTTAAATAATAAGACTTGAAAGTCAAAATTATTCTTCATCTATGGCTACAGAATGATTTTAAATCTATTCTGCAGCACAGGCAGAATAGATTTAGCATAATTCTTAAGGGTCCTAGGATTTGGGGAATGGTGAATGAGCATTGGCCTCAATTAATGTCACCAGCTGCATTATTCCCTGACAAGAGAGTCAGCCTGTCCTTTGAAGTTTCGAAGCCAGACATTGAATTCTCTTCTCTATAAAGTCTGACGTGACATCTCCTTCCAACGTAAGGCTGTTTTATCTATGTTGAAAATCTGTTATTTAGTGTAGTCACCTTCATCAATTACCTTAGCTAGCACTTCTATATAACTTGCTGCAGCTTCTACATCAGCTCCTGTTTCTTCATTTTGCACTTCCATGTAATAAAATTGGCTTCTTTCCTTAAACCTCATGAACCAGCCTCTACTAGCTTCAAGCTTTACTTCAGAGCTTCCTTACCTCTCTCACCCTTGGTAGAATGGGTAAGGCTTTGGCCTAAGGGAATGTCATGGCTGATTTGATCTTCTCTCTTGGCTACTAAAACTTTCTTCATATTAGCAATAAGGCTGTTTCACTTACTTATTCTTGTTTTTACTAGAGTAGCATTTTTAATTTTCTTTAAGAACATTTTCTTTGCATTCATAACTCAGCTAACTGTTGGGTGCAAGAGGCCTAGCTTTCTGCCTTTCATGGCTTTCAATATGCCTTCTTCACTAAATTTAATCATTTCTAGCCTTTAATTTAAAGCGAGAGATGCGATTCTTCCTTTCACTTGAACATTTAAAGGCCACTGTAGGGTTATGAATTAGTCTGATTTCAATACTGCTGTGTCTTAGGGAATAGGGAGGTCCAAGGGAAGGGAAAGAGACTGGAATGGCCAGTTGGTGGAGCAGTCAGAACACACACAACATTTATTGGTTAAGTTAGCCATCTTTTTTTGTTTGTTTTTTGAGATGGAGTTTTGCTCTTGTTGTCCAGGCTGGAGTGCAATGGCATAATCTCGGCTCACCGCAACCTCTGCCTCCCGGGTTCAAGCTATTCTCCTGTCTCAGCCTCCTGAGTAGCTGAGATTACAGGCATGCACCACCACACCTGGCTAATTTTGCTTTGTTGTTGTTGTTGTTGTTGTTAGTAGAGACAAGGTTTCTCCATGTTGGTCAGGCTGGTCTCCAACTCTCGACCTCAGGTGATCTGCCCGCCTCAGCCTCCTAAAGTGCTGGGATTACATCCATGAGCCACTGCGCCTAGCCAAGTTAACCATTTTATACAACATGACTCATGGTGCCCCAAAACAATTATAATAATAACATCAAAGATCACTAATCACAGATCATCAGAACAGATATAGTAAAGAGAAAATTTGAAATATTGCAAGAATTGTCAAAATATGACACAGAGACACGAGGTGAGCACACAATGTTTGAATAATTATACCAGTGGACTTGCTGGATGCAGGGTTGCCACGAATCTTCAGGTTTTAAAAAACACAATGATATGTGAAGCACAATAAAGTGGAGAGCAATATAATGAGATATGCATGGATTTAATATGTGGCAGTGTTGTGCCTTTTCAAGATTTTTCAGGGAGATTTTTTATATATATATGTATATATATATATATATATATATATATATATATATATATATATATATAAATTCTGAATGAACTCAAGAAATAAATCCAAATGATCCAATATAAAGATAACAAAAATAATAAGAAGATACTAAGATACAATGTTTTCTCATTTGATATTTAACTGTCCCAACTTCATATTATTGTAATGTCATATTATGCCAACATTTTGTTGATTGAATATCACTTCCACAGGAATCTACTGGTGAGAAACAAAATGAACAACACTTTAAATATGTGGCTTTTGTTATTTAACTTTTAAAATGTTATTTTCTAACTTCAGAACTGTTATTAATATGCTGTTTTGTTTTATATATTTTATATCAAGGATCATGTTTCCCATTATTATTATCTGCTATTATTTCTGAGAAGTTGCTATATTGAAGTCTTATTACCATTTACAGTTATCAATTGCAGCTTTGTTCTTCCAGACAAATTCTTAAACAAACAAAAAAGAATTCTATTTTTATATCACCTATTTCTTCTTTAGTACCCCATGGTTGAAGCACTGTGAATTCCCTTTACTTTCTTTACTGTAATAAAGCAAATTGCTTTAAGGTCACTTCCCAAACTAAATAGCCTCACTTTCTTTGACGTTTATTAAGGTTTCATCTCGTTATTTTATCTTTTTGTTTTCTACATTTTGTGTCATCCTCCTTCTTCCTCTGAGAATCCATGTTTGGGTATGCTATCTTCTTGGTACAAGTCCCGTAGTTTCATTCATCTCCTCTAAGATTATGACCTCTAATTCTGTATCCCTGACCTAAACTCTTACTGATCTCCAAATCTATGTTCATTCCTGATTCAAGGCCCTCTCTGTTTAAACGCATGTCAGCTCCAATTCGCTGTGCACAGAGATGAAAACAACTTGCTTTTGTAAGCCCATGATACTTTTCCTTTTCTATTTTTATTAATAGCATTGCCATTCTGTACTTATGCAGACATTGAACTTGATAGATTTTACCCTTTCATCCCTCTTACCCACTCTGAAACCAAATCATTTTATAGTATACATTACCATTCAACTTTATAAGCTCCTGTTTAATTTGATTTTTGCCACCATCTTTGCTTCTCCTTATCTGGACAGTTGACATGATAAAAATAATCATTCAGTCTCCTGGCTCTTTTTCTCTTTTTCTCCTGGCTCTTTTCTCCGACTATTGGCCACTACCTCCAATAGTATATGATACAGGGTTTACTGAATGTACTGACTCTGAAATTTGTCTTAATCTTTGTAGTACCTTCCCTTCCACCCATTAGTAACAGTTTTCATACATTTATTTACATGAATATTGTTCGAATTCCTGCTAAATATAAATATGAATTGTGTCAACATATGGTTTTAGACACTTTAGTTTTCTTTGTATTGCTACTCTAACAAATTACCATGAATTTAGCAACTTAAAACAATGCACATTTTCTAACTCACATTTCTGAATGGTTTCTCTGCCCCAAGTTTCACAATGGCAAAACCAAAGTGTGGGCCTGCCATGCTCTTATGGGAAGACTGTTAGAATCTGCTTGCAAACTTATTCAGATTGTCACCTAACTTTCTTCTTTGTAGCTATAAGACTGAAGTCCCCATTTCCTTGCTGATTATCATTCTCAGCTTCTAGAGGCCTCCTGCATTTCTTATTTGGAGGCCCCTCTATCTCCAAAGCTAGCACTGTGGGCCAAGTTAACTTTATACATCTTACTGACCTCCTCTTCTGCCTCGTGTCTCCTGCCTCCTCCTCTGTTGCATCGCTTTCCTCTTTCCTGCCAGGAAGTGTTTTCTGCATTTCATGATCCAAGTGATTAGATTGGGCCCACTCAGATAATCAGAATAACATTCATATTTTAGGATCCACAACCTTAAAGCCATCTGTAAAATGTGCAGATCTTTGGAGTAGGAACATTTTTCTGCCTACCACAGACATATTCAGTTATATAGAGCAATTTTAGGATGAAAGATTAATTTTGTAATCTAACCCATAAATGAAAACTTCAGAATCACTAGGAAAGAATGCACCATAGCAAAAGAAGTCAGCAACTGTTCATCAGTATATTATATATTGCAGTGGAGAAATCTTTTCAAGGGCTCTGTAAACTCTGGTGATTGAACATGTAAGTTCTTTGGGAATAAAATAAAATAAAAATAATAAAAGCACTAATAAAATCCTCTGGAGCAGAAATTTGTGTAAATGAGAAATTTTTTCTTCTCTAACACTTCTTTAAATACTAGAAGAAATTAATTTTCATTTATTTATGATACTTTCATAAGGATCCAAATGGCATTTCAGCACACCAGAAACCTCCAAGAGTATCTTCTGGGCTACAACTGCTGGCCAAGAAGGATCTGTTTTTCACTTTGCAAAAAACTTTCCCTATGTCAATGGCGGACAATATTTGTTTTCCTTTTTAAAATTAAGGAGAAAAAAATATATAGAAAGTACAAACTTAACTTGATGTCTTGCCATATCTGATCCTAATAAATCTTTATATTCAGCAAACAAAATGCACTGCCTTAACTCCTCCCATAGGAGTGTGACATATTGATGGACAGAGTCAGACTCTGCAGAAGAGTCATGTTCATAGAAATAGCAAAGCCTGGCTGGGTAAGTATTCCTATTTCCAGGCTCCCGAATTGCTGTGTTGGGGCAGTCTGACTTTCTATACCAAGAACATTTCTTGCCTATACCATTAGAGAGACAATTTTATTTTGAGGATTACTCTCTCTATAAACCTTGACTCAATCACAGGTCCTTGGAACATTTCACAGGTCTGAATAGATCTCTCATAACCACATAGGTAACTTGGAATGAGTTTTACTTAAAAATATTTATGTGAGGATTAAATTTCCAATTTTGTACTGCCTCTCGGCTGGTTCCCAGTTGGATTCTCCAGACGTAATCTTTTTATCCCTAAAGTTCCCATAACTTAGACATGATTTATTCAAAAAGCACAAAGGCCTTGAAGGCTGGATTTTTTTTTTAAAGTTACTTGTATGTTTTTGTTGAAATATTTTTAATTTCTGCACTATTTTGGTCATGACCCATGAATATTCATGGGTGCATTCTCCCAGGACATGTATATTTTCTACAGATAACCGTAATTATAAGCAAAATACATTCCTTGCAGCCTTTTACAACATATAGTTCAAGTCCCAAGTGGCATTTCCTATGTTTTGGGTGACAGTCCACATGGACCATTGTATGCCCCCTCTCTTCAGAAATAAGATTAACTCTGCTTTAAAGAACCCAGAATGTTAAAGACATCCTTAATCTTCACCTCTTATATCCATCCTTTTACATATTTTTTGTTTATGGTGACTACCTTATTTCAGTCCAGGGTTTTTTAGGATTTTCTGGAGAACTATGTAATTTTCCATCCATTTTAAATCTTAATCTCAGTGTTTAATAATTTGTCTTCCATTTTATGGCTATAATGCTTTATTTGAATAATTTCTTAATCTAACTATTGTAAACATTTTCTAGGCTCAATGTCTTTACAGGCATTTCATAAAAATAAATTAATACTTTATTAAGATATATTATCAGAAATCGTGGAGTAAAATAATACACTCAATTTTTCATCTTTTAGTACACATTGCTAAATGATTCTCCAGAAATATTTTTAAAAGCTTCATTCTCACCAACCTGGTAGAGAAATTTAATTTTTTATGAACTATTACATGCAATATTTATCATAACTATATTTTGTATTTTGTTTGTACCTAATTTCTTGTTTTATTTTTAGATGTTACAAGCAGTGGGAATTTTATAAATGTTCAAATTATTTTTATAGAGAAATAAAGAGATACAGATTTTTGTTTACTGCAGGAGATTCTGTGACCTTAGCTTTAATACATTCCATATATACATATATATGTATTCTAATAAAAATAAAATAAAAAGTCTAAACAGTAAAAAGCATATATAAAAGTTAAAAGGTAATTTTCTACAAAAAATAAATTTTGTTTTTAGTGTATTTGAACTTGTTTCATTGTTAAGGGCAGTAACAATAAATTATAGAAATAATTTTTTAAGATTTTTTTATTTTATGTTGTACTTTATTTCAGTTAACATACGACTATGCTAAGTCCTTTAACTCAGTTATGTCAAAAGGGACCTTAATTGTAAAGAAAAACAATGGTACTTTATTAAGTATATTCAAATGATTAGAAGTCTAAGTATACTTGATTACAGTTACCTGGAGCACCTGAACTAGGGATTTGGGAAATGGCAGTCGTGCTATGTTTTCAAATAACGATATCACTATTATGTCTTTTCTCCATTATTGTTTCTGGAATAATTAGAGGCACAGTGGCTGTTTTGGATTATGATCTAGAAATGAATTGAGAGTGCTAAATTGCAAATTATTGTTAAACATTCAGGGACTAGAGGTCATAATCTTAGATGGAAGGTATTTAAAAGGGCATTTTAAAAGATAATAGCATAAAAATTGATAAAGTGGCAGATGCAATATTAGACTTTCAAAGGCAGATCATGAGAAAATGAGTGCAGAGACAAGTGACCCCTTGCTAACTGTGTGTGCCGTGCGTGAAATCTCAAGAGGAAACATATATATAGTTTGCAATGTCAAGATTCATTGTTTGAAATTTAGTGACTAGTGCTAGCTTTTCGAAATGACTTTTTTCCCTTGTAACTTTTTAAAATTTCTTTCATTTATTTTCTTAGAAGCCTCAGAGGCTGACTTTTGAATCTGTAATTTTTCAGTGTTCCTTAGTTGTCAGGCACCCTCTCATTTAGTTCTTCTATGATATAACCATTAGGAAGATAGTCTAGTTAGAAATTATATCCAAGTTTGGAAGACTAAATGGTTTGCTCACATTCAAATATAGGAGAAGTAGAACTGAGATTTTAGCAACAATTTGTTGGGTTCAAAAGTCCACATTCATTTTGCCAAGTCATAAAGGCAAATGTACAAGAACTTGTTATAACTACTTAAGGTTTCTATTCAGACTTCAGGTTGAGTAGCTCATGTCAAGATGAGAATGATAAATCCATTAATACCAAAAACATACTATTGCTAAAGGGGTATTTTATCTTTGCAGGACAATTACTTATTTACTTTTGGTTAGGTAATGGCATATATCAAAACAAATTATTTCAGTCATCAAAATTAAGTCCAAGCATAATTTTTTAAAAACTTGCATTTTTTAAAAAATTATAAGTGCATAACAGGTGCTTTTATTTACGGGGTACATGTAATACCTTCATGCAGACATACAGTAGGTAATAATAACATCAGGGTAATGGAGGTATTCATTATCTCAAGCATTTATCATTTCATTGTGTTAGAAACATTCCAATTTCACTCTTATTTATTTTAAAATATACAATAAGTTATGGTTGACTATAGAGACCTTGTGCTATCAAATACAAGATTTTATTCATTTAATCTATATTTTTGCATTCATTAACCATCCCAAGTTCCCCTGGCCCAATACCATTCTCAGCCTCTGGTAGCCATCATTCTATTATCTATCTCCAGTTCAATTGTTTTAATTATTAATTTCCACGTATGAGTGAGAACATATACAATTTTTCTTTCTGTGCCTGCTTTATTTTATTTAACATAATGTTCTCCAGTTTCATCCATGTTGGATGGATTTTGTATTCTACAACTTTACTGAATTAGTTTACTAGTACTAATAGTTTTTTGGCGAAGTCACTACGTTTTTCCAAATATAAAATCATATCATCTGCAAACAAGTGTAATATGATTTCTACCTTTCCAATTTGGATGCTCCTTCCTTCCTTCCTTCCTTCCTTCATTCCTTCTCTCTCTCTTTATTTATTTATTTATTTATTTATTTATTTATTTATTTATTTATTTATTTTTCTTTCTTTTTCTAAATTGCTCTAGCAAGAACTCCCAGTACTATAATAAACGACAATGTTGAATGTGGGCATCTTTCTTTTCTTCCAGATCTTAAAGGAAAGTCTTTTTTCTCATTCAATATGATACTAGCTGTGGATATGTTATAGACTGATTTTCTTGTGTTGAGGTATGTTCCTTTTATACCCAGTTTTTAGAGCTTTTATCACAAAAGGATGTTGAATTTTACTGAATGTTTCTCCAGCATCAATTGAAATAATTGGATGTTTTTTGTCCTTCATTCTCTATATGCCAGTATATATGCATATTCTGCATATGGATTCCAGTTTTCCCAGCATCATTAACTGAAAAGACTACCCTTTCCCCAGTGTATGTTTTTGGCATCTTTGTTGAAAATGAGTTCACTGTAGACATGTAAATTTGTTCCTGGGCTCTCTATTTTGTTCCATTGGTCTATATGTCTATGGTATATCACATTGATTGATTCGTGTGTGTTGAACCATCTTTGCATCCCTGGGATGAATCCCACTTGGTCATAATAAACAATCTTTTTAATGTGTTTTAATTGGTTTGCTGAGAATTTTGTTGAGATTTTTTGCATCTATTTTCATCAGATATATTGGCCTTAACTTTCTTTTTCTGTTGTGTCTTTGTCTGATTTTAGTTTGGGGATAATACTGACCTTATAGAATGAGTTTGGAAGTATTTTATCCTCAATTTTTTGGAATAGTTTGAATAGGATTGGTATTAATTCTTCTTTAAAGATTTGGTGAACTTTAGCAGTGAAGCCATCAGGTCCTTGGCTTTTCTTTAACAGGAGTCTTTTCATTATGGCCTTAATATCATTGCTTGTTATTGGTGTATGTACATTTTGAATTTCTTTATGATTCAATCTTGGTATGTTGTATGTGTCAAAGACTTTGTTCATTTCTTCTAGGTTTTTCCCTTTTTTCCACAAGTAGTTGCCTACAGTAATCTCTAATAAATCTTTAAATTTCTGTGGTCCGTGGTAATGTCTCCTTTTTCACCTCTGATGTTATTTATTTAGGTCTTCTCTGTTTTTATCTTAGTCTGGCTAAAGGAATTTCAATTTTTTTTCAAAAAAACAACTTTTCATTTTATTGACTTTTTGGTTTCTTTTTTTTTTTTTTTTTTTTTTTTTGAGACAGAGTCTCGCTCTGTTGCCCAGGCTGGAGTGCAGTGGCACGATCTTGGCTCACTGCAAGCTCCGCCTCCTGGATTCACACCATTCTCCTGCCTCAGCCTCCCAAGTAGCTGGGACTACAGGCGTCCACCACCGCACCCGGCTAATTTTCTGTATTTTTAGTAGAGATGGGGTTTCACTGTGGTCTCGATCTCCTGACCTCGTGATCCACCCGTCTCTGCCTCCCAAAGTGCTGGGATTACAGGCATGAGCCACTGCGCCTGGCCCAACTGACTTTTTTGTTTCAATTTCATTTATTTGTTCTCCAATCTTTATTATTTCTTTCCTTCTTCTAATTAAGAATTTGGCTTGCTCTTGCTTTTCTAATTCTTTAAGCAACATCATTGGGTTGTTTATTTGAAATTTTTCTACTTTTTGATGTAGGTGCTTATTGCTATATGCGTTTCTTTTAATGTTGTTTTTGCTGTCTCCTATAGATTTGGTATCTTGTATTTTCAATTGTATTTCTTTCAAGAACATTTAAAACTTCCTTCTTTATTTCTTTATTGAGCCATTGGCCATTTAGCAGTATATTGTTTAATTTTCATGTATCTGTATAGTTTCCAATGTTTCTTTTGTCATTGATTTCTAGTTTTATTATATTTTGGTCAGAGAAGATACTTGATAGGATTTTATTTGTAAAAATCATTTTAAGACTTGTTTTATGGCCTATCAAATGGTCTATCATTGAAAATTATCCAAGTGCTGAGGAAAAGAGTATGTGTTTTATAGCTGTTGATATCTATTGGTAAATATCTATTAGATTCATTTGGTTGTATAGTTCAGATTAAGTCCAATGTTTCTTTGTTTACTTTCTGTTTGAATGATCTATTCAATGCTGAAAGTGGGTATATTGGTTTGTTCTCACGCTGCTATAAAGAACTACTTGAGACTGGATAATTTATGAAGAAAAGAGGTTTAAATGACTCACAGTTCCACAGGCTGTACAGGAGGCGTGGCTGGGGAGGCCTCAGAAAACTTACAATCATGGCATGGCAGAAGGCAAAGGGGAAGCAAAGCACATTTTCACATGGTCAGCAGGAGAGGGAAAGAGAGGGAGAGAGGGGGAGAGAGAGAGAGAGAGAGAGAGAGAAGGAGGAAGTGCTACACTTTCAAACAACCAGATCTCATTAGAACTCCATGATGAGAACAGCAAGGGGGAAGTCTGCCCCCATGATTCAGTCGCCTCCCACAAGGCCCCTCTTCCTTTGAATGGAAATTACAATTCAACATGAAATTTGGGTGGGGACACAGAGCCAGACCATATCAATGAGGTACTGAGGTTTCCAGCTATTTATTGAAGGGTCTATCTCTCTTTAGTTCTAATAATGTTTGTTTTATGTATCTGGGTACTCTAATGTTGGCTGCATATGTACTTACAATTGTTATATCCCTTTCTGAATTGACCCCTTTATCATTACGTAGTAATTTTCTTTGTACTTTTTTATAAATTTTGCCTCAAAATTTATTTTGTGTGGTAATAGTGTATCCACTTCTGCTTTTTTTGATTTCCATTTGTATACAATTTCTTCTTTTATTTTTAAATTTTCATTCTATGTGTTTCCTTATGGTTGAAGTTAATTTCTCATAGTCAGCATAGAGTCAGGTTTTGTTTTTTATCCATTTAGCCACTCTATGCCTTTTCACTGGACAGTTTAGTACATTTACATTCAATGTTATTATCGATAGGCAAGGACTTGCTTCTGTTATTTTGTTATTTGTTCTCTGACTATCTCGTGGTCTTCTTTTTTCCTTCCATCTTTCCTGTCTTCCTTTGTGCAAAAGTGATTTTCTCTGGTAGTATGTTGTTATTTCTTGCTTGTGTGTGTGTGTGTGTATCTGTCGTAGGTGTTTTTATTTGAGATCACCATGAGGCTTGCAAATAACATAACCAAGTATTTTAAACTGATGATTATGTAACTGATTATAAAACAAACAAGCAAAGAGAAAACTAATAAAAACTCAGTTGAGCCCCATTACTCCTTGCTTTTTAACTTTTAGTTGTTTCTTTTTTTGTCTTTTTATACTACCTATCCCTTTAAAAAGTTGTAGCTACTATTTTGATAGGTTTTTCTTTTAGTTTTCCTTTTTTTTTTTTTTTGGTTTTCCTACTCAGGATATGAGTGGCTTACACACTAAATTATAGTGTTAGAGAATTCTGTATTTGTGTACTTACTGTTACCTTTGAGTTTTGCACCTTCAGATGATTGCTTATTGCTCTTTAATGTCTTTTTCTCTCAGATTGAAAAACTTCCTTTAGCATTTTCTGTAGGAGATATCTGGTGTTGAAAAAATCCCTCAGCCTTTGTTTGTCTGGAAACCTTAATTTTTTTCTTCATATTTCAATAATATTTTCAGTGGATATAATATTCTAGGAAAAAAATATTGTGTTTCTTCAGCGCTTTAAATATGTCATGACACTCTCTTGGCTTGTTAGATTACCACTGAGAAGTCTACTGCCAGAAGTATTGAAGCTCTGTTATGTGTTATTTCTTTCTTTTCTTTTGCTGCTTTTAGAAACTGTTCCTTTTCCTTGACCTTTGGGTATTTGAGTATTAAATGTCTTTAATTGGTCTTATTTGGGTTAAATCTGCTAGTATTCTGTTACCTTCTTGTGACTGAATATTAGTATCTTTCTCTAGGTTTAAAAATGTCTTAGTTATTATTTCTTGGAATAAATTTTCTACCCCAGTCTCTTTTTCTACCTTCTCATTAAGACCAATAACTTTAATTGTTTTAATTCAACGTTACTTTTTAGATCTTGGCATGCTTCCTTCTTTTTTCTTCTTTTTTTCCTTTTCTGACTGTGTACTTTTATATAGCCTATCTTCAATCTTACTAATTATTTCTTCTGCTTGATCAGTTGTGCTATTAAGAGGCTCTAATGTATTTTTCAGTTTCATTTGTTTTTTTCAGCTTCAGAATTTCTCCTTTTTTATTATTATTTTAATCTGTGTTAAATCTCTCTGAGATAGGATTCTGAATTTCTTCTCTGTGTTGTGCAGTTCATTGAGCTTTCTCAAAATAACTATTTTTATTTGTTTGTCTGAAATATCATATATCTTTGTCATTCCAAAATTCATCACTGATGTCTTATTTGGTTCCTTTGGTGAAGTCATGTTTTTCTGGATATTTTTGATGCTTGCGGATGTTTGTTGATATCTGGGCATTAAACAGTTTAAACAGGCATTTAATTTAATCTTCATTGTCTGGGCTTGTTTGTACCCATGGTTTTTAAGAAGGCCTTTTAGATATTTGGGAATATAGTTTTGTGAACGATGTCTTTGGTCACTGCAGCTGTATCTGCTCTAGGGAGCACCTGAAGCCCAGTAACAATGTGACTGCTGCAGACTCACAGAGGTATTTACTGCCTCGGTGGGCTTGGGTTAGATCCAAGAGAATTATCTGGATTACCAGGCAAAGTCTCTCATTTTCTTTCTTCGCTTTCCCCCAAACAGAAGGAGCCTCCATCTCCATGCTGGGCTGTCTGGTTTTGTTGGAGGGGTGATGCTAGCACTCCTGTGGCCACCACAGCTGGGACTGTGCTGGATCACACCTTAAGCCTGCACAGTAGACACAGGCTTGGGTCTCACCCAAGGCTTATGGTGACTACTGCCTGGCTACCACTAATGATTATTCAAGGTCCACAGGCTCTCTACTCAGCAGATGGTGCGTCCTACCAGGACAGTGTCCCTTGAGGGCTACAGTTTCTCCTTTGGTTCAGGGACAGGGTAGGAAGAAGTTGGGGTGGGGGGGTGGGCGGTGTCTGAAAATGTGATCTAGGAGCAAGGGCCTAGAATTGAGGGCTTCAGAAATCTGCTTAGTGCTTTACTGTGGTTGATCTGGTACCCATAGGTGCCAGCAAAAGTTCTCTTTACTCTTTCCTCTCCTTTCCATAAATGATAGGAGTCTTTCTGAGAGCTGCACTGTCTGTAGTTAAGGGAGGGGTGACACAAGCTCTCTCGGCTGTCACAGCTTGTGTCTCACTGAGTTGTGTGCACCTCAAGTCCACTGGCTCCAGGTCCAACACAGCACCAGGATTTGTCCAAGGACTGTAGTCCCTGTGGTCCGATTGCCTTTCAGATCTACTCATGACCGCATGTATGGCACTTTAGCTCTCTAGTGGGGCTAGGCTGAACTCAGGTCTTTACCACTGGAGCAGAGGAGTATGTTTCTCTGGGTTGTCTTATTCTAAATGCTCCCTCTCTAGGCATTGGCAAAATTCTGCCCTATGTCGTGTTCTGCTGTGACAGGGCAACACTGAGTTTCAATAAAAAGTGTCATACCCACTTCAGTCTCCCTCCCCCAAGCAGACAGATTCTGTCCCCACACATGCTACTGAGAGATGGGGGAGATGGTGTAAGCAATGCCAGACTGTCTTTCCTACCCTCTTCAGGGTCTCTCTTTTATTTTTTTTTTTGATATGATGTTAAAACCAGATACTGTGGTCCTCACCTGATTTTTGGCTCTTATGAAGGTGCTTCATTGTGTAGATAGTTGTTCAATTTGGTGTTTCTGCAGGGAGAGTGATTGCTGGAGAGTTCTATTTGGTCATCTTGCTTTGCTTTCTCAAAACATGATTTTTTAACCTGCTTTTTTCTATTATTATTTTTTACCTCATATCATAGTGAAACAAATCCAATAATCACATAAACAGGATTTTTAAATAAACATAGAAATAGGTCCTTAAAGCTCGAAGCTTACATTTGTTTTATCTGAGTTTCTTCCTCAGGAAATGAGCGTCAGCCCTCTCACAAAAGGTATCAAAGAAGTGAAACTCACCAGATCACCACATCTAGACAATGAGCGCTGGACAATGAGCTGCATTCATCATAAATGCTTCCTTGGCCCTCTCTGGTTCCTGTTTTCTTATTCATTGTTACGTTTCTTCTCTGCAACATAAGCTTCTCGTTTGGGTCAATTAGGAAGATGGATTTGAGACTGATCTCCCATCTCTTTTGCTGCAGCACCCAATTAAACCCTGCTTCCTTGGCAATAATTGCTGTCTCAGTGATTAGCTTTCTGTGCCATGAGCAGCAGGACCTAGACCAAACCTCAGGTGTTTACTAGTTCTTATACATACTGAGTGACTTGTGCTTACCTGAAAGCCCTGATGTCACCAACATTTTCTATTCCCTAGGGCTAAAATGCTTCCTTCTCTGCAATCTCCAAACAGGGCCTATCACCAACTATCTCCCAATTAACTTCTACTCATCCTTCAGGTTTCTTTTTCCTGAGGTAATTGCTCCTCCTCTGTGATATTTCATACTCATCCTTATTGTACAGCTTAATATACTGCATTTTAATTTTCTATTAACTTTTCTGTCTTTCCCAGTAGAATTTGCATACTTGAAGGGCAGGGTCTTCCCTCAATCATGATTGCAATCCACACTGATTAAAGGCTGGCGTATAGCAGGTATTAAACACACACACACACACACACACACTGATTGAATGGATTATTAAATAAATAGGCAAACCAATTCTACTTAAAATGTACCCTCCCTATGAATGTTTCTACCCTCTCTGTGAATGTTATACTCTGGGTCTTTTAGATCTAATCATTCACAGTGACCTCTTTTTTATTAATCTCCTGTATTCACGTATAAAGACTCAGTCAGTGTTCTGTTAAAAAACATTTTTACTCATTCTTATTACCATGGTCATTATTCCTGCTAGTTGTATCAAGAATATTTGGATTATAGTATTAGTTTTATAGTGTTTTTTCTCCTACTTAAGGCTTTTCCCTTTATTATTAATTCTGACATATTATGCCATTTTTGCATTGCTATAAAGAAGTACCTGAGACTGAATAATTAATAAGAAAAGAGGTTTAATTGGCTCACAGTGCTGCAGGCTGTGAGGCATAATGTCAGTACATACTTTTTGGGAGGCCTTAGGAAGCTTACCGTCACGGCTGAAGGCAAAGGAGAAGCAGGTACATCACATAGAGAAAGCAGTAGTAAGATAGAGAGAATGATGTGCTACATAGTTTTAAACAGCCAGATCTCAGGGCAAGTCACTCACTATGGTGAAGACAGCACCAAGCAAATGGTACTAAACCATTAATGAGGAATTGACACCCATGATTTAATCACTTCCCACTAGGCCTCACTTCTAATACTGGGGATTGCAACTTAACATGAGATTTGGGTGGGGACATATATCCAAACTATATCACTTGTAGAGTTAAGCGACAGTATAAATATCTCTTGGCATATTAAGTTAGAGATAGGACAGCTGAGAGATTTAAAAGATTAAACTGGGCTTTTTCCAGCCATGCTAGGCCATGTGATCCTAGAAGAAAAGCCTAATTGACCATCCTTACTCTAGATTGGACTTCTAATAGGTTACACTTTAGGAGGAAGCATGAACCAGTTGGACCCTCTTTGAGTCAGCAGCTCAACTTCAAATAGTCTCAATCTCTGAAAGTGGATAAAGATGATCCTGGATTGAACGTGTTCACAGAAGAAATATCTTGACTGCAACAGCATTCTAGTTTTCCTAGGTCTTCCTGAGCTATTATTTTAGGAGGGGTGACTTTTGATACCCAAAAGAAATGAGTAACCCAAAAAATATCTGGAAGTAGAACATTTTAAATTCTATAATTTAGGTATCAAATGTCTCTAAGTGAAGAAAAAGCGTGGGGTCTCTTAAAATCAGAAGGAACGCTAGTGTAGCTGGATCAGAGTGAGGAGAGAAATTCACAGACATAGTCAGGGCTAGGACAGGCAAGACTTTGTAGGACACAGGAGGGAGTAATGGATTTTCTTCTAAAAGTTAAGGGAATCTGTGGAAAGGGACTTATGAAAGGATGGAACCTGACTGGTCTTGCATTTTGTTTTTTGGTTTTGGGTTTTGTTTTTTTTTTTTTTTTTTTAAAGAATATTACTATGATCATTATGTGGAGAAGACTATAGAGCAGGATTCCTCAAGTTAGGCACTACTGACATTTGACCAGGTAAATTTTTGTTGTGTAAGTAGGTTTCATGCATTGTATCGTGTTTAACAGAATCTCTAGCCTTTACTTAATTGATAGTAGTAGCACCCCAGTACATTTGACAACCAAAAAAATCTACAGATGTGTTAAATGTCCTTGGCAAGTAGAGGGTCACAATCACCCCCGGTTGAGATTACATTGCTATAGAAATCAAGGATGGAAGCAAGAAGATTGGTAAAAATGCTATTGTAGTAGTGCTAATACAAGTGTTTGATCTAAGAGAGTAGTAATGGAAATGATTAAAAGTAGTTGAAGTTGATGGATTCGAGATACAGTCTGAGAGTAGAGAGGACAAGTCAAGCTGGTATCAAATTTGGAGTATGAGAGAAAGAGGAAAGTTCTGTAGTGGAGCTGGGGATCTCAAAATTGTATTGTGCTATAGACCACTTTGTCAGTTTGATGAAGTATATTGACGTTTCTCAGAATATCAATGAACAAATATAATATATAATATTAAAAATGGCATCAATACTTGCTTCAGCAGCACATATACTAAAATTGGTATGATAGAAGGTTAACGTGGACATGGCCCCTGCACAAGGATAACATGAAAATTCATGAAGCATTTTATATAAATAGTTGTTTTTTTTGTTTTTTTTTTTGAGACAGAGTCTTGCTCTGTAGTCTAGGCTGGAGTGCAGTGGCGTGATCTTGGCTCACTGCAAGCTCCACCTCCTGGGTTCACACCAGTTTCCTGCCTCAGCCTCCCAAGTAGCTGGGACTACAGGCGCTCACCACCACCCCCAGCTAATTTTTTGTATTTTTAGTAGAGATGGGGTTTCACCGTGTTCGCCAGGATGGTCTCAATCTCCTGACCTCGTGATCCGCCTGCCTCAGCCTCCCAATGTGCTGGGATTACAGGCATGAGCCACCGTGCCCGGCTTATATAAATAGTTTTTATAATCAAATATATTGATATAAAGTTATCAAAATATTTTAAATGATAAGATATAGCAATAAGTGTAATAACTGTAGTCATTTTAAAGTCATTAATATATAAAATATATTTTGAGGTTTCTACTGTAACAATCACATTTTATATGAACATTTCTCTGATTTCTGTTAGGAATAAAATCACAAGTGCTGCTAATGCAACTGTTGGCTTTGCTCTATCTATAATGGTAGGAAATACTAATATTAATTAGAGGTAAGTAAAATAAAGATATAACATGTTTTTATTCAAATCCATGGATCTCCTGATTTTTATTCAAGGACACTGCATTAAGAACCACTGCTCTGGAGTGGCTTGTTTACATCAGAATGCTCACTCATGTTCTGTGTGAAGTGTATAAATTGTTTCTGAAATAGTTTTTACTGAAACCCTCAACCAGGAATAATCAATTAAGCAAGGTCCCCAGTTCTATCTAGTACATGTTTTACTATGCTCTTTGATACAAGTTGTTTCCAAACTTCATTATTTTTACTTAGTTTCCAACAAAGACTTCAGTTTATTTAAGTTTATGAGGGACATGAAATTGTACTGTTTAAATTAAGATCTGAATTGAAATCATATGTCCATGAGGCACCTACAGAAAATCTTATTAGAAATCTAAATACATTCTTAGTAATTACTGTGATCTTTAATGTTATATAAGTACATTCTATATTCTTTTATGCTATAATAAATAAAAATGTTTTCATAAATTATACTTCTGTTATTTTTCTTACACATAATTTGTTTTATTCATAAATTTTTCTAAGGCATTGAATTGATAATCCCTCCAGAGAGAAAACATAAGTGTCTGAGAGAGCACAGATTTTAATTGTCAAGTGATATTTGGATATGTTATAAATTATTAAAAATTGACTTTTATTGTTCTAAAAAGAATCTAAAGGATCTAATTCTTTTTAGATTTTTGAACGATGTACCAGAAAGTGCTTGATGCTGTGATATACTAAAAATGCAATATGCTTTGTTACTTTCTCCTTCAGCAATTCCCCACAATCTGTAGGCAATCTTGAATACTGAATCCCAGGAAATTTTCAGCTTGAGCTACTCAGCCTCATTGTCAAGTGATTGCCAATTAGGAGAAAAATCTTGTAAATGTTGGCCTGTGAAGTTAAATGAAACTTCGTGAGGATTCTTCCAATGTAGATGCACACTCAACACCTGCTGCTTTTTTGAAATAATTAACATCATTTTGGAGTTTCCATGAGCCTGCTCAATGGGCTGCAGACAGATGTGTGGATCAGATGTCACCTAGCACAGCTGGAGCTGCCAAGTTAACACATACATTTTTTGTTCCATCCTCTTTCCTTGTCTACACAGCTGTAGTTTTCAGTACACTGGGTTATGGATCAATTTTCATTTTAGTTGAAGGCTCATCCGATGTAGACAGATCATCATCATTTATTTGTGCTGACGTGAATTTTGTTCACATTCTCCTAGGACTCTGTATTTACACATCTCAATAATAGGGCTCATGAAAAACAAATGCTTCCCAAATGAGGAAAATCTTTAACAATTTAAGACAATAGATGAAGATCTTTCATGAGTTTATTGTACACATCTTTCCATTTTTTTTTTTATTGTTTTGAAATATTTCAAAACAGGCACGGTGGCTCATACCTGTAATCCCAGCACTTTGGGAGGCTGAGGCGAGTGGAGTACCTGAGGTCAGGAGCTTGAGACCAGCCTGGCTGACATGGTGAAACCCCATCTCTACTAAAAATACAAAAAAATTAGCTGGGCATGGTGGCAGACACCTGTAAATCCCAGCTACTCGGGAGGCTGAGGCTGAACCCGGGAGGTGGAGGTTGCGGTGAGCTGAGATTGTGCCATTGCATTCCAGCCTGGGCAACAAGAGCAAAGCTCCATCTCAAAAAAAAAAAAAAAAGGCTTTAGTAAAGCTTAATTTTCTTTTTTATTGCTAAAAGTCCTACCTATTTATACAAAAATTTGGAAGGAAGCATAGAGCCATGTTTAACAGAATGCTTCTTTTACATCTTCCACAATCAAATAGTAATTTTATATTTTTTTCAAAATTGCAAAATACTGTAACTTTATGGTCTACTTAACAATCTTCAATTCATCTTCACTTATGAGAAACAACATAGGCAAAAGTAGGTAGACACCAAAGGAAAGAAACATGTTAAAATATCATTCTTGCACAGGTGAAATGGGCTATCACCCAGACTTTCCTGGACAGCTAACTTTTAAATGTTAAGCATTTTCAAAACAATGATTCCAGATATTTGTTAGGTAATTTGGCTACCCCAGCATTTCAGTTCATTTAAGTTTTTTTATTAACTCGCTCATTTCATTTTCAGAAAGCTTAGTCTAGATATTCAGTGAAAAAGAGCTTCATTAATCTCTTGATAACAGGCAGCAAGACAGTACACTAGTACACCAGACCTAGGAATCAGAAGACCTGAGTTCAGTTTTTATGTCTGACATGATCTGTGTGACCTTGACAAGAGTCTCTCAGACTACAGGTTTCTAATGGTAAAACAGGGAAGCTAGCAAAAATAATATCTATGTTTTGCCTTATTCTAAAGCAAAAATTAAAGAAAATTAATCGTTCTGTTCAATCATAAACTGACTTCCTCTGAAAATATTTATTGTGTCCTGTTACTTTCAATTTTATTCCAGCACACTTTGATTCCCAGTGTTTTTTATTTCAATCTGGATTAAAGATGCTTTCTGCCTGGAGCTGCTCTATTGCAAATATAATTATATGAATATATATTGTATGTATGTACTATGAATATAATTATATAACATAGAGCTATATATTTTATAAACATTAAATTATAAATCTAAATATGAATATATTTATCTTTGATAATCTATTAAATATAATAAATCATAATATATAAGTATATTAAATGTTAAATATGATACTTATATTCATATTTATATTTATAATAGATATAATTTGGACATATATTTTATATGTTATAAATATATAATATTTCTAGGTTAATATATAAAAATATGTATTATATATTGTACATTACATATGTATTTGTGAGTGGAAGAATAGGATCTTTTGTTTTCATTTAAGGTCATACATTTTGCAATATCTTCCAATAGCAAAATCCTTCTGGTTTTATTAGTCTAATGCTCAATATCTCATGACATATTTTGTTAGTATTACATAAAATATGCAAATAATCTTTTTCTAGCTTTTTAAGTATTAGGTATACTTTTGTCTCAGGTCCTTGGAACTAAAAACTCCTGTCTCAGTGAAGTCATTGAATATTACATTCAAAGAGAATATTTAACTGATAATCTTCCTTACTCATTAGATATCCTTAAAATTATCATTGACCATGTACAGTGAACATTAAATATATAATATCTTAGAATCGAATCCCAAGCATATGGAGGGGCAATACATTGAATGTTTTGTGGCTTGTATTCTGGAATTTAATAAAATATTAATAAAACATATTTTATCAATATCAATTCATTTTCAATGAATATAGTAATTACAAATTTGGTTATAAAAGAAAACTGAAAAAGTACAATATATTCTAGTCATTTTTCCTTAGAAAAGCTGAATGCGTATTTTTATTTTTGTACATTTTTTTTTTGGTAGTCAAAAATTTTACTTGGTGCTCCTGGAAGCAGTGCTGGGTTTGAAGTCAGAAACATAGGAATACTGAAAACACCAATATTCACTTGGAGACCAATCTTGCTTTGTTCAATTCTGTTTGGAATAATTCTACAGAACCCCAAATTCAAACTAGGGTACCCTATGTGCAGTTGATGCCAGACAGTGACACACAGGTGCTTAGCGTTAGACAAAAATCTATTTGGTCAAGCTGAGAAGGCGGAAAAACAAGATCTCTTGAATTATCTTTAAAAAATGAAAGTGGGGAATTTTTATATAGCTAGTGAGTAAAGGAGGGGGAATCTCAGGGAACCGAGGAGAAAGTCTGTTTCTTCAATCTCAGATAACACATTGAACAATCAGACTTCTGGGCATGAGCAGGTGGTTGACTTCCGTAAAGATATTCATTCTTTCTGCAAATGTTTTTTATAACACTGAAGTTATATCCTGCTGCCTGACAAAGAACAGTCAATCAGCAGTTTATCATCATATTGTGGGAAAAAGGGATGTTGGACAAAAAGAGAGTGGTTAACATGTCAAAGTGGGCAAGGGCCTAATCAGAATTTTCATTATGTAAATGACTAATAATTCTGGGGTACTGAAATCTCAAGGGGCCTAGTTACAATAATATATTGTTTAATGTGAAAATATAATTTTCATAGTATGACACTGATAAGGCCTAACACTCAACATGAAGAGTACATAAACTTTTATTCTATTTAGTCATTTATCAGTTTAATTTCCATTACGTAACCAGATTCTTCATGCAATATCATTTCTTAAGTACAGTTGTTTGGTCCCAGGGCCTCCCTCAGACACCAAAATTTGAGGATATACTTGTTCTTGATATAAAATAGGCCAGTATTTGCATATAACTTATGCACATCCTTCCTTGTACTTTAAATCATCTATAGATTATTTGTAATAACTAATACTATGTAAATGCTGTGTAAATAGTTATCATGTTGTATTGTTATGGAATAATGACAAGAAAAAGGTCTATATATGTTCAGTACAGAGACAATTTTTTACTTGAATATTTTTGTTCCAGAGTTGATTGAACCACAGATGTGGAATCCACAGGTTTGGAGGGCCAACTTTATACTCTCCGTTGATAGAACTGTGTGAAGTTGTATATTTAAAAAGTAATCCTATGGTTATTTATGTATAAAAATTTATTGAGTAGACTTTGAATTTAATCTTTTTTTCTCTCAGAAGAATAACATGTCATTATGTTTATTTTCTAGAAAAACTCTCTTTTTCTCTTCCTTCTTGTTTAATATTTAAATGGTATATGTTACTCCCATTCTTCAACATATTTTAATATTAATTTATCAGTGGTAGTTTAAATAATTTTTTCATCTTTGAATATCCATAATTTATAAGTGTCTGCTACATGGCAGGTAATCAATAATGTGTCTTAATAATAAATTTATATATTTATATGCATAGTCTGAAAAATATGGATGTAATTTTTCCCTCTAAAATGCATCTATTGAAGCACTATGTGACTGTATTTAGAGATAGGGCTTTTGAGAGGAATTAAGTTTAAATGAGGTCATAAGGACAAGGTCCTAATGCAGTAGAATTGATGTCCCTATGAAAAGAGGAAGAGAGAGAGATTTCCCTCAGTCACTTTGTGAGGACACAGTGAGAAGCCTGTCTGAAAACTGGAAGAAAGTCACCAGAAACCGACCATGCTGGCACCCTAATATCAGACTTCCAGACTCCAGAACTGAAAAAAAAAATTCTATTGTTTAAGCCACCCAGTCTATGGTATTTTATTTCGGCAGCCTGAGCTAATTATATATATGTAATTTTGGTGAAATATATTTTATTATAACGTTGTGAGTATTGATTGTGGAAATGATAAAAACGTAAACATTGAAATAAGAGAAAAATATCATTCATGTCTTCTGTAACTCTCAATGATGAGTAACATGTTTGGCTATTCATTTCAGATATTTTTTCTATGTGCACTTTTTTTTTTTTTAATTTTTGAGATGAAGTCTTATGCTGTTGCCCAGGCTGGAGTGCAGTAGTGTGATCTCTGATCATTGCAACCTCTGCCTCCCAGGCTCAAGGAACTCTTCCACTTCAGCCTCTCAAATAGCTGGAACTAAAGGTGGATGCCACCACGCCTGGCTAATTCATATATATATATATATTTGTGTGTGTGTGTGTGTGTGTGTGTGTGTGTGTGTGTAGCCCAGCCTTCATCACATCTCCCAGGCTGGTCTAGAACTCCTGAACTCAAGCTATCCACCCATAGTGGCCTCCCAAAGTGCTGGGATTGTAGGTTTGAGCCACCACGTCCAGGTCTATGTGAATTTTGAAGTTCTTGAGACAATACTTCATATAAAATTTAGTATCCATATCTTTTTAACTTAATCTTAGGATAGAAACTTCTCTCTTATTTCAGCAAAGTCTTAATAAATAGTTTTAACTCATCTTTTATTTTTAAAGAAAAAATGTTTATAATGTTTACAAGTGAATACTGTAAAGAATAAAGAGGTTAACTCATCTTTTCCTCCCCATTAAGTCTGCCTCACTTCTAGAGGTAACCACTCTAATTTCTTACACATTTTTCCCCAAATTTTGTTCATTTTCTAGAAACAAACTTTAGCACACTTTGATCAAAACTAGGTATATTCCCCTTAAATTTGCTTACTCACTTAAACATTATTCTTTCTTTTCTCTCCTTGTTTTCCTTGTGCTCTTCATTTTCCTTTTTTTTTTTTGCTTCTAATTTCTGTCACTTCCTAGAAATAAATTTACTTCTGTGTTGTACATTTTGTCAAGAGTCTGATTTTGTTGAAATTGTGATGTTTAAATTTCTTACCAGTAAAATTGATGCTGAAATGGCCATCACTGCATATGTATTTTTGGCTTTTTTATTGATTTTATTTGTGAGATACATTGCCAGGAGAGAAACTGCTGAGTCAGAGGATATGCAGTATGTTTTAATTAATGTTGCACAATTGTGTTCCCAAACTATTGCACAAATGTACACATCTGCCAAGCTGTTTTCCTTCAACTCTGACAGCACAGAGAAATAAGAGTCTGCTCTTCGATAGATTATTCAATTATATATTTTACTTGCATGTCTTTAATTGAAGTAAATTAAATAGATGCTCATACATTTGTATCAATTCTGATTCCTTTTCCTGTGGAATGGCAAGCATTTTTTTTCATTTTTCCTTGCCCAATAGTCTAAATAATTGTTTATATTATTCGTAACATTTTTGATACCAACAAAATTTGTCTTAAAATTCTTCTATTTATCTTCTTTTAATTTTTAGTCTTTTTTTATATTTACAAATATCTATATGGTTAAAAATTATTTATCTTATACTTTTGATACTAGTAAGTTTAATTACCTTTAGAGAAAGTATTTCTACCACAAGATTATTTAAAAATATACCCTTCTATTATGTTAAGCTTTGTTTTTATTGTATTTAACACATTGACACTATTGTAATCAATTTTGGTTTATGTAAAAGAGAATGCCAAATTTATACCTTATAGAAATGGCTAAAATATTGTGCAAGCATCATTCACTGAATAATCCAGCACTTCCTCACTGTTTTGAGAGCATCTCTTTATCACATATGGAATTCTAACAAATGTGGGGTTTCCATATTTTTTCTATTATATTTTGTTGAACTATTATTGTCCACATATAAAATGGAATTTTAAAAACATTTTATTATTAAAAACTAGTTTCTTCTCTTTATTAACCAGATTAAATGCTTTTTTCAGACTTATTTTTAAAATAATTTTCATTCTGCTGATAATTTGCTTAATATTTTACTGAATTAATAAATGTATTTAAGTAATAGAAATAACATAGAGATTCTACCTACACAAGAAAACAAGAAGTCCTATCCAGAGAAATCAGTCAAAAGAAAGAAGTAAAAGGCACCAAACTAAGAAAAGAAGTCAAACTATCTCTCCTCACTGACAATGTGATGGTATACATAGAGAAGCCTAAAGCAAACTTACCTAACATGTGGCCCAGGAGGGCTTTGAATATGTCCCAACACAAATTTGTAAACTTTCTTAAAACATTGTGAGGTTTTTTTTTTTTTGCAATTTCTTTTTAGCTCATCAGTTATTGTTAATGTTAGTGTATTTTATGTGTGGCCCAAGACAATTCTTTTTCCAATGTGGCCCAAAGAAGCCAAAAGATTGGACCCCCATGCCCTAAAGACCCTGTCAAAAAGCTCCTGAAACTGAGAATTGGCTTCAATAAACTTTCAGGATACAAAATCAATGTACAAAAATGAGTAGTATTTCCATACACCAATAACATTTAAGCTGGGAGCCAAATAAGGGACATAATACCATTTACAAAAGCCTCAAAAAATTAGGAATACATCTAATCAAAGAGGTGAAAGATCTCTACGAGGAGAATTGCAAAACACAGCTGAAAGAAATCAGAGATGACACAAACAAATAGAAAAACTTTCCATGCTCAATGATTGGAAGAATCAATATCATTAGAATAACCATACTGCCCAAAGCCATCTACAGTTTCAACACTATACCTTCAAACTACCAATATAACTTTTCATAGAATTAGAAAAATATGTTCTAAAATTCATATGGGACTGAAAAAGAGCCCAAGCAGCCAACAAGATCCTAAGCAAAAATAAAAAATCTGGAGGCATCACATTACCCAACTTCAAACTTACTATAAGACTACAATAACGAAAACAGCATGGCACTTAGACATGTAGACCAATGGAGCAGAATGAAGAACTTAGAAATAAAGCTGAACCATCTGCTCTTCAACCAAATCAGCAAAAATAAGCAATGGGCAAATGACTCTCTATCCAATAAATTGTGCTGAGATAACTGGCTAACCATATGCAGAAGAATGAAATTGGACCCCTGCTATTTCACCCTATAAGACAAGTAACCCAAAACGGATTAAAGACTTAAATATAAGTCCTCAAGCTCTACAAGTCCTAGAAGAAAATCTTGGAAATACCCTTCTCATCCTCAGCTTTGGCAAATAATTTATGGCTAAGTCCCCAAAAGCAATTGCAACAAAAACAAAAATTGACAAGTGGAACCTAAACAATCTAAAGAGCTTCTGCACAGCAAAAGAAATTATTCAAAGAGTAAACAGACAGCCTACAGTATGGGAGAAAATATTCATAAACTGCATTGGACAAAAGCCTAATATTCAGAATCTACAAGGAAGTTAAGAAAATGAACAAGAAAAAAAACAAATAATCCAATTAAATAATAGGCAAAGACACAAACAGACACTTCTCAACAGAAAACACACATGTGGACAACAAACATATCAAAAAATGCTCAACATACTAATAATCTGAGAAATGCAAATCAAAACCACAATGAGATAGACTATCTCTCCTGTGAGAATGACAGAGTTGCATAGAAAAGGGAAGGCTTATACACTGTTGGTGTGAATGCAAATTAGTTCAGCCACTGGGGAAAGCAGTTCAGACATTTCTCAAAGAACTTAAAGCAGAACTAATACTTGACCCAGCATTCTCATTACTGGTTGTATACCATAAGGATAATAAATTGTTCTATCAAAAAGACACATGCATTTGTATGTTCACTGCAGCACTATACACAATACCAAAGATACAGAATCAACCTGGGTGCCCATGCACAGTGAATTGGATAAAGAAAATATGGTACATATGCACCATGGAATACTATGCAACCATAAAAAACAATAACCTGTCCTTTGCAGCACCATGAATGCAGCTGGAGGTCATTATTCTAAGTGAATTAAAATAGGAACAGAAAACCAAATACCATATATTCTCACCTATAATTGGGAGCCAAATATCGAATACACATAAAGATGGAAAAAATAGACACTGCAGAGTGCTGTCAGGGGGTTAGGAATGGGCTAAAAAGCTACCTATTTGGTACTATGCTCACTACCTGGATAATGGGACCATCCATACCCCAAACCTCAGCATCATTGCATATACCTGGCTGACATATCTCAATTCTCTTAAACGTTTTCTACTAATATTCATATTATTTTAATATTTTCTTTATATGTGAAATTTTTATTTTTGTGTATAGAAGTTTGAATTTGAAATTATGGAGAGAAAACAACAAGCTACCCAAAGATATCTTGATTTTAGACACAGGTTCAAGTTGGGATAAGGAAAATATTTATTGTTTACTTGTTTTTTTAATGAAATTGTCCATTTCTATTGGTCAACCGTTGCTTTTGGTTGTTTATATGTGGAGTTGCTATTCAATATTAAATCTCTTTAAAGCAGAGGCATTAAAGCAATCTCAAAGCTCCTTTTCTTTACCTCAGCTGATTTTTCTACTTGAAATAAGACTGAGCTTGAGTCTTATGTTGAGAATAAAATTTGAATAATTTGTTAATGAAGTTAGACCAGATATTCTGATTGACAAACTAATTAAATAGAACTGTGTCTTAGAATTGTAAAATCCCGCTCATCTACTTCAGCAAATGTCTTTATTTTTAAAATGAATCTAATCATTTTCTCTGATAAAATGAAATATGCAAATGATTTATAAAGAATCCAGAACCAAACAAATTATAAATAATATTATTTAATAGAAGAGCTTTGTCACATGTAATCATTGTCCAAAGGCCAATGTAAAATGCTTATTTAAATGTAGACTTTGAAGTGAAACCGCCCTTGTTTTGAGTCTTCTAGGTGATCTTGTATAAACTACCTTGCCAATTAAACCAATTGTTTTCATATTTAAGATGGGGCTAATACCTCAAATCAAATGATCGTTGAGTAAAAAAATGATGCCAAAACAACATAGTATTTGGCACGTAAGAATATCCTTGTTGTATATACATTATTGACTGACTAAATAAAAGTTATTTCTCCAATCTTGTTAAAATCTACAAGACTAAGAATTGACTGTTAGATTTCTAAATTACACACATATTATATATTCTTAAATTATGAACTTTTCTTATAAAGGTTAAACCACTTTACCATATTAAATTGCTCTCTGTCTTTTGTGACCAAATTAATTCTTCATTTAAGATTCTTTTTTCAAAGAAATTTACAACAAAGACTCTAATTGGCCTCCATGGATGCTGTTTTCATTGCAGGAATAGTTCAATGGGTACACAACAGAGGCTTCTATTGTTTGTCTATGCTTCATTTTGTTTAGGTTTTATTTTTGTGGGGTTTTTTTGGTTTGTTTTTGGGGGGTTTTTGTTTGTTTCTTTGGTATAGATCAGTGTAAGAAGAGCCACATTTCCTGAACTTTAGATTCATCTTATTATACTTTTTTTTTTTGCAAATCTTAGTGACTATTAAAGGTCTTTAATGTCATTAATGACTGTAAGACATCACAGAAATTGAAAATTAGTGAAGAATTATTGCTTCAATTCAGCTTTCAAAAAATACGTGACAAGCTTTTCTCCCCTTTTAGTTATCAGAAACACACACACACACACACACACACACACACACACACATTCCATTTTGTATACACAAAGTTTATTGATAGACAAAATATGTTGTAGGGGGATGGGTTCTTTTTTTTTTTTTTTTTTTTTTTGAGACGGAGTTTCGCCTTTGTTGCCCAGGCTGGAGTGCGATCACACAATCTCGGCTCACCGCAACCTCCGCCTCCCGGGTTCAAGCAATTCTCCTGCCTCAGCCTCCTGAGTGGCTGGGATTAAAGGCATGTGCCACCGCACCCAGCTAATTTTGTATTTTTAGTAGAGACGGGGTTCCTCCGTGTTGGTCAGGCTGGTCTCAAACTCCCAACTTCAGGTGATCCGCCCACCTCGGCCTCCGAAAGTTCTGGGATTACAGTCATGAGCCACCACGCCCGGCCGGGAATGGGTTCTTCAGCAAAATTATAATGTGGATCACTTGCACTTGTAATTCAAAGACGTGTCACATATTAAATATTGTGCAATTCAGTTTTGGATAAGTATTGAATTCACTCTTATACTTACATAATGCCGGGAGGAATTTATATCATTTTATATTAAAATACATAATGAGTCCAACATGTTCTTGTTTACTGAGGCAAAACTCCCACTGAAGTCTTGGGGCTCTTCGGAAGTTATTGCAAATTTACCAGTAAGAGTGTGTGGTGAAATTAGGCTCCCTAAGCAAAATGTGTTAATAATCATGATAAATGAGTTGAAATTATAATTATTTATTTAAGTTTACTTAATAAAAGCAAAACTTCAAGGAAAATAATACACAACTATTGTGTGCATTTAGGATAAGCATTTTCATTCAATCTTTTAAATAGCCGTAGGTATTGTTAGAAGCAGCTCACTAAATGACTTGGCCAAGATCAAATAATGAGTAACTTACAGAATCACAGAATTGTGATTTTTTTTCTTAAATTGTTTTTTAGAGACAAGCAGTCTGTTTGTCACTTGTTTTTTAGAGACAAACAAGCAGAGAAACAATCGTTTTCTGTCACCTAGGCTGGAGTTCAGTGGCAGGATCATAGCTCACTGCAGCCTTAAACTCCTGGGCTCAAGCAATCTTCTTGTCTCATTCTACCCGAGTAGCTGTAATTATTGTGGCTATATATGATATTTCTATGTTATTCTCTGAGCACTTTCTTCCTTATATATATTAATATATTATATTCAGAATTTTTATATTCAGAGGCAAAAAATGGAGTAAATAATTTTTTAAATGTATTTAGACATGTCTTGCCATGTTGCCCAGGATAGTCTGGGTAGAACTGTGATTTTAACTTAGAATCTTCTTTTTCAAATTTCCAGATTTATTTACTCTATTTTTGTCTCTGAATACAACATAATGTTATATGCATATAAGAAAGTGCTTAGAGAACAACACAGAAAAAAAATTGTAGTCCATCATAATTACAAATGCATAAATAGATTCTCACACTTTTAAATGAGTCATGTTGTCTTATTATCTCCTGATCTGCATGCTCTTATTTGTAGACAACTGGTCTGAGTCTTTCTTCCTGGGAAATGATTACCTTAATCATAAAGAAACCCTGCTGGATGGGCAATCTTATTTATATACCTTTTCTCCTCTGTTTCCATGGGAATCTCACCTGTCTCTCATCTCCAGAAATCCCCAAACAGTATTAGAAGCCAATTGAGTTCCTCCAACTCTGATTATTCCTCCTAAGGGCGTCTGAACCAACTATTCTTTGCTTTGAATCCCACATCTTGCCTTTGGCAAAGTCTTGTTTGTGAGAGTAGATTTATTTCTTCTGCATCTTTGACTCCGCTTTCTCTACTGACTCTTTTATCTCTTCATATGAACATATTCATTTTATTTTTTTCTCCAGCTTAAAATAAAAAAACTTTTATATTAACTTATGCTTATATTTACTTCATTCATCTCAAAATCATGCTACAGAGATCAAAGATTTTCTTCTCATACTCATATTTTTAGCACACATTCAATCACCAATTTACTTTAAGTTAGCTGTTACTGTTCTCTTGGTTTTGAAATTTTACATAACCATTAAACTCCTAATTGTTAAATTCATTGAATGTCTCATTTTCTCGAGCTCTGATGTATCTGATGCTGATGAGCACTCTTTATTTTAGCATACTATTTTATGAATAGTCACACATGTTAAATTATTTTTTTTCCTTGAAGGAAAATAACCATTTTACATGACTATGTACCAGAAACATTGTTGGCTATTTTTTTTTTTCCCTCAGAATATCTCCTCGGCACTGGAATCATTAGTCCTTTTTTGCACTGTGGACCAATGTCTTTTTCTTGAAATCCACTTTCTCACTAGTTACCTCTTATATTTTGGTTTTGGGGTCCTAGCCTGCATCCATACTTCTTTGTATCTACCCTGCTCTCCCTTCCCAACTGGACTTGGGAATTTAACATGCATCTTTTTATGGGTTTGATACAAATTTATCCTTTAAATACATTTACCTTGTATGATGATTGCAGCACTGCAGAGTGAAATACAATCACCAATTCTGCCCTTTTGTAATGTTCCCAAAGACCAGGGCCAGGCCTGTTTGGGTGTACAACACTTTTTTTTCTTTTAAAAGTAGCTATATTGAGATATAATTCATGTATCATACAATTCACCCAATTAGATTGTCCTATCCAATGGTTTTTAGAATTTTCACAGAGTCGTGCAACAATCATCCAAATTGATTTTAGTACATTTTCATCATCTAAAAAGAAACTCCATAAACGGTAGTGGTCATTCCCCTTTCCTTTCAATGATAAGGAAACAACAATACTCTGCACAAAATCAAAAGCAGCAGCAGCAACAACGACAATAGCAATGAACATGGATGATGAGCTAAGGTGAGGTAACATGGTTTTCTAAGTTCTTAAGATAGTGTGGTTCACAATTTCCTCAGATTGAGTAACTTAAGTTTACTTCTGTTCTGGCTGCTCTATGAAATGTGAATTGTATGAAGGCACTGCAAGTTGCTTCTGCAAATCATCTCTTAAAAACACTTTGATTTCTGCATTGCCTGCTTTCATCAGGCAACACTTTTTTCTAGCTTGCTTTCCTGTAGGTATGATCATATTTATATACAATTTTGGTGTATCTGATTCTCCATTTAAATATACAATCCAATGAGAAGTGAGAAATCATGGTAGAAGACAAAGTTTACTTTTTAATAATTTAAGATGTGCAAAGTAGCAAATATATTCTCTTTAGTGCTTTTTTTTTAGAGTTCAAAACTATATGTGGATGCAGATCTGTATTAGCCCATTCTCAGGCTGCTATAAAAAACAGCCCAAGACTGGGTAATTTATAAAGCAAAGATGATTAACTGACTAACAGTGCTGCATGTCTGGGGAAGTCTCAGGAAACTTACAATCATGGCAGAAGGAACCTCTTCACAGGCTGGCAGGAGAGAGAACGAGTGCTGAGCAAAAGGGGAAAAGCCCCTTACAAAACCATCAGATCTCATGAGAACTCACTCACTATCATGAGAACAGCATGATGGTAACCACCCCCATGATTCAGTTACCTCCCACGGGGTCCCTCCCAGAACATGTGGGAATTATGGGAACTACAATTCAAGATGACATTTGTATGGGGACACTGTCAAACCATATCAATATGTATACATGTATGGATGCAAATTCGTGTGCCTATGCATTGATTGCCAGTTGTTCATGGGCAATCTTTGTTCAAATATTATTCTTGCAAACTTTATTTTGATCACTTTTATTATCAGATTATATGTCCCTTGGTCAAGTTCAGAAGTAAATCTTTATAGCTTGACTCAAAATAGTACTTTTTCTCTCCCCTACTCCTTTTCCTTCTTCTGCTCATTCACTGCCTTTTTCTCTCCAGTGGAGAGATTCAGTGGAGATTCCTCTGGTGTGATTGTTTATCAGACAGAATGGAATTAAAAAGAAATTCAGAAATTTTGGTTAGCAGGCATTATAATTTGTTAAATTCTCTATTTGTTTTTATGTATACGTATATTGTTTATTTATCTGTATGCAATAATGGCTAATTAGAGTTTTTGGGTCGGTCTAGGAAGCTAGCCACTTTTTCACTGGTGCTCATGTTGGGAAAATAACTGAGAAGCTCCCAATAACCGTTAACCTTTGGAACTTTCTCCTGTGAATCAGCATACATTGTTCTTTTATATGGAAGGCAAAATGTCTTGTGCTTAGGAACACTAGATTCCTTTCATTTTTTAGGACTTCTCAGTGCCACATTTATTTTGTTGACTCCATTCTTGCTTACCAAAACTGCGGCCTGGAGTTTTATTACTCACATTAGTCTCTCCCAGTATTCAGAGACTGTGGTTACTTAGGGGTAATTTGGCTGGTAAGGGGCTAGAGAGTGGGGAGTACTGATTAGTCAGGTCAGAAATGAAATCATAAGGGGTTGAAGTGGGTTCTTCTTGCTGTCTTCTGTTCCTAGGTGGGACTGCAAAACTGGTTAAGCCAGATTACAGGTCTGGGTAGTGACAGCTGTTCCATTAGGATACAGGATCTGAAAAATATCTCGAACACCAATCTTAGGTTTTGCAACAGTGATGTCATCTCTAGAAGCAATTGAGGAGGTTGGGAATCTTGTGGACTCTGGCTACATGACTCCTAAACCAGAATTTCTAATCTTGTGCTAATTTGTTAGTTGCATAAAGGCAATGTGGTCCCCAAGAAAAAAGGGGGTTTGTTTTCATAAAGAGCTGTTATTTTTATTTTAAAGGTAAACTATAAACTAGATTCCAACTATAGTTAGCTCAGACTATGCCCAGGAATGAACAAAGTTAGCTGGTTAGGTCAGATCTTTTTCACTGTCATAATTTTCTTACTTGCAAAGGCAGCTTCAGAATATTTCACAAACAAGTCCTATTGTTATAATCTCAGTACTGGCTTTGCTTTCTTCTGAGATAGACTTAAAATGTTGTGAAGATAAAAAAGTCCAAGAAAACAGTGTTGAATGGTGCTGAATCAATTTTTTCCGACTATAGGAACACTGGAAACGTTACTGCTTGCATTTGGATGGTCTGCGTTTTAACTAAAAATACATATTAGAATAATGTGTAATGCAAATAAATAAAGTAGAGTTTATTGGTTGTAGGAAAATAAAGAGTAATACATTTTATATTCTATGAAACATTGCATATATGCTGATGACTAAAGATTGTTAACAATAAAGCTAATTGTTCTTATCGTAGTGAAAGTGATTTACCTCTCCATGATAACAGGTCATAAATTGATTAAGAAAAAACAAAAACAACTCATTCTAGGTAAAGAGGGTAATGTGATTGTAGCAATAAACTGGTAGTGCCTAACAAAACACCTCAAAACTGCATGGATTAAAATAACATCCATGTAATTTACACAAAATTGTGTTGCTCTTCTAGGCAGTGTTCCTGGGTCACTTGTGTGGCTGTACTAATCTGCCTACTCACCACTAATCTGCTGGGCCATTTATCTCCAGCAAGGTAGTCCTAGTCATGCTTTGTCACATACTGACAGCGTTCCAAGAAGGTAAACCCTAAAGTGCAAATGCCTCTGCTTATGTCTTGTTTGCTGAAGTCTCACTGGCCAAAGAAAATCATATGAGTAAGCCCAAGATCAGTGAGGGTGAGGACTATGCTATGGCATGCACAGATGGAAGCATGATTTATTGGTGGCCATTATTATGTGGGGGTCAAGGTTCTTTACCCCCTAAAGTTTAGCTGAAAAATCACCAACATTAGGTAGACTGATTAGTAGGAGAAAAGGCATACAAATTAATTTAATGTATATACCTGGGAACCTGGGAGTCTTCAGAATAAAGACCCACCCCCTAATAAGATACAGAAGCTTATGTACCATCTCAAGGTTATAGAAAAGAAATGTAGGTGCAAAGCATGTCCAAAAACAGGTCATGGTGATAAATGTAGTTTTAGTGGCAAGACAAGTTACGGGGAGGGAGAGGGTAAAAGGCCTGGCTATCAAAATTGGCCTTGTTATTTAGATAAAGCCTCATAGGTAGACCTCCTCAGATAGAATAGATGATCAATGTTTCTTTTCAGATTTTTTTTTTTTTTTTTTGAGACAGAGTATTGCTCTGTCACCCAGCCTGGAGTGCAGTGGCGAGATCTCTGCTCACTGCAAGCTCTGCCTCCCAGGTTCACCCCATTCTCCTGCTTCAGCCTCCTGAGTAGCTGGGACTACAAGTGCCCCCCTACCACGCCTGGCTAATTTTTTTATATTTTTAGTAGAGACGGGGTTTCACCGTATTAGCCAGGTTGGTCTCGATCTCCTGACCTCGTGATCCACCCGCCTCGGCCTCCCAAAATGCTGGGATTACAGGCGTAAGCCACCAAGGCCAGCCTCTTTTAAGATATTTAAAGGTGTCAGACTAAGTTAATCTTTCTTAGATCCAGGAAAGTCCTAGAAAGGGAATTCCTAGAAGCCTTAATGGGAATTCTCTATAGATACAAATTTTTCCCACCTCAGTCTGCTGGCCCTATAGCAACCATTTCAAAATATGTCAAAGAAATCTATTTGGTGGTAAAATATTTGATTTCCTTCAACTGCAACACTTTGGTACAATGATTCATCTATCTATACATCTATTTATATGTATATCTATCTCTATCTACCTATGTATCTCTATATATTTCTAGTATATTCCTACCGTCATCTCTGAACACAGTAGGTAGGTAGTAAGGTGTTGATGAACACCTTGCTTATGCCAAAATAAGTAAAATATTCCTTAAAAATGTATTCGGAGACAAATATGAGTTACCATTGCCCAGAGCAGTCTTGAGAAGATCTGAGGACATGTTCCCAACGTGGTTGGGTTGCAGCTTGGTTTTACACATTTAGAGAGTAATGCAATTCTAGCAATAAACTAGTGGTACTAACATATTAATACATGTGAGGTATCAATACATGTGAGGTATACATTGGGGTTGGTCCAGAAAGGTGGGACATCTCCAAGTGGGAGCTTTTAAGTCATATGTGGATTGAAAAATGTCCTAATTGGCAATTGGTTAAAAGAGTTACATTTTGCTTAAAATTGAAACCAGAAGAATAAAATGCTTGGGGTTAAGGTAGCCAGGGGGTTATGGAAGCTAAGGTTCTTATTCTGTAAAAAAAGCCTCCATGTAGCAGGCTTCAGAGAGTATAGATGGTAAATTTTTCTTATCAGCCTTTAAAAGGTGCCATACTCTTTATTATATCTCTCCTGAATCAAGAATGAACTGGAAACAGGAGGGAATTTTCTACAGGTTGTAAATTTTCACCAGAAGAGACAGCTTTGCAGGGCCATTTCAAAGTATGTCAAAGGAATATATTTGGGGGTAAAATGTTTTGACTTTCTTCAGGGCCTGTTATCTGTTATGTATGTTATACTAGAATCAGGTTGGAATTTGGTATCTTCTTGCTACAAAGAGTCTGTTTTGTTTTGTCAGTCTTAAGATCCCTGTTTCAGTGTTAATACTGGTGAGACTGACCTAATTGTTCCAGAGTCGATGTTTATGAATTTTTTTTCAACAAACTAGAAATTGATCCTCCCAGTCCTAAAACTTGAGAGAGTTATATTTGTCTTATCTGACAAATATTTGTCTTTTATTTGTCTTTCCTTTCTCAGGAAACCAACCATCAGGTCTCCCAGAAAGTAGCAAGGAGCTAAGACTTATCGGATTACTGCATTTGGACAATAAGATGTCAAAGCCCTTACCTGTCATGATTATATAACAGAAAAACTGTTTTCTGTTAACCAACTCCTCTTCCTCATCCCTCTTTAATTCTCATCTTCCCACAAATGGTTGCATTTCTTCACTACAATATACCCCTAATGTCAGTCAGTCAGGGAGTTGGATTTGAGACTGATCTCCCATCTCCTTGGCTACAGCACCCAATTAAAGCCTTCTTCCTTGGCAATACTCATTTTTCTCAGTGACTGGCTTTCTGTGCAGCAAGTAGTAGGGCCTAGACTGAACCACTGGTGATTTGGTAACACTGGTCAGTTTGGCCTAAACTCCAAAGGATGGAGAGTATAATGAGACATGTGTGGACCTCACACTGTCTCTTAATGGCCTGAACTGTTCTCTTTCAGGTTTTTGGAATCCCCTTGGCTAAGTAGGGGTCCTTTCAGTTGGTTGAAGGGCTTAGAATTATATTTTCAGTTTATAAAGGGAAAAGACAGCAAACAAAAGCCACAGAAACCATAAAAAGGTGAGAATTATCTTCCTTTAACCTCTAGTAACCTCAGAGGAAGAATTAATTATCACCTCTCCTTTTAAACTGTATAGCTATTGGTTGCCTAAGTCTTGCAGAAGAACATAAAAACTTCAAAACAATGATATTATGCATATAAGATAGTAGATACCTCAGAAACACGGTCTTTTAGAAAAATAATGTGATCACAATCTTATAGAGTGTTTATCAATTTCAACATCTTCATTGTGCATGACAAGTGGTTTCCTGCTCAGAAGTAGTTCAGGGGAGTGAAAAAAAATGGATTTCAGGGTCAGGTTGATCCAGGTTCAAACTGAATTTAGTCTCCAAGCTACAATTATTTTTTAACTGAGGATAATGTCACCTATTACGTAATCACTTTGTAAATATCATATGCATTTTTAATGACCCAAAGTCAATTTTAGTGTCTTGAGCAGAGAGATTTGTTATCACTGACCTCACAGCAGGAATTTTTCAGTTAATAATCTCAAAACACAGTTGAATATTCTAACTTTAGGAATGCTACAGGCAGAAAGTAGAGAAGGGGATGAACAAAGGTTCTACAGTTGGCTTATTCCCTGTTCAGCCTTGAGATGCTTACTTTTGTTTCATTGACCATTTGTTTTGCCTTGTGTGGACTGAAGGGGTAAAAGGATAGCTGGGGCCTGGAGAAGTCTGAGTTGTACTGGAGGTGAATCCTACTGAGGAAGCACATTCAGATCATTGTTAACCTTCCTCTCTGAAGGGGAGGCCCTGGGGTGATATATTTTAAAAGAGTTAAAAACTATCTGACATGTTTGCCTCCTAAGCAAGTTTAGCGCTGCTACACAAGCAGCCCAGGGAAGCTGGGAGCGGGTTTAGAAATGTGGAGATAATAAGCCTTGCTCCTTTTCTGCCATAAGAGCATCAGGGAAGCTTTTCCTCCCTTTTGCATGCTTAGAGAAAGGAATTTTATCCAGTACTCTTATTTTATTCTCTTCTTTTTCTTGTTTTCTTTTTTCCTTTTCCTTTCTCCTTAATTCCCTGCTCCAAGTCAGCCATCCTGTAATGATTATCTGTTGTTGGTAATGCCCAGTGGTGCCAAGCCTTACAAGTCATGAAATTTGAATTGCTCTTTTCTGTCTTCTTTCAGACATCTTCCTATAGGAGTAACGTATTTCCATGGAATCAGACCTTGTCTCTCAGCACTGCATGACCTGTGCTGTTGGCTTTAGTTAGAAAGAGATTGATTTGTCTTTCTCATTTACACCTCATTCATTCTTCCCCACTGGCATCTACTTTTGTCAGACACATACCTTACCCTTCCAGCAGCGTCAACTTTCTTCTTTAGAGAAATCAATCACCTCTTTCGATAGGTCTAACGTGACCCACCTCAACCCATCCGAAATTTGATTTTTCTTGGCATGTGTGTTGATTTTCTAGCTTTCCAACCGACATTTAATAGTCAATTCATTTGAAATTGAACCCATCATACCCTCATCATCACCTCCTCTCCACACCAAGAATGGTAACCTAACTTCTTGATCTAAACTGACAGTAACATTCCAAAGTCATATCTGACTCCATTTTCACTTGTGCCTTTTATAGCACAAGTCAAGTCCTGGTGATTCTGTCTGTTTAATATTTTACTTATCTTCCTATGTTCCTTTCTTCTCTCTATCCATTAATTTTTCTTTAAAAAAAATCTGTCAAAACTTTTCTCTTGTGATTTCTTTAATTGCCTTTCATTCCTCTTCCCTTTCAATCCATCTTACACCCAAGTGCCAAACTCATCTCTCTGAAGCTTAGTCTTGCTCATGTCCCTTTATTTGCTTTCTCTTGCTGATAGGAAAAAGAAAACAAACAAAAAAAAAATGTTCCAAAAGCCTGAATCTAAATCCCAACAACCATATTCTATTAATATTTCTGGGGCTCTTAAGGGCCTATGTTTTCTTAGTCACTCTTATTCTATTGTCCCTCTCTTTACTGAAGCTATTCTCTTTTCTTAGCCCCAGGTTAACTCAAAGCAAACACAGTCACTTTTCCCTTAACCACCTTCACCCAAAAGTGCCAACTCCATGAAGCACTATATATTAATAGAATTTGCTAAGGATTATCGAAGCAACAGATAGTGGTATAGTTAATAATATTTTATATTAAAATACATTAGGATATTTGCATCTATGCTGGACAATAGAAATGACTTATTGTGCACTTTTGTTCCTAGCAGCCTTACCCTGTGCTGCATTTCTGAGGCCCTTTCTAAATTAACAACTCTTTTTTGTAAACCTTACCCGTCTGAGATCATCAATTTCTCATATTTTCTTCCAAGTATAAATTTAGCCTTCACAGATTGATGCTTACGGGGCCGGTGAAAATGGTAGACAGATATCCATGACCTTCAGAATATAATTCAAGTTCTTTTTTCCTTTATAATTCAGCACCTACCTATTTATCAACTCTTTCTATCCCTCACACCTTCCTCACACGTGTCCTTTCTCCAATCAATATTTTAAAAGTTGCAATTTTTGAAAAGCACCATGCTTCCTTTCCTCAGTACTTTTGTACTTGCTGTGACTTCTATCTGTGGCATGGGTATAGAGTTTACCCTCTCTCATATTGTAACTTGTTCAGCCCTCATCTTCAAGAAGACTTTCCTGATCACTTACCCATTCTGATTCTGTTTCGCTGTTCACCTTCTCTGTACCAAGCAATTGAAACTGCTGTTGAAAAAATTATAAGAGTGAGAAAATTATGACAGTGAAGAGATCTAACAAACTCTGCCTTGTCTTCAACTTCTTAACTGCCCTTGGTCATTCCTGGGCATGGGCCAAGCTAACTTTGAGAGAAATTTGGTTTATAGTTTAAGTGATAATAGCCCTTCTCAAAACTAAACCACCTTTATAAAACTAATAAAAGATACAAGGTTAAAATTACCAGAGAGGTCTGAATTCTCCTAAGATGTAGGCATAGTTAAGTGGTTACCAGCCATTCTTCTAGAGGTCACAAGATTTGTAACTTTCCCAATTACTCCTGTAAACAATATGACTATTGTACACCCTAAAATTGGCCTTTTGAGATATCTATTCACACTTTTGCACTTTTGACAGCTGGATGACTTCATCTGGACTCGAGACTCAAGAATCAACAGGTCCTGGGGCCCCCATCCAGAAGTGGACTCAGTGCAAAAGGATCATTTTCCACACCCCTATTATTGCATCCCCAATTAATCAGCAGCACCTCTTCCCTGGCCCTCTGCCTACCAAACTATCCTTGAAAAACTCTAGTCTCTGAATTTTCAGAGGTGTTAATTTGAGTGAAAATAATACTCCAGACTCCTGTTCAGCCATCTCAACATGTATTAAACTCTTTATTACTATCCTCCTGTCTTGATAAATTGGCTCTATCTAGGCAGCTGGCAAAATGAAGCAATCAGGCATTTTACACTGATCCTGATAAAAGTCTTTTTGCCTGTATTCTGATAAATAGTTTATACTGTGTTTATTCTTGAGAGCTGAAACTATTTTTTTTATTGAGGTGAATCCTCAGTTTTTACTACCATGATAGTGCCCTATAGAAAATAGATGATCAATAAATGTTTCTGAATGAATTAATAACCTATACATACCACCTAACATACTTTAAATCATCTTTAGATTACTTATAATTCCTAATACAATGTAAATTCTATATAAATAGTTGTTATACTATATTGTTCAGGGAATCATGACATGATAAAAGTTTGTACATATTCTGTACAGATGCAATTAAGAATATTTTTCATCAGCAGTTGGTTGAATCCATCGATGCAGAAGCCATGGATACAGTGAGGGCTGACTACTGAGATTGGCAAGCATCCTCTTATGCCTTTGTTTCACTGTGCAATAAGGGTCAGTGAATCGTTGTCTTACAATACATTGGTAGGCAAGTTTTTAGCCACATTTGGAAAGGAAAAATGTGATTTGCAAAGTGAAAATTCACTGAATTGATTTTTTTTCATTTAAATATTTCAGCTTTTAATTTCCTTTCACTAAACCATATTCTCTGTTTAACTGTGGTATCGTTTAGTTTTTGGAACAGTTGCTTCCCAGACAGTTGTCTAAACAAAAGCGATTGAAAGGCAGACTCAGAATGTTCCCAAGTTAGTTATTGGATGTACTTGAAGAGGAGCTTCAGTATGTGCTGTGAAGTCCCTTTTTCCTTTGTAAAGTTAAGCATCACATCTTTTCAAAATCATTCTCCCACTCTGTTTCTGTCCAAAATATATGTGTATTTTTCTCCCATTGAATTCATTCTGTGTGGCCCATCCAAATAGTCCCTTATCTGGTATTTGTAGAAAACAATCCAATACTTCTTAGGAGTTTGACTTCCCAAATATTAGCTTCTGTTTGCAGTTATATGGTCTCATACCTTTCAGCATAGTGACATCCAAAATTCTGCTACTTTTATAGAATGTCCACTTCTGTGGACATTTAAATATTTCCAAGTTCTTTGGACATTTAAAAATTCATCCTAACATATCTGGGTCTCAACCTCCTTATCTCATAATTGGAAACCTTGAAGTTTTCATGCTAGAGGCTCTCCTTATTTCCTCAGTCCTCCTCAGAGATGCAGAGAAATTTGACATGGGGATTCATATTTGGAATTTTGCAGAGGAAGTTTTATTACTATTTGTATGGTCAAAGGATTAATTGGGATGTGCTTAAAAACTGGCTTATAATGAAGGCTTCGTACGTCTCATTTAAATAAATGAGAAAGGGAAAATAGAAACAATGTACCCCAGAGTTTTCCATTAAACTACTTTGGTCAATTTAATGGGTGATCTTTCCTTTTAGGAGAATTACTTTTCCAAAGTTCTTTGTGTTAAAATATCCTTTGTCTTCTGAAATAGTGGTGACAGGAGTTGGGTGTTACTTTTAAATGTTCTTGCTTGGAAAAATCAAAAGTTAGGAAACATATGTTGCCTCTAAAAACATATTTGGAAGATATATACTTGCCTATGAAATTCAAAAGATTAAGAATCACTGTCAAAGTCAGCAGTAAATCTCATCATCAAGCAAACTGCTGTATTTCAGACACTCTCTGGCACTTTGTACACATGAACTCTTCTAATCTTCACAGTATCTCTGTGAGGCACTGATTTTTAGGTTCATTGTACAGATTAAAAAACTAAAAAAACTGAGGCTCAGAGTTTTATAACTTTCTTAAGGTCACAGGGACAATAAATGCTAGAGGCAGGTTTGGGACTGAAGTGGTTTGTCTGGAATCTGTGCTCCTAAACCTCTCTGCTAAGTCTGTATACTCTATATTCTCTAATGTCCCACTGGGTCCCTGGTTATCCAATCAGCTGATTCTGTTGATTTACTACACTGGCACTGTAGCTCACAGACGTGATGGGATAGTTCCTGTGCAAACATATATTGTTCATGTATACGTAATCTACACAATTTCACTGAGGCTAATTTTACTGTGAAACACATAAACTAAAAATATAAATGGCAATGCCCAAAAGAGGTATGAAGACATAAGGATATTTGAAGCTTTTAGGATAATCTATAATGCATAGAATTTGCTCTATAAATGGGCTTATGAAAGCCATCACTTTTCAATTTCTCTGTTTAATGTTCTGTACTTTGTTGCCTTGAGATAGGTTCCTGCCTCTTGGCTATTCCTTCAATCTCTATCATTTTCTATTTACCTATCAATGCCTTTCACTCTCAGGGGCTCTTCACATGTTAAGTACAGCTCCTCCCCGCCATGCCACTTCCACATTATTTGAACCAAAAATAGATTAAGATAGCAGCAACAATGGCAACAATAATAGTTAACATTTGTTGAGCATCTGTAGCACATACTCTGCTAAACATTTTATATATTCATGTAATCTAATGTAATCCTCACAACCAATTCATCATTACAATCCCCAATTTAGCAATAAGGAAAATAGGCATATGGGAGTTTGTAACTGGTCCAATGTCATTGAGTTAATATAAATTATTTAATGTGGATTTAAAAGTCAGGCAGTAAAAATTTATAAATATTTTGTTCTATAAGAATGTCTAAAATGTTATTTGCCTAGTCTTCGATCTTATAGTTTTGATAATAAGACTCTTGAGACTTAACATCTGCTAGCTAGTGCTAGGATTCTGGTTGCATTTTGCGTTTATATTTCTGAATCTTGTTTGTGGTTCCTCAATTGTCTACTGACAAATTCTTCCTAGTGTTGGCTGTAGCATGTGATACGGTCTGGCTCTGTGTCAGGAATAATGTTTGAAGTGTACAGAAAGAGAACCTGATACATGGAAAATCTCATAAGCATCCAGAGTGTATTACATGGTTTGGCTTTGTCCCAACCCCAATCTCATCTTGAACTGTAGTTCCCATGATTCCCATGTGTCATGGAAGGGAAAAGGTGAAGATAACTGAATCATGGGAGTGGTTTTCCCTATCCTGTTGTTGTGATAGTGAATTATTCTCGTGAGATCTGCTGGTTTTATAAGAGGCTTTCCCCTTCACTGGGCACTCATTCTCTCACCTGTCGCCCTGTGAAGAGGTGCCTTCCACCATGACTTTAAACTTCCTGAAGCCACCCCAGCCACGCAAAACTGTGAACCAATTCAACATCTTTTCTTTATAAAGTACCCAGTCTCAGGTATTCCTTCATACCAGCATGAGAACAGACTAATACAGTATACTCACAAACAGAGGATTCAATTCACACAGAAGTCCAGTCACCATCAAAGTTCACTTTTGCTAGGAATGTACCTAATGTTGAAGCATATACATCTATAAACATATTATACTTTTGTTTTGGTGGAAATAATCAGAAATCAGAAATCCAGAAATAATCAGAATTTAATGTTCATACACAGATGTGCATGTTGAAATATTCCAGACACAATCAGGAATTAATCAGAATTTCTATGTTCCTTGCAACACACAGAATGCACATCTGTGTATGAAGTCTTATTTTATACATGCCAGTGAATTCGGATCATGTCTTACAGTATCTGACATTTCTTGTCCTGATGAAGTTGAGTGGTTGTAGATAAAAATCAGGTAAAAGTCAGCCGGGCGCAGTGGCTCACCCCTGTAATCCCAGCACTTTGGGAGGCCGAGGCGGGCTAATCATGAGGTCAGGAGATCGAGACCATCCTGGCTAAGAGGGTGAAACCCCGTCTCCACTAAAAATACAAAAAATTAGCCAAGCGTGATGGTGGGTGCCTGTAGTCCCAGCTACTTGGGAGGCTGAGGCAGGAGAATTGCTTGAACCCAGGAGGCAGAGCTTGCAGTGAGCTGAGATCGCACCACTACACTCCAGCCTGGGCGACAGAGTGAGACTCTGTCTCAACAAACAAACAAACACAGTTAAAAGTCGTGGTAGACAGTTAGAATGACGATCATTAAAAAGTCAGGAAACAACAGGTGCTGGAGAGGATGTGTAGAAATAGGAACACTTTAACACTGTTGGTGGGACTGTAAACTAGTTCAACCATTGTGGAAGTCAGTGTGGCGATTCCTCAGGGATCTAGAACTAGAAATACCATTTGACCCAGACATCCCATTACTGGGAATATACCCAAAGGATTATAAATCATGCTGCTATAAACACACATGCACACGTATGTTTATTGCGGCACTATTCACAATAGCAAAGACTTGGAACCAACCCAAATGTCCAACAACGATAGACTGGATTAAGAAAATGTGGCATATATACACCATGGAATACTATGCAGCCATAAAAAATGATGAGTTAATGTCCTTTGTAGGGACGTGGATGAAACTGGAAACCATCATTCTCAGCAAACTATCGCAAGGACAAAAAACGAAACACCACATGTTCTCACTCATAGGTGGGAATTGAACAATGAGAACACATGGACACAGGAAGGGGAACATCACACTCCAGGGATTGTTGTGGGGTCGGGGGAGGGGGGAGGGATAGCATTAGGAGATATACCTAATGCTAAATGACGAGTTAATGGGTGCAGCACACTAACATGGCACATGTATACATATGTAACAAACCTGCACATTGTGCACATGTACCCTAAAACTTAAAGTATATAAAAAAAAAAAAAGTCGTGGCAGAGTTAAATGAACTAAAATGAAGTGAAGTGTTTTAGGAAAAAGCTCCTATGCATAGTTTTTCATGAGTCAATAGGAATAATATAAGAGTTATAGTAGATAACTGAATAAAATATTAGGTTGGGGTTTTGTTGAATATTGTGATAGTTTTATATTTTCTCATCATTTTAAAATTAGTATTTTTAAAATTTTTACATAATTATCCTTAAATCTTAGCCTGTATCTGTTATCTTCTTTAAAAAGGGAATGAGATGTAAAAAGTATTAGGTCTATAAACATGTATCTTCTCCCAAAAGCAAAAGACTGAAAGATAAAGTGTATAAATCCCTCCCCTTGAGCAATGGCATAGAACGAGAAAGTGCCTTCTTTTGATGGAAACTTGGGGAATAAGTTAAGCCCTTTCAGATAAAAGGGGACAGATTTCAGTCATGCAGGCCAAAAATTTGGAAATGGTGAATGAAAACTTAGAAAATTGTTCTAATTTTGGTGCTTTTTGAACTATAGAAAATATTTCCCAGTGTTAGTCTTAAAGAAGCATATAACTTGTTATCAATGGCATGGAATTTTCCATGAACCAATACAACTCAGTGAAACTCAGCTAGAAAAATAAAGCCTTGTTTTTATTATAATTGTATTGTCTCCCTAAGAACCATAACTTTGTAATGTGGTGCACACTAGTGGTTGATGGGGATTGAGAATTAAAAGGCTAATTTTCCTAGTTCATTATAGAAGAAAAATTATGATACTAATTATAAAATGATTATATACAGAAAAAAATAACTTAAACAGTATGCTGTACCTTCTAAAAATGTCATGACATTGTTTTAATCATGTAATTTTAAAATAATCTATAGCCATATACACATATTTTAGAAGCCTTTTCTTTCCAATTGTTGTCCTCGTATTTACTTGCATCCAAACACTTGTTAAACAGCTTCTTTTAGAATTGACAACTCTCAGGACAATCCAATGTTCTTGCAAAAATTAGGACTTTCATAGTGAAGCTATACTTTTTTAAGTTATGTTGCACAAGCCACCAAAATGGCTGCATCTCATTAAGGTTCTCAAGCACAAGCCTTTTGTCGTCTTGACTACTCCACAATACTATGTATTGGCCTTGTCCATGAAAATGAAACAAAGCAACACATGCAGAAATTTGATTTATAATGGTTGCACCATTACTTATACAACTAAAAACAATGGGAACATCTTGATGTTAGAGCCTTAATCTCTACAATATATTTCACTGCATGGTGTGATAATTATTTCATATTTTATCTTGTATCCTATAATCCTTCCTTGGAGCAAAAGAAAATCAAATTTTATATTGGTCTTACATTTATATTTTTAATTAATCTTGAGTGAATTTTGGTATATGGTGAGATATAGGGGTACAATTTTATTCTTCTGCATATGACTAGCCAATTTTCCTCACACCATTTATTGAATAGGGTGTCCTTTCCCCAGTGTATATTTCCATTGACTGTGCCAAAGATCAGTTGATTGTAAGTATATGGCTTTATTTCTGGGTTCTCTATTCTGTAACATTGATCTATGTGTCTATTTTTATATCAATACCATACTGTTTTGGTTACTATAGCCTTGTAGTATAATTTAAGTCAGGTAATGTGATGTCTCCTGCTCTTTACTTATTTATATTATATTTTGACTCTACTGGGACAAAGTGGAGATATAAGAAACATTTACATTTCAATTAAAATTGTGGTAAAAATAGATATACACAAATAAATGTAAATGATTGAAATGAAAAATTAATACAAATGGCCAATTATATGAAATTTGCTTACCCTCAGTGATTATTACAGAAATATGAAAGTTGAGACCAGCCTGGGAAACACAGTGAAACCCCATCTCTACAAAAATTAGCCAGGTATGTTGGCATGTGCCTGTAGTCCCAGCTACTTGTGAGGCTGAGTTGAAAGGATCACTTGAGCCTGGGAGGTAGAGGCTACAGTGAACTATTATGATACTGCACTCCAGGCTGAGTGACAGAGCAAGACCATGTCTCAAAAAAACAAAAACAAATACAAAACAAAACCTTTAATTATGTACGCTTTTTAATAACCAGATTAGCAAAATTCAAGAGGACTGGAGCCAGCTGTCATTAGTTTCATGCGCGTCCGTGTGAAGAGACCACCAAACAGGCTTTGTGTGAGCAACATGACTGTTTATTTCACCTGGGTGCAGGCAGGCTGAGTCCAAAAAGAGAGTCAGCGAAGGAAGATAGGGGTGGGGCTGTTTTATAGGATTTGGGAAGGTAATGGAAAATTACAGTCAAAGGGGGTTGTTCTCTGGTGGGCAGGGGCGGGGGTCACAAGGTGCTCAGTGGGGGAGCTTCTGATCCAGGAGAAGGAAATTCACAGGGTTAATCACTCAGTTAAGGTGGGGCAGGAACAAATCACAATGGTGGAATGTCATCAGTTAAGGCGGGGCAGGGCCTTTTCACTTCTTTTGTGATTCTTCAGTTACTTCAGGCCATCTGGGCGTATACGTGCAATGGCTTGGCAATTGCAAGGGGATGCGATGGCTTGGCTTGGGCTCAGAGGCCTGACAATTAGGATGAGGGGAAAAGGTACTTTTAAACACTATTGATTCGCTGGGAATATAACTCAAAATTTAGAGAGAGTAATTAAGCTGTATATATAAAATTATAAATGAGCACACTCATACCACAGCAATTCTATGTGTAGTTAACTATTCTGACATAGCACCCACAGTGTATTATTCTGTTCTCATGCTGCTATGAAGAAATATCCAAGACTAGGTAATGTATAAAGGAAAGAGATGTAATTGACTCACAGTTTTGCAGGGCTGCGGAGGCCTCAGGAAACTTAAAATCATGGTGGAGAGAGAAGCAAACACATCTATCTTCACAAGTTGGCAGGAGAGAAGAATGAAAGAATTGCAAAGTGGGGGAAAAATCCCTCACAAAACAATCAGATCTCGTGAGAACTCATTCACTATCATAGGAACAGCATGGGGGAACTACACCCATGATTCAGCCACTTCCAACAAAGTCCAGTATAATTTTATTTGAATTAAAAACCTTGCAAATTATCACTATAGACTCAGAAATGTCAGGTTTTTAATATCTTCCTTGTGTGGAGGAAAGACAGCAGTGATTACTTTAAAACCTTGTTTGTTTTAATAAATTATCTTCTTTCTAAATTTTTGTGGTTAAAGTGGGTTGTACTTGCCACTAAAATACAATACAATAGGCAATGGAAGAAAAGACTAAGGAGAAAAAATCAAGTGGGTTTGTGGAGGGAGCTTTCAGTCATGTTTTGTTTTCCCTAACAGTTCTCCAAATCCCTCTCTTTATAGCTCAACATTTTTATAATTATTCTTTTGTAGAGGACAAGTCCTATCTGCATCTGAAGACTAATGAACTAGTTTATAAAATTTTGGAAATCCAGAGCTAGGTAGAGTGTTCTCTGAAGTTATGAGCCTAAAGAATTTTGAAGCTTCTGGTTTCAATGTCTGCTAAAAGTAGACCTACAGTGATAGATTCACTGTAGCTGGTACTAAGAAACAGCTGTGCATGTTTGAAAGCATATGAAGGGAATAAGCTAGTGACAAAGAAATACTATGTGAATTGATCATGCTTCAAAATAATCAATTGGAAACTGATACTAAACAATAACTAAAATACTGCAAATAGTTTGGAAACTGATACTAAACAATTACAATTAAAATGTTGCAAATAATTTGAAACTGATACTAAATAATTACAACTAAAATCTTGAAAATTCAGTGATTAGAATATTGCCAATTGCAGAAACTGCTCTTCTTGATTAATACGTGTTTGCTATTCCCTCATCTGCAATGTTAGAAAGTGACACTACATTTTCAAGCTTGGCTATTAATGTAATCAGTGAAAATGTTAATTCAATAACTCATAATTATGATGTACGCATGAATGAGTATTCTAAATGAATATGACATAGGCAACTAGGAATATAACAAACTTACTAGTTGAAATTATTATTTTTAACCGAAATATGTGTTCACAATGCTACACAAATAAAAGTGTCCTGAAGCTTCGAATTTTAGAAAGTACTGAGTTATGCTAAACTAGTGCGTGTAACCCTCAGGATGAGACTACCTCCTGGAGCAATGGAGAATTTTTCCCCTGTTAGTTGTGTGGTAAACTGTACTTGGCACTCCCTTTGCGGATGAGTGACAAAATAGACATATTTTGAGGGCCCCAGCATTTTAACAATTTATGCCTCTGTTATGTACAATGCTTTTGTTAAAATAATATGATGGTGATAAGAACGACGATACTCCCTTTGAAAATTACTACATATTTGAGAACAACAGATAAAGAGTTGAAAGAACATTTACAGTGTGTCAAATAATTTTCACATATATCTTTAACAGAAATATTATTGGCTTGGGTATCCCCAAGAGTTCCAGTTTTCTTTTTAAAAAAACCAATTAAAAATTATCTTGATCCCCAATCAGATGTCATATGCAAACGAAAATCCAGTATTCTCTAATCAATATCATTTAAAATTTTCTAGAATCTTTCTTTTTCTCCTAAGAAACTCTTGTTAAAATGTCTTACTTCCACTTATGTTTCTTTGCTCTTCTCTGTGTAACCTTATTTATTATCTAATCTATATTTATATAAACCCCTCAATGAAGCTTTTACTTTCCCTTAGTGGTTTTTCATATCCAAAAGAAATAAGACAATTACTGAAAATATTGTCTAATCATGAGACAGCATAGTTCATAAATAAATGGAAAATTTAACACCTTATAATACATCTTTGCTCTTGAAAGTTTATTGGCTGTTCTTACTGGCAATTTTCCATTGCTCAATTTTTTTGCCTAGTTCTTGTTCTTTAGCCAATTGCTCAGTCATCTCTCTATCTCCTTGCATTTTTCTCTTTTCTCTTCTCTCTTCTTTCCACTCCCCACCCAGCACTACCTCTTTAGTGAACCTTTCACTTTTTCCCTCTTTGCTCAAGAAATATGATTCTTACTGTGTCCAGAATTGGTGGGTTCTTGGTCTCACTGACTTCAAGAATGAAGCCGCGGACTCTCGCGGTGAGTGTTACAGCTCTTAAGGTGGCATGTCTGGAGTCTGTCCCTTCTGATGTTCAGATGTGTTCGGAGTTTCTTCCTTCTGGTGGGTTCCTGGTCTTGCTGGCTCAGGAGTGAAGCTGCAGACCTTTGTGGTGAGTGTTACAGCTCTGAAGGCGGCGCGTCTGGAGTTGTTCGTTCCTCCTGGTGGGCTCGTGGGCTCGCTGGCTCGCTGGGCTCAGGAGTGAAGCTGCAGATCTTCGCGGTGAGTGTTACAGCTCATGAAAACAGTGTGAACCCAAAGAGTGAGCAGTAGCAAGATTTATTGCAAAGAGTGAAAGAACAAAGCTTCCACAGTGTGGAAGGGGACCTGAGCTGGTTGCCAATGCTGGCCCGGGCAGCCTGCTTTTATTCTCTTATCTGGCCCCACCCACATCCTGCTGATTGGTAGAGCCGAGTGGCCTGTTTTGTCAGGGCGCTGATTGGTGCGTTTACAATCCCTGAGCTAGATACAAAGGTTCTCCACGTCCCCATCAGATTAGTTAGATACAGAGTCTGGACACAAAGGTTCTCCAAGGCCCCACCAGAGCAGCTAGATACAGAGTGTCCATTGGTGCACTCACAAACCTTGAGCTAAACACAGGGTGCTGATTGGTGTATTTACAATCCCTTAGCTAGATATAAAGACTCTCCACGTCCCCACCAGACTCAGGAGCCCAGCTGGCTTCACCTAGTGGATCCCGCACCAGGGCTGCAGGTGGAGCTGCCTGCCAGTCCCACGCCGTGCACTCACATTCCTCAGCCCTTGGGTGGTCTATGGGACTGGGGACCGTGTAGCAGGGGGTGGTGCTTCTTGGGGAGGCTCCGGCCGTACAGGAGCCCATGGAGTGGGTGGGAGGCTCAGGCATGGCGGGCTGCAGGTCCCGAGCCCTGCCCCGCAGGAAGGCAGCTAAGGCTAGGTGAGAAATCGAGCGCAGCGATGGTGGGCTGGCACTGCTGGGGGACCCAGCACACCCTCCGCAGCCACTGGCCCAGGTGCTAAGTCCCTCATTGCCCGGGGCCAGCAGGGCTGGCCGGCTGCTCCCAGTGCGGAGCCCACCAAGCCCACGCCCACCCAGAACTCCAGCGGGCCCTCAAGCGCTTGCAGGCAGCCCCAGTTCCCGCTCACGCCTCTCCCTCCACACCTCCCTGCAAGCTGAGGGAGTGGGCTCCAGCCTTGGCCAGCCCAGAAAAGGACTCCTACAGTGCAGCGGCGGGCCGAAGGGCTTCTCAAGTGCCAACAAAGTGGGAGCCCAGGCAGAGGAGGCGCAGAGAGCGAGCGAGGGCTGCGAGGACTGTCAGCACGCTGTCACCTCTTATTACTACTTTTTTTCATACACAAATCCAGCCATTCATTTCTTTAGGAGTCCTCATAAAACCGTGAATTCACCATTGACTTCAACTTATATTTCACACTATAATAGCCAATCAATGTAGTTTGCTAAATATAATAAGCACAAGGTATCTATCTAAAAGAAATTTTGTATTAAAAATGCAACCTTTAATCAAACAAGGTGTGATATCCTTACTTTTAAAATTAAAAAAGAACCCAGAAGCTAAGAGAGATTAATTAGCTAGCCCAAGTTATATGGTTAGTAGGTATCAGAGTTTGCATTTAAATAAGTATGTCTGTTTTTTGTTTGTTTGTTTGTTTTTTGGCCTGTTTATTGCTGCTGGTGGTGGTTTTTTTTTTTTTTTTTTTTTTTGTACAAACTGAATTTGGACTTTTAGGGCAAAGCCAGCACTTAGTGCAACAGACAGAACAAACAATATTCAATGACATCAGCTGTATTTGGGAAAGTTTCTTGGCATTCATGATGGTAGCAAGTTTCAGAGAAATATGGAGAAATTGGAGGTCAACAAGGCAATACATGCAAGACCTCCTTTGGCAAAACAAAAAGGCTCTAAGTAAACAAAATTTCTGCTCAAAAGTCAGATACACAGTGATGATTTTTCTGTGTATAGTCATGAATTACATCTATTCTTTTAATAGCTAACTAATGTTCATATGTAATTATAGTTCATAGTTCTCTTTAAGTATTGTACTCACTTTTTTATTGCCAGCATCAATGGAAACTATTTTCAGAAGGCAGCGCTGAATGAGGACTTTATTGCTCTCTGGTCTTATTCTGAGTATGTTTTTGGCTACTCTGAGTTATCTTTCCTCCTTTCAACATTTTTTAAATTTGATTATGGCCTTGTGGGTTTTCTTGGTGGCTCTTTTGGTCTAAACCATGTGAATCCCAAATATGTGAGACAGATTTCAGTGAATTTAGGAAGTTTATTTTGCCAAAGTTAAGGGCACATGAGCATGACACAGCCTCAGGAGGTCTTGATGACACGTGCCTAAGGTTGTCAGGGCACAGCTTGGTTTTATACATTTTAGGGAGATATGAGACATCAATCAATATATGTAAGATGTACATTGGTTGGATCCAAAAAGGCAAGACAACTTGAAGTGGGGAGGGGACTTCCAGGTCATAGATAAATAAGAGAAAAATGGTTTCATTCTTCTGAGTTTCTTATTAGCCTTTCCAAAACAGGCAATGAGATATGCATTTATCTCAGTAGCAAAGGGATTACTGAATTCTGTCTGTCCTTTGTCCACAAGAAGATTCCTTGTGAGGGAGGTAGGTAGCCTTTGTATCTTAGCAGTTATCTTTTTAGAAATAGAATTGTTAAGCAAAAAAAAAAAAAGAAATAGAATTGTTACAGAAAAGGGGTGTCAATCCAGATCCCGAGAGAGTTCTTGCTTGCACAAGAAAGAATTCAGGGCGAGTCCACAGGGCAAAGCAAAAGCAAGTTTATTAAGAAAATAAAGTGGTGAACGGACAGCTACTCCATAGACAGAGTAGGACTTTCCTGAAAGTAAGAAGAGGAACATGTCCACCCTAGGTACAATGCTTGTATATATGGGGAGATGTATTCTGCTATAAGGGTTTGTGATAAAGGATTAATTTTCTTAATTACTATATTTTGCAAGAATCGGTATTATTATCTTTAAAGCAAAATTAGGAATGCCTTTTTTGTCCAGATATCAGGATATCTGGACACTCCCAAGTCTGGGTCTATTTAGTAAACATTATTAATTTGTTCTCATAACTGTAAACATCTAGAGGCTAGGAATGCTTAACTTTCTGAGAATGCAGCCCAGTAAGTCCAAGCCTCATTTTCCTAGCCCTCACTCAAAATGGAGTTGCTCTGGTTCAAATACCTCTGACAAAACGGGAGGCGAGTTTTTCCTAGGCTGTTCCCAGCTTGAGTTTTCTATTTGGCTTAGTGTTTTGGGATCCAAAGATTTGTTTTCCTTTCACAACCCCTTGGCTGAGGCTGGTTGCCCTAGGATGGTCTCATGTGTATTGAAGCTGGTGGTTTATAACATTGATTACATAATTAGAACCATTTGAGAACCAAGAAATAAAGTAAAAGTAATGAAAAATACTTACATTTGCCTGAATTTTGTTTTGGAGAACTTACAAATTTGGGAACCAAAGTTTAAATTCAAGTAAAATTTCCTGGGAAATTGCAGAGTTTTTTTTACTAGTCTCTAACTTATACTACAAAAAAAGCCCTAAGAGTTCCAACAATGGAACATACTATTTAGGACTGTAAAAGTACAAACCAAAAATATAATTCTAAGCCCCCCGACCAACTGAATAGATGCCCCTCTTGGCCAAGGGGGTCCCAAGGAGACCTGAAGAACTCATTCAGGCCATGACGGGAAAGGGGCATTGGATATGCCTCACTGTATCCTCTTCCTTTTGGGCTTTAGGCACAAGTGACCAGAATTAACATTAAAATAGAGACCATAAGACTCACAAAACAGACTCTGGAGCAATAAGATAACAAATTCCAACATTACTCTTGTATAGCATCACATGCCAGATAGCAGGCTTTAAAGTAAATCAAAGCATTTTACCCCAAAATATGTTTATTTTACATATTGTGAAGAAGACCTGCAAAGTTATCTCTTGGGGGGGAAATTTGCATTCTGTTGAGAATCTCCTTCCTTTACTAGGTATTTCCCAGAGAGTACGACACCTTTTAAGGTCTAATTAAAGACATTTACTGTCTATTCTCTCTGAAGCATGCTACAAGGAAGCTTTACCTACATAAAAAAACCTTGGTTTTAACAACTCCCCCTCCACCCCCACCCCCACCCCCACCCCCCGCCCCTTCAACTTAACTCTTTCTGCCAATTGCTAATTGGAAAATCTTTGAAGCCATCTATGACCTGTAAGCCCTCTGCTTCAAGATGTCCCATCTTTCTAGGCCAAACAAATATATAGCTTCCATGTTGATTTTCATCTTTGTCTATAACGTCTGTCTTCTTAAAATGTATAAAACTAAGCTGTAACCTAACCATCTTGGGCACATGTTCTCAGGACCTCCTGAGGCTGTGTTATGGGCGATGGTGTTTAACCTTAGCAAAACAAATATTTAAATCGATTAAGACCTGTATCAGATACTTCCTGGTTTGCAAAAGTATACTATCAAATAATAAATTCAAAAGAAAGACAGCTATGGTTTTGGGCAAATAGGAAAGCTGCAACAAAAAAATATTAAAGAAGCAAGACAGTGGTTTTCATTCGTGTCCGTGTGAAGACACCACCAAACAGGCTTTGTGTGAGCAATAAAGTTTTAATCACCTGAGTGCAGGAGGGCTGAGTCCGAAAAGAGAGTCAGATAAGGGAGATGGGGTTGGGCTGTTTTATAGGATTTGGGTAGGTAAAGGAAAAAGGGGGGTTGTTCTCTGGTGGGCAGGAGTGGGGGTCACAAGGTACTCAGTGGGGGAGCTTTTGAGCCAGGATGAACCAGGAGAAGGAATTTCACAAGACAATGTCATCAGTTAAGGCAGGAACAGGCCGTTTTCACTTCTTTTGTGGTGGAATGTCATCAGTTAAGGCAGGGCACAGGGGATATGATGGCTTAGCTTGGGCTCAGAGGCCTGACATTCCTGTCTTCTTATATTAATAAGAAAAATAAAATGAAACAGTGGTAAAGTGTTGGGACGGTGGAAATTTTTGGGGGTGGTATGGAGAGAGAATGGGCGATGTTTCTCAGGGCTGCTTCCAGCGGGATTAGGGGTGGCATGGGAACCTAGAGCGGGAGAGATTAAGCTGAAGGAAGATTTTGTGGTAAGAGGTGATATTGTGGGGTTGTTAGAAGTAACATTTGTCATTTAGAATTATTGGTGATGGCCTGGATACAGTTTTGTATGAATTGAAAAACTAAACGGAATAAGAGAAGGAGAAAAACAGGTATTAAAGGACTAAGAATTGGGAGGACCTAGGACATCTAATTACAGAGTGCCTAAGGAGGTTCGGCATAGCCTTGCCAGTAAAGATTATTTATTTACTTTAAGAGTTAAGAGTGGCGGTTTGGGGATAGCACCAGGAGATATCAGCTGTGCTGGCTTGGAGAAACAGTGTAAACTGGCAGCGTAAACAAGAGCAGGGCATGTATGAATAGTTGAGAACAGTGAATAGGAGTATGACTAGGCTAGACAGAAGATAGTAGGGATGACAAGTTTTCTGGGGCACAGTCCAAGTTGGTCTGGTGTCTGGAATGAGACTGGGGCCTAACAAAAAGGAGCTCAAATGGGCTATACCTTGTAGCAGTCCGAGGACAGGCCTGAATTCTGAGAAGCGAAAGTGGTAAAAGTATTGTCCAGTCCTTTTTAAGTTGGTGGCTGAGCTTGGTGAGGTGTGTTTTTAAAAGACCTTTAGTCCATTCTACTTTTCTTGAAGACGGAGGACCGTAAGGGATATAAAGGTTTCACTGAATACTAAGAGCCTGAAAAACTGCTTGGCTGATTTAACTAATAAAGGCTCGTCTGTTATCAGACTGTATAGAGGTGGGAAGGCTAAACTGAGGAATTATGTCTGACAGAACGGAATAAATGACTGCAGTGGCCTTCTCAGACCCTGTAGGAAAGGCCTCTACCTATCCAGTGAAAGTATCTACCTAGACTAAGAGGTATTTTAGTTTCCTGACTCAGGGCATGTTGAGTAAAGCTAATTTGCCAGTCCTGGGTGGGGGCAAATCCTCGAGCTTGATGTGTGGGGAAGGGAGGGGGCCTGAATAATCCCTGAGGAGTAGTAGAATAGCAGATGGAACACTGAGAAGTTATTTTCTTGAGGATAGATTTCCAGGATGGAAAGAAAATGAGAGGTTCTAAGAGGCGGGCTAGTGGCTTGTACTATAGCATAAGCCTGCCTTTGCTGGTGTGTGGCTATTAGGCCTGGTGGAACTGCCATCAATAAATCAAGCATGATCAGGGTGAGGTACAGGAAAGAGGAAAATATGGGGAAATGGGGTGAATGTCAGGTGGATCAGAGAGATACAGTCATGAGGGTCAGGTGTGTTATCCAGAATAATGTGGGAGGCCGGATTGAAGTCCGGGCCAGGAACAATGGTAATTGTGCGACTTAACAAAGAGTGAGTACAGCTGAAGGAGCTGGGGAGCAGAAAGTATATGCATCAGGTATGAGGAAGAAAATAGATTTTGGAAGTTATGAGAAACGTAGAGAGTGAGTTGAGCATAGTGTGTGATTTTTAGGGCCTCTAAAAGTATTAAAGCAGCGGCAGCCGCTGCACGCAGACATGAGGGCTAGGCTAAAACAGTAAGGTCAAGTTGTTTGGACAGAAAGGCTACAGGGTGTGGTCCTGGCTCTTGTGTAAGAATTCTGACTGCACTAACCATGCCTAGGAAGGAAAGGAGTTGTTGTTTTGTAAGGGATTGAGGTTTGGGAGATTAATCGGACGCTATCAGCAGGGAGAGCACGTGTGTTTTTATGAGAATTATGCCGAGATAGGTAACAGATGAGGATGAAATTTGGGCTTGACTGAAGTAATGGGGGCTATCTGCGAAGATTTGTGGCAGTACAGCCCAGGTAACTTGCTGAGCCTAATGGGTGTCAGGGTCAGTCCAAGTGAAAGCGAAGAGAGGCTGGGATGAAGGGTGCAAAGGAATAGTAAAGAAAGCATGTTTGAGATCTAGAACAGAATAATGGGTTGTGAAGGGAGGTATTGAGGATAGGAGAGTATATGGGTTTGGCACCACGGGGTGGATAGGCAAAACAATTTGGTTGATAAGGGGCAGATTCTGAACTAACCTATAAGCCTTGTCTGGTTTTAGGACAGGTAAAATGGGGGAATGGTAAGAAGAGTTTATAGGATTTAAAAGGCCATGCTGTAACAGGCCAGTGATAACAGGCTTTAATCCTTTCAAAGCATGCTGTGAGATGGGATATTGGCATTGAGCGGGGTAAGAGTGATTAGGTTTTAATGGGATGGTAAGGGGTGCATGATCTGTCGCTAAGGAGGGAGTAGAGGTGTCTTATACTTGTGGGTTAAGATAGGGAGATACAAGGGGAGGATGTAAAGAAGGCTTTGAACTGGGGGAAAAGGCAGCAATGATGTGTGGCTGTAGCCTAGGAATGGTCAGGGAAGCAGATAATTTAGTTAAAGTGTCTCGGCCTGATAAGGGAAATGGGCAGGTGGGGATAACTAAAAAGGAGTGCTTAAAAGAGTATTGTCTAAATTGGCACCAGAGTTGGGGAATTTTAAGCGGTTTAGAAGCCTGGCCGTCAATACACACAATAGTTATGGAAGCAAGGGAAACAGGCCCTTGAAAATAAGGTAATGTGGAGTGAGTAGCCTCCGTATTAAGAAGGGGATGGACTTACCTTCCACTGTGAGAGTTACCTAGAGCATCTGTGATGGTCCTGTAGGCTTCTGAGGCAATCAGGCAGTGTCAGTCTTCAGCTGCTAAGCCAAGAAGATCTGGGAAGGAGTCAGTCAGAGAGCCTTGGGCCAGAGTTCCAGGGACTCTGGAAGTGGCTGCCAGGTGAGTTGAACAGTCCGATTTCCAGTGGGGTCCTGCACAGATGGGACATGGCTTAGGAGGAATCCTGGGCTGCAGGCATTCCTTGGCCTGGTGGTCAGATTTCTGGCACTTGTAGCAAGCTCCTGGGGGAGGAGGTTCTGGAGGAACGCCTGGTCACTGAGGTTCAGGCATTTGGAAGTTCTTGTGTGCTGGAGATGTGGCTGCGGTTTGTCTCACAGTGGAGGCAAGGAATTGCAACTTTTTTCTATTATTGTACACCCTGAAGGCAAGATAATTAAATCCTGTGTGGGGTTGGAGGGCTGGAATTTAATTTTTGGAGTTTTATTTAATGTTGGGAGCAGATTGGGTAATGAAATGTATATTGAGAATAAGATGGCCTTTTGACCTTTTAGGGTCTAGGGCTGTAAAGCGTCTCAGGGTTGCTGCCGAATGAGCCATGAATTGGGCTGGGTTTTTCATATTTGATGAAAGAGCCTAAATGCTCACTGATTTGGGAGAGGTCTGATAAAGAAAAAGGAGCATTAACCTTGACTATGCCTTTAGCTTCAGCCACCTTTTTAAGAGGAAATTGCTGGGCAGGTGAGGGAGGCCTACTCACGGAATGAAATTATGAACCGGACCGGGAGTGAGGAGGGGAGGTGACAAAAAGATCATAGGGTGGAGGAGCTGAGGCTGAGGAAGAATTAGGACCTAGCTTGGCCTGGCGAGGAGCAGCCTGGGGAGGAGGGGAGAGGTCATATGGGTCTGTAGAAAAGGAAGATTAGAAAGACTCAGATACGCTTGGGGTTGGGACTGAGGGGACAGGCGGGAGGGAAAGAAGGAAGATTTGGGACGAGTTGCCCTGGGCACAGAGACTAGGGAGGGACCAATGTGTAAAAGATGCCGGGACGTCAGGCACCTCAGACCGTTTGCCCATTTTACGACAATAATTATTTAGATCTTGCAGGATGGAAAAATTGAAAGTGCCATTTTCTGGCTATTTGGAACTACTGTCGAGTTTTTATTGGGGTCAAGCAGCATTGCAGAAGAAAATAAGATGCTTAGATTTTAGGTCAGGTGAGAGTTGAAGAAGTTTTAAGTTCTTAAGAACACAGGCTAAGGGAGAAGAAGGAGGAATGGAGGGTGGAAGTTTACCCATAGTGAAGGAGGCAAGCCCAGAGAAAAGAGAGAGTAGAGACAGGGAGGGAAGGGGTTTGGGGGTTCTTACCCTCCAGAAAAGCGGGAAAGGGGCCGGGGCACAGAGAAAGGAGGTCAGGGTGCAGAAATAAGGGATTGGGGCATGGAGATATAAGAGGTTGGGGCGCGGAAATAAGGGATCGGGGTGCAGAGATATAAGAGGTTGGGGCACGGAAATAAGGGATAGGGGCACAGAGATACGAGGTTGCGGTATTTGCCCCTCCCCCAGAAAAGTGGGACTTGCCGCTAAGGGTGAAGGAGAAGGGGTTGGGGCTTTCTGGCCCCCAAGAAAGGCGGAGAAGGGGTAGAGACATGGAGAGAAGGGGTTGGGGTACTTGCCCCTTCCACAGAAAAGCAGGACTTGCCGCTAAGGGTGAAGGACCAAGGCAGGTGTCCCTGCGTGGTCTGACACCTCTGAAACGTGGGTGAATAATCACAGAGGCGTCCCTGAAATGATTAAACACCAAGGGAAGGCTGCCTTCCCAGTTGGTGACCGGCGCTGGAGTTTTGGGTCCACGGATAAAACGTGTCTCCTTTGTCTCTACCAGAAAACCAAAGGAATTGAAATTAAAAGAAGGGAGAGATTGAAGTGTGGCGCCAAGATTGAAAGGTGAAGGAGGTTGAAGGATAGTGAGGGAGGTTGGAGAAGAGAGTACAAAGAGGCCGCTTACCCAATTTAAAATTGGTGAGATGTTCCTTGGGCTGGTGGGTCTGAGGACCTGAGGTCATAGGTGGATCTTTTTCACGGAGCAAAGAACAGGAGGACAGGGGATTGATCTCCCAAGGGAGGTCCCCTGATCCGAGTCATGGCACCAAATTTCATGAACGTCCATGTGAACAGACCACCAAACAGGTTTTGTGTGAGCAATAAAGCTTTTAATCACCTGGGTATAGGCGAGCTGAGTCCGAAAAGAGAGTCAGTGAAGGGAGATGGTGTGGGGCCGTTTTATAGGATTTGGGTAGGTAAAGGAAAAAGGGGGGTTCTCTGGCGGGCAGGAGTGGGGGTCACAAGGTACTCAGTGGTGGAGCTTTTGAGCCAGGATGAGCCAGGAGAAGGAATTTCACAAGACAGTGTCATCAGTTAAGGCAGGAACAGGCCATTTTCACTTCTTTTGTGGTGGAATGTCATCAGTTAAGGCAGGAACCGGCCATCTGGATGTGTACGTGCAGGTCACAGGGGATATGATGGCTTAGCTTGGGCTCAGAGGCCTGACAGTGGTAAGGATAGAAAAACGAAGCAACGATATTCTCAGAGCTGGAACACAAGTACATGAACAAACCTTTGAAAGATGTAAGAACACACCCTTGTCTAAAGCAGAAGGTAGAATATCTCATATGTTAACATATGCAATGTGAAAGGAAAACTCAGAGACAAAGCATTAATGAAATGAAAGTATTTTTACTTAACAAAAGAAGATACACTCTCAAAACAACACCTCAAAGCTCTCCAATGCTCTGGGTCCCTCTGTCATGGGACAGTTCAAATTCATGGTATGGTCAGAGGTAACACCACTGCAATAAGAATAGAAGTGATTTATCCAATCTTTTCACACTCCATACAGAGCTTTGTTGTTGAAGAATAAACTGGAAACCAATGAAAATATATGGAGCTTTTATACACTGTGTATGAAGCACTCCGTCTGTCTTACATTAAGTTTTTTTCTAATCTTCATGCATTGCTGAAGGTCCTGTGTATTCTTTCTGTGATAACGATTGAGAATTGTTGCTTGAAAATGGATAAAAGTCTCAAAGTATACAAGAAGAACACACTGACACACCAGAATTCCAGTAACTTGGCTTTGCTTAACAGAAATTTTGATGTAAAACATGATCTACATTTAATGATAGAAACAAATTTTAACTCAGTGCAACAATGTCAAATGTTTAGGTGATTTAGAAACTACTGAAAGTATTTAAATGAAACTCTTAAAATAGGTTTTCTCTTTATTGTGATACATGTAGAAAAATTTGTAGTGTGTATGTAGTCAACTAATCACTGAATATCATGGCCTATAGGCCTCTGATTGAATCTATTGGCTATTTATAATTTCTCCGTCTGAATAATTCCTGTTTGACATGCATGCTTTGAAGACCTATTGGTTCTTTCATAAGATAACAGTGAAAGTACCACAATTTATTTATTTGTTATTTGGTTTCAGGTCAGAGCTAGTGGCTCTGAAAGCATTTTAGTTAAGTTGCTTTGACTATAACATTTTTTATCACCATGAATCTAATTGTCAGGTATTAAATTATCAAGTCTTTCAATAAATAACATTTGAGGACATGTAGGAGAAAATAATGCATTTTTAAAAAATGTTACAGCAAAGTTCACAACTGACCTTTGATTCTTAAGAGTTTTAAGTTTTTTGTTGTCCATTTTCCAGTGTATGTTTTTGCTGCTTTATAGAAGATCAGTTGGTTTTAAGTATTTGGCTTTATTTCTGAATTCTTAATTTTGTTCCATTGGTCTGCATGTCTATTTTCATACTAGCACCGTGCTGTTTTGGTTATTATAGTGTTGTAGTATAATTTGAAGGCAGGTGATGTGATGCTTCCAGATTTGCTCTTTTTGCTTAGGATTGCTTTGGCTATTTGAGCTCTTTTTTTTAGATCTCTATGAATTTTAAGATTGCTTTTTCGAATTCTGTGAAAAATGTTGTTGGTATTTTGATAGGAATTGAAACCAAATTTTAACAAAAATAAATAAGTGGAACCTAATTCAACTAAAAAGTTTCTGCAAAGCAAAAGTACTCATCATAAGAGTAAACAGACCTACAGGATGGAAGAAAGTGTTTGCAAACTATACCTCTGATAAAGGACTAATATCAAGAATCTATAGGGAACTAAAATCAGCAAGAAAGCAGAAAAAAAAAAACCAACAACAACAACCAAATAATCCCATTAAAAAGTAGGGAAATGACGTGAACAAACATCTCTCAAAGAATAAATACAAATAGCCAAGAAACAAGAAAAAATGCTCAACATCACTAATCACAAGGGGAATGAAAATTAAGATCACAATAAAATAACATCTTACCCCAGCCAGAATGGCCATTATCAAAAAGTAGAAAACAATAGATGTTGGTGCAGATGTGGTGAAAAGGGAACACTTATACACTGCTGGTGGGATTATAAATCAGCACAACCACTATGAAAGCAGCATGAAGATTTCTCAAAGAACTAAATCTACCATCAATCCAGCAATACCACTACTGGATATCTACCCCAAAAAAAAAAGTCCCCGGCACATGTATGTTTATCACAGTGCAATATACAATTGTAAAGATATTGGATCAATGTAAGTGTCCGTCAACTGATGAGTGGATAAACAAAATGTGGCACATATATATGTGCATACATATACACACATATATATGCATATATGTACGCATATATATATAATATATATACATCATACCTGTGTGTATGTGTGTGTGTGTGTGTGTGTGCACTCGTGCACTTGTATTTATAGTGGAATACTGGTCAGCCATAGAAAAGAGTGAAATAATGTCTCGCAGCAACTTGGATGAAATTGGATACCATTTTCCTAAGTGTAGTAACTTAGGAATGGAAAACCAAATACATGTTTTCACTTTTAAGTGGGAGCTTAGCTATGGGTATGCAATGACATACAAAGCAGTATAACGGACATTGAAGACTCAGAAGCAGGGAGACTGAGAGGGAGTGTAGGAATGAAAATTACCTATTGAGTACAATATACACTATTTTATTGACAGTTACACTAAAATCTCAGACTTCACTGCTATACAATTCATCCATGTAATAAGAAAACACTTCTACCTCTGAATATATTCAAATAAATAAATAAATAGAATGCTTTTAAAAATGTGTAGTGGACAGTTAAATAATTACCAGAGAGTGAGAAAATGTGTGAGCCCACCAAACAAGCATTTCCATGTGGATTCTGTCTTTATCAAATAAACATAAAGAAGCAAGTTATATTTAAAGTGCACATGGAAGAAATTTCCATTGTTCTTTTGCATTTTGTTGTTGCTCATTGCATCCCTTTATCAAACTCTCATTTTAACTGCTTTTTTACTCTGTTTGTGCTGCAATAACAAAATACCACAGACTAATTTATTTAAAAACAGATAGTTGTTTCTCACCGTTCTGGAGACTGGAGAGTCTAAGATCAAGGCACTGAGAGGTGTGGTGTCTGGTGACTGGTGAGGGCTACTCTCTTCTTCCACGATGGTCCCTTGATGCTGCATCCTTCACAGGGGAAGAATGTTGTGTCCTCACGTGGCAGAAGAGACAGAAGGGATAAACTTGCCCCCTCAACCCCCTTTTTAAGGCAATAATTCATTCATAAGGATGACCAAATTACCTACTAAGAGCTCTGCCTTTTAATATTGCTGCATTTAGGTCTAAGTATCAACATAAATTTTGGAGGGGACACACACCTTCAGACCATAACACTGCCTCATAAGTTTTTGATCAGGTATATGTTGAACGCTTCTGTTTAAGAATGAAAAGAGATTCAGAGGCAATAGTGTATTAGGGTATTCCAAAGAAACATAACCAATAGAATATATATATTTGTATATATATCATATATACAAATGTATATGATATATATACATATACTCTATATATCTCCTATATTTATGTGTGTGTATGAGAATATGTATATTATATATATACATACATATTTTTTGAGGAGATTTATTACAGAAATTGGTTAACATGATTAAGAAGGCTAACAAGCCCACAATCTGCTGTCTGCACGTTGGAGAACCAGTAAAGCCAATAGTATAATTTAGTCCAAGTCTAAAGGTCTGAGAATTAAAGGGATGATGATGTAAGTCCTGGTCTGTGTCTGAAAACCCAAGAACCAGAGTATTGATGACACAGAGAAAGAGAAGATGAATGTCTCAGCTCATCCAGAGTGGTCAAATTCACTCTCTAACTTTTATTTCTATACAGGCCCTTAACAGATTAGATGATGTCTATCTGCATTGGAGAAGGCAAGATTTTTTACTCAGTTTGCCAATACAAATACTAATCTCCTCTGGATAGATCTTCACAGTCACACCCAGAAATGTTTTACCAGGTATTGATGCATCCCTTAATCCAGTCTAGTTGACACATAACCATCACACATGGATACAGACAACTTCTCTGCATTCTTCTATCTTTTCCCATGATTACATCTACTAATGTCTTAGTATTCTAGGACTTTCATAACAAAATCCCACAGATTAGGTGGCTTAAACAATAGAAATTAACTTTCTCCCAGTTCTGAAGGCTGGAAAGTTAAAAATCAAGGTTCTGGCAGTGTTTAGTTTTTAGTGAAGGCTCTTTCCCTGGCTTCCCAACAATTCCCTTCTTACCATGTTCCTACATGGTGAAGAGAGGGAGAGCTCTAGTGTATCTCCCTCTTCCTATAAAGGCACCGGCCCCATCTAATTTGGGCCTCACACTTATGAACTCATTTATCCTTAATTACCTCCTAAAGGCCCTATTCTGAATATGAATTTTGGGAGGACACAATTTAATCCATAGCAACTCCCTTTTTTTCTATTTATGAGATAACCTGGAAAACTTAAAAATATAAATACTTTGTTAATTTTTCTATGATTAATATAGAATATGTTGCTTTTTTCATAATTGAAACTGATTTTTTACAATTAATTTCAATATAAATAAAACATGTTTGTTTTTTAAAAGAGGCAGAATATTTCAGAAAGGCTTTGTGCAGCATAGAAGATAATACAATTAATTACAAGAAAAAAATGACCCTGTCGATACCTAATCAACGTGTAGCCTTCTGATTAATTTTGTATGTCCGTTTAAAAATATATTTCCCAAGTATAGACAGTATTCATTGCTTCCCACCCTGTTAGACATATGAAAGGAATCTTCTTCTTCATGTATCTGACTGAGGAAGCTATGTTGATTTGGCAATCCTGGTATGCTGTGTGGTTTCAGACTGTCATTCCGTACTTTGTGTCCAGCTCAGAAAAGACTCTTCAAAGAGAAAATGAAAAAGCTATACCGCCTGCATGATCCCACTGCTTGTACATGCAGAAATATCCAAAGGCACCTTTATAGTAGTGAAACTATCACTTTTCATTTATATAATCCTTTCATTTCAGGAGCTCACAGTGGTTCAGAAATGCTATTCCACTGATCCTCACAGTCATTCTTAGAGACACTGACAGGCGCTTATTAAAATGGGAAGTGGATCTGGTTCTAGGAAATGATAATCATAGTTAACTTCAGGGCAAAAGAAAACGGTCTTGCCAGGGAAATAAATTTATATTCCTTCCCAAGGTGGGAACATTTAACTAGAGGATGAGACCCTGGCACATGGTTACTGTAGTGTCTCACATTCTGAGGATATGATTAACCCAGCAGCTGAGATAAGCCAGACACCGCAGCATCTGTTTAACTCACTACCTCCTTTGGGGAACTCAATTTGTTGTGAACATAAATCTGACCAACATTCTCCCAAAAGTTTCCTCTTTCTCCTCTGTGACTGTGTTCGATGCCAACAAATGAAAATATGTTTAAATATACAAATAACATATAGATGTAAATAAAAGCTGTGGCTACTTGCACACCTCTAGCAGTACAGTTATCAGGAGAGCCACCCTTATTTATTTTTTGAAACACATCTAGCAAGAATCCAAATTACTCTGATTAGGGCAGGGATTTGCAGTTGTTAATTGTAGTGTGCTAGTGGGTGCCCACATAGGTTACCAGAGACCCACAAAATTGTTTCAGGGGGGCAGTACTTCCTGTCCCTTTTTGGGGGTAAAACTTTGGATGTGCATGAGTGCAGTTTTTCTTCTGTGTTGGCTATTCATACATTTCATAATATTTTCAAAGACAATAGTAAATGTTAATGTTTAAGAACCACTGCTCTTGGGTATGATACAGTGGGGTAAATCAGTTAAGTTATAACATCAAAAAGTAAAGCAAAAGTCAGTAAAGTACAAATTACATTTTAGATTGGAGCATGTCGACAGGACACAGAGTCAAGCTGAAAGAGCTTCCAGTAGTCAATTGCCTTAACAAGTAAACAATAATGTTTCTAGTGATACGCCATTTTGATATAAGGTACCCCTTCACATGATGTGAAGAAAAAGTTACTTCATATTTATTTTGTTGTTCTCCAAATTCCTTAACTCCAGTCTAATCTTAAGAAAGCATCAGGCAAACCCAAATTAAGAGATATTATTCAAAATATATGACAAGTACTCTTCAAAACTCTTATGGTTACTAAAAAACAAGGAAAGCTGGCAGGGCACAGTGGCTCATGCCTGTAATCCTAGCATTTTGGGAGGCTGAGGTGAGCAGATTGCCTAAGCTCAGGAGTTTGAGACCAGCCTGGGCAAAACAGTGAAACCCCGTCTCTACTAAAATACAAAAACAATTAACTGGGTGTGGTGGTGTGTGCCAGTAGTCCCAGCTACTCGGGAGGCTGAGACAGGAGAATCACTTGAACCCAGGAGGTGGAGGTTGCAGTGAACTGAAATTGAGCCATTGCACTCCAGCCTGCGTGACACAGCGAGACTCCATCTCTCAAAAAAAAATACAAGGAAAGCCTTGGTATATGTCACAGACTGGAAAAGACTAAACAGCTGTAGTAACAAAATGCAATATTATATTCTGGACAGGATCCTAGAATAGAAAAAAAAAACCTGGTCAATTCTGAATAAAGCTATATTATTTAATAGTGTTGAATCATTGTTAAGTATTTGAGCAATTGTACCATGATTTTGTGTGATACTAACATGAAATAAAATGAGGTTAAGTGTATATGGGTATTCGATGTATCATCTTTAATAATGTTCCTTTGGATACAACTTTTAAAAATTGTATGAGGTTCACTTTATTTATTTTGTTAATTGTAGTTATGGTATTAAATTCAAGAATCCATTGCCAAATCCTAGGTTGTGAAGATTTACGCCTAAGTTTTATTCTGCTAGTTTTATAGTTTTAGCTCTGATGCGTAGTTTGTTGATTGATTTTGAATTAATTCTGATAGATGAAGTTGAAGTCTGATTTAATTTTTTACAATTTTTCCATCATCATTGCTCCAGTAATTATTTTTTTTAATCATTGAATGATTTTGGAACCCTTATCAAAAATCCATTGTTCATAGATGTGAGAGTTTATTTCTACTCTGATTTCTATTCCATTGGTCAGTGTGTCTATCCCTCATAGCAGTGCCACATTGTTTTGATCACTGCAGCTTTGTAAGTTTTGAAACTGGAGAATGTGAGTCCTCCTACTTTGCTCATTCTTTTTCAATATTGTTTTGACTATTCAGAGTCCCTTGAAATTCTATATGAATTTGAGGATGGGCTTTTCTATTTTTGAAAGAAAAGAGGACCATAAGTCTTTAAATACATCTTCTTTGTGTGCCTTTGGAAAGTGGTTATCTGTACATAATTCCACAATGTCACACCCAAATTTACCTCACTTGAGGCTATCTAGATTTCCTTTCTACTTTTCTTGAAGGAATTTCATCTATAGTCATTTATAATATATCCAGATAAGCAAATAAAATAGAATATACCAGTCAGACCATTTCCTGTGTTCAAATACTTGAGATACCTCTTATTTTAATAAAAGTGTTACCTTGGGCAGGTTACTTAATGTTACTGTGTTTTAAATTTCTCAGCTGTGAAACAAGGCTAATGTTCATACTTCATGGGGCTGTTTTAAAGGATAAATCAGTGTGTTAGTGTAATAAAAATACCATTTAGCACCCAGTATGTTCTCAGTAAATGACACCATTATGAAAAGCTGCAATCACTTGAAACAATATTCGAGTTGTGCTGATTGCCATACATACTTGGGAAAAACAAACTGAATTATGGATAGATGTTGCATAATCGGAAGAAAATGAAAAAGTGGCTTGCCATTTTTTATGTGATTTTACTAGAGAGATTGAAAGAAAACCTGGAAGCATTAATAACAGTCTGATTACTGGCTGATTACTGCTAGTCAGTGTAAATTACAATGTCAGAAAGAAATACTGTGGTTCCTAACAATGAACTATTCCAATGCCTCTGAAAGGACACAGATGTGATCAGTTCTAAAGACCTACATAAAGAAAGGTGAAAAGGAGTAATTATAACTGAAACTCACTGTAGATGAGAATAAGATGTATTTATTAATTAGTACTGCCACCTTTGAAAAATAGAGCTGTTTTTTATATCTGCAAAGATCTGTGAAGCATTTTTTTAGGTGGCTGCTATGGTCTCAGTGGTTTACAAAAGCTTATTGCAAAATAAAATATGTCATAAACATGCTTTATTATTAGCCACTTTTTGAAGGAATAATAATAATAACAATATTCTAAATAAGACAACCATTGCTCTAGATTTTTTTAAAAATGCAATGGTTTATAATTATGACAGTGGCTGCTTGACCCTGATAAAATTTGAGGTAAAAAATAGCAAGGGCAAGCAACTCAAGGGATGAGGAACTCTTATGCCTCTCTCTCTCTCTCTCTCTCTCTGTCTCTCTCTGTGTGTGTGTGTGTGTGTTAGAACTATTAAAATCTGACAAGTAGCTGAAAGAAATTTTTAATGAAGAACAGACACCATCCTCTTACATCCCCAGCCCCAACACATTGCTATAGACAATATTTGGAGACAACTTGAATTAAAATAACTTTCAGGTGAGTTTGGTTTCCCCAGTGGCAAAAGATCTGATTTACCAATTTGTATTAATATGTAAAGACTTCTGGATTCTAAAATAATTTTGAGTAAATATCTAGAATTAAGTATGACAGTTATTATTATAGAAGTTCCAAACAGAAATATCATCTGAAATTCATTTTTCTGCAATCTGAAGATTTCAGATAAAGGAATGAGAAAATGTACTTTGCTAGCCATGAATTCCTCATGGGCTAGTTTGACCTTAGTGCATGTTCATACTATTAAATAATTAAAAAGTAATAACAAATAGATAAATATCAAATGACCTCTATTAGGGAATTTTAAATCGACTCCCCAACAAAACTTATCAGAAGACCACATTACCAAAAATGGGGAAATGCTACAGAGAAAAGAACTGTAAAAATGTTTTGAAAGTGCATGCAGCCTAAATCAATAAATTGGACATTTTTTTAATCCACTCATCCACAGATGGACACTTAAGTTGTTTCCATATCATGGCTATTGTGTATAATACCACTGCAATGAATATGGAAGTGCGGATATCTGAAATGGAATATTATTCAGCTTTAATAAAGGAGATCTTCCCATTTGTGAAAACATGGATGAACCTGGAACATACTATGCTAAATTAAATAATTCAGACACATAAGACAAATATCACACGATCTCACTGATTTGTGAAGTTTTTTTAATGAATATACAAAAATAGGAAGTAGAATGGTCGTTATCAAGGAAGAAAGTGAAGGGAAATGAGATGTTAGCCAAATGATACAAAGTTGTAGTTAGATAGGATGAGTAAAGCTAGAAATATAATGTAGAGCATGAAGACTAAAGTTAATGATATTGTATTGTATCCTGAAAATTTTGTAAGAGTATATTTCAAATGCTCTTACCACATACACACACATATACACACACAATTATGTTAAATAATGGATATGTTAATTTGCTTGACTGTAGTAAGTACTGCACTATATATATCAAAACATCATGTTGTGTACCTTAAGTATATACAATAAAAATAAACAAAAATTTTAAAAAAACACAAAGGACAGTAATTATATAAAGATATTTAAAAATCGGATGCAATGTATCACCTTCATTATAGCTAATATATTTTTGACTAGTTACTGTGGTCCTGTCCTAAGAGTTTAACGTGCCTTATTTCATTTTGCTTTTATACCAAATTAAAGAGGTGGAAATTATTATCATTATCTCTCAGACTAAGGTGAGGAAACAGGCTTAAATGGGATGCTGCATCAACCAGCACACAGTTAATAAGAAATGAATTCACTCAACTAGTCTTACATCAGAATCTAAATTTAACTACTGCGATGAACTGGTTCTGAACTGCAGCAGTCACAATTGTCTGCCATTTTCCCATATTTTTCTTAGCTGTGTATATATTCATATGATGTTGGTGATTATAATATCAACATCTTTAATTTATTAAATATCCCCAAGGTGCTGTGTTATTCTTTCTATATAATGATATGTAATTTTTACAGAAAACTATTATTGTTATCCTCATGTGAGAAGCGAGAAAACATTGAGGTCCAAAAAGTTTAGTCTTTTTCCTAGTGATGCAGAATGTAAGGCAGAATTTGAACTCAAAGCTCAGGTTTTGAACCAGAAGTCAAGAAAGGTGTAAAAAACATGGAACCAAGAGAAAATGTCATTCACGGTCCAGAGTGGCACAGATCTATGGGATCTAGGTGGCAGAGATAGATAGATGCTATTTGTAGCATGATAGAAATACTGTTGAGGGGCACATGACCCAGTTTGGATGAAAAGGAAGTGTGCAGACATGGGTTCGTCATGGAGCATTTTAGACACTATCTTGACTTTGAGTGAAGAATTTGCCGGGTGAATAAAGGTGGTGACTCATTACAGAGTCATGAGAAACATTAGCCATCAGAGCAATGCAAGTACGTTGTGGAATTCTGTACATTTGTGTAATGAGGAGTGATTCTGAAGGAATTTGTGTTTAAAACACTCCAGGGTCACTAGGCGTCTATATTCTTGGCTAAAAGCTTTGAGAAGGATACCTTTTACAAGCTAGAAAAATGCGTGATAAACACACTCCTAAGAGGTAATATATATACCACTTATTCTCATTCACATGTGAGAGACAAAAATTGAACTCCTGGAGCTAGAGAGTAGAATGATTGTACCAATGCCTGGGAAGGGTAGTGGGAAGGTGGGGATCAAGAAGCGATGGTTAATGGATACAAAAACTGAGTTGTATAAAATGAATAAGATCTAGTGTTCATAAGCACAGTAGGGTGACTATAGTTAATAATAATTTATTCTATATTTCAAAATAACTAAAAGAGTGGATTTGGAATGTTCCTAACATAAACAAATGATAAGTGCTTAAGATGATACATATCCTATTTAACCTAACTTGATTATTATACATTACATACTTGTATAAAAATATCACATGTACCCCATAAATATTTATAACTATTACTTATCCATAAAAATAAAAATAAATACTGTATTACATGTCTAATAAATACCAAACATGAGCAGGATGCATTTTTAATACTTTATCTCATTAAAGCTTATCAAGAATAATACAAGGTAAGTGCTATTTATTATATTTTATATCTGAGGAAATAGGACGTTGATTGTTCAACTGAACTGGCCAAAGTCATGTGCCAAATAATTGATAACCCCAGATTTCAAATCTAGATTTTAATAAGTCCATAAACCAAAATAAATAGTGTTTTTAAAGTAATCTAGTAATCTCCCTGAAGTCACGGGTCTTATATAACTTGATAATTACTGTATCCGCAGTGCCTGGAGTTGGTGTTTTTCCAGGGTACTCAATATGCATTGTGTTAATTTCAAGTGAGTTACATCAATCTGGATCATAAAATGATCCAGGATCATTTTCCAGAAGTGTGCCCCCAACTTTCTTGAGCATTGATGAGAAAATGTTGATCAACTATGTATTGGCTCACTGTAGTGGTTATTCTTGCTAACCACTTTTTTATTTCTGCATTTCATTTGAATAAGTTTCTTAAGGATAGTTTCTGACTTTCATATTGTGGTTTCTTTTAGAGTGTCTTGGCTTTAGTAAATTATTAGTAATATAATAAATATTTGTGTAATCTGCTTTTTTGCTAAGTGCATCTAAACATCTGTGATCTCCTTGAGCCTTCCTGTAACCCTCCAAAGTAGGTTCGTTAGAATTATCCTTTATCTCCGTTACAAAAATCTATAGATATATTGAATTATTTACTGATTTATTTACTAAGATCAAATGATTTCTATGCATTTTCTTGTTAATCCCATGTTTAGGAACTTGCTTTCTTACCTAATTCTCTATTCTTTCTTTCTTCATGTTATATATCAACTTACTGTCGTCAAATTGGAGAAGAACTTTCATTAGCTGTTTCTTGATTATAACCTTGAAACTCATCAACCATTCATTATAGGAAGTTTTCTCTTGCACCCCATTCATAACACTATACTATAATTGTCTCTGCTCATTATTAGTCTGAAATATTCATGATAGCAAGTGTCATGCTTTTAGAGAGCTCTTCATAATTTTTGGAAAATGATAGATGCTTAGTATTTTTTAAATGAATGAATGTTTGCTTTTTTGCTATTATCACTAACCTTATCTGTTGCAGCTCCTCCACCTGAAAACCCTTCTACACAATCTTAGTTTTCAGCTGGCAATATAACAGAAAGGAGGTTATCTTGATCATTAATGTAGTTATTGTGTTCAACTAAGGAAATCTAGGCGATGCTTAATAAAGCAGCATTTTTGCTATCTATTGTGGCATTCATTTCAAATCTCCTAAAACATGGTAGTTTAAAACAATATTTATTATCTAACAGTTTCTGAGTCAGGATTCTGGGATTGGTTTTGTTATAATTCTGGCTCAGCATTACTCGCAAGGATGAAAAGGGTCAGTTAGGGCTACAGTCACGTCGAGTTTTGACCAATAAAAGATTGGCTTACAAGTACACTCATGTATTGTCAGGCCATAGGTCCTAACTGGCTGTTGCCCGGAGACCTCAATTTTTTGCCACATGAGACTCTCCATAGAGTAGCTAATAGTATGTTAGATTACTACCCTCCAGAGTGAGGACTCTAAGAAAAAGAGAAAGATGTACACACAAAAAACAGGGTCTTTTTGTAACCTAATCTCAGAAGTAAAAGCTTATTACCTCTATTGGTTAGAAGTCACTAGTCCTGCCCCTACTCAAAGTGAGGAGATTATATGCATGAGGGAATGGATACTAGAAAGCAGGGATTGCTAGAAGTCATTTAGAGACTGTCTACCACAGAAAAGGATCAGCGACATTTTATGCTTAATTTATTGTCTGTTAATGTTGACTTCTTCAGATTACATAAACAATGATCAAGGCATAACTTACATTTTAATACTCTTTTGTAATATCCTATTTTATAGACCATTTTTTAAAACATAGATTCTAGATTTTTGTGGACTTAACATATTGATCATAAGTAATAGATATAAAAAGACCAAACACCTGCTCACCTTTGATTTTTTGGATCACAATTTTTGTGATGTTTGGGTTTACATTGGGTTACCATTTATTTTCCCTTGTATTTGTCAGCACTAAGCTAGGAGCTGCCATTACCATGCCTACAGAGAACATAGGAAATGTCAAAGGGAGACCAGAAATAGTATTTTTATATTCTCTTATAAAAGGAGACTTTGATATTTACAGAGAAGTCCCACCTCCACTGCCCCATTGAGTCTATAAAGTCTGAGGATCAGCTCATTCAGTTTGACCCACTTGGCACTAGAGGTAATAAGTACATGTCATAAATTCATGTATGTGTTTTTATAACTACACTTGCTTTCACTTTATTTAGTCATTTATTTATTTTTGCAAATTCCTGTTTCTGAGAGTAAGTGCAGACATATAATGATCCTTTGAGCTAAAAGTATAGTGAGCCTCAATTTTTCACTAAATGAGACCTCCTCGACAATCTTTTTAGTACTCTATAGAAAAACACAAGGTAGCAACCAAAAGTAATGTTTGAGAGCTTCCAGAAAACAGAATATAAAAGTCTTTTGTCTTATCCTTTATTTTTATTCCACCCCCAATACCCAGACCTGCTTACTAAAGTGATTAATTTGACATTGCAAAATTTTTTTTCTGTGATAAAGTCCAAAATGTACCATAATTATAGAGAAAAGGAAATCATGGGTAAATAGTTAAAATTAAAAAGGGAGACAACAATTATGGGTTTTTGGAGCCATATAAAAATAATTAGTGGATATTTTGTAGTCTTAAGAAGAATTTGGAAAACAGAAAAATCATTAGTTGTTTATATGTATAATTAACAGATTCTTGTAAAATTTTTGAATACAGTTTGGCTTCCTCAATTTCTACTGTATTTTTCTTTAAATACCTTAGTTACATAGACTGTAGTTAAGTTTCCACCTAGCCATAGGCAAAGAAAATTATATTGACTGCAAGGGAATACGTGTAGGGTTACAAAAATTTGAGCAATGAGAATTCAGCTTCCAGTAATTGTTGAGTAATTTGGTCAGGATAAGCCTCACATAGATACAAATTATGAAGTTCAGACAAAACATTATTTTTTTTTAAATTAATAGAACTGTAGTTTCACCCAAAGTAAAGATAAGCTAGAAAGCAATCCACTCCAACTAAAGATGGAAGTGTCATTGGGTGATATTTGAATACCTGTAACTTTGGGCCTGACAGGTGGCAAAATTGAAAATTTACTTTTTACTGGTTGCACATGTTAGAAAATAGTAGGTTGTCAGATCAGCTGGGAAATCCATAAATTAGTTCAGCCTTTGTGAAAGACAGTTTGGCAATTCCTCAAAGAACTTGAAACAGAACTACCATTCTACCCAGCAATCCCATTATTGAGTATATATAACCAAAGGAATGCAAATCATTCTACCATAAAGACAAATGTACGTGAATATTCACTGCAGCACCATTCACAATAGCAAAGACATGGAATCAACCTAGACGTCCATCAATGGTGGAATGGACAAAGAAAATGCAGTACACATACAACATAAAATACTATACAGCCATAAAAATGAGATCATGTCCTTTGCAGCAGTATGAATGCAGCTGGAGGCCATTAGTCGAAACAAACTAAGGGAAGAACAGGAAAGCAAATCCACATGTTCTCAGTTATATGTGGGAGCAGAACATTGATCAGACATGGACACAACAAAGGGACAATACACACCATGGCCTACTTGAGGGCAGAGGGTGGGAGGAGGTTGAGGATTGAAAAACTAACTATTGTGTACTATGCTTATTACCTGGATGAGAAAAAACTTGTACACAATACCCCCACGATGTGCAATTTACCTATATAACAAACCTGCATATGTACTTCTGAAACTAAAATACAGGTTTAAAAAATAGCCATTCTGACTGGTATGTGATGGTATCCCATTATGGTATCGATCTGCATTTCTCTGAGGATTAGTAATATTGAGCATTCTTTGATATGTTTGTTGGTTGCTTGTATGTCTTCTTTAGAGAAGTGTTTGTTCATGTTTTTTGCCCACTTTTTAATGAGGTTATTTGTTTTTTACTTTTTCAATTGTTTAAATCCTTATAGATTCTGGATATTATATCTTTGTTGGATGCATAGTTTGCAAGTATTTTTCCCTCTCTGTAAGTTGTCTGTTTACACTGTTAATGTTTTGTTTTGCTGTGCAGAATCTCTTCAGTTTCATTAGGTTTGCATTGTCAATTTTGGTTTTAGTTGCAATTGCTTTTGAGGACTTATTCATAATTTCTTTCCCAAGGCCAATGTCCAGAATGTTGTTTCCTAGGTTTTCTTCCAAGATTCTTATAGTCCAAAATCTTACATTTAAATATTTTTTTCATCTTGAGTTGATTTTCTTCTGTGATGAAGGGTAGCAAATAGTTAGCCAGCTATGCATCAGGTACTGTATTGAATTGGGAATCCTTTCCCCATTGCTTATTTTTGTCAATTTTGTTGAAGATCAGATTGTTGTAGGTGTGTGACTATTTCTTGGTTCTCTATTCTGTTCCATTGGTGTATGTGTCTGTTTTTGGACCAGTACTATGCTGTTGTGGTTACTGTAGGCTTAGAGTTTGAAGTCAGGTAATATGATGCTTCCAGATTTGTTCTTTTTACTTAGGATTGCTTTGGCTATAGGAGCTCTTTTTTGGTTCCATATGAATTTTAGAATAGTTTTTTTTCTACTTCTGTGAAACATAACATTGGTAGTTTGATAGGAATAGCCTTGAATCTGTAGATTGCTTCGGGAAGTATGGCCATTTTAACAATACTGGTTCTTCCATTCCATGAGCATGGAATATTTTTCTATTTGTTTTCAGCATCTGTAATTTCTTTGAGCAGAGTAGTTCTCCTTGTAGAGTTCTTTCACCTTTTTGGTTACATGTATTCTCAGGTATTTCATTCTTTTTGTGGTTATTGTAAAGGGGGTTGTGTTCCTTATTTGGCTCTCAGTTTGACGTTATTCATGTATAGAAATGCTACTGATTTTTGTGCATTGATTTTGTATCCTGAAACTTTACTGAAGTTGTTTATCAGTTATAGGAGCCTTTTGGCATAATCTTTGATGATCTTCTAGGTATAGAATAATATCATCAGTGAGGACAGATAGTTTCACTTTTTCTTTTCCTATTCAGATGCTTTTTATTTCTTTCTCTTGCTTGATTTTTCTGGCTAGGACTTCCAGTTGAATAAATTTCTAAGCAAAGTATTAAAGGTGGAACTTGGTTTCTATTGTTGAGTGAAAAAATTTTCTCCAATTTGGTATAGAGATTCAACACAATCCTAAGCAATATTTTAAAAAGACTCTTAGATACATTAACAATCAGGTTCTACTAAGACATTGAAATATAATCTTAAAATAAATAATAAACTTGGAGCACTTAAACATGTATTTTTTAAAACATACAAAAAAGCTATCTTTATTTTCACAATGAAGTGTTAGCGTAAGTATAGTCATGAATCAATGGAACAGAATAGATAATAGAGATGGAGACATAAATATATATATTTTATATATACATATATATACTTTATTGTCACTTCATACATATATAAATAGATATAATCACTATATATAGTGACACATATTTATTTAAAATGTTTATTAAGGAAATATTAAATATTTTTAAAATAAAGTGACTATATATTTAATATGACTATTAATATCACATTTAACTTAACTATATATTAAATATGTAGTTACTTTATATCTTTAATGTTTTAAAAAAAAATTTCATTGATTACGAAGAAGAAAATAAACTCTGCTGCCACAAATGACTAGGCAGATGGAGCAAACTCAACCCTTATATTATGCCAGAAAAACGTCAAAATTGAACAGAGATGTCCGTGAGAAAGTCTAAAGTATTGATATTCTAGAATAAAACATTAGAAGTTGTCCTTATTACTTAGTGTAGAAAAATTGTTCTTAAACAGAACACAAGTTAATAGCATATACTATATATGTACATTCATAATTCATGAGTGTCTAAGGTCCCTATATGTCTCTATATATTGTATTTTATATTATACTTGTATATAAATTTAAAACTTCTACTTATCATATGATATCATTAAGCAAGTGAAAGCTATAATCAGAAGAAAATATTTTTAATAAATATATCTGATGAAGGACTCGTATCCTTCATTTATGGATATTTTCTATGAGACAGTAAGAAAAAGACAACATGATAAAAGAATAAACAAAAAACTTCCGCAGGTACAAATAGCTATGAAGCATATGAAAATGTGCCAGTCACCTCTAGCCATCAGGAACATGCAAATTAAAATCACAAGGAGTATTGTTACACATTTCCCAAAATGGCTAAAGTATAAATCTTATAAATCTAAGAGTTAAGGAAGATATTAGGCTACTGGAGGTTTTATACATTGTAAGTGGGAGTGCAAAATGGTGCATGCTTTGGACAATTCTTTGGTAGTTTTTAATAAAACTAAATTTACAAATATCCAATAACCAAGTATTACTACTGCAAAGTAAACATTTGAGAAATTGTATATGTACACAAAAGGCTTACATATTAATGTTCATAACAACTTTATCAAAAAGTACTCCAAAATGAAAACAGCTCAATGCTCATCAAGGAGAGAATGGATAAAAAACACTGGCACAGACATACAACAAAATGCTACACAGAAAGAAATGAAATAAAGATATACACATGTTGCAAACTGCTGATGACAGAAATAATTGTGCAGAAATGTATGAAAATGAAAAGACAGAAAATAGGACTCACACATTATTCTAAGACCTTGAGATGCTAAGGACTGATTTTAAGAGCAGCATCATTTCTCACTGCAGATTTTTTACCGTGTGTGTAAGTACCTGTATGATGCATGATAAGCATGCATACCACATATACATATATGTATTAGAATAATTCTTATTTCTTGCCTAATAAGTAGTGAATTTTTCAATAAAAAAGAACATTTCTTTATTGGCTACAAGATAATTATCTGGACTTTAAAATTTAAACAGGAACACTTCATTCTACTTATGTTAAATTTATTAAAAATCTTCCTGTATCATTTCTTAGAGCTTGTCTTTATTGTTATTTGATCTATGTGCCTTTGACTATTGAAAGAAAAAAATCACATACGCTTTATGTCAAAAATATTTTAAATATCCACAATATTTAGTATTTTGTAGATGAAAATTATGAAACCTAAACGTGGTAGTAGATATATATTGTAAAAAATAGAAAAAGACTGTTTTTAAAGGTGGAAAATTTGTTGATTTAATTCTACTTGCAAATATTCTTTCCTGAGATTTGTACTTTTTCTGCCCTAAGGAAATTAGTAAAGTGGCAAATCCATTAAAACCTCTAATCAAGTAATTTTATAGGCTTTTAAAGCAAATGTGCTCTCAGGTGTGGCCAGTATTTAAAGACAATACAGTGTGCTTGGTGTATTTCACTATCTTGGATGATTTTTATGACTTCACTTGTTCTAAGTGAAACCTAAGTTGTCTAAGGGTAAGAATCAGCTGTAACATTTGACTGTCATTAACAATAAAATATCACCATGCTTTCTCATTCTTCATTCAAAGTGAGAAACTAAATATTGTCATTCCGAGAATTATTTTATAACTGTTTTCCAGAAGTATTTATTTTTCTCAGTGGGGTTAATAACTGCCAAAATTCTATTTAGGGTACTGGTTTCAAAATGCTTACATGTATGAAATGATCTGGCTATATTTTAATGCTTTAAGTATTTGAGTATGGTCTTCTCATTTCAACATGAAATAATCACAGTTTTGAGATTGCAATATATTTTCATTAAAATTAAGGTTTAAATAAGAAAAATTGATATTAAACAGACACAACATATCAGGACTTAGGGAAATAATATGCAAATAATAATCTCAAATAATAATCTGAGGGAAAATAAAAAGATTAATATAAGCTATTGACAGATAATTTATAAAAGGTAAAATGATGGCTCTCATTCAAATATAAAATAATTTTAGTTAATTCATTAATAAATGAGAAGCATTAAGTTGCTAAACCAGTCCAAAGGCCACAAGAAACTAAGCATATGTATGCGTATATATATATTTATATATATTTGAAATAAGATACAACTACTCAGTTACATTTTTTAAAATGTTTAATTTATTGATCACTTGGTTAAGATGGTGTATGCCGGCTAGGTGTGGTGGCTCACACCTGTAATCCCAGCACTTTTGGGTGCCGAGGCAGGAGGATCACGAGGTCAGGAGTTCGAGACCAGCCTGGCCAAAATGGTGAAACCTTGTCTCTACTAAAAATATGAAAATTAGCTGGATGTGCTTGTGCACAACTGTAATCCCAGCTACTCAGGAGGCTGAGGCAGGAGAATCACTTGAACACAGGAGGTGGAGGTTGAAGTGAGCCAGGATAGCACCACTGCCCTCTACCCTGAGTGACAGAACAAGACTCCATCTCAAAAATAAAAAAAAAGATCATGTATACCTATGGGTAAATAATTTGGAACTTTATTCTATTTCTTCTTGTACTTTCACTCAGTAATTTTAGCATCCAGTGATGTTTATCAAACTGAAATAATTATTAATATAGATTTTGCCACATGCTGAATATCTATTTCCATTATTCTTCTCTATTTGTTTATTGGTATTATGCTTTTAAACAGAGCATTTTCCAGTTACTTATTTATAACAGAATAGGTTCATATACATGTATATGTAGAAAGATACAGATATTTATTTTATTCTATATAAATTATTTAAAATAACTGTTACTATTCTACAAATGTGTCAAGGTCATGAAACCCAATGAAAATCTGAGCTGTCCCAAATTGTACTAAGTTAGAGACATAACAATTTAAATAATGTGTGATTCCACATTGAATTCTAAATAATAAACAATTACATACGTGATATAATTGGCAAAACTTCATTACTTTGTATTAATACTAATTTTCTAGTTTTAATAACTACAGTAGAATTATAAAACTAGAAAGTAAAATTGTACCATTGGGTGAAGCTGGGTGAGGAGTCTTACAATAATTCTTTGTACAATTTTTGCAATTAGTTATGTCAAAATTTGTTTCAAAATAATGTTAAAAATGTAAGCATATTTTTAAAATCTATAAAGTGAAATTTAAGTTTTATATAACAATAAAACCAAGACTTTTTTTGTCCATGAAACACCTTCTCATGTACCTAAAAATAAAAGTTAAAGAAAGTTTGAGAATCTATTATAATCAATAATTATAAAAAACATCCAAAAAAGCACTTTCCAGTCTTCCTTTATGAAGTGGAATTGTGTCACCCAATATGTTCTAAATAACTGTATAACTCTGACCTTTTTACTTAATATCTCTAAGCCTTATTTACAAAATAAGAGTAGTAACTGCATTTACATCACAGTATCATTGTGAAGATCAAAAGAAATATCACATTTGCAATGACTGACACAGTTTCTGGAACATAATATGCCTGGGGTTGCTAGATTTAACAAATAAGAATATAAGACAACTAATTGAGCTTGAATTTATTTTTTTTCTTATTTGTTTTTTACTTTTTAATTTTTGTGGGTACATAGTAGGTATGTATATTTATGAGGTACATCAGATATTTTAATAGAGGCACACAATGTGAAATAATGACATCATAGAGAATGAGGTATCCATCCTCTCAAGCATTTACCCTCGGAGTTACAAACAATCCAACTACACTTTCATTTTAAAATGTTATTTTAAAATGTACAACTAAGTTATTATTGACTGTAGTCACCGTACTGTACTATCAATAGTAGGGCTTACTCATTCTTTGTACTTTTTTGTACCTATTAAACAACCTTACCTCCCCATTTAGTCTGCTACTACCCCTCCCAGCCTCTGGAAACCATCCTTCTACTCTCTATGTCCATGAATTCAATTGTTTTGATTTTCAGATCCCACATGTTTCAGATCCCATTAGTTTGTTTTCACTCTGCTGGTAAAGACATACCTGAGACTGGGTAATTTATTTTTAAAAAGAGGTTTAATAGACTCATACTTCCATGTGGCTGGGGAGGCTTCACAATCATGGTGGAAGGCGAAAGCCATGTCTTATATGGCAGCACAAGAGAGAAAACTTGTTCAGGAAAACTCACCCTTATAAAACCATCAGATCTCATTAGACTTTTTCACTATCACGAGAAGAGAATGAGAAAGACCTGCCTCCAGGATTCAATTACCTCCCATCTGTTCCATCTCAGGACAAGTGGGAATTGTGGGAATTACAATTCAAATGAGTTATGGGTGGGGACAAACCATATCACCACAAATAAGTGAGAACATATGATGTTTCTCTTTCTGTGCCTGACTTATTTTACTTAAAATAATGATCACCAGTTCCATCCATGTTGTTACAAATGACTGCATCTCATTCTTTTTTATGGCTCAGTAGTACTCCACTGTGTTTAGGTAGCACATTTTCTTTATCCATTCATCTGTTAATGGACAATTAGGTTTCTTAGCTATTGTAAACAATGCTGCAACAAACAAAGAAATGCAGATATCTCTTCCATCCACTGATTTCCTCTCTTTGGAAATATATCTAGCAGTGAAATTGTGGATCATATGGTAGCATAATTTTTTTATTTTTTTTTTAGGAACCTCCAAATTGTTGTCCACAGTGATCATACTAGTTTCCATTCACACCAGCAGTGTAGAAGTTTCCTTTTTCTTTACATACTTGCCAGCATTTGTTATTGCCTGTCTTTTGGATATAAGCCATTTTAACTGGGGTGAGATGATATTATAGTCTCTATTCGCATTTCTTTGATGATCAGTAATGTTGAACACCTTTTCATATGCCTGATTTTCATTTGCATGTCTTTTTTTGGGAAATGTCTATGCAAATCTTTCACCCACTTTTTAATTAAATTATTAGTATTTTTCCTATAGAGTTGTTAGAGCTCCATATATATTCTGGCTATTAATCCCTTGTCAGATGGGTTGTTTGCAAATATTTTTTTCTCATTCTGTGGACTACCTCTTCACTTTGTTGATTGTATCCTTTGCTGTGCAGAAACTTTTTAACTTTATGTGATCCCCTTTTTTTCTGTTGTTGCCTGTGCTTGCAGGGTATTGATCACAAAATTTTTGCCCAGATTAATGTCCTGGAAATTTTACTTAATTTTTTTGTAGTGATTTCATAGTTTGAGGTCTTAGATTTTAGTGTTTAATTCATTTTTATTTGATTTTTGTATATGGCAAGAGATAGAGATCTAGTTTTATTCTTCTACATATAGATATCCAGTTTTCCCAGCACCATTTATTGAAGAGACTGTCTTTTCCCCAGTGTACATTCTTGGTAACTTTGTCAAAAATAAGTTAACTGTGGGTGTGTGGATTTGTCTCTAGGTTCTCCATACTGTTTCATTTATCTATGTGTCAGTTTTTATGCCACTAACATGCTGTTTCGGTGATGATAGCTCTGTAGTATATTTTCAACTCAGAGTATGTAATTCCTCCAGTTTTGTTCTTTTTGTTCAGGATACCTTGACTTTTCTGGGTCTTTTGTGGTTCCATTTAAATTTTAATTTTCTTTTTCTTATTTCTGTGAAGAATGTCATTGGTATTATAATAGGAATTGCATTGAATCTGTAGATTGCTTTGGGTAGTATGGACATTTTAACATTATTGATCCTTCCAATTGATGAACACGAAGTAGTTTTTTTTCATATTTTTGGTGTTTTTAATTTCTTTCCGTCAGTGTTTAAAATTTTCATTACAGAGATCTTTCATATTCCTAGGTATTTAATTGTATGTGTAGTTATTATAAATGGGAATACTTTTTGAATTTCTTTTTCACATTGTTCACTGGAGAAATGCTCCAGATTTTTGAATGTTGATTATGTATCTTGCAACTTTAATGAATTTGTTTATCATTTTGAATAGTTTTCTTGTGGGACTACTAAGGTTTTTCCAAATATAAGATCATATTATCTGCGAACAAAGGTAATTTGTCTTCTTCCTTTCCAATTTGAAGGCCCTTTATATCTTTCTCTTATCTGATTTCTCAAGTTAGTACTTACAGTACTATGTCGAATAACTGGTAAAAGTAGGCATTCTTGCGTGTTCTAGATCTTAGAGCAAAGGCTTTCAGATGTTTTCCTATTCAGTACGATTCTTGCTGTAGGTCTGTCATTTTTTTTATTATATTGAGGTATGTTTTTTCTATCCCTAGTTTTTTTTTAGGGTTTTTATCGTGAAGGGATGTTGAAATGCATCAAATTCTTTTTAGCATCAATTGAAATTATCATATGGTTTTTATTCTTTATTCTTTTGATACAATGTATTACTGAAACAGTTTGGTTGTGTCCCACCCAAATCTCACTTTGAATTGTTAGAATCCCCATGTGTCAAGGGTGGGGCCATGTGGAGATGAATCATGGGGGCAGTTTCTCCCATACTGTTCTCATGGTACTGAATAAGTCTCACAAGATCTGGTGGTTTTATAAATGGGAGTTTTCCTGCACAAGCTCTTCTACCTGCCACCATGTAAGATGTGACTCTGCTCCTCATTTGTCTTCTGCCATGATTGTGAGGCCTCCTCAGCTATCTGAAACTCTGAGCCAATTAAACCTCTTTCCTTTATTAGTTACCCAGTTTTGGGTATGTCTTTATTAGCAGCTCAAGAACAGATGAATACAATCACATTAATTGATTTGCATATGTTAAACCTTCCTTGCATCCCCAGGATATATTTCACTTGGTCATGATGAGTGTTCTTTAATGCATTGTTGAATTTTATTTGCTAGTATTTTGTTGAGGATTTTTATTTAATATTTATCAGAGATATTGGCCTGTAGCTTTCTTTTTTTTGGTATGTCTTTATCTCATTTTGGTATCAGGATAATATGGCCTCACAGAATGAGTTTGGAAGTATTCCCTTCTCCTCTATTTTTTGAAGTAGTTTGCGCAGGATTGGCATTAGTTCTTCTTTAAATATTTCATGTAATTCAGAAGTGAAGCCATCAGGTCCCAGGCTTTCTTTACTGAGAGACTTATTATGGCTTCAATCTGGTTACTTCTTACTGGTCTGTTCAGGTTCTGACTTTATGCTTGGTTCAATCTGGTAGGTTGTATGTATTTAGAAATTCATCAGTTTCTTCTAGATTATCCAATTTATGAGTATATACCTGCTCATTGTAGCCCCTAATGATCCTTTAATTTCTGGAGTATCAGTTGCAATGACTTTTTCATTTCTGATTTTATTTATTTGGTTCTTCTCTCTGTTTTTCTTAGTTTGGCCAAAGGTTTGTGAAATTTGTTTAACTTTTCAAAAAAGAAAAACACTTTTTTTCATTGATCTTCTCTATTTTTTCATTTCAGTTTTATTTATTTCTGCTATGATTTTTATTAAATTTTTTCTCTCACTAATTTTGGGTCTTGTTTTCTCTAGCTTTTCTATTTCATTAAGATGCATCTTTAGGCTGTTTATTTGAAGTTTTCCTCCTTTATTGACCTAGGCACTTATAGCTATAAACTTCCCTATTAGCGCTGCTTGTGCCCTATCACATAGGTTTGGGTATTTTGTGTTTCCCTCATCATTTGTTTCACTAAGTTTTTCATTTATTTCTTAATTTCTTCATTGACCCCCCACCCAAACCTGGTCATTCAGGGGCATATTGTTTAATTTCCATGCTATTTGTATAGTTTCCAAAATTCCTTTTGTTGTTGATTTCTAGTTTTATTCCATTGTGTTCAAAGAAGATGTTTGATATTATTTCAATTTTTTAAAATGTTTAAAAACTGTTTTGTGACCCAATATATGGTCCATCTTTAAGAATGTGATCAGGAAAGAAACATGTATTCTCCAGATATTGTATGAGATTTTCTGTAAATATCTGTTACATCAATTTTGTATATAGTGCAGATGAAGTCTGATGTTTCTTTGCTGATTTTCTGTCTGAAAGATCTGTCCAATGCTCAAAGTGTGGTGTTGAGATCTCCAGCTATTACTGTATTGTGGCCTAACTCTCTCCTTAGTGTTAATAATTTTCTTTACCGATCTAGGTGCTTCAGTGTTGAGTTCATATATATTTAAAAGTGTTATATTATCTTGCTGAATTGGCCCCTTTACCATTATATAGTGAGCTTTGTCTCTGCTTATAGTTTTTGACTTGAAAACTATTTTGTGTGATATAAGTATAGTGTCTTCTGCTCTTTTTTGGTTTCCATTGGCATGGAATATCTATTTCCATTCCATATTTTTCAGTCTGTATGTGTCTTTATAGGTGAACTATGTTGCTTATATGCAACAGATCAATGAGTCCTGCCTTTTCATCCATTCAGCCCAGTCTGTCTTTTGATTGAAGAGTTTAGTCCACTTACATTCAATGTTATTATTAACAAGGACTTATTCCTGCCATTTATTATTTTTTCCTTGTTGTCTTGTGGTCTTCTCTTCCTTCTTTCTTTTCTTCCTGTCTTCCTCTAGTGAAGGAAATTTTCTCTAGTGATATGATTTAGTTTCCTGCTTGTTATTTATTGTGTATCTGTTGCATGATTTTTGGTTTGAGGTTACCATGAAGCTTGCAAATACTATCTTATAACCCATGATTTTAACCTGATAACAATTTAACACTATTTTCATAAACAGACAATTGAGCAAAAAGAAAACTAATAAAAACTCTACACCTTAGCTTTATCCCCCAGCTTTTTAACTTTCTGTTGTTGCTATTTATATCTTACTGAACTATATCTTAAAAAGTTGTTGCAGTTATTATTTTTTATTCATTCGTCATTTAGTCTTTATACTTAGGATAAAAGTAGTTTATACATCATAGTTACAGCATTATAATATTCTGTGTTTTTCTGTATACTTACTATTACCAGTGAGTTTCGTACCTTCAGGTGATTATTTATTGCTCATTGATGTCCTCTTCTTTCTGACTGAAGTACTCCCTTTAGCATTTTTTTGTAGGACAGGTCTGGTATTCGTGAAATCTCTTATCTTTTGTTTGTTTTGAAAAGTGTTTATTTATCCTTCAGGTTTAAAGAAATTTCCATCAGATATACTATTTTAGGGTAAAAGTTTTTTTCCTTTAGCACTTTAATATATCATACCACTCTCTCCTGGTCTTTAAGATTTCCATTGAAAAGTCTGCTGCCAGATATATTGGAGCTCCATGTAGGTTATTTGTTTCTTTTCTCTGGCTGCTTTCAGGATCCTTTCTTTATTTTTGACCTTTGGGAGTTTTATTACTAAAAGTCTTCAGATAGTCATCTATGGGTTATATTTGCTTGGTATTTTATAACCGTCTTATACTTGGATAATGATGTATTTCTCTAGGTTTGGAAGGTTCTCGGTTTTTATCCCTATGAATAAACTTTCTGCTCTTATCTCTTTCTCTATCTCCTTCTTGAGGCCAATAACTCTTAGATTTACCCTTTAGAGGCTATTTTATAGATTCTGTAGGCACGGTTCATTGTTTTTTATTATTTTGACAGTTGTCTCCTCTTACTGTGTATTTTCAAATATCCTGCCTTTAAACTTACTAATTGTTTCTTCTGCTGGATATATTCTGCTATTAAATAACTCTGATGCATTCTTCAGTATGCAAATTAAATTTTTCAGCTGCAGAATTTCTGCTTGATTTTTTAAAATTATTTTCATTTCTTTGTTAAATTTATCTGATACATTTCCGAATTCCTTCTCTGTGTTATCCTGAATTTCTTTGAGTTTTCGCAACACTGCTCTTTTAAATTATCTGTCTAAAGGTCACATACCTCTCTTTCTCCAGGACTGGTCCCTGGTGCCTTATTTAGTTCATTTGGTAAAGTCACTTTTTCCTGGACAGTGTTGATGCTAGCAGATGTTCTTTGGTGTCTGGGCATTAAAGACTTAGGTATTCATTGTAGTCTTCATTCTCTGGTCTTATTTGCAGTAATCCTTCTTGGGAAGGCTTTCCAGATAGTTGAAATAACTTGGCTTTTGTGATCTAAGCTGTATCTGCTTCAGGGGGCTCCCCAACCCCAGTAACACTGTAGTTCCTGGAGACTCATAGAGGTACCACCTTGAAGGTCTTGTACAAGATCTAGAAGAATTCTCTGGATTACCACACAGATACGTCTGTTCTCTTTCTTTACTTTCTCTGAAACTAATGAACTATCTCTCTCTGTTCTAAGACACCTAAACCTAGGGATGGAGTGATGCAAGCATTCCTGTGCCCACCACCAATGACTGTATTGGGTGAAACCTGAAGCCAGCCCAGCACCGGGTCCCACTCAAGGCCTGCTATAACCACTTACTGGATACTGCCTATGATCATTCAAGGCCCAGGGGCTCTACAATCAGTAGGTGGATAACCAGCCCTGTGTTTCTTCCTTCAGGGCAGCAAGGTCCCCAGTCCCTGAGTGGGTCCAAAAGTGCCTTCCAGGAGTCAGTAAAACCTTAGAAGTCTACCTGGTATTCTGTTCTATTGTGGCTGAGCTGGCACTCCAAGCATATGATACAGCTCTTCCAACTCTTCCTTCCCCTTTCCAAAGGCAGACTAGCCTCACCCTACAGCTACCACCACCCCAAATCACAAGGAGCACTGCCAGACTACCACAGACATTCCTTTAAAGCCCAAGTTCTCCCAAGTCAGCTTGTGGTGAATGCTTCCTGGCTTGGGACTTACCCTTCAAGGGAGTGGGCTCCCCTCTGGCCCAGGCCAGGTACAGAAATGCCACTGAAGAGGCAAGTCCTGGAATTAGAGATGCCAAGAACCCTCTTGATTCTCTATTCCCCTGTGGTCATGCTGGTACCTGAAGCCAGCAAATATCAGAGGCTCATCCAAGGCCCTCCATGTAGGACCTGGGTATCTCTGCTGCTTATTAAAGGCCCAAGGGCTCTTCAGTTAGTAGGTGATGAATGCTGCCAGGTGAGGTTCTTTCCTTCAAGACAGCAGGTTCCCTTCTGGCCCAAGTTGTTTCTACAAATGTATTCTGGGAGCTACGTCCTGGAATGTGTGCCTTGTTACTCTGACTGGTGCCTATCCTGCTGCATCTTGCATCCTAGATGCAAGACAAAGTCCTCCCCACTATTTCCTCTTTTCTCCTCAAGTGGAACAACAGGTTTCTTTTTTGGAGCTGTGAGCTGTGCAGGCTGGGGTTACAGGAGGAGTAATGCCAGCACTCCCTTGGCTGCCCCAGCTGGTGCCTCAGTATGTCACATGCCCCCTAGTCCATTGTCTCCGGGCCTAGTTCAGCACTAGGACTTGCTTATGAGTTGCAATCCTTATGGCCTAGACTGTCTTTCAAGTTTACTTGGAGATACAAAGTCCTTGGTGGCAAGGTTTACAAGTATTCAAGTTTGGACCACTGGAATTGGTGATTCCCTTCTTGCTAGGGCTGGTTTAAATGCTTCCTCTGTAGGCAGGCTTTAGCTGTGTTTGGATCGGTTTTCCTTTAGGCTCTAACAGGACAGCACTGAGTTCAATGCCTCATAGTTGCTGTATTCTCTCTCTCCTAGTGCCCAGAGGTGCTCTCTGCACCAGCCACAGCTGCCAGGGGTGGGGGAAAGGTGGCATCAGGGGATTCACAATGTCTTTTTCTGTCTCTTCAGTGCCTTTTCTTGGTTTTTTTTTTTTTTTTTTTTTTTTTTTTTTTTTTTTTTTTTTGAGACGGAGTTTCTCTCTTGTTGCCCAGGCTAGAGTGCAATGGCATGGTCTCAGCTCACTGAAACCTCCGCCTCCCGGATTCAAGCAATTCTTCCACCTCAGCCTCCTGAGTAGCTGGGATTATAGGTGCCTGCCACCATGCCCAGATAATTTTTGTATTTTTAGTGGAGATGGGGTTTCACCACTTTGGCCAGGCTGGTCTCAAACTCCTGACCTCAGGTGATCCACCCACCTTGGCCTCCCAAAGTGCTGGGATTACAGGCGTGAGCTCCGGTGCCTGGCCTCAGTGCCTTTTTTAGTGATAGGAAGATAAAACTAGATACTGTGAGAGTGTTCACCTAATTTTTGGTTCTTATGAAGGTATTTTGTCTGGGTAGACAGTTGGTAACTTGATGTTCGTGGTGGAGGGACAATTAGTGGAACTTTCTACTCTGCCGTCTTTCCCTCTCTCTCATTTGAATTTCTGATACACAAGTGTATCTATTTTCAAATATGAATGTGGAACCAACTCATATCGTACTAAAGAACATGTCCTGTAGTTTACCTAATGACACAAAACAAGACAGCAATAACTGATAACTATCATTAGCAGTAAATGTTTAACCTCAGGATAATTTAAAATGTCTTTAGTGGTATTTTAAGACGGTTTGTAAAGCTTAGAGGAGTTGGGATGTGGAGAAATGCTACCATAGACCAGGGAAATAATATTTTCATAATATCTGTGGTTAAGACCCCAAGCTTCACAAAGCCCCTTCTTTCCAATAAGGAATAAGCTAACAGAGGAGAGAAAGTTATATATAGTAAGACACAGGAAAGGGAAGGAAGTCGATGTACTATGAAGCAGAACTATGGACACTGAAAACTCAGGATCTCTGCCCCACCTCACTTTCGAGGACATGTAGCGTTACCCAGCTCACTAATGAAATTAAGCACTTCAATTAAAAGTCACCTTGACTCTAGCAATCAGTCAGCAAATCAGCAAGGTTCTCCTCATTTCTAAATTTTTTTTCAATGGGAAACATTAAATTTTGATTAACTCTTTCTGGGCACACAGACACACACACACACACACACACACACACACACACACACACACACACCCAGTCTACAGAAGTATACTTTGTTATCCTAATTCCCATTGCAAGAAACTTTGGTTAGCGACAAATATAAAATATATTATTTACATCATTCTAAGGATGAACAAATTTAGGCTTAGAATATTTTAGATACTTTGCCATAGTCACAAATTATAGACCTAATATTTGAAATCACTTCTGTTTTTTTTTTTTTGACGGAGTTTTGCTCTTGCTGTCCAGGTTGTTGTGCAATCTCGGCTCACTGCAACCTCCGCCTCCAGGGTTCAAGCGATTCTCCTGCCTCAGCCTCCCAAGTCACTGGGATTACAGGCACATGCCACCACCTCCAGCTAATTTTTTGTATTTTTAGTAGAAACGGGGTTTCACCATGTTAGCCAGGCTGGTCTTGAACTCCTGACTTCAGGTGATCCACCTGCCTCTGCCTCCCAAAGTGCTGGGATTACAGGCATAAGCCACCGCTCCTGGCCCACTTCTTCTTTTTTCTAATCACAATTTAAACCACTTATCAAAGCTCTTTTAACTATATATTTAAAAGGAAGCAGTTTTGCCGTTTTAAATTATGCTTCAATAAGTCTGAGTTTTTTTTAAAGTAAAAGTATATTGAAGCTATATGAACAATATAAATGTGAGTCATTTTTGCTCTTACGAACTTTTTATTAAAGGCACACTAATGAATGCTACTTAAAAACAATAATAAAAGAGCTAAATAACTTACAGGAGGCAAATAGTATTGAGAGTAAGAGATGAACTTTGGGGTCCTCCATGCTTCATTTAGAAACCTGTCTCTGCCACTAAATAGTTATATGACTTTGAGGAGAATTACTTAAAATCTCTGAGTCCATTTTTTTTTTAATCTGCCAAATGAGCTAACAATATTTCCTTATGACTTCCTTGAAGATTTAATGAGATTGCGTGTGTGGGTGTGTGTGTACACACACATCATGGTGCAAAGGGTAGACTCTCAATGAGTGGCATTATTATTGGATTTAATGAGAGCCTTTTCCTCCAATTGTTGAAAATGAATTGCAAGGACATAGAGGAACTGAAAGCTTCTTACATATTCTACTAGCTGAAAATGTGGAGAGGGAAGAAAGGGCATTGAGACACTGCATCCCTGGAGACAATTGAGATCAGAGATACTAAGAGGCCAAGCAATATTGGCCAATGAAGGAGACAGTGAACAAACAGCCAGGATACAGCCTATATGTCCATTAAGTGTCTGAAGAGATGGAAAGTTAAAAGTGGTGTCCTCTTAATTTATGCTTTTTCCTTTGTCAAGAAAAGTTATTGGTATTGCCCTGTGCAGAAATTAATTTATTCAGCAAACATTTATTAAGTGACACATAGAAGACAGGTACTGGAGTCTTGTGCCCTGAAACTGTCAGAAATAGTTTCTTAATATATTTGGATCATTGAATGTGGTGCACTAAGATATTGTATCCAACTAGTTTCCAAATATGTGTCTTAACTTTGATTCTACTCCCACCCCACCCCAAGCCAACCTTGAGTGGGAATCACTTATTTGGGGGGTTGTGATAAAATCGGAAAGAATAGACAAGAAATATCAGTCTAAAGAATATATTATGGCCCCAAATTTCACTGAGGGTAATTGAAGCTTATTTCTTGGGGAATCTCTAGAAGCTGGTGTCATGCACACCCCTCAGTATATGAAAGATCTTGAATATACCAGCACAGCAACTCCTGTAAAGGGATGCTGAGGTTGGCAATGGGGTTAATTCCTCTGCACTTCTGGCCCACTTATGAGCATGCAAAACACTGGGGCTAAGGACAAGGAAAGCCCTCAGGCAAAGGAAAGCAGGTGCTGGCTGACTTTGCACTAAAATAGTAAGAGGAAAGGCTAGGAGTGGGCTTAAAGTCTTAAAAGCGTCACTTTCATAAGAGCTAGGTTAAGCAAACACAGATAGGTTTCTTTACTTCAGTTTTTCTCACTTCTGTTAGTATGTTAATGTAAATATAAATTATATAGCTTCAATACAGGAGTATAAGTGTTTCCCAAACTGTTTAACAAAGAATCCTTTGCCTTCCCAAACATTTTGTAAGATTAGAGTTTCTTATAAATATTATAGCATCTAGGATCTATTCCAATTGCCTATATTTTACAAATAAGGAAAATTAGGTCTAGATAAGTAATAATATGTTAATAATGACTAAAAGTGCAGAAATGTGGAAAGAGAAGATTAGCTTTTTACACAAAGTTAAGTCAGCGAGGAATCCAGAACATGTGACAGGGTTTTTTGTTAAACACATCCTTGTGATTACCTTTCTCATTCTAGCTTTATCTCTTCTCCTATTAGCCGTTTTTTATGCTGGCTCTGTTCTTTGAGATCAAAACTTTCATGTCCATCCACCTATATCTAAAATACATATTTTACTATAATCATTATATAAATTATAATTATTTAACAAAATTTATATTAAATACTATGTAATACATAATTAATATTAGTTAATATATTTATAGTTAATATATTGATACCAAAGCATTGTGTCACTTTTATAATTTCACCTCCACTCAGCAGAGAATGGTCAAATCTTTATTTTCTAATCATTATCCCTATGAGTTGATTATACACATGATTATTTTTGTTTACTAGGTGAGGATGCAGAGGTCTAAAAATGTTGGCATTTTTGTAAAAGTGATAAAATAACTTGTATTCAGAGCCAAGATTCAAAATCAAGAATCGAATTTTTGCCTTCTGATCAGTAGAAGCCTGCTTCAGATTCACCCAAACTCCCTCTGTTCTCAAAGTCCTTGAATTAATGTTTTTGGATATTTTAGTTGGGGTTATAAATGGCCTGGCTATAGAGTAATTGCTCTTTCAAACACTTTTAGTAAACTGGTGGTGGTCATGCATGAGTTTCTGGCATTTTGCATGACAAACCTTATAACATTTTATAAGGCTAAGAGAACACGAAGAAAGGGAGACCAAGTAGCTCCAACAAAATCAGGCAATAAACAACAAGTATATAAATAAAAGGTTAATATCACTAATTATTAGAGAAATGCAAATCAAAACCACAATGAGATACTATATCATAGCAGTCACAATGGCTATTACTAAAAAGTCAAAAATAACAGATGATGGCAAGGTTGTGGAGAAAAAGGAACACTTTTATACACTATTGGTGGGAGCATAAATTAGTTCAATTATTGTGGAAAGCAGTGTGGTGATTCTTTAATGAGCTAAATCAGAAATAGCATTTGACCCAGGAATGCTATTGCTGGGTATATACCCAGAGGAATGTAAGTCATTCTATCATAAATACACATACACAGGTGTGTTTATTGCAGCATTATTCGCAATAGCAAAGACATGGAATTAACCAAATGCCTACCAATCACAGATGGGATAAAGAAAATGTGGTACATATATACCATAGAACACTATGCGGCCATAAAAAATAATGAGATCATGTCCTTTATAGGAACACCAATGGAGATTGAGGCCATTATTGTTAGCAAACTAACACAGGAACCAAAACCCAAATACCACATGTTCTCTCTTATAAGTGGGAGCTAAATGATGAGATCACATGAACACAAGGAGGGAAACAACAGACACTGAGGCCTATTTGAAGGTCAAGGGTAGGAGCAGGGAGAGAATTAGAAAAAAAAATAACTACTGAGTACTAGACCTACTACTTGGGTGATAAAATAATCTGTACAACAAACTCCCATGACAGGAGTTTACCTATATGACAAACTTGCACAGGTACCCTGAACCTAAAAAATAAAAGTAACACAAAAAAAATTGTACAATAAAGTAAAAGTTTTATCTAAATAATCAAGTTATTTATCTGAATTTGTTATTTTTATTTATATTGACCTTAAGTTATTTATAGTCCTGGGAATCTGTCGCCTCTAGAAAACTGGTGGCTAAAGTCAAACAGAAATCACATAAGGTGAGCTAAAATGCCTAGAAAGGAACTGATCCTAACAGAACCCAGCCCCGGCAATCTTTATTGTAAAAGCAAAGACAGCTCACCGATCAAAGAGAACATTTTGAAAAGTGTAGCTTTTTTGTTTGAAGAAGCTCCTTATACAGACCTCTACGGAATAATGCATAAGTTATTTGGTGATAGAGAAGTACACAGTTAAGGGGAAAAACAGAATTAGTTACTTCATGTAAAAGACTGCTAGACATTTTGAAATGCAAACTACTTTTGTGTCTATCAGAAACAGCAAAAGGCAGAAAAGAGTAAGAAATTATCTGGATACATTACATCAGAGCACCTACCTGTAAGGCCCATTGTGCTGTATTGTAACTGGAAAAAGACTATGAAGTCAGCGGTCAGAGTGTGTATCATGTGAATGGTAAATGAGGTCAAAAGTGAAATAAAATCATACTCTTCCAATGGAGACTGTGTCACTCCAGATAGTTATGGGGGCAACTTTTTGCTGGAGGTCGAGTACTGCCTTATAAAATCTGTTGAATGCACATAAAATAGAAGTTATGATGATAGTAACAGTAATGTAAACAGTGATGCATATTTATAGACATTTACAGTTTTCAAAACACTTTCACATATATAATTTTCTTTAGTTTCACATTATTCAAATTGCTACTGGAAAACAAAGAGATCCAAATTGTTATTATCGGCATATTCTTAAGCTCAAATACATTTTAATAGAGAAGGTAATTCCAAAAAAATGTTTTTCTCAGATCCCAAAAATCTTTAGAATGTGTTATGTTGGTACTCTTAACGAGACGTGTGATCTACTTGATTGTGAAGGTTGACAAATTATTCTAATGCTGATAATAACCATTCCCATAGATATATTTCCTTATCTGATAAAATTGAAGCTAAGAATTTTTTTTTTTTTCTCAAGAACTGCCAATCTGCAAAATGATAGAAAAAAGACTCAAAACAAACTCAGGCTCTAAATTCAATCACCCCATTTTCTTTGCAGATGATAAACTTTATAATGCAAAGTTCATACTATAAAAGCTTTGCTTTGCTTAAATATATAATGTACAATTGCTCTCTGGTGCATGTTGCATGAACTGATTGACCTAGCCCCCTCAATAACTTCACATTTTTTCTTGAGTTTACAATTGAAGTTGGTTTCCACCATTGCCACAACTCAACAAGATGTTGAAGATCATTCCTTAACTATGACTTTTCAACCAGCTACAAAACACGCATTTTAGACCTGCCAAATGTATTAGCTTTCCTGAACAAAAACGTATTAAAAACATATTGGCTTAAAATAAATCTCCTGATTAAATCACAGTTATATAGATCAGGAGTCTGAGTGTGCTCTAATTGTGTTACACTTCATATAAGAAGGCTGAAATCTTGGTGTCAGCCAGGCTGGGGTCTTATTTGGAGGCTATGGTGAAGAGTACTCTTTCATGCTCATTGTGGTTGTTGACTGAATTTGGTTCCTGCAGTCGTAGGACTAAGGTCTCTATTTCTTTGATGGCTTCCAGGTGGGGGTATCTCTAGCTCCTTAAGAACAACCTCAATCCTTCTCATTTAGCCCCCTTTATCTTCAAAGCTACAACAACCTGAGTCCCTCTCAAGCTTCAAATCTCTCTTACTTTCCCTTTTGCTGCCAGTCAAAATCCTCTGCTTTTATTAATTAATTTTTTACTTTTTAAATTGAGAAATAAAAATTGTATATATTTATCATGTATAACATGTTTTGATGTATACCTTGTGGAATGAGTAAATCTCATCGCAAAAAAATGATAAGGGCCAGGCACAGTGGCTCACGCTTGTAATCTCAGCACTTTGGGAGGCTGAGGCAGGCAGATCACTGGAGTTCAAGAGTTCGAGACCAGTCTGGCTAACATGGTGAAACCTCATCTCTACTAAAAGTACAAAAATTAGCCAGACGTGGTGGCACATACTTGTAATCTAAGCTACTCGGGAGGCTGAGGCAGGAGAATCTCTTGAACCTGGGAGGCAGAGGTTGCAGTGAGCTGAGATCACGCCATTGCACTCCAGCCTAGGCGACAAGAGCAAAACTCCATCTAAAAAAAAAAAAAAGCATGTGCTATTTAGTCACATGCATTAACCTCACATACTTATTTTTTTGGTGATGAGAACACTTAAAATCTACTCTTAGAAGCTTTCAAGAATATAATACATTGTTATTAACTATAGTCACCATATTGTGCAATAGATTAATTGAATTCATTCCTTCTATCTAACTGAACTTTTGGTTCCTTTTACCAACATCTCCCCAGTCCCCTCTCCCTCCCCGCACACCCCTGGTAACCGCCATTCTACTCTCTACTTCAATGGATTTAACTCAAAAGTTCTCTGCTTTTAAGGGTATGTGTGATTACATCGGGCGTATGCAAACACTCCAGAAAAATCTTATTCCCAGATACCAGGGATTAAGATAGGATATTTTTCTGGGCCCATTTACAAAATTTTGCCTATCATACCAACTTTAATTTTATTTATTTATTTATTTTTAGACAGAGTTTCACTCCCATTGCCTAGGCTGGTTTGCAGTGGTGTGGTCACATCTCACTGCAGCCTCCACCTCCCTGGCTCAAGTGGATTCTCCCACCTCAGCCTCCTGATTAGCTGGGTCTACAGGCATGTACCAAAATATCCAGCTAAATTTTTGTGTTTTTTAATAGAGACAGGGTTTTGCCATGTCACCCAGGCTGGCCTCAAACTTCTGGGTTCAAATGATCCACTCGCTTTGGCCTCTCAAATTGCTGAAGTAACAGTTGTGGGCCACCATGCCCAACCAACTTTAATTTTAAAAAAAGTAAAAACAAAAACAAAAACACTTAGCCTTAATAAATTAGCCATGCATGTTTTAGCAGCAAATTAATTTTATGGATACAGCTATAATGTAGTCAATACATGAAATGACTTAACATCAAAAGCATGTACTTGCTTTTTAAACATTTAATATTATATATGACATGTAAGTATTATATTTGTACTTATGCATTAAAATATGCTTTAAAATAGGTTTAGAAGATAATCATATGTGTGAAACCATCTAAAGATATGTATTTGATATGTCTGACAGTTTTGGATTCAAGTAGCTAAAACCTGAGAAAAGGTGATTTACTCTAGATTTGGTTTTGTAGCATCCTTTTGAGGTGACAGAACCAGTTCAGGCTAGAAATTTCAATTATAGAGTTAATAAAATAGATTCCTGAATTTTGTGAGCTACAGAAATGGTCATTGAAGAAACTGCCAGTAGACTCCAGGATTAAATAGATGGCTTTTCCATGAAGTTAAAGTCTTTTCTAAAGGGACTTTATCATTTTATAAACTTTGTGGTTTAATTTAGGGTAAAACAGCTTTTGGATGGGTCATAACAATTTCAATTCCTTTTGGATTATAGAGGATGCAAACATTACAACCTTGACCACACTTTTCAGAATCTACTTACTTCAAGTTCTTTTGGGTGGAGGAAAAATGAAACCTTAATAAATACTTACATTGTCATTAATCTGATATCAGGGATTGCAGCATAGTTCATTGACAGATTCAAAATCTGGTGTCAAACAGAAATAGGTTCTAATTTTAGCTCTTTAACTTACCAGTTACACTACCTTAAACTGTCTTTTATCATATTTTTTCTGCCAGGCAACATAAATATTATAGACAAAATATATGTTAGCTTGGACAAGCTTATTCTCCTCAGATTATTTATGTGAATAACAAGGATGGGAAAATCTTACCTCGCAAAATTTTTTTGGAAAAGTGCTAGTGCAATGATGATCGCATCACAGGTGATCAATGTTAGTTTCACTTTTTCACTGTCCACTCAGGTTAACATCTACCTAAAACCTCCCTCCCACAATTCTGAAGGCATTTCCTGCTTTTCCACACTCCACTGTCTACCCTAAGTGAAAGTTTCATATCCCATTGGTTTGAATGTACTTGAAGGCTTTTATATTATACAGAAGAGATAGAGTGAATAAGACTGGCACAGACACTTGTGAAAGTGGAAAATAAATACTGGAAGAGATTTTGGCATGAGATTTACATTTTATTTTTTAATATGTGTCAAACCCACTGGTGATCATTTTTCATTCAAGGACAAAACAGTAAAGACATTCTTTCCTTTCCTTTTATTTTCTCCTTCACTTGCCTTTCCTCCTTAAAAAGAGACAAAGTATAGTTTCTCCCAATCCGAAGTAATTAGATTTGCTGAGGGAAAGACTACGTAAAAGAAAAATGTAAAGATACACTGGGAAAAAAAATGAACTCAAGATTTTAAAACCTTTAATAGATATGATTTATTTTCTCTGTATTTCTCTAATATGAATAAGAAACCTGTTAACTAATCATCTTTTCTTGAGGATACAAGAAAACATATGAGTTCAGGGATAGACTTTTCCCTGCTAGGCAACTTAGTATCAGCATTTAACTTGCAGGTAGAAGCAGGGTTATATCACATGGGGTTGTGTTCTGAAAAATGGGCAATTTTGTGGATTTTTTTTAATACTAGTAATAGGTATCTATTTGGTTTGCAGATTTCATAATTAGAGAATTACACTTATAAACCTCGGGAGTCAAAGGAGAAAATAAACTTCACTAAGGAAGAAACAGAACAATTTTATTCATAGGATATTTATCTAGTTTGTGGTGTATTTTTTCCCTGGGTATCTTTTTATGTTTAGGTTGAACTATATAAAACGGATGTTTTCATAGTTCAAGATGAGCCAATTATTGGCAATTTGATATGGTTTAATTTAATAAAAGTGAATAAGCACAATATTTTTGATGGATCTGTGACAAGTAGTGATTGTTTTTCTATGATAAGATTGCTTAAATTCTCGCTAACATATAAAATTTTGGTTTAGTCTGTGAATCATAAAACTAATTTTTCTTCATTCATTTAATATTTATTGAGTGATGACTATGTGCTAGATACTGTCTTATGCATAAGGTATAGTACACAACAACGTCCTTCCTTTCACAAATTGTACATTGCAGTGGATAGATGGACTATAAGAAAGCTATATAAAATCTGTGTTTAGCATGTTAAGTAGTAATAGCTTCAAAGGCGAAAAAAAGGACAAAAAAAGAGGATTGGGTTGTGGGAGTAGGAAGAGGAGTTTAAAGTGTTTAACTTGGAGGAATAGGAAAGGCCTGAATGGGGTGAGGAAATAATTATAGTGAATGTCTATCATCAAAAATAATGACAGAAGCAGCAAGTAAGTGCAAAGGCCCCCAGTGTGCCTGATGAGAACAGAGGGCACAGTGTGGACAGATAGAACGGAGTGAGCCTAAGGGAGAATAGACACTCAGTGAGGTCACTTAGGGACTGGGTATGAGGGCTAAGCCTTGGAACATCTCAAGACTAGATTTTAGTAATTTGAGGAGAAATGAGGAAACATATGAAGAATGAATCTTCAGAAGTACAAAAGAAAATCAAGCGATTGTGGAATCTCAAATGCCATGTTAAAAAGATATTCTGAGAAAGAAAAAGTGATCATTTGGTATCTTTTCCCAAAATAGTGGATTTTTGTTTTTCATTAGGAATGGGGACTACACTTTCACATTCAAGATTTTAGTAAGGTACAATGAAGAAGAAACAATATGAGTTCTTATGATGTTTTTGCATGGCAGAAACATCTGGATAATATAATATCATTACATATTATATATAATTTATACTGCTCCAACTTCAAATAATGGCTAGTAGCCATAAGGGTGATACATTATCATAAAATACTTTAAACACAGTAAATGTTTCTGTCCACATGCTGCGGATATTCCATTGATTTTGAAAATTACCTTCAGAATCTTATTTACAGAATTTCATGGGTCAGAGCAGTTTATGAAACATAGAATAAACTATCTACCTTCAAAAAACAATCTTCAATTCATGTTCCATTTCTGATATCTTTGTTTACCAGTAAATGATGACTCCAACAACACAAGTGTTGTGAAACATCAATAACCTTTAACTTCTACTCCTTTATGAAGTAATGTGGCAGTTGCTTTTATACACAGAGGTAATCCCAGAGACTGAGCTGCTATTTCCAGCTATTCAGATGAGTCATTTAACCTCTTTTTATCCTTTAAAGATAAGAATATATTGTTCTTTGGCCTACTTCACTGGGATGAAATGAATATTGGTGAGATAATGTCTATGAAACAATTTGAATGTCTCACAAAAACAATGCCAAGTGTTTTCAAAGCAACTTGCTGGAGTTTCTGATCCAGAGGCTGAAAAGGAAACCCATGAAACTAGATTGTTTTCACTGACATTGTAAAGATTGGAGATAAAGGGAGATTCTTTCTTTTCTGCAAAAGGGAAACCATTGCTCTAAGGCTGCAAAAAGGTTCATGGAGAGAGGCTTATCTGTCTTGAATAAATTTCTGAAGAATAGTGATTGCTTTTACAAGGGTTCAGTAGGCATAGGGATGTCAAAAGATGCACATGAAACTGCCCAAGACAGGAGAATGGAGGAATCTAACTTCTGGGATAGCTACTCTCTTCCCTGTTTCCTTGTTTGTGGCACTGGCATTTACTAGGTTGGCATAACTTATAAATATGGCATTCATTCTTGTGTTCTTTATTCACCATATCCAATCTACCTCCAAATCCTGCCTGCTGTCTGTCATCATTATCTTGCTAAGCACCACCAGTCTTTTTGTACTTACTATTTTGCTTTATTCAATCTACTAGCATTCTCTCATCTTGATTATTGTGGTTCACTATCGTGGCCAGGTCTATTTCTCCATTCCATCTTTCACATCTAAAGCACGTGCCATCCCTTTTGTCTTTTTCCTGCTGATTCCATCAAACTTTTTACCTTACAACTTCTGAAATATAGCCTTTGCTCCAGGCATGCTGAATTATGAATAGTTCTCCAAAAGTCCTATGCTGTTTCATACCTCTGGCTGTTACACATGTCACTTCTGCCAGGAAAGTCCTCCCTCCCTTTACAGGAGCAATAATATAGTATTGTCCTTGGAGCAAGGGCTTTGGTAAGGATCAAATGTCATCCTTTTCTTCCCAACTATGTGTCTCTGGACAAAATTCTGAATTTCTCTGTGTGTCAGTGCCACGTCTTCAATATATACATAACAATATAACCTATATCATAGGTTGTGATGAGATTACATTGAAAAACTTGTGCAAATAATGTGCTTAGTACACATTAGATTCATAGCATCTGTTGTTACTATTGTATTTTGTCTAAGTCTTATACTATAACTCAAAACTTGCTGGTTTCTTTTTTATAAACTTTTGTTATCTTCCTCGCTCTGCAAAAGGGTAACTGCTTCCTTCCTCTTTTGTGCTACTCTTTTACCTTATGTGAATAGTATAGTAATTCTAATGTGTCTGGAATTGGTGGGTTCTTGGTCTCACTGACTTCAAGAACGAAACCATGGACCCTCGTGGTGAGTGTTACAGTTCTTGAAGGCGGCGTGTCCGGAGTTTTTCCTTCTGATGTTCAGATGTGTTTGGAGTTTCTTCCTTCTGGTGGGTTCGTGGTCTCGCTGGCTTAGGAGCGAAGCTGCAGACCTTGGCGGTGAGTGTTAAAGTTCATAAAAGCAGTGTGGACCCAAAGAGTGAGCAGCAGCAAGATTTATTGCAAAGAGCAAAAGAACAAAGCTTCCAAAGTGTGGAAGGGGGCCCGAGCGGGTTGCTACTGCTGGCTCGGGCAGCCTGCTTTTATTCTCTTATCTGGCCCCACCCACGTCCTGCTGATTGGTAGAGCCGAGTGGTCTGTTTTGACAGGGCACTGATTGGTGCGTTTATAATCCCTGAGCTAGACATAAAGGTTCTCCAAGGCCCCATCAGATTAGTGAGATACAGAGTATGGACACAAAGGTTCTCCAAGGCCCCACCAGAGCAGCTAGATACAGAGTGTCAATTGGTGCATTCACAAACCCTGAGCTAGACACAGGGTGCTGATTGCTGTGTTTACAAACCTTGAGCTAGATGCAGAGTGCCTATTGGTGTATTTACAATCCCTGAGCTAGACATAAAGGTTCTCCAAGGCCCCACCAGAGCAGCTAGATATAGAGTGTCGATTAGTGCACTCACAAACCCTGAGCTAGATACAGGGTGCTGATTGGTGTGTTTACAAACCTTGAGCTAGATAAAGAGTGCCTATTGGTGTAGTTACAATCCCTGAGCTAGACATAAAGGTTCTCCACGTCCCCACCAGACTCAGGAGCCCAGCTGGGCGCCATGGAGCAGGGGGTGGCATTCGTCGAGGAGGCTTGGGCCGCACAGGAGCCCACAGAGGGGGTGGGAGGCTCAGGCATGGCGGGCTGCAGGCCCCGAGCCCTGCCCCACAGGAAGGCAGCTAAGGCCCGGCGAGAAATCAAGCGCAGCGCCGGTGGGCTGGCACTGCTGGGGGACCCAGTACACCCTCCACAGCCTCTGGCCCGGGTGCTAAGCCCCTCATTGCCCAGGGCCGGCAGGGCCTGCCAAGCCCACGCCCACCCAGAACTCCAGCTGGCCCTCAAGTGCCGCGCGCAGCCCCAGTTCCCGCTTGCGCCTCTCCCTCCACACCTCCCTGCAAGCTGAGGGAGTGGGCTCCGGCCTTGGCCAGCCCAGAAAGGGGGTCCCACAGTGCAGCGGTGGGCTGAAGGGATCCTCAAGTGCGGCCAAAGTGGGAGCCTGGGCAGAGGAGACGCCGAGAGCGAGCGAGGGCTGTGAGGACTGCCAGCACACTGTCACCTCTCAATCCCCCCTCTAAACAGGACATCCCAACTGCTGTTGGGAATTTGGCTGATGACTGCTCTAACTACTTCCTGCTGGATCAGGGCAAAGAAGGGGCCCTGCACTTGTAGTGTCCTTCAGAGGGGAAGTCTCTAGGCCAGGGAAAGTGCCAGTGGGTCAGTCCAGGGGTCCTCAGTAGAAATTGTTAGTTGAACTCATTTGGGGTTCCATTTGTAAGACCATCTGTAGCTTGATGGCCTTGATTCTAGAGGAAACAAATTTGATAAGATGGTTAAAAATACAGGGCCCAAAGGCGAGTAACAGCAAGATGGCTGCCATGGGACCTAGAAAGGGGAGAAGCCATGTTGCCCAACCCCAGAGGTTGGCATAAGAATTTGAAAGGCGTTGTCTGATTTCAGAAGCCTTTTCCTGTAAATGCTGGGTGGCATTTCGTACTATCCCTGACTGGTTACTGTAAAAACAACACTCTTCCCCTAAGAAGGTGCAGAGTCCTCCTTTCTCAGCAGTGAGGAGGTCTAGGCCTCAGCGGTTTTGGAGAGTCACTGCTGCCAAACAGTCTATTTGGGATTGTAAAGTAAGGATAGATTTCGTTATTTCTTGCAAACTGTTTAAGAGGCAGATATGGGTTGAAGATCCACATAAGTAGAGTATGCCTTGGCTGGGTAGATAGAAATTCACCCTGGCTTTTAAAGGAAAAGGGTACACTGTTTTTTCTTTACTACTTCCATCTCTCTCTTTCTGTCTTCGACTTCTTGTCTCTTCCTCTCTTTTTAACTCTCTCTTTGACTTTCTGTGTCTGTCCCTCTTTCTCTCTGACTTCTTCTTTGTCTCTTCCTCTCTGTCTCTCTTTGACTTCCCATCTTTCTTTCCTTTCTGCTGCCTCTGCCAGCTGCTTATGCTGCTGTTCTCCCTTCTCCTTCCCATTTTGATGGCTTTGTCATTGTAAGATTCCCACCTCTTTGTGTTTTTGCATTGCATGCAATAACTCTATAACTTCCTTGTGGTATTTAATGGGGGTTTCCCCAGAGATTAGGAACTCCCTCTCTTTCCATATTGCAGCATGGGCATGTAGGATTAGATAAGCATACTTGCTATCTGTATACACATTTATTCTTTTTCCCTTTCCCAGTTCTAAGGCTCGGGTAAGTGCCACTAGTTCCACTAACTGGGCACTGGTCCCTGGGGGAAGAGGCTGGCTTTCAAGTATGGTTACATCACTAACAATGGCGCAACCTGCCCTTCGTGTCCCATTCTCCACAAATGAACTTCCATCAGTATATAGGTTAAGGTCAGGATTAGTTAAGGGGACTTCTAAGAGACCATCTCGGGCGGCGTAAGTCTGGACTATAATTTGTTGGCAGTCATGCTCGATTGGTTCCCCATCCTCTGGGAGAAAAGTGGCAGGGTTGAGGGCCACGTGTGTGCGTATTTGAAGCACCGGTCCCTCAAGGAGTAGTGCCTGGTATCTAAGTAGGCGGTTGTCTGATAGCCATAAACTTCCTTTGGCACCTAGTATGCCATTTACATCACGAGTAGTCCAGACAGTGAGATCCTTTCCTTGTATTATTTTGATAGCCTCTGATGCTAAGATGGCCACTGCTGCAACTACCCTTAAACAGTGAGGCCAGCCTTTTGCTACTACATCAATTTCCTTACTTAGGTATGCCACTGGTTGTGGGGTTGTCCCACGAGTCTGAATAAGGACTCCAAGAGCTATCCCGGCTCTCTCTGTGATGTATAAGGAGAAGTTCTGTCCTGTGGGAAGGCTCAAAGCTGGAGCTTGTACTAGGGCCTGTTTTAAGGTTTTGAAGGCTGTTTCTGCCTCTGGTTCCCATTCGACTAGATGAGTATTTGCCTTCTGGGTTTCCTTGATTAGAGTATAGAGGGGCCTGGCTATCTCACTGTATCCGGGGATCCATAGTCGGCAAAAGCCGGTAATTCCAAGGAACCCCCTCAACTGTTTTAATGTCTTAGGGCAAGGATAAGCCAGTATAGGCTGTATTCGTTCCTTGCTGAGGGCCCTGGTCCCTTTGGCTAAGATTAGGCCTGGATATTTAACCTGCTGTAGGCAAAGCTGGGCCTTCGACCTAGACACCTTGTACCCTTGAGCTAGAAAGTTCAAGAGACCTAGAGTAGCCTGCTGGCACGAGGCTTCCAAACTGGTAGCCAAAAGTAAATCATCCACATATTGAAGGACCAGAGTGCCTGGACTTGAGAAGTGGCCTAGATCTTGGGCTAGGGCCTGACCAAACAGATGCGGGCTATCCCTAAAACCCTTGGGTCAAGACCGTCCATGTAAGTTGGGATGTGTGGTCTGTGGGATCCTCAAAGGCAAAGAGGAACTGGGAATCAGAGTGCAGGGAATACAGAAGAAGGCATCCTTGAGGTCCAGAACCATGAACCATTCTGCTTCCTCTGGTATTGGAGAGAGCAAGGTATAGGGGTTGGGTACAACTGGATATAGAGGAATTAGTGCCTCATTAATGAGTCTAAGATTTGCACTAGTCTCCACTGACCGTTTGGGTTTTTGTACTACTAGAATTGGGGTGTTGCAGGGACTGCTGCATTTCCTTACTAAGCCTTGAGCTTTCAAACGTTTAACAATATTCTGTAATCCTTTATGAGCTTCAGGCCTTAAGGGATATTGCTTTTGATAAGGAAAAGTGGTGGGATCTTTTAACCTGATTTTGACTGGGCAGGCATTTTTTGCCCTTCCAAATTGTCCTTCCAATGCCCAGACTTCAGGGTTGATTCCCTCCTCAAGTATGGGACAACAAATGGGTAACTTGTTCCCCATATTCATGTAGATAGTAGCTCCAGCCTTGGCTAATATATCCCTCCCTAATAAGGGTGTGGGACTTTCAGGCATAACAAGAAAGGCATGTGAAAAGAGCAAAGTCTCCCAATTACAACTGAGAAGGTGGGAGAAATACCTGGTTACAGGCTGTCCCAGGATTTCTCAGATGGTAATGGACCTCGAGGACAGTTGTCCAGGACAAGAGATTAACGCTGAGAAGGCTGCACCAGTGTCCAGGAGGAAGTCAATTTCCTGGCCCTCAATAGTTAAACATACCCGGGGCTCAGTGAGGGCGATGACATGATCTGGCGCTTGCCCTGGGCACCCTCAGTCCTGTTGTTGGATCATCTGGCTGGGGGCTTCTGACCCAGGGAACCTTCATGCTCTGGGGTAGTGCACCTTCCAGTGATTGCCTCGGCATAGTGGACATGGACGAGGGGGCAGCTTGTTTCTCATTGGACAATCTTTTTTAAAGAGTCCTAGTAAACCACACTGATAACAAGCCCTACCAGGTGATTGGCCTGCTCCATTTTCTGTCCTCTCTGAACCACCAAGGTTTGTTTGTCTGAGGGCCATGACTAAGGCTGCGGCCTTTCTCTGATCTCACTTTTCCTTTTGGGCCTGTTCCTCTTGGTCCCTATTATAGAACACCGAGGTTGCCAGGTTTAATAATGTCTCCAGATTTTGTTCAGGGCCCAGGGCTTGCTTTTGGAGCTTTCTCCTGATATCTTCAGCTGACTGGGTAATAAACTTATCTTTTAGAATCAATTGACCCTCGAGTGATTAGGGTGACAGGGGAGTATATTTTCTTAAGGCCTCTCGTAGCTGGCTCGAGGAAGGCAGAAGGAATTTTTTCCTTTCCCTGAGTTATGGTGGACATCATTGAATAATTCATGGGCTTTTTTCTAATTCTCCTTAGTCCTTCTAGAACACAGGTCAATAGATGTTTATGACTCCAGTCCCCATGATCTGAGTCAAGGTCCCAGTGGGGATCCATACTGGGGATGGCTTGCTGGCCAGCAGGGAATTTGTCCCTTTCTTCGGCTATCATTCTATCATTTACTTGACTAAGATACCAGGTATCTCCAAACTCTCGGGCTGCAGCTAAAGCCGCATTCTTTTCATTAAAGGCCAGGGTTTGATCTAACAGTAGCATGACATCTCTCCAAGCGAGGTCAAAGGTTTGCCCTAGACCCTGTAAGACATCTATGTACCTATAAGGATCATCTGAAAACTTCCCAGGTCTGCCTTGATCTGCTTTAAATCAGAGAGGGAGAAGGGGACATGTACCCAGGTTGGGCCAAATTCCCCTCCCCCTACAGCTTGAAGGGGACATAACCGATAGCCCGGGGGGGTTTTGTGGTCCTTTGGATATTTCTTTGCTTATTTCCTTCTGGGCAGGGGAGATTAGAGGAGGATTATCATTAATAGGAAGGGGAGCTATAGGGAGGCTAGGATATGGGGGTTAGCTGAGAGGTCCTCCTGTGGGATATAAATTGTAAGCTTTGCATAGTTGTGTATGCTCCCTCAATGAAAAGAAAGTTTGGACATAAGGTATTTCACTCCTTTGCCTTCCCTCTTACAGAAAAGGTCAAGCTGCAGGATAGTATTGTAATTTGTACTTCCGTCAGGTGGCCATTTTTCCCCATCAGAGAGAGAACACTGGGGCCAAGCAGTAGTGCAGAAAAAAGTTAGCCACCTCTTTTTCAGGGTTTGTGGGTCAAATTGGTCCCTGTGGCTTAGGATGCATTTCAAGGGTGAGCCTGTTGACGCCTGAGTGTTTCCCATCTGAAAGACAAAACCGCCCGTGGTTTTGGTTTGTTTTGTTTCTTCCCCTGCCCAAGAACCCGCAACGGTCCCTGGACCCTGCTGATCGGAATAGTTGCGCTCACCGACGCAGCAGCAGAAACATCCCCTGCCCAAGAACCCGCAACAGTCCCTGGACCCTGCTGATCAGAATAGTTGCACTCACCGAAGCAGCAGCAGAAACACTAGTTTTCCTCCCAGACCACATGAAGGACCGAGGAAGGTCGGATTTAGTGGTCCTTACCGACACATTCTTGAAAACCTGCACCCTTGCCTGTCCTCCTAGACCACAAGGAGGACTGACCGAGAAAAATCGGATTTAGTGGCCCTTACTGACGCATTCTCAAAAACCTGTTAGAGTCCTAAGAATTCTCCTGTTAGTATTGGGACTTTACCCCTGTCCTATAAAGATGTTATGCCCCCAAAATGAAGTGGAGGGTCATACCCTGAGGGAGGGAAGGGATCTCCAGGTTTGGAAGAGTGACACCTTTTGTCCTCACTTATATGAATAGGAAGGATACAATTTCTGAGGCTCCCCATATCCTATCTTCAGGAATAGCTTTTGTTAGGCCTATTAGTCTGAGGAGGGATCCTAAAATTCCAAGTAGGCCCCACTACGACGGGGCTTTGGGCAAAAATTATTTCTTTCTGATTGGTGAGCCCAGGTGCCTAAAGAAGGTAACAGAGTCCTGGAGTTTATACTAGAAATCATTCTTATAGGAGAAACTAGAAAAGCACCAGAGACAGGTAGCAATTTTTAGAAACGGGTCCAACCTCAGAGAAAAGAGGTGAGAGGAAGTTTGTTTGGCAGGTGTTAGGACCCAGGGGGCAAGGGTCAGAATAGATAGGATAGATGGGTGAGTCTTGCTTGAGCAACATGCTTTTGAGCATTCCACTCATGGCCGCAGGGTCAACCAAATCATTCTTATAGGAGAAACTAGAAAAGCACCAGAGACAGGTAGCAATTTTTAGAAACGGGTCTAACCTCAGAGAAGAGAGGTGAGAGGAAGTTTGTCTGTCAGGCATTAGGACCCAGGGGGCAACGGTCAGGATAGATAGGATAGATGGGTGAGTCTTGCTTGGGTGATATGCTTTTGAGCGTTCCACTCATGGCCGCAGGGTCAACCAACATGTTGTTGGGACCCCTGGAGCTGCATGGCTTTCCTCTCTGTCAACCCTTGGCTCAGCCCAGAAGTACAGGCAAAGCAGAAGCTGGTTCTAGGCAAACCAACGGTCCCAACTCCGAAGAGTCAGGGGTTGTTAGAGAGCCCTTTCCCAGAAAGCCTGCAACCGTGTCTTTAGTCTGGCGGCTGCGCTAGTTGCTTTTAACTGGCTGACAGGTGCCCGGTATTTAGCCCCCGAATTCTGAGGAAAAATAGGACAGACTAGCAAGTGAAAGGGGTCTGATGATACTCACTGCTTGGCGATAGGCGATTGTCTCACGGCTCGGCAATGGTCTCACCGCTCGGTGATTGTCTCACTGCTTGGCGATAGGCGAATGTCCCTTCATGGTCACCAAAATGTGTCCGGAATTGGTGGGTTCTTGGTCTCACTGACTTCAAGAATGAAGCTGTGGACCCTCGCAGTGAGTGTTACAGTTCTTAAAGGCGGCGTGTCCAGAGTTTCTTCCTTCTGATGTTCAGATGTGTTCGGAGTTTCTTCCTTCTGGTGGGTTCGTGGTCTCGCTGGCTCAGGAGTGAAGCTGCAGACCTTTGTGGTGAGTGTTACAGCTCTTAAGGTGGCACGTCTGGAGTTGTTCGTTCCTCCCGGTGGGCTCGTGGTCTTGCTGGCTTCAGGAGCGAAGCTGCAGACCTTGGCGGTGAGTGTTACAGCTCATAAAAGCAGTGTGGACCCAAAGAGTGAGCAGTAGCAAGATTTATTGCAAAGAGCAAAAGAACAAAGCTTCCACAGTGTGGAAGGGGACCCGAACGGGTTGCCACTGCTGGCTCGGGCAGCCTGCTTTTATTCTCTTATCTGGCCCCATCCATGTCCTGCTGATTGGTAGAGCCGAGTGGTCTGTTTTGACAGGGTGCTGATTGGTGCGTTCACAATCCCTGAGCTAGACATAAAGTTTCTCCAAGGCCCCATCAGATTAGTTAGATACAGAGTATGGACACAAAGGTTCTCCAAGGCCCCACCAGAGCAGCTGGATACGGAGTGTCAATTGGTGTATTCACAAACCCTGAGCTAGACACAGGGTGCTGATTGGTGTGTTTACAAACCTTGAGCTAGATACAGAGTGCCTATTGGTGTATTTACAATCCCTGAGCTAGACATAAAGGTTCTCCACGTCCCCACCAGACTCAGGAGCCCAGCTGGCTTCACCCAGTGGATCCCGCCCGGGTGGCTGCAGGTGGAGCTGCCTGCCAGTCTCGGTGCCGTGCGCCTGCACTCCTCAGCCCTTGGGTGGTCAATGGGACTGGGCACTGTGGAGCAGGGGGTGGCGCTTGTCGAGGAGGCTTGGGCCGCACAGGATCCCACGGAGGGGGTGGGAGGCTCAGGCATGGCGGGCTGCAGGTCCCGAGCCCTGCCCCACAGGAAGGCAGCTAAGGCCCGGCGAGAAATCGAGTGCAGTGCCAGTGGGCTGGCACTGCTGGGGGACCCAGTACATCCTCCACAGCCTCTGGCCTGGGTGCTAAGCCCGTCATTGCCCAGGGCCGGCAGGGCCGGCCGGCTGCTCCTAGTGCGGGCCCGCCAAGCCCACGCCCACCCAGAACTCCAGCTGGTCCGCAAGCGCCGCGCACAGCCCCGGTTCCCACTTGCGACTCTCCCTCCACACCTCCCTGCAAGCTGAGGGACTGGGCTCCAGCCTTGGCTAGCCCAGAAAGGGGGTCCCACAGTGCAGCGGTGGGCTGAAGGGATCCTCAAGTGCTGCCAAATTGGGAGCCCAGGCAGAGGAGGAGCCGAGAGCGAGCCAGGGCTGTGAGGACTGCCAGCACGCTGTCACCTCACTAATACATGTTTGAAATTCTTTGCCTAAGTAGGTGTCTTGTACACTGGATTGCAAAAAAAAATTGTTAAAAGTAGATCTATTTTAGCCAGACTCGGTGGCCCATGCCTGTAACCCCAGCACTTTGGGAGGCCAAGGTGGGTGGATCATGAGGTCAGGAGTTGAAAACCAGCCTGGCCAAGATGGTGAAACCCTATCTGTACTAAAAGTACAAAAAATTAGCCAGGTGTGGTGGCGGGGACCTGTAATCTCAGGTACTCTGGAGGCTGAGGCAGAGAATTGCTTGAATTCAGGAGGCAGAGGTTGCAGTGAGCCGAGATCACACCACTGCACTCCAGCCTGGGTGACAGAGTGAGACTCCATCTAAACAACAACAACAACAACAACAACAAAAGTGGATCCTTTTTATAGTCTTATTTATTTACCACTTTCTGGCAAATAATGTATTGAAGGAAAAAAAACTAGAGTCATTGGTCTTTGTCATAAAACATAAAATATCCTACAGAGGTCAAAGAAATGTTGTTCCTGTCTTCTCCTGGGAAATATGTGGTTCCCTAGAGCTTCATGGTAGAAACACTGATTTTTTTTTTTTCCTAAGAGTTATGTTTTCTTGTCAACTCACTTACTCATGGACACACAAAACTACAATGATTTGTTCTGTAGAAAGTTCCCAATCACTTCTGGTAGTTACTATGTATCATACTCCAAAGCTGAGATTTTTATTATAGTATGTCCTGAGTTTTATATTTTATCATAGCTCAAATATTTGGAATTAAACCTGGTTATTACCAATCTGTCTTTACTGAACCATATTGATCACATAGCTTAAGGATGGGATCCTGGACACTTATTTCTAACATACAGATTTATATGTAAACTGACAAATTTTCAATGATCTATAATTAAGCTCTAACATACAAATTTGCATATTAAAATTCCAGAATAGATCTTTCATTACATCTATAATTTTATTATAAAATACTAAATTATCACAATTGGAAAAAGTATAAAATGTCAACCATTTTGAATTTTTTTCCTTTTCTTCTTTTCTTAAGATGGGTCTCACTCTGTCACCCAGTTTGGCGTGCAGTGGCATGATCTCGGCTCACTTCAACTGCCAGCTCCCAGGCTTAAGAGATCCTCTCACCTCAGCCTCCTGAGTAGCTGGGACCACAGGCGTGTGTCACCATGCATCACAATTTTTTTTGTATTTTTGGTAGATACAGGATTTCACTATATTGCCCATGCTGGTCTCAAACCCCTAACCTCAAGTGATCCACTCACCTCAGCCTCCCAACGTGCTGGGATTACAGGTGTGAGCCACCATGCCCGACCAATTTTGAATCCTTAGAATCAGTGCTACTGTAATGTTTCTAAAAGCAATTTCTGTACTGAAAGTGTTACATGTTGAAAAAAATAAAATAACTGTATCTTTGGTGGCAATAAAACATTTAATCAGAAGTTTATCTTTAGGCATTTGAAAAATATTGAATTAGGTTTTCTAGTAACTTAATATTTGTCGTTAATAAGCAAGCTGAAAAAAAAGTGACTCAAAACAAATTGTCACCATAATATGTCAGTTCAGTTAGGCCATATAAATAAAAGCTGTAAGAAGGATACCCCTTGTTGACAGTTTCCAGTTTTTTTCTTTTTTTTTTCTTCTGTACAGCTTTGAGCACCTCGAAACAGCAACATCTCTTCTAATTTACTTATTAGTTATATTTGTTTTGTTCTTCAGATTTTTTAAAGTTTTAAACAATCAAGACACATTATCTGTGAAAAGAAAGTTTTAATTCTTATGTTCAAATCAATATGAGTTTGTTTTGCCTGTCGTACACACAGTGAAACATTGAAGTGGTGAGTGTAGATATCTTAACTTTTTGCTAAATTTGGGGGAAACTGTTGAGCCTTCCATTATTAAGCATTATGTAAGCTATAGGATCTTATAGACATCTATCATCAGATTGAGGAAGTCTCCTTGTTTTCCAAATTTGCTGATAGTTTTTATTACGGATGCGTGGTTACTTTGTTCATATTTTCTGTCTATTGAAATAATCAAGTATTCTTTTCTTCTTTAGTCTGTTTTTTTTAATGGTGTATTATTTTTCTACGGCTGCAGCAGCAAATTATGACAATTTGGTGGCTTAAAACAAGGAAGATTAGTCTCTCACAGTTGTGGAGGCCAGAGGTCTGAAATCAAAGTGTTGGCAAGACAACATTTCCTCCAAAGGCTCTAGGGGAGAACTTTTTCTTGCTTCTTCCAGTTTCTGGCAGCTCCTGGGGTCTCTTGGCTTACAGAAGCATAACTCCAGTCTGTGCTTCTGTTCTCACATGACCTACTTTTCTGTGTGTCTGGTGTGTGTCTACATCTCCCTCTCCCTTCTCTTATTCTAGTAACGTGAATCATTGAATTTAGGGCCCATCCTATAATAAATCCAGGATTATTTCACCTTGACATCTTTAATTCAATCTTCCTTTCTTTTTTTAAAATACAAAAAATGACAATTATATTTGTTCTTTATTTTAGGGTACATGTGCAAGATGTGCAGGTTTGTTACATGGTAAACATCTGCCATAGTGGCTTGCTGCATAGATCATCTCATCACCAAGGTATTAAGCCCAGCATCCATTAACTGTCATATACTGAGGTTATGGATGAGCATGTATTTTTGGGGGACACTCTTCAACCCATTACATATGATAAAATACATTGATTAATTTTCAAAAATTAAACCAATCTTAGTATCCTTAGCATAAACCACTGTTGGTCCTCATGGACTGTACTATTTCAATATTGCTGGATTTCATTACAAAATTACATGCATAAATTCATGAGAAATATTAGTTAGCAATTTTGTTTTTGTGTAATGTCTTTGTGTGCTTTTGGTATCAAAATAATTTTGGTTACATAAAATAAGCTTGAAAAAGTTCCCCCTCTGTTTTCTGAGTTTGTATAGGGATGACATTATCTTTTCATCTGTGTGTGTGTGTGTATCTTTAAAAATTTGTTTTTTAAGCTATGTTAAGGGAGATCTAGAGAAGCCTTTACTCAAGGGCTAGTTTGGCCCTGAGGATTGGCTCACATAACTCTTAAAGCCTAAAGCCTTGTTTTTCTTTTGTGTGTTAGTATTTTTTTTATGTCTACTGACTGTTCCAGGTTTTCAGCATATCAGTTGACAAGCAAGCATCTCCCAGCCCTTTGCAGGGTCTTGTAGTTGTTCAGTTTACATCACACTGTAGTGTTCCTTTCCTAGATGGTGGTTGTCAAGCTTCATGAATTCACATACTATACATGTGTAACTTATTATGTAATCAACAATTCAGGATGACCTCACTCAGTTTTCTGATGCTCTTTCTCTATGTAGGCTCCTACTCTTTGTCCTCTGCTCTGTAAAATCCATCTGCATCAGCTTCCCTGTCTTGTGATCTCTGTTGTATAATCTGAGCAAAGTTACTGTTCTTACAATTGTTGTTCTCAGGTTGAATTCCCATTTCCTTGCACAAGGGCCTGGGAAATATCTTAAGGCAGAAAGTCAGGTGATCATAGTTCTTAAATTATTTGTATCTCTTTTGTCTTCTCTAAGCTGACTGTTGTCCAAGGTCTGAAAACAGTAGTTTCCCATATTTTCTCCATTTTGTTACTTGTTTATGTTTGAAGGACTAATCATATAGTAGTTTCTTCGATTTGTCTTATAGCAAAAGTTTTTCGAAATAAATTTTACTGCCTGTTGAAATGTATACTTATTTTGTTTTTAAATAGAGAAACAAGGTAAAAATACTAAAAATGCAAATATTCTAAGTACAATTTACTAAAATTAATCACTGTTTGCAGAGAAATTGATATTATACTAAATAAGCAAAATTTTCACAGTCTTGGAGATATTAATCACTTTGTATAAATTAAATTTTAACTTGAAATTGTACAAGGAAATATTTGTGAAAGTTTTCAGCAGTCATTACCTCAAAAATATAATAATTTTTTCTCTGTTTTATTTTTCATTTAAAGTTAATGGAGAACACACAATTTTTAAAATATAAACTACATTTTAGTACTTTTATTGATATTGTTTCTTATGAAAGTAACAAAATCAATTCATATTTATTATGTGTATATGTGTATATACAGAAAATATAAATTCCAAAATGGTGAAATATTTTTATAACTTTATAAATTTGATCATGACTTGTTAACTTCTACTCTTTATATATACATTCATGTGTTCACCAGAAAACATCTTTCTATACTTGTTTTACAGTCTTTTCCCCATTTAACAATATATTTTACATATATATGCATCCCATTAAATGATCCTCACCAACATCATTTTAGTTGGTTAAGTAATAGTTTCCTGTATAAAATGAAACATAATTTATTTAACCAAATCCTTGTTGTTTATATTATCTCAAAATTTTTATTACCTGAAGCCATGCTATGATAAAGATCTTTACTTGTACATTATATGTAATTCCTTCATTTTTGTTTCTCCCTTGAGGTTACAGAAGAGAAGTATAAATAATGAGGAAGATAGTACAGATTTGCTCACTAAACACTAACTCTGACTCCCTTCTAGATTTCCTTATGAACTATGGTATTTGAGAAACTCAATTGACCAGATTGCAGGGTTCTATATCTTATCAGTTTCCATGAAGTAAAATCATTTTTGTAGAATGTGAAGATCAAAGTGTGAAACTGAGGTGGTGGATGCTGGCTGGGAGATCAGCTATTTTATAAGCAGAGTGGTAGTGGTGTTTAGTTCCCTGTAGTAGCTGTGACTGATTTTTTCTTTACATTTCATTTAACAAGCTAATCATACAGTCAGCTCAACACTGAAACAGCGATGTGAACCAACAGAAAGGAAGGCATGCACTACCTTGTTGTAAAATGTAGTCACTTTGCAACACTACCTTGATGTGAAACATTAACCATGATGCCCCCAGCATCATGGTTATTGAGTGATGTGCAGCAGCAGCAGTGGTACAGTTCTTCAGTGTTGTGGGCATGTTTCCCAACTGGATTGTACCAGGATTTATGGCATCAAAGTTAGGTTCCTTAGCCCTTCATAGGATTCTGTAAATGAATACTCTTTAATAAATTTTCTTTGGCATAAATTAGCTAGAATGAATATTATTGTCATCTGTCAGGAATCTGGAATGAAGAGGGTCATGGTTTTGAATCTTTAGTCTTTTAAATAAATACACATTGCCTACTTATCTCCAAAATATTTGTTACCATTTACATTTGGACAAGCAGTGCACAGAAGTTTCCAGTTTTCTGAATTTTTTCATCATTAGGTATTATTGTTTGAAAAAAATTGAGAAAGGCACTCTGAACCACCCCACTCCATTATGTCCATGCCTCTTTGCAGAGGCTTGAACTCTTTAAAGTCATTCATTTTCACAATGACATATTTAAAGTTATTACTAATTTTTCTGACTCTTTAGTATTACGTATTGAATGCCTGCTATGTGCATACATAATGTACATACATTATCTACTTAAATGCCACAAAACTCAATGGTTTCATCTTTTAGTCATTAACCATTCTACAAAGTGACATCAACAAGGTTTACCATGTGAAATACTTCACTCCTAGATTCACAGCAAGTAAATGAAAGAAAAAGAATCCAAATTCAGGTAACCTGACTCATTAGCTCATGCTGATTCCAACTGTTCATCTGTCCTGTAGAATCATCTCTTAACATCTGTTCTCCTTCCCTGTGATATATGTAATTTTTAAGTTATACAAAATTGTCTTACCCTTAATTATTTCTGGTGGTCAAGGAAGCAGTTTGTAAGTAAACACACATACACACGTATATACATATTGAACTTTTAATCAGGTTGCTAGTGCCTAAGGCTGTTTCGCTAAAAGATAATCACTTATTGTTTATAGAGGTAGCTTTACTCAATGAAAAACCAGTGTTCCTTAGGCCACCTATTTCCTGATAACTGGCTGCTACGCACATATACTGGAAACTATGAAATTGTAAGAATGTTTACGAAAATATGATTTACATACAAATAGCATGTGTAAGTCTAATCTTAGTTTACTAGAAAAATGAAAGTACTTATAAGGATGATGTAATATCAAGCCAACAGAATGTAAAGCATTTCTAAATTGCTCAGAACTCTAATTAGCATAAAAAATCCAGTCTGAAATGGAACATCAGAAAACAGTATTTTTTTTTCCTCTAGTCTCTCTGGAGAGTACAGAGCTGGCTGCACACTAATGACACAAGGTCACTTCCACCACCTTGCATTGTGTAATTGAAGAACATATCCAAGCAAAGGATCACTTTGATGCCACAATTGAAAGCAAACGGGATGCAAAAGCAGTAATGTTTCACATCAAGGTAGTGTTGCAATGTGACTACGTTTTACAACAAGGTAGTGCATGCCTTCCTTTCTGTTGGTTCACATCGCTGTTTCAGTGTTGAGCTGACTGTATGATTAGCTTGTTAAATGAAAATGAATGTATGTAACATACACTATGAATGTATGTTCATAGTGTTCAGGTTGCCTCTTCTGACTGATGTCTTAAAATCAAGTCTTCTCTAACATTCAGCCAAAATCTAAGTCTAAAATGAACATTCAAATATAATAATTGACGTTTGTCTTAACTGAAATATCCATCTTCCAGGCAATGTCAATAGCTCACTCCTCTCTGCTTCCTTCGCACTTCCTTTGCACTTTGTGTTTATTTCATTTATTGCACTTATCATATTGTGTCATTTTATGAACATAATTTTACTCCCCAGATATTTTGCTGCCTCAGAGATCTTTACTTTGCCACTTAGCTCAGTAATTGGCATTGTGAAATAAAAATGAAATAGATGAATGAACAAATAAACCTTTCTCAAATGCTAAGAAGTAGGCTCTAGAAACCAGGGTTATAGCATAAAGGAAGAAAAACAGGTACCAAAAGGAGAGTTTGAGGGTCTTTCAACATTTCCTAGGGTGTGTTTGTTTGTAAGGGATTACATACATAACAGAAATCTAAAACTAATGCTACATTCTAATGTGTTTGGTTAGGAAAAAATAGTAAACTATTATTGTAGTTTGAGCACAAACACAAATAAATTTGGTGTATTAGTCCATTTTCACACTGCTATAAAGAATACCTGAGACTGGATAATTTATAAACAAAAGTTTAAATAACTAATAGTTCCATACGGCTAGAGAGGTCTCAGGAAACTTACAATCATGGTGGAAAGGAAAGGAAAGCCAGGCATGTCTTATATGGCAGCAGGAGAGAGAAAGGGACAGAGAGAGAGAGAGATAAGGGGGAAGTGGCAGATACTTATCACACAACCATATGTCGTGAGAACTTACCATCATGAGAACAGCATGGGGGAAACCACCCCCATAATCCAGTCACCGCCCATCAGGTCCCTCCCTCTAGATATGAGGAATGCAATTCCGATTACAATTTGAGATTGGAGTGGGGACACAGCAAAACCATGTCACTTAGTCTCAACTGAAAGGTAATTTCCAGAAACAACATAAAATACTAGCACATCATAAACGTCATTGGGGCATCTGATGCCCTCTAAACTGCAATTTTCTAATTGCTAAAATGATGATAATTGCCATTTTACCCTTATTTCTTCTAGGGTTAATACAAGAAATGGACAAGAAATATGTAAAAGCCTTGATGAATAATCAAAGATCACTGCTTTAGTTTATGTTTTACCACTTACTGATTTTCTAATATGGCATTTAAATTCCCTAACTCTGTCTGTTCGTTAACAGAAATGGGTAAAGATAACTATTTTCTGTGGTATCTGTATAAAACTGGGGATTTTAATCCACCCAGCAGGATTCACTCACCTATTGATGTCAATGCAGAGAGTTCCAGAAGAAGTGAGCTTAACTGACAAAGGATGAGATTGATAAAATACATGTTAAAAGGATATTAGCTGAAATTGTTTTTCTTAACATGATCAGATGACTGATGATTGCAATGTAGCTGAAATATTTATGATAATTTTTGTGGATTATTTTTTCACCCAAGCATATATATAGAAAACTCAGTGTTCAATGTTCCATAAAAAAGAAACTTAATGATTAATTTAGCTTACTTTTTACTTTCAATCAATCAAAAGAAAATCTGATTTGGAAATCTTTCTATTCCAAGTGTGAAAATTTTAGCTAGACTAGCAAATTAGTAAGACAGTCATTTCTCTTCAGAAATTCAGAGTCTAGCATAAGAAATAAGGTAACATTATATGAAAAATATTGATTAAAGTATAACCTCCTAATTACCAAAATTGAGGTAGAAAGCTCAATTAGGCTCTTTTGGCATCAAGTGGTTACCAAGAACATGACATTTATTAGACTGAAACCTCACTACCTGAAACTTTATATGTAATAAATATTTGCAAATAGGGATATATGGATAAATAGGAATAGATAAATGTGATCTTTTCATATTCAGTATTACCCAGTGGGGTGTATAGTTTGTTCACTTGTTCTGGAATCTGGACTCTCAATAACAACAATCTGGTAAAAGTGACCATTTTCTGTATTTATATCTCTATGACTAATATCACTATGCAGTCTATCTGTTACCTAAGCAAAAAATATGGAACTTGTAATGTAGTAGTCCCCACTTATCTGTGGGAGATATGTTTCAAGACCCCCAATAGATGTCCGAAAACATGAATAGTATTGGACCCCATATATATCATGGCTTTTTAAAAATCTGATAGTTGAGACAGCTATTAAGTGACTAACAGTTGAGTAGCCTATACAGTGTAGATATGTGCAGAGCAGGTCAGACTGGGACGGCTAAAGATTTCATCGTGCTATTCAGAAGAGGTGCTATTTAAAACTTATAAATTGTTTATTTCTGGAGTTTTCCATTCAGTATTTTCAGACTTGGTTAACTGAAACCTGAGAAAGCAAATCTGTGGATAATAGGGGATGCCTGTAGCATCTCCCTAGCAATTACCAAGTTCAGCTGAGTTTACATCTTCAGTAGTTCTCATATTTTTTCTGTCCTTATCATTCTTATTTTGTGTCCCAGGCACGGAACCTTCATTTGCCAATACTTAAACTATTGCAATGTCCTTTGCATTGTCTCCTCTAGAAGATGCTATATTTAAAAAGAAAGTCTGACCAAATTACTCCCTAGTTTATAACACTTCAGTGGACTCTCACTATCTTTTGAGCAAAAATAAATTTCATAGCTCAGCTTACAATGTCCTCCATCATTTGGGCCTTGCTTCGTTTTTTTTCTTTATGAACCACTACTTTTTTTTCACAAAGGATGTTCTAGTAACAACAACAACAACAATATGATGGATTGGGATCCCTAAAAGAAACCATATGCTATTTCAAAAGTTCTAAGACTTTCCAAATGTTTTGCCTGGGCTTGTAATTCTCCTTCCTCCCCTTCTATATTGCTTAAGTAACTTCTACTTATTCTCCAAAACAAAACTCAGTTATTTTCTCCATTAATATATTCTAGAGTCTCCTCAACCCCAAGGATATATTAGGTGAGCTACTTTTGACTCCCTAGTAGGCTGTTCATTCTTGTATCTTAGCATAGTAGCAGTGGTTAAGACTAGGGCTATGAAGATACATGCATAAGGATTCAATTCCCCTCTCTCATACAAAATTACCTTAACCTCTCCAATAAACTATTCTTATCTTCAAAATGAAGTTTAAAATGCTGCTTAATTCATACGGTTCTTGTGAAGATTTCATGGTAATGAGATAGGAGGCAGACTCAACTCTGGAGGTGGGACTCAGACACCGGACCAGATTGAGAACTAACTGAAACAAGGAAGAGATAGGCAAAAGCATCTCTCAATAAGACATGTCCATCAGTGCCATGTCAGTTTACCATTGCCATGGCAACATCCAAAAGTAGACATCTCTATGGCAACAACCTGACCACCTCGAAGTTACCACCCTATTTCTAGATGTTTCTCCATAATATGCGCCTTCATTTGCATATAATTAAAAGTAGAAATAAATATGACTGAACAACTGCCTCTGAGCTGCAAGTCTGGGCACACTTCATACAGCATAGCCCTGCTCTGCAAGGAGCAGTGCCTCTGTTGCTGCTTCAGTGAAAGTTACTGTGTGACACCACCGGCTCACCCTTGAATTATTATCTAGGCAAAGCCAAGAACTCTCCAAGGCTAAGCCCCAGTTTGGGGGCTCACCTACGCTGCACCAGTAATAGGCTAGTAAAGCCTTTAGCAAAGGCCCCAACACATGGAAAAGGTTATATGAATATTTTCTATTGCACCAGCTCCTACCAAATAATTGAAGTGAAATTATTTCTTACCATTTTTCTCACTAAATGAAGGGACTTTGCAAGCAAGGCTCCTACTCTCTTCTTCGATATATCTCCAAAAGTGGGCCCAGGGCTTGACACATGGTAGACACCTATTTTGTCGAACCAAATAAGCGTATGGACCTTACTTTACTATTTATTCTATTTTATTTTATTTATTTCTTTTTTTAGAAACATGGTTTTGTTATGTTGCCCAAGCTGGTCTTTAAGTTTTGGCCTCAAGTGATCCTCCTGCCTCAGCCTCCCAAAGCAATGGGATTACAGGTATAAGCCACTGCACCCACCCACACTTTATCATTTATAAACAATATTAGAGATGTCATATTGAATGAGAAAATGAAGCAGTTAAGGTAATTGTCCAAGACCCAGTTAGTTGCAAACTGGTTTGACATTTGATTTTCTAAAAGCAAATCCTTTGTTATAGCATAGCGCACCTTCAGCCTGGAACTACTGCTTTTTCTGACAGATTTTCTCATTAGCTAGAAGTGTCAGACACAGTATTTGAGCTCGACATAATTTTCACTTAACGCATCAGAGAATTCAAGATTTTCACCAAACAAAAGCCATAAGCATGATTCCATTGGCAACATAAAGGACTCAACAAATAACACCATATTGATGCTTGAGCATTCCCATTTTTCTGGAAATTGTAGCAAACAACTTGATTATATGAAACAATGGACTCCAATGAGCATACCTTAATAGAATATCTATCCTGGTAGGAGAAATATTATTTATGACAAAAAACATCATAGTGAGTTTTCACTGTCCAGAAATACCAAGTATTTGGTGATCAACACTTGATCACAAGTAGGCCATAATGAATAAAAGGAGTTAAAGTAGCTACTGGTAAGGGCCAAGTCATTTTTTTCCGCTAAAACTGGAATATATGGTGAGTAGATTTTTGTCTTGAACTGATCTGAGAACACCAGGCATGCTGTACTTAGCTTGATCTACTCTAAATAGTCTTGTTGTGGCTCAGGCATTATTCTAATCCTGAGAAGAACTTCTTTCTTTCCCATCTGCTGTCTATCTGAAAGTTGTCAATTTTTGACAGAGCAGAGCATGCTTTTTCTCTAACTTGCAGCTTTTTACAAACACAGATATCATAGGCTATGTAATTAATTAGATGGAACCATATACAATTGCCAGTATTCAACATTTTTGAGTTACAAAAAAATGAAAGTTTTATAATTTTCACTGGAACATATGTTCTCTGAACTCACCATCTACTGTCTGTTTTTCACTTTGGTATTCCAAAGATCTGAGAATGCTTTGTTTGGAAAATTTAAAATAACCATACAAAAAGCCCCAAAGTATAACACATACTTAAATGTAGCAATAGCTCTACATGCTTATGTGTATGCATGTACGTATTAGGCTGCTAAGTAATACAAGCAATTGAGAAAGAAAAGAAAGTCAACATGTTTTGATGATGTCTCAGAAGCATGTTAGAGGCTCTTTTTAAGTTACTTATTGTAGCCTCACAGTTTTAAAAGTTGGTCAGCATTATACTTATAGAAAAAAAACTAAAAAAACTAGGCTCACAGAAGCCAAATCACAGTTAAAGTTACTTAAGTTTATCTAGGCTTATACCTTAGCCCAAGTGTCTAAAAAATCCCTCTCGTTTCTACTGCACAAAATTTGTATACATATAAATTTCCTGCAAGTCAAATCAGGACAGTGTTATTAAGTATTGAATACTTTTGTGAATGTCTCAGTAGTCAATAGCTTGTGTCAGTGCAGCATGACAGACTGCCATCACCCACACCTGGCACCAACATGAAACCAGTGAGATAAACTATGTAGGATGTGAAACATAAGCACAATTCTATTTCTTCTGACAGTGTAAACTGCTCCATATTTGCCACAGAAAACTACTAAAAACAAAGCACAAATGTCATTTTGTGTAGAGATCTACAATTCTTTTACCAGCTGATACAATTCAAATAATAAGAACTCGGCCTATAACGTGTGTGTGTGTGTGTGTGTGTGTGTGTGTGTGTGTTGAGGGGATAGTTTTACATTATTGCGGTAAAAGGGGGAATATTGGCATGTGCACTCCCCTTTTTATATAGAAAAGGATTTCCTGAATGGCAGCTGCTTGATAAATACTTAGAAATGTGTTGATTCTCTCACCTGCAATTTTATTCTCCATTCAGAGTTGTTACTGTTTTCTTTTTTTCTTATTAAACTGGGAAAAACTGTAGAAATAAGGATTTTAGAAGTACAAAGGACCTGAGATACTAGTCACTTAGCTAATTATGAGAATTGACAAGCTGCAGCTCAGAGAGGGAAGGTTTCTCATTATAGATCCCAACTAATGTACCTGGGCCCTTGTGATTAGGTTTATGATAATAACTATGGTTATGCGTCAAGTGGAGAACGAAGTCTAGGTATTATAGAGGGGTTTAGTGTTCCTGGAAACATACTGCATTAACATTCTGCTGCAGTGCTTACAACTTTAGATTTTAAGCATGTGTATTTTTTACAGAAATGACCCTATTCTCTATGGAATTCATTTATAACACAAGGAACAATGGCAACACCAAGAAAATGTCTACTATTTGTTGAGCCTTTACTATGTAGTTTACGTGCATTATCTCATGGCCTCACTACAACAATATGAGCAAGTTGTCATTATTATTCTATTTTATAAATGAGAAAACTGAGGTATAGCAAAGTAACTAGCTCAGTGTTCCTTGGTTAATAGGTAGTAGATCCAGAATTGTTACCTAATTCTGATTCCAGTATCTGAACTATTAATAAAAAAATATTTGGACATATTTGGGAAATCTACAGCATGCTGAGTATCAGTTCCCATCATGAGTTTTCACTTAAATAATATTTACACATTATAATATTAACTACTATTACAGAAAATATGGACAAGGATAAAGAAGAATATAATATATAAAATATATTCCACACACCAAGAGATAACCACTGTTAAAAATTTTGAGTAATTTTTTTCAGTAACACATCTGTCAGCCCGGATATGAGCCTAGATTACATGTAAGTATATGGATATAATGTATATAGGTCTACATGTATATTTGAGTCACAGGTCGATTTTGCATCATTCTTTCTGTCTACTGCAGTTCCAGTTGTAGATAACTGGTCTTTTGATGTCCAGCAGATTTCTCTTTTTCTTTAGTGAAGACCATCACCTGCAGGGTAGCCTGCAGGGTAATTCTCAGCAGACAAGCACTTACTGTCTCCTCATTTACTAATGTTTAACACCCTTCTTAACTTTTACTTTTAATTTCAAACTCAATCCACATGCCGATAGGAGTGTCTTTGGACTTCACTAATTAAGATAGTCCCAAAGGCGAATATTGTAGTTAATAAGGGAGCTCAAATCATTGTTCACTGATGAAATAACTTACCACAAATCATGATAGTATTTTACAATTAAACAAATGAGACCAGAAAGTTGGGTGGAATTTTTAAATTAAGCTGAGACCATTTTCATTCACCGATAAAGTTCATTAGAAAAAAAATAATGCAAGAACTTAGTGATTTTACAAATTTTTGTGATTTAATACTTATTTTTGAGCTTGTTCCTACTGCATGACATGGAGTACAGTGTAACAGGATGCTCTTAGCCACAAGCAACACTAAATTCTGACTCACTTTGCTTGAAAAGAAAATCATTTTTACCATCATATAAAGGCAGCCGCAGGATTAATTAAGTCAGTAGCCTAACAATGTCATCAAGGACCCAGTTTCTTTCCATCTTTCTTTCTTGACACGTTTGGTGTATCAGTTTAACTCACCCAATGGCTCCAAGAGAACTAACAAAATTCCAGGCCTTGCAAGAATACTTTCATCAGAAAACCTTTTAGCCCCCATATATGATGGTCAGTTTTATGTGTCAATTTAACAGGGCTATAGTACTCAGTTTTATGGTCAAACACTAACCTAGGTGTTTCCCTGAAGGTATTTTGTACAAGTGACTAGCATCTACAATAAGTTATGTAATGGAGATTATCAGGAATAATCAGTGAGATTCATCCAATTACCTGAAAGGCCTTCAGAATGACCATGAATATTCCCTGAGGAAGGAAGAAATTCTACCTGCAAACTGCAGAATCAGCTCCTGACCGAGAGATTCCAGCCTGTATTTCCTGACAGCCTTCCCTATACATTTTTTACTTCCTTAGACAACCCTTACAATTACGTAACCCAATTCTTTACAATAAATCTCATTTGTATATTTTGCTCGTTTTGTTCTTTTCCTCTGATGGAACCCAGACTGACATGCCATACTTTTATCCGGAATAAAAGCTTTACAGAACAGCCATCCTCACAAGTCTTTCTGTCACATCATATTGAGCAGAATTGCATCACATATTTCTCCTCAAAGTAACTGTTATGAAGCATAAAGGAATTTCCGCTTATCAGAATTTACCCCCAGCCACATAGGAGTGGACACAAAAAGAAAATAAAGTGATAGTTTTGTTAGTAAAGAAGTGAACAGTCATCAGGAAAGAAACAAACAGTGAGGTTCAAAAAAAAAAAAAAAACTGTCAGCATCCTTTCTTACATTCAGAGGTGTACAATTTATATAACAGAAAGATGATTAATCCACGAATATTTCTGGGTTGCAATCAGCTTCTATCTCAAAATCCTCATAATTTCCCTATGTCCCACAACCACTCTGGCTGTTTCATTATAATTAAAATGAAGAAGCTGAATTAAGTCAACTGCAAGCTCCTTTTAGCTTAGTCTGAAATAAAGCTAAAATTCTGTTCTTTATAAACTTGATAAAAGTAAACACATTCTTCATGACCCAGCTTATATTCTTTCTTCTGAATTAAGTTCTCTGTTACAGCTCCATAGAGAGTAAACATCCCATCAGCATTTTATCAAGCCTATAACGTACGCATATTACTGCCATATATAATTTTTAATAATGTACATTATTTGTGTTATTCCACATGACAGTAAATTCATTTAAATAAGTAATAATATTTGAGCCATTTTAATATCTACAATTCCTACATTAGCATCTAACACACAGTGAGTAAGCATCTGATAAACAAGCATTAATCTTCATTACATTCCTGCAAATATATAGCAATTAAATTGCTGCATGGGCTGCTAATTAAAATAAATAAATAAATTATACCTTTCTGGGATAGGGCTTAAGCCAGTGCAAATGTGACAAATGTTTTAGAGGCTAACTTATCTGATCTGTATATTAGGAATGATGGTTACATGTCACTGAATGACACTCTCTAAAAACGGACCTAATGTTAAAGTGAGAGAACTGTGTACTTAGTACAATCCTTGCACATTGTGGAAAGCATGCTGTAGTCACTAATCATTGTTACTCAGAATCTATGTGACATTGACATGACTATAAAACTGCCTATAGACATTAAGTTGAGGGTCAAAACAAACTAAAAACAGGTATACATCAAAACACTACTGTTTTTCTAAACACCGTCTATCCTCAGTTCAGTATTCTTATTCCTGGTCCCATATATGAAAGGCATTGTAGATATGCGATGTAGAGACCCATCATAAGGGTCACAGCTGACACCCCTATACCAAAAGACAGGTTAACAAGAGAAAAGCATAACAAATTTATGTGATCCTGATTTTATGGTGACATGGGAACCTTCAGAATGAACACCCAAAGATACAGAGAAAACTAACAATTTTTTTATGATTAGTTTCAGTGAAGAATTCTGCAGTCATGTAGAACTGTGACTGCAAAAAGGGAATGCTTTAATGCTAATAGAATGAATGGGGAAACTCAGCATGGCCTACCTGTTCAGATTCTTCTTGGTCTCTCTGTGTGGCATTTGTCCCTCCTGGGTATGGGGCAGGACACTTCCTGGAATGTGGATCTTATGACCCACTATCAAACAAGGTAGATTAGTAAATTTCTTTGTGACCAGTTCTTCTTACACAAAAAGGTGGAGGAAAGGTAGAATAATATTTCTAGGTTTTATCATTGGCTTTGGAGAAAAGGAGCTCTGGTTTCTATAATCCACCTTGGAAAAGCAAGACTCTAGTTTTTATGGGTAGCCTTGGGAAAGAATGAGAGGTCAGAGAAAGGAGGGCAGAAGAAGTTTGCAGATAAACTTGGCTCCTGAGTTGAGTCTGATGCCTTCACTTTGGAGTATTGTTTCCTGTGCTCCAAGAACACTCCGAGAAGTTATCCAAGAGTTGGGAAAAATCAGTCATTAGAATCCAAACCTCCTGCTATGATCTATAACCCCAGATGTGTAATAATATTAACTATAACCTACATTCATTCTGGTTCCCTTTCTTTCTTATTTTCTCAGTTGAAGACACCTATTGTGTCTCAAATCTTTCAGCCTCACATATTTTGTATGTAGTAAAAACTATAAATGTGTCTTTAAGAGCCATTTATTATGCATGGAGCTTAATCACGACTAAAGGACAAGTATAAATTCAAGGCGGTCTGCATTTCATTCTTGCATACCTCTCTTTGTTGATAGTATCATTCTGTGGAAAATTAGCATTTAAATACAAAATCCCTCTAGCATTGCGAGGTAGATGTGACTCACAAGAGGTGAAATAAGCTACCAGGATTTTGTTGCTGTTGTTACCAAGCATCCCCTCATATAAAAACACACATTTGTACCTATTTTGGCCTATGTCTCTAAGCTGATAAAAATGACCTGTATGCAGAGTAAAAAGTAATCATTAAAGTAGAGACAGGAGAAGTGCTTGTCATTGTCCTTGAATAGTGAATGAATCTAGTGTTCAAGTGGCAAGGTTGCCTTTAGATTGAAGCATCAAAAGTTCATCTTTAGCAATGAATAGGCAGAGTATGTAGGTGTGGTAGGTAGGTGGTCCATATAGAAAGCTTTTCATAAGAGGTGGAAATTTATCTCAGATAATTCAGAAAAACTGAGAAGAATGAAGCATGTTTCCTACTTTACCACGCTTTTCATTTCTGTTCATGTTTTTCAGGAATCAGGTCAAGCATCACTTCCTGCTCTCTGCTCCCATAGTGCTAGGCACACACCTCCTTTATGCTAGACTCTGAGTTTCAAAGGCAAAGGTTCTATCCTGTTTGTTTTGTATTTCATGACTTTTAACAGTACTTAGAATATAGCTAGAAAAGTTCCTAGAATATTATTTTTGTATGAAAAAATGATCAAAAAAAGAACACTGTTGCTGTTAGATTTTTATGATTTTTCCTGTTATTGGAAAGTTATTTTTGTATAATTAGATGAATTCAGATTTATGACTAGATTATATTATAGGCAACCATAGAATTCAAGAACTAAATGTAATTAGACAAAGATGTCAATCACTCTCACATTAGAAACAAACTTTTATTTAGACATGCATATGAAACACCTAAATGAGCAGAAAGACCTGTTTTCGGTGCTTGACCACACTGTAGTATATTATAAGTAATACATTGAATAACTCCTTTTTACCTGCGTAATTTGGAAAATTATCACCATAAAAATATTGAAAATCTGTATGCCATCAAAATCTATTTTTAAAGAACTTCATCAGCTGTCAAACCATGACAGCTCTTCTCTGCATAAAAATTTGCGACAAAGACAGCAATAATGAATTTCTAGAGCTGTGCCACTACTTGATATTAAAACTGTGCTCTTCTCAATTTGGTGAGAAAAGATGCTGCCTGGCTGACAAAAACAGTTCCTTTATCACTACAGAAAATTTGAGAGGAGAGTATATTCTGACGTAAAAGAGCCAAGCAATAGAATTGTGTTAGATAATCATTTTCCTGGAAAGAGAGATCTAAAATTAAAAATTCTCCCATTAATTAATTAGGTAACCTTGGGAAAATCACCTAGTCTCTCTGGTCTTAATTATCCTTGTGCCTGGAATGAGGAGTTTTGAATTGATTATCCTCTATATCCCTTTGAATTTGTTATATCCAAAAGCTTACTCATCAATTTCTAAAATTAAACCTAGTAACTGACAAGAACCGGTTCTTAGTATTGGAATGAAGCTATAAGATGTATAGCATCCCAAAGACCCTTGTCTTTGGTCTAATGGTGAAATTTAGAATGTTAAATATTTCTGTTTTTTCAATGTGGGCTGCAGGTAGATTTCATGTGAAAGCTTTTTGTGATGATACCACGTGCCTTCAGAAGAAATAGTTTGAATGGCAAAGCTTGCCTTTGAATATAAAAGTAAAAGCTTCGTGTCATAAAACTACTCAACAATTTCATTCACTTCTCTTTTCCAAAGCCTTTTTTTCTAGTGAAACCTCAAGTAATCTGTTGTTTCAGAGAGTATGATGGGAACAAAACTTAGGCTGAGTTTTAAATATAATTCCTGCCTTTCAACTCAGTCTTCCAACTAATCCTCCTCATCTCATAATGTGAACTAATTGAAGTTTCATGCTATCTCAGTGACCCTTAATGAAATTATTCACTCACTTGTGTAGTGTTCTCCAACACTGACTCTGAAATAGGTGAGATGGAACATCAGTAAGAGCGATAAAAGCAGAGCTTGGTAATCTATTACACAGATGGGAGATTCAAGAGCCAGAATGAAGAATGGACAAGGAAATTCCCGACTCAGCATAATTGATGGCAGCCGCTGCCGCCATCACACAGGCTGCAGCAGGGAGGCATAGCAGGGGCTGCACACTCCATGGAGCTGGTGGGAGTCCCACCCCTTCTGAATTGGGACGAGAGCTTCCCTGTTGCCGCTGCAGCCGCCCAAACCAGGGCTGCAGACCCGGGCCTCTTGCTCTGTGCAGCAGGCAGGAGCACCGCCCTCCTGGGTGAGGCTACAGCCACCCAAATTGCATCTGTGGATGGGAGCCTCCCTGTGCTCTTGGAAGCGCCAGGATCAGGTAGGATTTGTCTTCCTAGGTTCAGCTGCAACCACCCCACCTGGGCTGTAGAACTCGGCCTCCTGCTCCACAGAGCGAGCAGGAGCCGGAAACAAGCAGGAGCTCCACCCCTTCCTAGTTGGCGGGGTGGGAGATCCCCGGTGCAGCTAAGGCTGCCCCTCCCAGATGCAGGACATGGGCATCTCCGCAGCTTGCGTCCTTGGCCTGAAGGCTGGGGGCCGGGCTGCCAGTCCCGTGCACCACAGTGGGGACTCGTGGTGCCTCTTCCCATGGACCAATCAGCACACATTTTCTCCCCTCTGAGGTCCATAAAAGCCCTGGCTTCAGCCAGAGCAGGAGAGAGGACTGAGAGGATGGAGAGACAACGGGACCACCAGCTGCAGAGAGGAGCTACCCTCTCTGCTGAGAGCTTCCGAGACCTGCAGAGATGTCTGAACCACCTGCAGAGAGGAGCTACCCTCTTCAGGGCCACCTCTCTGCTGAGAGTTGAACACTCCACAGGAGGACTGCCTGCCAACAGAGGGGATCTACCCATTGTGGTCTCCTCTGGGCTGTTCTAACACTAAATAAATCTCCTCTTTGTGTTCTTCACCGTTCGCTCGTCTACGTCTAGGTACCTCATTCCTCCTGGACGCAGGACAAGAACTCAGGTAAATGCCACAGGCCATAAAAGCTTCCGGGAAGAAAATCAATACCCCAGAGATATCACAACATAATCAGGGTCTAAAGTTCTATGTGCCCAATGAAAGGCTTTATAATCTATGCCTGGATGTTTCCTATTTTCTCTCTCTCTCTCTCTCTCTCTCTCTCTCTCTCTATCCTTGTATGGGAGAAATGGTTGCTATTATCCCATGGTGAAACTATCATCCCAGCTCCACATCTGCATATGTGTGTGCAGTGTGGGTGTGTGTACAGAAGGTTAACTCATTGTCTTTTCTTTCATGATTTGCAAAAGAATTAGCAAGCACAAATAGACCTACAGGGGAAGACTGCATCAGACACACATCTTAGACTTTGAGCTAGAGGCGGTTATTTATGCTATCATGTTGCTAAAAGGATGAATACAATTGTTCATATGGTAAGAGGGGAAAAGTCAGTATTTGGTGATCAGAAAGACATGATGTGGTAGAAATTAATATGTTTTGACCAAATCCTATTTTATAATTTTCCCAGAACATAGCAAAACAACAATTTTTATCCTTAAGTTAATTGTAGCTATATGGCTAAAAATGAACCAGTGTAAGGTAAGCAAAAGTGATGTTTGCCACTTCTAGGCCTGTGTCATTAAAACCTTTCACGTTTGTTCTGCCATGTAATTTTCTCTTTTGTACTTTTGGGATATGATAAGAACTACCTGGAATTGCCGAACTAGAAAAATAAGGTATGATAGTGAAAAACCTGCTTGCCATATCACTCTAAGAAACTTGATCAAGTTAGAGAACATTTCATTTACTAGACTTGGGTAGGTGCCACCACTTCTTAGGAGTTTTAGGGCTGATTAAGGGATCCAGCCAGTCACACTACAGCAGGTCTGAGCTGCCACTCAAATTGGCAGTTCGTAGGGTTTACCTCACAATTGCATTTGCTCCTGAAGGTGATTTACAGGAAACAACTCCAAGGCTATGAAAAGGAATTGAGGTACAACAAAGACATAGCTTGATTTATAAACTTTTAAACGTTTACAAACATGGTATGGGTAGCTGTATACTTACCCTTGGAATTGCAAATATTAGGAGTGGTTCTATTGGTCTCTCTCAGCCTTTTCCTTGTAAGATCAAGACGTCATCTCTTCTCTTTATAACTGGAACTATCTGGACTTTAATAAATATATTGGAGCATTATGACAAGGTGAAAAAATATGAATTTATAAGTCTGGTAGGACATGGTATATGTAGTTTTCCTAACGAGTGGTAGTGTTATTTTCAGAGAGCATGCTATAAATTATTTAAGTTCTATAGGAATATCCCTTTAACAAAGACATAATAATTCCACCATCATGAGAATAATGCAACAAAAATTATGTAGATAGCTAGACATTATAAGCCATTTTGCCTTATAATGATCCCAAGCATCAAAAGGGAAAGATGGCATATTTGGAAATTTGTCAGTTCATTTCTAATTTTACTATTGGTCCTTTTCAAAATTATCATCCAGGTAGGAGAGACTAAGGACAAAGAAAAAAATTATAGTTTATTATATGTCAGGTCACACTCAAGTCATTTGATTCGAGCACCAAACAACATTGTCCAAAACCAAACAGTAGTCAGAACTTGGCTGAGAGACACCCCAAATGTTGGAATCATCAGATGGGCTCTTTAAAATAACTATGTTCAATATATAAAGTTTTCTAGTACAAAATATGTTCTTTGGAAAAAGAAGAAATAATTTTTAACAGAAGAAAATTATCAGAGTGAGTTTAAGGAATTTACAAGAAATAGGAAATGTGATTTAAAAGATAAAGAATTAATTAAGTGGGATCAGCAGTAGAGCTGAAACAGTTCAGAAAATAATTGTTAAGAAAATTGAAATTACTCTACTGAAATACAAGGAGAAAAGTGGAAAACAAGTGCAAAGCAAACACTAGAATAAACCACTTAATAACTGTGGGACAATATAAAATTATCTAATGTACATTTAATTGGGGTGCCAGAAAGAGAAGAGTGAGAATAGGACAGAAGAAATATTTTAAGAGATAGTGAATAAAAATCTTCCAAAAATTATAAAAGATAATCAAACCAGAGTTTCAAAAATTCAAAGAATCCCAAGTGACATAAATACTAAATACCAATTTGGTACTGTATCACGGCTTCTTTAATGCTTTGTTCTGATGTTTTGTTTTGTTTTTGCTTTCTGTTTTTCTTTTTGTATTTCAGTGTTTTCTCTTTTTTTGAAAACTGCTTAGCTTTATCTATTATTACTGAAGATACACAAACATATACCCCAGAAATTTTACTCTTAGATATATGCTCAATAGAAATATATCTATTTGGTTACGGAAAAATCTTTACGAGGATGTTTATCACAGCATTAATCATATATATTCAAGATAGAAACAACCTAAATGTGAGCATTCTTTTTTCAGCTATTTCAACTCTACAGCTAATCCAAATGAGACTACCACCACTACTACTATCACTACAATGACCACCGCACATGCATGCATGCACATACATACACACACACACAAACACACACACGCACACAAACACACACACACAACTAGCTATATATGTCATAGTTAAATAGTTGAAAATGAAAGGTAAAATAGAATCTTGAGGGCTGCCAAAGAAAAAAGACAAATTACCTAAATGAAGGAAAGTTATATATTACAGCAGATTTCTCATTATAAACTAACCAGTTTGCAGTGGAATAACGGCCTTAAAGTACAGAAAGAAAAATACTACCAACTCAGAATTCTACATCCATAGAAAACACATTTTAAAAATAAAAGTGAAATGAAGACTTTTTCAGAAAAACAAAAGCAAAAAACATTGATTAGTAGCATGCCTGTGCTACAAGAAATGGTAAAGAAAAGTTTTCAGGCAGAAGGTTTATGACACCAGAGATTAAAATTTACATAAAGAAATGAAGTGTTCCAAGAACAGTGAAATTAAATGCAAATATACAATATATATTTTCACTATTTTAATTAATCTTAAAGATAGTTGATAGTCGAAAGTAAAACTATTGACAAGGAAATGTGAGGTTTATAACATATGGGAAAGTAAAGCATATAATAAAATAGAAAATAGGTGGTTGCATTTGATGTATAGTATTGAAAATTCCTTGCATTTATATGTGTCATAACATTACCTGAAAGTAGATGGTTGTCCATTAAAATGTATATTTGAAGCACTAGAAAAAAAACTGAAATAAAATGTGTAGCTATTGAGCAATTGTGTCGATACATTAGAATTATAAATATTTTTGACATACAAAAATGAAAGAATTTACCAAAAGCCTATCCACATAATAAGAAATGTTAAAGGATGTTTTTTCTCAAGTAGAAAGAAAATCATTTTAGATGAAAATATAAATAGGATAATACATCATGATCAAAAGCAACAAAAAATGTTCAATTTTAAAATAAGCAAAAGATTTTGATAGACACTTAATAAAAGAAGTTATACAGATAACAAGCACATTAAAAAGATGATTAATACTGTTAATCATCTCAGTATTGCAAATTAAAACCACAACTCGATGTTTCTACACACTTACTAGAATGAGTAAAATTTTAAAGTCTTACTCTATCTTGTTTTGTCAAGAATATGGAGCAACTAGAACTCTCATACACTAATGGATGATATGTAAAATCATACTACCACTTTGGAAAACAGTTTGACAGTTTCTTAAAAGTTAAATGTTTTCCTACCATATGATCCAGTCAATCTACATTTAAGTATTTAAGACGTGAAAGAAAATGTCTCTATATAAGCGTGTACATAAATGTTCACAGCATCTTTATTTGTATTAACCAAAAATTGAAAATACCCTGCTTATCAACAGGTAAATGGATACACAAATCATGATACACACACAAAATGGAATACTAGAAATTATACGGTGTAATAAAATGAATAAGCTTGATATGTACCAAGATGAATGAATCTAAAAATAATCATGTTTAGTGAAAGATGCCAGTCAAAAAGACCATATGCTATTTAATTCCATGTATACAAAATTCCTGAAATACAGGCTTCTCTGTCGTGAAAGGAGATAGTTGTTGCTTGAAGATGGGATTGGAAAAGAAAGAGGATTACAAAGGGGCATAGAGAAATTTTTCAGGATGATATGCATGTCCACAATCTAGATTGTGTGATATTTTTCATGGGTAGATATTTATGTCAAACTTACCTAATTGTATTTTTAAGTATATGAAGTTTATTGCATGTCAATTTTTTAACAAGTTGCAAAGCTTTACTAAACTTTAGAATACTACTCAACAATAAAAATAAACTGTTACACAATGACATGTTTCATAGAAAAAAGCATTAAGTAAAAGAAATAAGACTCAAAAGCTGTATGCTATATGATTTTATTTATAGGACATTCTAGAAAAGGTTGAAGCATTGGAGCATAAAACAGATCAGCGGCCGGGCGCGGTGGCTCACGCCTGTAATCCCAGCACTTTGGGAGGCCGAGGCGGGCGGATCACGAGGTCAGGAGATCGAGACCATCCCGGCTAAAACGGTGAAACCCCGTCTCTACTAAAAATACAAAAAATTAGCCGGGCGTAGTGGCGGGCGCCTGTAGTCCCAGCTACTTGGGAGGCTGAGGCAGGAGAATGGCGTGAACCCGGGAGGCGGAGCTTGCAGTGAGCCGAGATCCCGCCACTGCACTCCAGCCTGGGCGACAGAGCGAGACTCCGTCTCAAAAAAAAAAAAAACAAAAAAAACAAAAAAAACAAAAAAACAAAAAACAAAAAACAGATCAGCAGCTTCTAGGAGTACAGGGGAAAGGAGTAGGTTCATCAGGAAGGGGCATGAGGGAACTCCTTAGGGGATGGTGGAAATATGCTATGACTTTTCAGTCATAGTGTTTACATAACTGCACATATTTTACCAGATTCATAGCACTGTGCTCCTAGAAGAGCTAACTGTCACCTATATAATTTATACTTCAGTAAACCTGCCTTAGATATGTATTTTAAACATGTATACACAGTTTCTTTCCTTATTCCTTTAACTGACTACATTCATATAATCAACATTTAGTATGTGAAGTGCAAGCTGCATGGTGCACAGGATTAACACAAATAATTTCAAAGATGCACTTGTGCCTTTTTTCCACTTTAATGCTTTTCTCTAACATGAAAACATTTTGCACTGAACTTGTCACAGAGATTGTGCGGAGCAATGCTGTTTTATTTTAAATGATGCATTATAACTTTCCTAATATATTGAAAAATTAAGAGAAGAAAAATGTAATCAAGCATAGCAGATTTTCATGAAATTACTTATTTCTGCATTAATTAATTGATTAAGCATCAACATTCTCTGGAGAAGTGTTCTCAACCTTTTTTAAAACCCCTAATTCTCATCTCATAAAAATTTCCCTGAGCTGTGCCTTTTAGAATTTGCATTAGAAGAACAATAGTACATTTTCATGCTTCCCACATATAAAATGATATTCTAACATCACATGGATTTATCAAACTTATATATATTCTTGTCTCCTATCTCTCCCCAGAGTGTCTGCCACGCCTTTCTCTTTTCAACTTCCTCTCCTCTTTCAGAACGTCTGCTATGACATTGGGACATTATTTTAATAGCCACACTGTGCCCGTGGCTCCTTTCCCACATCTCAGGGCCGCAACTTAGCCTCCCTCACCTCGGTCCTCCACAAGTGATCCCCTTGGGTTGAATCTTTTGGATGTTTTGCTAATATAAATAAAAGATACATTTTTACACTTTCATTCCACCTCCTAACTGGCAGCCTTTGAAATAGGTAGCTGTTTTAGTCACTAGAGGTGAGACAGAGAAAAAATAAAAATAAGCTTCACAGAGCTCAAGCATTCACACCTGATTTTCTTTGCTATTTTTCTCTAAGGAAATTAACAACATGCTTGCTGAGGCCTGTTCATCCTACTCAGATTCTAGTGAATCTTAATGCCATATATTTTCAAGAGGTTGTGTATTAAAGAGAAAATTGCAAAGGAAACTCAATTGTCTCCTTTGCAGACAATAGCTTTCCCAAACCTCAATTTTGCAAGCTCTGTCTTGTGTAAATAAGCATTAACAATCATGGTAAGTTGAATAATCATCCCGCAAAAGATATTCAGTTCCCCTGCAATCTGTGACTATGTTACTTATATGGAAAAATTGAATTGGCAGATGTGATCAAGTTTTTTAAAAATCTGCTATATATATATATACCTCCATCCAATTGTATCCTTCTAAAATTTTATAATGGATGATCTTATTCATTCATTTAACAAACAATAATTTATTGAATGCTCACTATATATCAGGTATTTTTGTCTGGCCTGAAAATGCAGCAGAGAACGGAATGGAAAATAATCTTTATCTTTTTGTAGTTTCTATTTTGCCAGACATCAGAGTCTCTGTATATATCCTTACTAGGGACCTCATTCTCACAGACTATAATGTATATATTATGCGATGTGTCAGGCTTCATAGGTGGAGACAAACACTAAACAAATGAACACATGAAATATAACAAAGTTATTTATTCATTATATCTTTTCTACTCCTTCTATGTACCAAACACTGTTCTACTTACTTGGAATACCTCAAATAATAAAATAAATATTCTAAATTTCATGTAGATTTTATATTCCACAAGAGAGGAGAAACATTTTAAAAAGTTAAAAAGAAAATTATAATAATTGCTAAGAGATAAGTCCTCTACAAAAGAAGAGATTTTTTTTTTTTTTTAATCTTAGAGAACAGGATGAGGGGGCTTAGGTGGCTTGGTATTGCTAAGTGTAGGCACATTTTGCAGAAACAAATATGGTATTCACAGTGGATATTACTTAAAGAAGGTGAGGGATTTTGTCAAACAAATAGTAAATGGTAGAGTATTCCAAGAAGTGGTAGCAGCTAGACCAAAGTTGCTAAAGTATTAGAAAGGATAATGAGAAACCTGGTAATATCAGATCTTGTGAGCTATTTCTAGGGTTTTGTGAGTAAAAGTAAGAGACACTGAAGATTTTTGAGCAGTGGAGTGAAACAGTCCTGGACTTAACATCTTAAAGTCATCACTCTGGCTGTTCTCTTTTGACAGTGGAAGCAAAAGCAAACAAACAAAACACAGAGAGAGGTTATAGCACAATCCAGGTGAGAGAACATGGTGGCTTGAACTGTTGTTTCATGCATGTTGGATATGCTGGTAAGTTTTGCATTTCTGAATATATTTTAAAGAATGAGCAAATTTAACTTTTTTAGACTGGACCTGATTTTTAACGAAAGAGGAGAAGTAAGGTTAACCTACAGGTTTTTGATGTGAGAAAGAGAGGAAATATAAGTGTAAAATTGACATCCGCTGAGTAGGTAAAATAGGTTTGGAGGTAAGATTAGCAGTTCAGTTTTGGGACATGGTGAGTTGAAATGTCTATTAGATATCCACATGGAAAAGTAAAGAAGATGGATATTTAGTTCTGGAATTGGAGAGAGCCCTGGAGACATACATTTTGAAGCAGGTTAGAAGATGGCAAGCACCATGGGGACACCTAAATCAGAAAATTGTAATTATGATAGGAGAGTATAACATTTGCATAAAACATAAAATAAGCAAGGAAAAGAGCCATGTAGATATAAATAGGAAAATATTTCAGAGGATAGAAATAGCAAGTACAAAATACTTAGCTGAATTGCTTTGGGGAAGAATGTAACCTGCTATGTTGGAAGAACAGCAAGTATGGTAATACAGTTATAGAAAAGTAAACAAAAGAGAGAAGAGAAGGAATAAAGGTCATAGATGATACTGAGAATAAGATCATGTAGGGTCTTCCAGGTCTTTTAATATAAATAAGTGAGAGGTCATTGTTATATTTTGATCAGAGCAGTGACACAATTTGAAAAGTTCATAAGAAACATTCTGGCTGCAGAAATTAAAAAAATCTGTAGGGGCTATGAAGAGAAAAACAAAGAAAATCATCGTAGTTATTTTTAACAATCTAGGCAAGAGATAAAATAATGATTGGGTTGGACAATTAATAGATTGTAGTAGAAGAGGTGGAGTCTTTGTGTTTCACTGAAAGCAAATTTTGAGGCAAGTAGCACAGGGCAAGTAGAAGGAAAACACAGACGGGATTAGAATAGATAAGAAAGGGTGGAAGTCAATATAGAATTCATCATCTAACCAGGGACCCTTGCCTGTGGGCATTTGATACCAGTTCCTCTGCAGACCTCTGGGAGACAGTGTAGAACATTTTTCATAGTAATTCCAGCCAAAGGGGAGGAAGCAAGGAAATATTTCTCTCTATTTTCTATCAATCAGTGGTTGAAGGTTGCTTGAAGAAACATATCTAGCTTACTCTCCTGCTGGTCAAGAATGCTCCTAGAGTAGAAAAAAACATCCCCAGCTAGAGATTCATGTTGTTCACATTAAGTAACTTTTGGCATGCAGAGGTGAGTGTTGACAAAATATGGATTAGGCAGCAGGAGCAGTTGCTTAAGGTAGTGAGAAGTATTTATATCCTAGATAAATTTGGAAGCCTGAACATAGAAGTGTGAAGTGTGATACATACATACATATACATACCTTTGTAAGTGTGTGTATATATAATTAGTGATATAGTTTGAATGTGTGTCCCTGCCCAAATCTCATATTGAAATGGAATCACCATTGTTGAAGGTGGGGCCTGGTGGGTGGTGATTTGATCATGGGGGTGGTTCCTCATGAATAGTTTAGTTTCAACTCCCTTGGTACTGTCTTTGTGATAGTGAGTGAGTTTTCATGAGGTCTGGTCATTTAAAAGTGTGTAGCACATGTAGCACCTCATGCCTCCCCTCTCTTGCTCCTGGCTCCAGCTATGTGGCATGCCTGCTCTTCCTTCGACTTCTGCCATGATTGTAAGTTTCTGTAGGCCCTCCACAGAAGCTGCTCAGATGCCAGCACCATGCTTGCTGTACAGCCTGTGGAACAGCGAGCGAATTAAACTTCTTTTCTTTATAAATTACCCAGTCTCAGATATTTCTTTATAGCAATGTGAGACTAGAGTAATACAATGGGTTAAGTATATTTCTCTCAAAGATGTTTATTAAAACTCAATTTCAAATTTCCAAGTTTCATTCTTTAATGAATATTTACTGAGTATGTTCAAAGTCCTATGAATTTATGAGGAAATCAGAGATACCAAGAGGAAGGATGCACAAATATTGACCTCAAGGGACTCAAATTTTAGTAGTAAATTTAATATTTTTTATTAATTACATTATACAATAAAAGATGAAAGTTTACATAAAATAAATATTATGAAAATGCGGTACTTAGGGAAATGATAATAAGGGCTTAGTTTAATTAAGTGATCCTAGAAATGGAGGCTGGCCTATTTTATTCTTTCTTGACTCTTCAAGTTCAAGCTCAGAGCCTGGTCCATAGAAATTACTCAATATATAGTAACAGGGATTTCTCACTATACAGTAGCTTACTTCTTCAAAAGCAGTGAGGGAGTCTTTGCCTGTCTTCTGCCAAAGCTCCATTCCTCTTCACAGGCTTTTCCATTATCTTGGTAGGCTAGGCCCCACAGTATAATGTCTCTTTGGATTAACTCATTATCAGCTGACGATTTGGGACATTACATTTTCAGAATCCCTTCCAGTTACTCTTAAGAGTAACATCCTATCAGATTTCCAGGTCCTGCCTATACCCAAGGGCATGGATTATATAGGTTGTATCCACCAGAGGGCAAGAATCTTGGGGACCATTTCAAAATTCTGCCTATCACATCTCCAAATGTGCAAAACTGATTTTTTTTATTTGTCACTACTGCATCTTAATTCCATATTTATTAGCTTCTCTTCATCATTTCCTCCTATTTTATGTAAAGCTACTACCATTCTGCCAGTTGCTCTAGCTAGATATATAAACATTTTGCTAAATTGCCCTTCTTCCTTCACCACAGCCCATACTTCTTTCTTATCAGTGTTTCTATGTTGAATTTTTCTACTCATTAACTATATATTGGGCACACACTATGTGTTAGGCTCTGAGTCTGGACCTGGTGATTCGAGGTGGAATAAAATAGGCCAGACTTGCAGACTCCATTTCCAGGATCACTACATTAATTTAGAGTCTTACCATTTTTCTTTTACTGTAGATTTTCAAGCCAATCTTTCTGACCTTTCTCCCTGCATTCTCTCTCACTTCAATCTCTACCATAAACTGACATCAAAATGTCAGTGATCTAGATATAAAATATAACCATACCTCACATTATGAAACATAAACATATTAAATTGTTGCTTTTTGTCTAAATATTTTGGCTGCAAATGAAATAATCTAAATTCAAATTAAATTATGCAAAATGGGATTTTTTTTTTGTACTGCCTTACAAACTGAAAATTTAAATGGCATTTTGGTTTCAGATTATACTCTGGCTGTAGTGGCAGTTCTTTCAATCATTATGGCAATGTTTCTGAGATGTGTTTTTAGTGAATCAACATAGGTAATGTAAATCAATGAAAATGACCGAAGTGAGTGAGTCTCAAGTATTTTAGGACTTTTTTTTTTTTTTTTTTTGCCAAAATTAAGGACCACATGCCCTGGAGGCCTTTATCCAAAGATGATTTTGAGAGCTTAAATATTTGAATGGGAAAGGGTGTATATTGGGGGAAGAGAAAGAAATTTAAAAAATGTGTGGGGAGATAAGAGACAAAGGGTTGCATTCTGTTGAGTCTTTGATCAGCCTTTTACTAAATACACAATTTTCAAGTAGGGGGCGAGTAAATAGTCACTCATGCCTTTGTCTGGCATGAATCTGCATTTTTACATAATCAGATATGCGTTTGTCTCAGGTGAACAGATGAATGACTTTGAGTTCTGTCCTTTGTCCTGCACTTGTGAATAAAGCTATCAATTTACATTGCCAGGGTGAAATTGAATAGGACTGCTTTAGAGTAAAGAACTTGGGGCCCACAAGAAAGTTCCTTGTGGGAAAATTGTGAGGGAGCTATGTAGTTTTTTTATCTTTGTAGCTGTCTTATTTAGGAATCAAATGGGAGGCAGGTTTGTGTGACCCAGTTCCCAACTTGACTTTTCCCCTTTGGCTTAGTGATTTTGGGATCCTGAGACGTATTTTCCTTTCACAGTAACATCTATTCCTCGACTAGTTGTTGTAGTCTGGGAAAGGAATACACAGCCTTGCAGATGTAAGTTACATTCTCATTCCTGAATCTAAAAGATGCAATCATCTCTAGTAAAATTATAATGATTCAATATGAGAGGGAATTAGTTCTTCAAAATAAAATTATAATTACTTTATGAAATAAATTATTGCAGTGGAAAGAGAACCAGGAATTTATGAGGAAAAAGGGAGGAGGGAGGCTAGGGGCCAGACACTGGACAAACATAAAAGTATAAAAGTATATATCCAAAAGATGGTCTGGAAATATTAGCATGGGTCACCATATTCCTTAGGTTGACTTACAAGTCTTTTTGCAACATTGTACCCGTCTTACTTAGCTTCTCCATGCGATTTCTTTTGAACAAACTTATGCTCCAACAGCATCAAATTATGGTGTGTTCTCTAAATGTTCTATCAGCTCTCTTGTCTCCACATGCCTACTCTGGTTATTCTGTCTGGAATGTGCCCTCTGCCCTTCCCTCCAAGGAAATTCCCACTCTTAATGGAAAAAAATCTCTTGTTTGACAAGACCAATTTCTTTGTTAAATTGTCCTTGTCGCTCAGGCAAAATTAGTTGCCACCTATTCTCTGTCCTCAGTGACACCTTATACAATCCTTTGTTTGGACCCTAATTGAGTTTGGTAACTTTCTACTTAGAGTCCCTGCCTCTTTTGCTATAGATTAAAGTTGAAGTAAGTCTACTTTACTCAAGCTTGTGTCTCTACTATTTAGTATGATGTCTGTAAATACTGGATCTCAATAAATGTTCATTGAATTAATAACATTAAATAAAAGTAAAGGATGCAACATTCAGACTTTATCTTGCAGGCCAAAATGATGGGACACCCTGTTAGATATTTTGTGAAAACAGATGAGACTAAATATTTGGAGAATTTTTTAAAAAACACAGTAGCATTCTATTCCCAAAAATAGTTTCATTCCTGATTTCTTATGGTTTTATCTATTATTTTCCAAAGATTACACATAACATATTTTCTTGGTTTTCTGGCAATATTGCCAATGATGATGATGAGGGCCTTTCTTTAAATACCTTCACCATAAATGGAAACTAATTTCTTTAAAGGTCTTCAAGCACACTCTGAAGGCATATATCCTTGTTTGGCAGTTAGATCATTGTGATCTGCCTCCTCACTGACTTGAAAAGTCATTAAATAAATTAGCAAAAATTAATAACACATATCACAAGTTTCATGTACAAAGGGTCCCAGCCCTGGTCATAGTGTAGAATAAAGTCTCTGCTACATCTGTTTCTGCCTAAAGGTGCTGGGTTGGGTGAAAGGGGGTGGACGGAGTAACAGAACTTAGGGACAGAATGTGGGCAGTGGCAGTGAGAAAGCTGGGTTTCCAGGTGGTTGTAAGTCAACAGAAAGTGGCCGAATATCTTCCTGTACTAGATGACAAAATGTCAAACCTGGATGAGATAAAAGAGATCTTTTGTTTCATTATCCTAAATGAAACTTACAGCACAGAGACATTAAACAAGAATGTCACACAGCAAATGAGTGGTAAAACTGTGACAGGAGGCTGGTATGTATATATATTTGTTCAAAATTTATATCAAGAATACCTTCTAGACGGCTTTTAAATGGCGATGTAATATTTAAAAGATTTACAATATGGAAATAGAGGAATGTCATTTGAAGTATCACATACAGAAAATTTTTCCCATCTATTACTCAATGTGTAGTCGATCCACCCATCCTCTTCTCTGGGGTTTCTCAGGCTGCTCGCAATAAGTTACAAAGCTTATTCTCGAACAAGTTGAAATGCTTGAAGGAAATGAGGGAGAGTGAATGCTTAAGTGGAATTATACCATTGCCACCCTTATTTGCATTGTATTTTGCATATAGAATCAAAGTAACTAAGACAAACTGATGGGATCAATTTTCTATAGGTGACACTCTTTGTAAAAATGATGCATTTACACACACATTAAAATGAAGCCAAATACAAGCTATATCTGGATATGAATAAAAAGCAGTGTGGTACAGTGGAAAAAGAACCAGGAATGTATGAGTTTCTTAACTTGGGTATGCCCCTTGACCTCAGTTTCTTCACCTATACAGAATAATCCCTAAGTAGATGAGAACTTAGGCCTCTTGATGCAGGAGTGAAAGTCCTGTGAGCATAAAGTCAATAGATAGCGAATGTATAAGTCATGCTGGAGCTCTGCCTTTCATGGTCCCTTGATTTTTCTTGGTCTCACTAGTCCCTTTGAGTATTGATGCTGGTGTGATCATTAAAGTATCTTATATTGAACAATGAGAACACATGGACACAGGAAGGGGAACATCACACACCGAGGACTGTTGTGGGGTGAGGGGAGTGGGGAGGGATAGCATTAGGAGATACACCTAATGCTAAATGACAGGTTAATGGGAGCAGCACACCAACATGGCACATGTATACATATGTAACAAACCTGCACGTTGTGCACATGTACCCTAAAACTTAAAGTATAATAATAATAAAATTTAAAAAAAAAAAAGAAGTATAAGTTTCTCTTTGGCTCTTTACTTCTGCTTTTCTCAATAGTTGGAGAAGAAAAAAAGCACACGTTAGTCACTGATAGATCTCATGCCAGTAAACTGTATTTGTTAATTTTTTATGATAACCTTCTTCAAGACTTGTGAATGTGTCCAACCTTCTCAGATCCTCCTTTCATCACTCTCCTTTTTCTCTTGTACTTCTTGAACTTCCTTTGAGTCACTTAATTTCTCTAGGAAGGATCTTCGTTCTTCCCTGCTTGCTATCTGCCTTCCCTTTTCTTCATCCATATTCTGTCACAATGTGAAACATTCCATTTACCACAGCCCAAGTGATGAAAACCTTTTATTCACATATGAAAGTCATCAGAACTGACTGCCTGATGCATATTTTAAAAAATTAATGTTCTGTACCTTCCTAATAAGTGAATGCCCCTTCCTAAAAGCTACATCAGAAAGAACAGCCCCATGTATAAGTTGTTACTATAAATTATAACTAAGCTAAGAGTAGAAGTCAGTTACCACAGAATGGAAAGGAAAATCCCAGACATTTTGTCTATCACTTCTGTTTATGATAGAAGGAATGATCACAGATTTTGAAACAGCATGATCTCAGTTAAGTGTTAACTCTACCATTCTCATGCCAAGACCTGAGCAAGTTGTTCTTTCTAAGCCTTAATATTCTTCACTGCTTTCTGTGGATAAGATTCCCTACCTCATAATTTTTTGAAGATGTCAAGAACTTTAGTTTCATGACTTCCTAATTTTACTGGTGGCTGTAAAAGGGGAAAAAAGAGAAAATAATTCTGATAGACTTTTTAGATATTTTTCCTTCTTTTGAAACCCTAATTCTCAAAGGAATTCATTGACTTACTCTAAACATATTTCTAGCATGAGACATTTTTCCTAACTTAAAACTAAGCTCATTTTCACAGTTGCCTCAGGAATCTTTCAATAGTAGTATAGAAACAAATAGAATTGTATCTCTTATTTTTCCCATATCTATGATTTGACAAATCATTTAACTACATATTATTTTGTAGGAGTTTCTTTCATAATGAGTAGGTAAGTTCTTATAGCTAAGCACTTATGATTATGAAAGATGAGCTGATGCTTTCAATCAATCATTCTAATATCTCTCTGATCTCACAGTTATAGATGCCAAGGTGCAGCCACAAACATTAGAAGGTCCCTGCCTTTGAAAGGCTTTATGTGCTAACCCTAGTCTTATCTGAGGACTAAGACACTGGTCCGTAGAGGTCTAGATGTATCTCTTTAGCATTATAGGTTTATAGTCAATCTAAAGAAGTAAAGTTTCAGAAGGTGTCACTTTAACAGAACTTTTCCAAAGCCCTTGAGGAGGCCTTAAAAATGTGTTTACTTGTTCATAATATTTTAGCGCTTTATTCAGGAATGATTGACATACAATGAATTGTGCATATTTATGAATTATTTATTTATTTTGAGACAAGATCTTTCTCTGTCACCCAGGCTGGAGTGCAGTGATGCGATCATGGCTCACTACAGCCTCCGTCTCTCAGGCTCAGGTGATCCTCCCACCTCAGCCTTCTGAGTAACTGGGGCTACAGGCGTGCGCCACTATGCCTGACTAAATTTATTTATTTTTAGTGAAGATGAGGTCTCACCATGTTGCCCAGGCTGTCCTCAAACTCTTGAGCTCAAGTGATCCTCCTGCCTTCACCCCAAAGTGCTGGGATTACCGGCATGAATCATCATGCTGGGCTTGTGCATATTTAAATGCATGGTACATTTCTTCATTTGTTTTAGGTTTTATAGCTTTTAGGTATAGGCCTTGAACATCATTTTTCAGATTTGTACCTAAATATATCATATTTTATACTATTACAACATATTTAAAAATTTTAATGTATTCATTCCTTGCTACTATCTAGAAATATAATTTTTAGATATTAATTTTTGTACACTATGACCATGATAAACTTACTAGTTAGTTATACTAGCATTTTTGTAAATTGCAATGAATTTTCTGAAGAGTTGGTTATTTAGTCCATGAATAAAAACAGTTTACATTTTTTCTTTCCAACTTGGAAATCTTTCATTTCTTCTTCTCGCCATGTTGCACTACTAGAACCTCATGTATGATGCTAAACAAAAATGGCAAAAAAGGGGCCAGCACTTTGGGAGGCCAAGGCGGGTGGATCACCTGAGGTCAGGAGTTCATGACCAGCCTGACCAACATGGTGAAACCCTATCTCTACTAAATACAAAAAATTGGCCAGGCGTGGTGGTGCATGCCTGTGATCCCAGCTACTTGGGAGGCTGAGAGAGGAGAATCGCTTGAACCTGGGAGGCGGAGGTTGCAGTGAGCCGAGATTGCGCCATTGCACTCCAGCTTGGGCAATAAGAGCAAAACTCTGTCTTAAAAAAAAAAAAAAAGGCAAAAATGGACATCTTTGCCTTATTCCTGATCTTAGGAGGAAAGCATTCTACTGCTCATAAGTAATATGATATAATGATATAAGCTGTCAGTTTGCCAAAGATTGGGTTGAAAAAATTGTTTTATTCGTTTCTAGTTTGCTAAGAATTTTCTTCAGTGATTTTAGATTTGATCAAGTTCTTTTTTTATCCATATGTTGAGATGATCATATGATTTTTATTTTTTGTCTGTGAATGTAACGAATCACATTTATTAAATTTCTAATGTTAATTTAAATTTCTGTGAAAAAAACCTACTTTGAATTGGTGGATTATCTATCTTAAGTACAGTGGTATATATGGTATATGATTTTCTAAAAGAAATTTTGCATCCATACTCATGTGGAGCATTGGTCTCCAATTTTCATTTCTTTTAATATCTTAGTTTTGTTCTCAGAGTAATGTCATTCTCTTAGAATGAGTTCATAAGTATTACTGCTTTTTCAACTTTCTGAAAGAGCTTGTGTAAAATTAGTTCTACTTTATTCCTTAGTATCCAGTAGAATTTACCAGTGAACCATATGAGTACAGAGGATTCCTGGTGGAAAGGTTTATAACTAAAATTCAATTTTGTTAACAGGTTAACAAAATAATTAGGTTAATAATAGTCATGTAATTAGGCTACTCAATTTCTTTATTTCTTCTTGAGTGTGTATGTTGGTTAATTTTATGCGTCAATCTGACAAGGCCACCGGGTGCCTCGATATTTGTTCAAACATTATTCTGGGTGTTTCTGTGAGGGTGTTTGGGGAAGAGAGTAACATTGAAATTGGTTGATTAACACAAACTGCCCTCTCTGATGTGGGTGGACCTCATACAATCAGTTGAAGACATGAATAGAAGGATAACAAGATTGACACTCTCTCAAGTAAGAGAGATTACCTCCTGCCTGACAGCCAGGTCTCCAGTTTGTCAACTCACTTTGTACATATGGGGCCAAAACCTGATAAGGAATAAGTAAATAAATATATAAATAAACACACACATTTTATTGGTTCTGTTTCTCTGGACACTGAGCTTTGGTAGTTTGTGCCTTTAAAGGAGTGTAAGGAGTGTGCCCATTTCATATAAGTTGTCCAATTGACTTGCATAAAATTGTTTAAGACATGTCTTTAATATCCTTTTATGTCTGTGCAGTCTGTGGTGATGTTACGCTGCCATATCTGATGTTAGTATTTTTTGCTTTCCCTCCATTGTTTCTAATATGTTTAATGCTACAACTCTCAGATCTATTGGTTGGACACACAGTCTCTGACATATGGCTGTTGTTAGTTTAAAATGACAGAATATTTTTAGCTCTAAAAACATTTTGTAGAGCTTTTTTTTTTCTCACCAGAAGTTTCTGAGGTGGCTCCTGCTGCTAGTTTGTTAGAAATAGTATATTCTACAAAAGCCATACAGTATCCTAAATTCAAAATCTTCAGTGAAAGGCTCCAGATTCTTTTTTGAGTCATTGACCTATCTTTCTTCCAGCATCTCCTAGGATTTCATACTTGAATGACAGCTCAATGCACTGATTTAAGTCATAAGAATTATATTCTCATTGAACAGGAGGTATTTTCAAGAACAAGAATTCTTGCCCTATTTAACTCTGCAACCAAATGTGGCCATCTTGAGACCATAAGTAACACCAAAAATGACCCCTTCTCAAGAGAAGCCTACTTGGAAACGGTTAAGAAGGGGTTAAGAGAGAGGGGGTGTGAGTGAAGGAAAGTAGCAAATTATCCTCACACATTCTACAGTGTGCAGAGCTATAATTTTGAAGTGAAAAATTTCCATAACCGCTGTTGCAGTAATTGGCATTAGTAGTGTATATTCTTGGAATTTAAGTGACAATTATTGCCTCTCGGTTCATACTCCTACTTTGTACTAAAATGTTCTGCTACCACGTGCCTTAGAGCTTTTACTCTCAATAAATATATTTGGTTGAACTAGTTCTTTCAGTTTTCTCATTCTTTATTTTAAATTTTTCATCACTCTCGCCTTTTTAAGTAGTCATTTAGAATCTGAGAGGCCCTTAATATTTTGGTCATTGTTCTGTTCCTGCAAGGTATAAAGAGACCAACTTTTGTACAGTTACCTTGTTACCTATGGTGGCTCCTGGAACTCCTGTATGGTAGGAGAAATTATATTATAAACCTATCAACTCCAGACTGATGAGATTCACAGATAACTATCATGTTGATAGAATGTGTTTATGATAGTTTGACTTAAAGTATATTTTTGTATTTTAAGTTTGACTTAAAATGTGGAAATATATATAAGTATATCGGAGGGTCCCTAGGGAATTATTTGATATGTATATGTATATCAAATAATTGTGTATAATACTTTATCAAAGAATTATATATAACACTTTGTATTATACTTATTAGATGGATAGATAGAGGTGAAATAATATAGAAATGGGACAGAAATGTAGTTTCTCAAGGACAAAACAGTTTAAGGAAAGCATAACCACCCAAAGAGACAGGGTATTGTTTCCAGAGAAGCTAACCCTGAAATAAAATGAAGAGATTGTTAGACTGTTCACTGGAGGTAGTATGTCCTAACACCAGGAGGTAAAAATAAAGTCAAAAAAAAAGAAAAACACAATATCCAGGAAATAGTTGGATGACACATGTCAACAGTATCAGAAGCCTTGAATATAGGAAACTCAAATGCTTTCAAACACTGTTTCAAATGTATTATGTTAAGTGGTTCACTCTGTGAAATTTTCCACTAATGTAAATACTGACCTGGAAAAGGAAACTAAAGTATAAGCTACATTACAGATCAGGCCATGCTTGAACCTGTTATTATGACCCCAGTGAAAACCTATATTTATAGAGAAATGTTATGAATCTACATATGGAAAGACAGAAAAAAAAAAAAAAGAAACATGGCATCCAAGTACACAATAATGTATATTAACAGGTGCTAACAAAGTCAAATCAGTATCAACCTCCCAGATACAAGAAGTTTCTAAGATAGTAAATCATTTCCAAATGAATTTCACCAAATAAGATATATATTTTAAGCTTAGTTTTGATCATGCTGCTTCTTAGATGAAAAATTGTCAATCTATGGCTCAAGGTGAGAAGCAGAGTAAATGTACTCATATTTGCTCTGGATGACGTAAAATACCAAATATTAGATTTTGTCACGATTACAATGATAGAAAATCATTACAAGTATAATTTTTCCATTAAACTGTATCTAATACTGGTTAATTCTTCTTCCAAATAATGCTTAAAATACAGCTAGTAATAAAACCCTCTGATACCTCTTATTTGTTGAGTAATTGCAACATATCAAACATTTCACACACCTTATCTCTGAATATGACACAAACTTTGCCAAATGTGTTTTATAATTCCTATTTCACACATATGAAAATTGAGGATCAGGTAATTTATACAACTAGCCCAAGGACATGTATCATAATAGTAACAATTATTATTATGATAACTGCAGTTATTTTACATATACTACATATGTAAAATGTATACACACACCAACTTGAATAAGTACAATGTGGGCTACGTCATATAACTTGGCCTTTTGAAGATAGTTGTAGTAAACATAATTCTTTTGTATATCGGATATATGTATATACACACACATATATATGAGGAAGCAGGGTTTGTGAGGTTTCACCCTATTGCCTAGACTAGAGTGCAGTGGCATAGTCATATCTCACTGTAGCCTTGAACTCCTGCCTCAGCCTACTGAGTTATTTCTGAACTTAAATATCTACATAATAATGTCACTTTGGCTCAACGTTTTTTGGTTTCCTTTCATATTTCTTTTGAGCATTGAACTTGAATTGTTTCACGAGTTTTCTCAGTTGAATTATATATTTGTCATTTGTGAGTGGTTTTGGTTGAAGGATCATGAAAACATTCAAAGTTAACTCTGTAGTCTATAGTGGATACTCAAAATAGAAAATGCATTAAAAATGAAGCATGTAATAAAGAAAAAAACACTTAATGATGTATTCATAACATTGGGCTTAAATCACACCTCTAAAAGTATATATATTCATGAACTCCAAAATGGAGTACTCAACAACAAAACAAAGAATCCCATTAAAAAGTGGGCAAAAGACATGAATAGAAATTTTTCAAAAGACATACAAATGGCCAAAAAGCATATGAAAGAATGCTCAACATCACTAATCATCAGAGAAATGGAAATAAAAACACAATTAGATGTCATCTTACAATACTCAGAATGGCTATTATTAAAAAGACAAAAAGTAACAGATTTTGACAAGGAGGTAGGGAAAAAGGAGCACTTATACACTGCTGGTGGGAATATAAATTAGTACAACCTCTATAAAAAGCAGTATGGAGATTTCTCAAATAACTAAAAATAGAACTACCATTTGATCCAGCAATCCCATTATTGGGTATCTGCCCAAAGGAAAACAAAATTATCATTATCAAAAAGATGCCTGCATTCATATGTTTACTACAGCACTATTTACAATGGCAAATAACCTAAGTGTCCATCAACAGATGAATGAAGAAAATATGGTATATATACAAAATGGAATACTATGCAGCCATAAAAAGGATAATATCATGTCTTTTGCAGCAACATGGATGGAACTGGAGGCCGTTAGCTTAACAGAAAGACAAATGCTGCATGCTCTCCCTTATAAGAGGAAGCTAAATCATGTGTACACATGGACATAGAGTATAGAATAATAGACAATGGAGACTCAGAAGGGTGGGCAGGTAGGAGGAGGATGAATAACAAATTACTGAATGGGTACAATGTACATTATTTGGGTGATGGATACAATAAAAGCTCAGATTCACCATTAAGCATTACATCCATGTAACAAAATTACAATTGTACCCTGTAAGTTTATACCAAAAAAGTGGAGTATTTGAATGTAGTCATGTATACATTGTATGTAGTCACTATAGATAGTGATCACTTGGTTTGATTTTTAAATTAATATTTAGGTATGTTTACGTTTTTATGGAACCTTGATTTAAAAATCAAACCAAGTGATTAGTAGCTATAATCAGAATATATGTGATCTCCAGGGATGTAGACTATGCAGTTGTAAATGTAAAATATTTTTTACTCCTGTTATTCCAACAGCACACCAAACACTTACCAAGAGAGATTTGAAAATTTCCTGTATTTTCACATAATGTTTTTGCAAAGGCCAATCACTTGTAGATATTAAATAAATAGTACCAAATTATTATCAATAAGTGCTATGTGGACTAAGTTATAGAACTTGGCCTTTTTTTACTCCTTTTATTCCAACAGCACACCAAACACTTAACCAAGTGAGATTTGAAAATTCCCTGTATTTTCACATGATGTTTTTGCAAAGGCCAATTACTCATAGATATTAAATAAATAGTACCAATTTATTATCAATAAGTGCTATGTGGACTAAGTTATAGAACTTGGCCTTTTGAATATACTTGTAGTAAACACAATTCTTTTGGTGTTATTCCAGTGATATTTGTCAGGTAACACAGCAAAACTGATTTTCAGATATAATTAAATTTCCTAATTTGTGGACCTTAGCATAGGGAGGCTATCTGAATGGGCTTTATTTGATCACATGAGCTCTTTAGAATCAGGGCCTTTTTCTTTGGTTGACAGAACGGAAAGTCGGGGAGAATGGACAAATTTAATATGAGGCAGTATCTCTTTTGCTAAGCTGGAGTGGGCCACAGAGCAAGGACCTGGAGCAGACTCAAGAAAATGAAAGAAGTCCCAGGCCAACACTTGGCAAGAAAATGCAATTGAATTCTGCAGAAACCTGACTGAGCATAGAAATATATTCTTCCACAGAGCCTCAAGGTCCCAGCCCAGGCAACACCTTAACCTTGTATTAGGGCCTGAACAGAGAACCAGGTGAGTCCACCTGCAATTCTGAACTAAAAAGCTGTGAGACAGTGAATAAGCATTGTTTCAAGCTGCTAGTTTGTGGTAATTGACACAGTTGTCTCTCAACACTGTAAAAGTTATTGGCTCAGAATTCCCTGGGCATCCTTTGGTGGACATTGAACAGAAAGCCAGATGAATTACTCACTGGGCTCAGCTTATTTTTTCTTATGGCTTTGAGTTTATCTTTCATGACTCCCGGGTGAATGCAGGCATACATGAAATGTAGGGTAAGCTCTGATACCTAAGTAGAGAGTATGTATGATGAAAACTAAAGGAGAAATGCCTGTTTAAAATGTTAGTTTGTCCTATCTGATAAAATCTCAACTATTAAGTGAAGTCATTGTCTTCAACACTTAACATTTATAATATAACTCAGCTCAAAAACTTAGAGAGGGACCACACGATGCCTGGTTCTGTGCTATCCAAGCCAGATTCAATAGGTCGGTGTAAGTAATAATCTACCAGAGAAAGCAAAGGTAGCCTAAAGTGGTCTAGGGTAAAAATTCTGGAAAAATACAGAAAACTATGGAACTGTATGAACAGGTTGAGGATAAATATGACTCAGTTAGTGAAGATATTCTTTTTTGAGGTATATCAGTTGTCAGTTACTTGGGTATTACTAATCCCCGCAGTGTGGGGCATCTACATCTCTGATATTTATTGAAATTTGTTTAAAAGCGTGATACCTTATATAGTAGAAAACTAAAAATTATTTTTTCTAATTTTATTTATTTTTTTAACTTTTATTTTAGGTTCGGGGTATAAGTGCATGTTTGTTATATAGATAAAATTGTGTCACAGGAGTTTGTTGTACAGATTATTTCATCACCCAGGTACTAAGCCAAGTACCCAGTAGTTATCTTATCTGCTCCTCTCCCTCTTCCCAACCTCCACCCTAAAGTAGGCCCCAGTGTCTGTTGTTCTCTTACTTGTGTCCATGAGTTATCATCATTTAGCTCCTGCTTATAAGTGAGAACATGTGGAATTTGGTTTTCTGTTCCTGTATTAGTTTGCTAAAGACAATGGCCTCCAGCTCCATCTGTGTTGCTGCAAAATACATAATCTCGGTTCTTTTTATGGCTGCGTAGTATTTCATGATGTGTATGTACCACATTTTATTTATCCAATCTGTCATTGATGGACATTTAGGTTGATTCCACATGTTTGCTATTGTGAACAGTGCTGCGGTGAACATCGGCATACATGTGTCTTTAGGGTAGAATGTTTCATATTCCCCTGCGTATATACCCAGTAACAGGATTGCTGGATCAAATGGTAGTTCTGTTAGCTCTCTGAGGAGTCACCCTACTGCTTTCCACAGTGGTGGAACTAATTTACACTCCTATCAACAGTGTATAATGTTCCCTTTTCTCTGCAACCTCGCCAGCATCTGTTATTTTTTGACTTTTTAGTAATAACCATTCTGATTGGTATGAGATGGTATTCATTTTGGTATTGATTTGCATTTCTCTGATTATCAGTGATATTGAAATTTCTTTATATGCTTGTTGGCTGCACGTATGTCTCCCTTCTTTAGAGAAGTATCTGTTTATGTTCCTTGCCCACTTTTTAACAGGGTTGTTTTTCTCTTGTTAATTTGTTTAAGTTCCTTATTGATGCTGGATATTAGACTTTTGTCATATGCATAGTTTGCATATATCGTCTCCCATTCTGTATGTTGTCCATTTATTCTGTCAATAGTTTCTTTTATCATGCAGAAAAACTTTAGTTTTAGATCCTATTTGTTAATTTTTGCTTTTGTTGTAATCGCTTTTGGCATCTGTGTCGTGAAATCTTTGCCCATTCCTGTGTTCAGGATAGTATTGCCTAGATTGTCTTCCAGGGTTTTTATAGTTTTGGGTTTTCCACATAAGTCTTTAATCCATCTTGGGCTGATTTTTGTATATGGTGTAAGGAAGGGGTCCAGTTTCAATCTTCTGCATGTGATTAGCCACTTATCTGAGCACCATTTATTGAATAAAAAGTCCTTTCCCCATTGCTTTTGTCAGCTTTGTCGAAGATCAAATGATGCTAAAAATCATTTCTAACAATTCATAAATGGAGGAGATTATGTTCCTCTAATTCTTTGCTTCTGATAAGTTCTTGACAATAGTTTTGGATTTTGCCTTCTGCACCTCCCATCTCATTTCTGTGTGTTTTGCCTCTTGTACTTCCCATCTATTTTCTAGTACAAGTTGCTGATCTGGACACTTCTTTCCTCAATTACTACCATCATAAAGTCTGTGCGGGGCAAAGATACATCAAATAGTTTGGTGCAACTAAAGAGGATCTATAATAATATGTAACGTTGTAAAAAACTTAAAATTTAATTAAACACTGTTAATTTTAAGAAGTCAGTCCTTTCCCCTGGAGGTATTTTAACTAGAACACTGTTATTTAACTTTCTCTATTTTACTAAATGTTGCCGTTTTTCAAACGCAACTGCTTATCAATTCCATATCTAGAATGTGTAAACATTGTGCTGCATCATCCCTAGATAATCAGTCTATATTTGTAGTACTTTAATTCACAACCAACATACAAATCTTCTTATGAAGTCCTGAACAGGAAAAACTAGACAGAGTGATGAATTTTAGAATAGAGTTTGCCTGGGTATTTACAAGGTGCTCGAGACAATTTTCTTTTTAGAATAATGGAAATATATAAATTGATAGAAGTATGGGTCACAGAGGTATATACACTGATCAAAATTTATCAAACTGTATACTTAAGATTTATAGATTTCAATATGTATAATTCCTTCATCCAAAAGGTAAGAAAAAGATAAGATATATACTAAGAAAGAGAATGAGAGGGAGACAAAAGGGGAGCAAAAGGTAAATATGCTAAAAAATAAAAATAGTGAGACTTACTGGAAGGTTTTCAGAAATCTTTATGACCAAAGTGAAATTTAAGTTGTGTACTTAAGGATAGAAAAAAAAAGACAGATACTGATGAGAGAGAAAATAATAAGCTATATATATATATATATATATATATATTATGATGTGAAGGAGCTCCTCAGAGAAGACAGAGTTTGTTTGGTTAGAAAGTGAGTTATGGCTGAGTGTGGTGGCACATGACCATAGTCCCAGACCTTTGGGAGGCCAAGACGGGAAGATCTCTTGAGGCCACAAGATTTAGGCCATCCTGGGCAACATAGCAAGATTCTGTGTCTACAAAAAATAAAAATAAAAAATTAGCCATGTGTGGTGACACACACCTGTAGTCCCAGGTACTTGGGGAGTTGAGGTGGGGGGCTTGCTTCAGCCCAGGAGTGCAAGGCTGCAGTGAGCTATGATTGTGCCACTGCATTCCAGCCCAACACAGGAATAAATGGAAACAACTTTGTGGAAGCTTCTGAAAGTTAAGCTAAGAAATTTGAAATCTGTCAATCACTGAGAACCATTGAAGGTTTAATGGCTCAAGCATTAAGCCTCTACCCAGAAATCCATTTGTATAATTAGTATGTCAAATTAATTACTCATAAAATAGGAGAAATGGAACATTTTTTAAAAGGAGCAAAACAAATGAAATTCATGCGGATGGTAGTAAAAGAATGTGTGTGTGTGTACAGTAAGTAATAATAATTGCAAATCCTTACATAAAGGCACAGAATGCAAGTCATTATTCCAAGCACTTTGTATTTCTTAAATAATTTGAATTTCACAACTGTCTTAAAGCGTAAACATTATTACTCTTATTCCCATTTCATAAAAAAGAAAGAGGTTGCACAGAGAGAGTCAGCAATTTGTGCAGATTTTCATGCCTATTACATAGTTGCAGTAGCCTCTAAACCCAGGTAGTGGAAGGTCAAACATTTTGCCAAGTAAAGTTTTAGGTTATATCCACCATTCCATGAAGGAGCATAGTTCAATCTATACTAGAGAAAGAAAAACTTTGTATAAATTTTGCTGACTTCACAGATTTGTTTTGGGACTCTGTTGAAATCAATGTATAAGAACAAGGACTCTCAGGTTCCTTCAACAAGTATGCTATTCTAAAAATTTGGAAGCCAGCACTCACTGTAAATAGAGCGTGTACAATTGTTTGAAGAGTAGTGCACAGGGGATAGTTGGGAAATGATTCACCACCAAGCAATTTGCTACCCTCTCTGAGTGTTCAAAAGAAAGGATGGAAATGAATATAATGGAGATGTTTTAGCCTCATTGGTGGTTTTCTCATCTCTCAAGGGTCTAAGAAAGTAAATGAAACTGAAAAAGCTCTGGGTAAAAAATACATCTGGGTGCCATTCCAATGAGCTTAAGCCTATATTGTGATAGCTTTGTGTTTTGAAAAGCTTTAGAAGAAAAAAGCTGTGTGGCTATTGAGTTTGGCCAGAGTAGATATCTGTGAGATGGTGAACTCTCTTTTATGTTCTACTTCAGATTATTTCACGTTTGCTGCATTAAAATAGCAGATATAAAAACTTTAGATTCTGCTTTTAATCAACAGAATTCTTGAGAGTTCAGATAAAGCCAAACATTCAAAAACTCTTGTCAAGTTCTTTATTCACTTCATCATATTTATGCACTTGAGGCAACTAGAAAAAATATGGCATTCTTTATATAATCATAAAAGTAGACATGGGCAAATCTAAAGAGATCTCAAACATATGTAAAAGCCCTCTTTCCTTGTTTTAATATTTTATAGACGGTAGCAACTTTAACATTAAAATCTAGAATTATTTCCAAAGGAAATCATAATTATTTGAAAGCAGGAAAACTTGGGATAAACTTGCATCGACAAAATAAGGTAATTAAAAGTAAGAAAATAATTTAAATCTAATTTCATCCCTTTCTTAAATGCTCATTAAGGATTATGTCAATTAAATGGATACTGTGATAGTAGGTGTTGTGCAAATAAAAGATGAACTGAAATAATTTGGGAGATTTAACTGGCAAGTTATCAACCATAAAGAAAGCCTCTGAAATTTGTTTTAATAGTTTTCTGAGCTGTTGAGCTTTCTAAAGAGAGAAACTTTAATAAATTGTATAGATTCTTGTCCAAACCCCTCATGTTATGGCTAGCCATAAAATTGTTACTCTTTTTTTAAAAATTAATGACTCCATTATTTTCAGATTTCTCTGTGTATCAAACAGTTTCTTTAAATAAATGTCAAGTTTTATTAGAGACTTTCTGGTTGTATCTCCTTAACAACACATTGAATGAGAACAAATAATCAAGTCCTATGTACCCTTAAGCTTTGGAGGAACCCAGAAAGAAGGCAGAAAAGGGGAAGGGATGGTGCTGTTCACCAGCTAGGTGTGTACTTTCAAGCAAGTCAAGACACTCTTATGATTTTGCTTTCTCGTCTACAAAGTGTAGATTTAGCCAAGCCTGTCTCTCAGGATTATTTCCTATTTCAATTAAGCATTAAATATTTGAAAAGTGTGATCCTAGGCACTGAGGTTGCATGGTAAATAAGACAGACATAATTTTCTGCTTTTTTAAAGCTTATATTCTAGTGGAAGAGAGAGAAAATGCATAATTAAATAAATAAATGTATAGAATGTCATATTCTATTAAGAAAAATACATTAGGGCAAAAGATCAAGAATATGATTTCACCACATATAGTGACCAAGGAAAATGTCTCTGAGAAAATGACATATACCTAACCTATCAAATGTAATTACAGATGTTAAAAAAATAGAGGATTGGAAATCCTTATATATGCAGACAAGAATACTATAACCCTACTTTTTAGCTGAAAAATATCAAAAGAAAAGTAGAATTTATTTGAAGTTCACCCTTAAGTTCAGTCAGCTAGGATAGAATGACAAGATACTGTGTTGTACTTCAAAATATAGCCCCTACAAATACTTAAAAGTCAAACAAAAAAACAGCCCCAGGGCTTGTTGCAATAGTGTTGTCATCCATCTCTCCGAACATTTCAGGGAGATTGCAAACTGAAACAGACTCTCTCCACTGTACAAGAAACAGAGTTACTCTAAGAGAATATATGAATGTTGTTTCACACAGGGGCCTGATGGCTGGTAGTGACAGCTTGGAACAGTTTATTGAGAAGGGGAAAGTGCCTATGTGGGCTCCATTAGTGATGTATGCCCTGGGTGTTTGTTAGGGAGATGAATGGTGCCTGACAGACCTTTATTTCCCATTGCTACTCTATAATATCTGTTTAATGCCTATGCTGTCTCTCAGAGAAAATCTTGCACTTCCCCTTGGCACAATTACACCTATTAAACAAATATTGTGTAAAGTAAAAAAAAAAAAAACAAAAAACTCTATCACTCAGAAGCATCACCTTTTTTTTTCCACTGAAAACAGCCTCCCTCTCACCATCCTTATTATAGATGCAAAGCCTCTTTTGTGATAGGGATGTATAATGGTAGCATCTCGGTGGGATTAAACAGTACCCTGTGGCTGCCAATAGTCAAGTAGCTTTGCTGATGGTTGCATTGTAATTATCTATTTGCTTCTCTCTCTGATCTCTGGACTGGACTTACTGACAAAGGAAAATATGTCCTTCTGTATTCCAAGTGGTCAGCACACCACCATAAGCACTTAACAAATATTTGATGAATGAAAACATGAAGAGCTGCCATAGAAGTTATCCCTCTGAATGTATGCTGGTGGTGGGAAGAGGAGGAGTTTTCATCATTTTTCTAAACATGATTGCAGCTGCTTTGAGAGCAATCCAAGAATATGATTTGCCATACAAGACTAATCAGGAAATTCCTTTTATGATCTCATTTTCAGACAGATTAAATATAACTGGCAAGCACAAACTCAGCGTGTAATATCCCATAGGCACTGCAATTGTGAATCCAAGTAGTTTCAAACAAGCACCCAGTAGACAGCCGGCTGCTCTGTTCATTATCAGGAACAAATGCTGAGCCTTTAGATAGTTTGTCTAGATCCCGGGAATCACAGGCCCAAAGAAGCGTCATAAAGAACACAAATTGGCTCAGACACAACGTCTAATGTAGTCCCCTTTAAATTCAAAATACTTTCCCGTTTAATGACAGTTGAAAAATTTAATACATTTGCTTCTATTCTCCCAAAATATTACATTAATTTTATGTGTTTTGTTTTTAATTCTTTGTTCATGCTTCAGTTATCTTACTTCCATTTTGGCACACAAATTACCATTTTAAATGAATAATTCTAGAGTGAGTCAACTTTTTATAATATGAATCTGGTACCCTTATTTCATCAGTTTAAGGTTTTCCTTTTGTTAATAAACCAAATTTGTGTTACTCCATTCCTTCCTTCTGTTTTACTGTGGGGAGTCCTGTTTTTCTGTTTACTTATTTGTTCCTAAAGTCACTGTTGTTAAGTACATACTGGACTAATAAGAGGATCCTCTCATGTTACAAACCTGTCCTCGGTAAGGGGTCCTCTGTTCGAAATGGCCTCTGTCCACTTTTTCCAAAGGTCTCTGCTCTTTTCATTAGCTGCCTTCTTAAGTTTGTGGACATGCATCCTCCCTCCGGCTGCTACTGTTTGTATCAACTATGCTCAATGATCTTTGTTTTTAACGCCTGTAATAACAGCTGAGACCAGATGGCAAATTGTGGTAAAACAGTATTATAGATTTAGATACAAGCAAAGAGAAGTACAACATAAAATAGAAATAATTTAACATTTCTAATAAATCCTGCATGTCCAACCCTACTTCCGTGGGGATTCTATTGAGAGCAGGGCCGTTTCCTTGTAACATTTGTCAGCTTTTTCCCCATTCCCAATAGCAATGGTGGTGACAATGCTTTACAGAAGAGTGTCTCCATGCCTGCCTTTTACAGCCGCTTTCCTTAGTTGTAACATCTTGGACCCTGACCCTTTCCTAGATACCATTGTTAACAGTAAAATACCCACTTTTTCAGAGAAAAAAAAAAAAAAGCATTATCAATCCACAAGAGTATGGTCTTGTCTAATAACATCCGAAAGAGATCAACTGCTCTCAAATAAAACAAGACAACATCAGTACTTTTAGAATTTTCTGCCTTATATACCATTTTGTGCATAGTATATGGAGAAAATATCAACAGCCTTATCCTGTTTGAGATTGATGACATCCGGTTTGTTCATGTCCTTATTTGATTAGTTTTCCTGTCTTTTTTTATAGGACTCATATTCTTTCATATTTTTCCTTTCTCTTGGCTTTTATCTTTTGACCATGTTATAACTCCACTTTCCCAAATCCCAATGGACAAGTAATTTGGAAAAAGTATTTGTGGAACAAGTAACTTGGAAACAGTACCATCTAAATTCTCCTTAGGAAAAGTACCACTACTTCCAAATGAGCAACAAAGGAGCAAGAGATGCTTCAGAAACATATTCTTCTCTCATCATTCCTATTCAACCTAGTATCAGAAATTAGCTAGTAGAATAGGAAATAAAATAAACTAGAAAAGAAAATATAAAACTCTTTCTTTTTGTAGATGTTGTTATTGGTTATTGTCTACATAGAAAATCCAAACGAATCCACAAAAAAGCTCTAAAGTCTGGTAACTGCTGTGGAAAATCACATAATAAAAGACCAATATATTAAAATCAATTTAACTTCTGTATACTAGCTGGTTGCTGGTATTTCAATTTTATTTCAACTGGAAATTGAGATAATAATGAAACAGTACCACTTATAATAGTACCCCCCCAAAAAATCCTTGGATATTACATTAACAAGTATTTTATAGATTTGTATGGTAAAAATTATGCAAGTCTTACAGAAAAAATAAGGCTTAAACAATTGAGAGATAAATAGTATCCATGTATTGAAAGGATCAGCGAGGTGCCAAGATGGCTAACTAGAAGCATCTAGTGCACACCACTCTCACAGAGAGAAAGGAGAGAAAGGAGAGAGAGAGTGGCGAGTAAACAGTAGCTTTTTAAGTGGATCATTGACTAGGCCATGTTGGGATGCACCAAGGAAGCAATAGCAGCTAACAAAGAGCAGGAAAGAGCAAGGCAAGACAGCCACCTCCCTAGGATTGGTGCATAAGCAAGGAAGGTTTCCCATCACAGGGAAAGGGTGAGTGAGTGAGAGCCCTGGGGGATTTACACTTCTGCCAAGGACCTTTGCAATCCTGGGCACAGGAAATCCCGCTACCCTCACCCCTGGGGCCTCCAGACCGACACAGAGAGCTGCATGGAGTCTGGGCAGAGCTGCTGCCTAGGATCATGTGGAACCCCAAGGGTCTTAGATCCTTAAGCACCCCAGCACCAGCTGCTATAGCTCTGCCAACAAGCAAGGCTAGGCTCTCTCACATACCCCCAGGATAGGAGCTGCATCCATGTTGCCAAGGAGCAGACAGAAGAAAGGCCTTGCCTCTGCTGTACCTCACCAGGCAAGGCCCACTGTCCTTGGACCCCAGGGTGGCCACCCTACCCCTACCTGAGCATTTGAGTTGGTTGGAGCTCTGCATTTCTCAAGGACAGAGCTCCCAGAGGTAACTGATAGGCCTGCAGTGTTTGCACTGCTGAGGCCCCTGCCCTTGCTGCCCTCAGGCAGGGAAGGAAGCAAAGAGCCCAAGAACTTTCTTGGGCCTCCAGCGTGCTGCATACAGAAAAGTGGCCAGTCTCTTTTCTTTGTAGGTCCCTGTGCCTGCTGTTCCTCACTGGGCAGGACCTCCCAACCTGGGCCCCTAGTGCAGCTGCTCTAGCCCCACCTGATCACTTCAGTCAGTGATGGCTCTGCAATACTCTGGGGTGAAATTCCCAGAGAACTCTGACAGGATCTCTGTCATTGTCACTGCAGCAATACCCACCCTTGCTGCCCTTGGACTGGGAAATAAAGAAAGACCCTGATCACTTTGCTTATACCTCTAGCATGCTATAGCTACCATACAGAGGGGAGGCCAGACTCTTTAATTTGTGAGTCCCTGGACCCTGCTCTTCACCAGGCAAGTCCCCTGGTTTGGATCCCGCAGTGCAACTGCCCTACCTCTGGTTGAACATCCCCACTGGCAGTGGATTTGTGTCTCTCTAAGGTGGAGCCAGAAGCAACTGACAGCCCCTCTGCCATTGCCACTGTCCAGGTTACTGACCCTGCTGCCCCCAAGATGGGGAGGGAACAAAAAGCCTGAGATCACCCAAGAGCTGCAGTGTGCAGCCTGAGTGCCAGGCTTGAATGGAAGAGGAGCCCACACTTTCAGAGCACTGAGAAGTAGCACAGTTGCAAATGCAAGAAAGTATTACACATAGGAACCACGAAGCTGAGTAAGAGCCTACCTACTGCCTATTACATTTAAGCACCATCTACTGAATTAAATCTCAAACTATAACACCAAAAATAATTTGCTAATATCCCTTCCTGTGAAAAACAACATCAAGATTTCAGCCACAATAAAGACCCTGCAAAAAACCTTTGCCCTCTGAAAACATCCAGAAATGAAGCCAAATGACTGTACTCAATTTATAATTACAGTTAAAAGAACATCAGCTCACACACATGAAAAAGAACCAGCATAAGAACTGTGGCGACTCTAAAAGCCAGAGTGTCTTCTGACCTCCATACACCACACTGGTTTCCCCACAATGATTCTTAACATGAATGAAATGGCTGAAATGACGCCATAGAATTCAGAATCTGGATGGCAATGAAGATCATTGACATTAAAGAAAGTGCTGAAATCCAACTCAAGAAATCTAAGGAATTTAATAACACAGTTCCAGACATGAAAGACAAAACAGCGTTTTTAGGAAAGAACAAAACTGATCTGATAGAGCTGAAAAACTCACAACAAAAATTGCATAATACAACTGGAATTATTAACACCAGCATGGACCAAGCTGAGGAAACAATCTCAGATCTTGAAGACCCTTTGAATCAACTCAATCAGACAAAAATAAAGAGAAAAAAATTTGTAAGTGAACAAAATGTCTTGGAAATATGGGATTATATAAAGAGACCAAACATACAACTCATTGGCATCCCTGAGAGAGAAGGAGAGAGACCAAATAACTTGTAAAATGTATCTGAAGATATGGTCCACAGAAATTTCCCTAACCTCATGAGAGGTAGACTCTCACATTCCAGAAATTCAGAGAATCCCTGAGAAATATGATAAAAGATTGACAATCCCAAGACACATAGTCATCAAATTCTCTAAAGTCAATGCTAAAGAAAAAATATTACAGACAGCTTGAGAGAATGGGTAGGTTACCTACATAGGGAACTCCACCACGCTAACAGTGAACCTTTCATCAGAAACGCTACAAGCCAAAATAAAATGGGTGGTTGTATTCAGCATTTTTTTTAAAAGACATCCAATAAAGAATTTTATACATAGCCAAACTAAGCTTCACAAGCAAAAGAGAAATAAAATCCTTTTCAGATAAGCAAATGTTGAGGGAAATCATTACCACCAGACCTGCCCTATGAGTCATTGTTAAGAAAGTTCTAAACATGGAAATGAAAGATCATTACCTTTCACCTCAAAAACATACTGAAGTACATAGACCATTGAGATTGTAAAGCAAACTACACAATCAAGCCTACATAACAGTCAGCTTACAACATAATGACTGGATCAAATCTGCACATACCAGTATTAACCTCAAACATAAATAGGCTAAACACCCCCCTTAAAAGGCACAGAGTGGCTAGGTAGATCAAGAAGCAAGACTTAAATATGTGCTATCCTCAAGAGACTCAGCTCATATGCAAATGACACTCATAGGCTCAAAGTAAAAAAAAAAAAAATGGATAAACAACTATCAAGGAAACAGAAAACAAAAAAGATTTGTTAGTCTCATTTCAGACAAAACAAACTTTAAACCAAAAATGATCAAAAAAGACAAAGAAGGACAGAAGGATATAATATAATGATAAGTAGTTCAATTCTTCAAGAAGACTTAACTGTCATAAATATACATGCCCCTGGCACTGGAGCACCCAGATTTGTAAAACAGGTTCTTAGAGACCTATAAGATACTTAGATACTTAGAGTGCAAAATTTTAACACCCCACTGATACCATTAGACAGATCAGTGAAGCATAAAACTAGTAAAGATATTTGGCACCTAAACTCAACACTTGACTAAATAGATCTAACAGACATCTACAGAACCCTACACTCAACAACAACAGAATAAATATTCTTCTTATCTGCAAATGGCACATACTCTAAAATCAACCACATGCTTGGCCATAATTCAATTATCAACAAATTTAAAAAAAACTAAAATCATACCAACCACACTTTCAGACCACAGTGCAATAAAAACAGAAACCAATACCAAGAAGATCTCTCAAAACCCTACAATTACGTGTAAATTAAACAGTCTGATCCTGAATGATTTTTGGGTAAAGAATGAAATTTAGGTAGAAATCAAGAAATTATTTGAAACAAATTAAAAAAAAGATGCAACATAGTAGAATCTCTGAGACACAGCTAAAGCAGTGTTAGGAGGAAAATTTATAGCACTAAATGCCCACATCAAAAAATTAGAAAGTTCTCAAGTGATCAACCTAATATCGCACCTAGAGGAACTAGAAAACGAGAACAACTAATCCTAAAGCTAGCAGAAGAAAAGAAATAACCAAAATCAGAGCTGAATTGAATGAAGTGATGAGAAAAGTCATACAAATTTCAAAAAAACCCAAAATTTGTCATTTGAAAGAATAAAGATGATTGATGGATCATTAGCTAGACTAATAAATAAAAAATAAGAGGAAATTCTAATAAACACAACCAGAAATGACAATGGGGATCTTACTACCAATCCCACAAAAATCAACATAGAAAAAAGACTCAGAGACTATTATGAACAAACAACTCTAAGCACACAAATAAGAAAATCTAGAATAAATAGATTAATTCCTGGAAACATACAGCCTCTCAAGACTGAATCAGGAAGAAACTTTAACCCTGAACAGATCAATAATGAGTTTGAGGCCAGGTGCGATGACTCACACCTGTAATCCCAGCACTGTGGGAGGCTGAGGGAGGCAGATCATTTTGAACTCCTGAGGTCAGGAGTTCAAGACCAGAGGGACCAACATGGTGAAACCATGCCTCTACTAAAAATACAAAAAAAAAAAAAAAAATTAGTCAGGTGTGGTGGTGCATGCCTGTACAGCTACTTGGAGGCTGAGGCAGGAGAATCACTTGAATCTGGGAGGCAGAGGTTGCAGTGAGCTGAGATTGTGCCCCTGCATTTCAGCCTGGGCAACAGAGGAAGGCTCCATTTCAAAAAAATAAAAAATTAAAAAATTAAAATTAAAATAAAAAAATGAGTTTGAAATTGAACATAAAAAAACCAAACAAACAAAAAAACCTACCAAAAAGCCCTGGACCAGAGTGATTCACAGCTGAATTCTATCAAACACATAAAGAAGAACGGGCACGAGTCCTACTGAAACTATCCTAAAAAATCAAGGAGGATGGAATCCTTTCTGATTCCATGAGGCTAGTATCATTTTGATACCTAACCTTGGCAAAGATGCCATAAAAAGAAAACTTCAAGCCAATATCCATGATGAAGGTAGATGGAAAAATCCTCAATGAAACACTATCAAAGCAAATCCAGCAGCACATCAAAAAGCTAATGCACCATGATCAAGTAGACTTTCTTCCTGGGATGCAAGACTTGTTCAACATAAACAGTTTAATAAATGTGATTCAGCATATAAAAAGAATGAAAAACAAAAATCACATAATCATCCCAATAGATATAGAAAGGTCTTTCAATAAAATTCAACATCCTTTCATTTATAAACTCTCAACAAGCTCTGTCATGAAAGAAGATATCTTAATATAATTACAGCCATATACAACAAACCCACAGCCAACATCATACTAAATAGGCAAAAGCTGGAAGCATTCCCCTTGAGAACAGGAAGAAGATATAGATGCTCAGTGTAATCACAACTCTTTCACTACTTCTAGTCCTAGCCAGAGCAATCAGGCCAAAGAAGGAAATAAAAGGCCTTCAAATAGGAAGAGAGAATGTCAAGCTATCTCTCTTTATAGATGATATAATTCTATAACTAGGAAACTTTATAGTCTCTGCCCAAAGGCTCCTAGAATCAATAAACAACTCCAGCAATGTTTCAGAAAACAAAATCAGTAACATTTCTATAGAATAATAATGATCAAGATGAGAGCAAAATCAAGAATGCAATCCCATTCACAATAGCCACAAAAGAAAAAAATAGGAATATAGCTATATTAGTCCATTTTCATACACTATAAAGAAATACATGGGACTAGGTAATTTATAAAGTAAAAGAGATTTAATGGACTCACAGTTCCACATGGCTAAGGAGGCCTCACATTCATATTGGAAGGCAAAGGAAGAACAAAGGCACATCTTACATGGTGGCAGGCAAGAAAGCATGTGCAGGGGAACTGCCCTTTACAAAACCATCAGAACTGATGAGACTTACTCACTATCATGGGAACAGCATGGGAAAACCCCACCCACATGATTCAATTACATACCACCAGGTCACTTCCATAACACGTGGGGATTATGAGAGCTACATTTCAGGATGAGGTTTGGGTGGAGACACAGCCATACCATATAATTCCACCTCAGTCCCTCCCAAATCTCATGTTCTCACATTTCAAAACCAATCATGCCTTCCCAACAGTCCCACAAAATCTTAACTCATTTCCGCATTAACCCAAAAGTCCAAGTTCAATGTCTCATGTGAGACAAGGCAAGTCTCTTCCACCTATGAGACTGCAAAATCAAAAGCAAGTTAGATTCTTCCTAGATACTATGGGGGTGCAGGCATTGGGTAAATAGATCTATTTGAAATGGGAGAAATTGGCCAAAACCAAGGGGATACAGGGCCCTTGCAAGTCAACAGGACAGTCAAATCTTAAAGTTTCAAAATGATCTCCTTTGACTCCATGCCTCACGTTCAGGTCATGCTGATGCAAGAGGTAGGTTCCCATGGTCTTGGGTAGCTCCACCCCTGTGGCTTTGTAGAGTATAGCCCTCCTCCTCACTGCTTTCACAGGCTGGCTTTGAGTATCTGCGGCTTTTTCAGATGCATTGTGTTGTCAGTGGATCTAAAATTCTGGGGTCTGGAGGATGGTGGCCCTCTTCTCACAGCTCCACTGGGCAGTGCCCCAGTGGGACTCTGTGTGGGGGCTCCCACCTCACATTTCCCTTCTGAACTTCCCTAGCAGAGGTTCTCCATGAGGGCCCTGCCCCTGCAGCCAACTTCTGCCTGGTCATCCAGGCATTTTCATACATCCTCTGAAATCTAGGCAGAGGTTCCCAAACCTCAATTTTTGACTTCTGTGTACCCACAGGCCCAACACTATTGGTAAGCTGCCAAGGCTTGGGGCTTGTATCTTCTGAAATAATGGCCTGAGCTGTACCTTGACTCGTTTTAGCCATGGCTGGGACACAGGGCACCAAGTCCTGAGACTGCACAAATAAGCAAGGCCCTGGGTCCACCCATGAAACCATTTTTTCTACTGAGGTTTTTGGGACTGTAATGAGAGGGGCTGCTGTGAATATTTCTGACATGCCCTGGATATATTTTCCCATTGTCTTGGTGATTAACATTTTGCTGCTTGTTACTTATGCAAATTTCTGCAGCTGGCTTTAACTTCTCCTCAGAAAATGGGTTTTTCTTTTCTATCACATTGTCAGGCTGCACATTTTTTGAACTTTTATGCTCTGCTTCCCTTTTAAACATAAGTTTCAATTCCAAACCATATCTTTGTGAATACATAAAACTGAATGCTTTTAAGAGCACTCAAGTTATATCTTGAATTTTTTGCTGCTGACACATTTTTTTTTTTCCACTAGATACCCTAAATCATCTCTCTCAAGTTCAAAGTTCCACAGATCTCTAAGACAGGGGCAAAATGCCACCAGTCTCTTTGCTAAAGCATATCAAGAATCACCTTTGCTCCAGTTCCCAGTAAATTCCTCATCTCCTTCTGAGACCACCTCAGCCTGGACTTTTTGGTCAAATTATTTGACAAGTCTCTTGGAAGCGCCAAACTTTATGACATCTTATTGTCTTCTTCTGAACCCTCCAAACCATTCCAACCTCTGACTCTTATCAAGTTCCAAAGTCGCTTCCACATTTTCAGGTTTCTTAATAGCAGTATCCCAATCTACTGGTACCAATTTACTGTATTAGTCCATTTTCATACTGCTATAAAAAAGTGCCTGAGACTGAGTAATTCATAAGGAAAAGAGGTTTAATGGACTCACAGTTCCACATGGCTAAGGAAGCCTCAAAATCTTGTTGGAAGGGGAAGGAGGAGCAAAGGCACGTCTTACATGGTGGCAGCCAAGAGAGCATGTGCAGAGAAACTGCCCTTTATGAAACCATGAGATCCCATGAGACTTATTAACTATCATGAGAACAGCATGGGAAAAATCCACCCCCACGATTAAATTACCTCCCACCCCATCACTCCCATGACACATGCAAATTATGGGAGCTATAATTCAAGATGAGATTAGGGTGGGACACAGCCAAACCATATCAACAGCTAACCAGGGGGATGAAAGAGCTCTATGAGAAGAATTACAAAACACTGCTGAAAGAAATCAGACACAAACAAATCGAAAAAACATTCCATGGTCATGGATAGAAAGAAACAGTATTTTAAAAATGGCCATACTACCCAAAGCAATTTACAAGTTCAATACTATTTCTATCAAAATACTGTCATTTTTCACATATGTAGAAAAACTGTTCTAAAATTTATGTTGAATCAAATAAGAGCCCCAATAGCTAAAGGAATCCTAATCAAAAAGAGGAAACCCAGATGCATCCCATTATCTGACTTTGAACTACACTATAAGTCCACAGTACCAAAACATGACGCTGGTCCAAAAACAGATACATAGACAAATGGAACAAAATAGTACACTCAGAAATAAAGCTGCACACCTACAAAAATCTTACCTGCAACAAAGCTGACAATAAAGAAAAATGTGGAAAGGACTCTCTATTCAATAAATGGTGCTGGAATAACTGACTAGCCATATGCAGAAAATTGAAACTGAACCCCTTTATTTTACCATATACAAAAATCAACTCAAGATGGATTAAAAACGTAAATGAAAATCTGAAACTTAAAAAATTCTAGAAGAAAACCTAGCAAATACCATTCTGGACTCGGCTATGGCAAATATTTCATGATCAAGACTCCGAAAACAATTGCAACAAAATCAAAAATTGACAAGTGGGACCTAATGAAACTGAAAAGCTTCTGCAAAGCAAATGAAGGTGTCAACAAAGTAAATAGATGACCAGCAGAATGGGAGAAAAAAACTTACAAACGATGCAACTGAGAAAGGTCTAATATCCAGAATCTAAAAGAAACTTCAGCAAATTAACAGGTAAACAAAGAACCCTGTTAAAAAACAGGCAAAGAATATGAAAAGACACTAAAACTAAAATAAAGTTAGAAAAAAAAAGAAAACCAAAAAAAGAAAATATCAGTGTTAAGACATTGATTTTCCTCAAACTGACCTATAAAGTCACTCTAATCTCAATTAAAATTTCATCAATATGTTTGGTAAATATCAACAACCTTATTTTAGAATCTACATGGAAAGGGAAAGAAATTAGAATAGTTTAAATGGCTTTTAAAGGAAGAGATTTGAAGGATTTGTACTGATTGCTTGCAATGCTATTCTAAAGCTACAGAAATCAAGACTATGGGTAATTGGTGAAATGATAGACATATTAATCAAAGAAAAATAAAAAAAGTACAGAAACAGATTCACAAAAAAAAGAACATGTAATTTTGACAAGCATGAAGAGGCAATTCAATAGAGAAAAGATTGAAAAAACACACATGGCATTTGGACTAATGGATATATACATGCAAAATTAAAAACTTTGTCCCATATTGACATGGTTTGGCTATGTCCCCACCCAAATCTCATCTTGATATGTAGCTCCCATAACTCTCACATGTTGTGGGAGGGACCCAGTGGGAGATAATTGAATCATGGGGGCAGTTTCCCTCATACTGTTCTCGTGGTAGTGAATAAGTCTCAGGACATCTGATGGTTTTATAAGGAGAAACCCTTTTCTCTTCTCATTTTCTCTCTTGCCTGCTGCCATGTAAGACATGCCTTCTACCATGATTGTGAAGCCTCCCCAGCCACATGGAACTGAGTCCATTAAATCTCTTATTCTTTATAAATTACCCAGCCTCAAGTATGTTTTTATCAGCAGTGTGAAAACAGACTAATACACATATAAAATTTAACTCAAAATCAATCATAAGCCTAAATGTAAAAATAAAAGTGTATACCATCTCACATCCATTATGATTGCTACTTTAAAAAAACAAGCAAAAAAATTACACAAGAAACGCAAACAAGAAACTAAGCAATAATGAAAACAACCAGAAGATAGCAAGTATTGAAGATGATGTGGAAAATTTGGAACCCTTGTGTACTGTTGCTGGGAATGTAAAATTGTATAGCCACTGTGGAAAACAGTATGGTGGTTCCTCGAGAAATTAAAAATACTATTACCATATGACCCAACAATTCCACTTCTAATTATATACCCCAAATAATTAAAATCAGGGTCTCAAATAGATGTTTCTACACCCATGTTCATAGAAGCATTATTCACAATAGACAAAAGGAAGAGGCAATCAGGTGTATACGGACAGGTGAATGGAGTAACAAAGTGTGGTATACACATACATACAGGCAATGTAAATCTGCCTTAACAAGGAAAGAAATTCTGACACATGCTACAATATGGAGGAATCTTGAGGACATTTTTCTGAGTGGAATTTCAGACACAAATTATACTGTAGGATTCTACTTGTATGAGGTACTTGGATTAATCAAATGTATAGAGACAAAAAGTAAAACGGTGACTTTCAGGAATTTTTGGAATGGAAAAATGGGGAGTCACCATTTAATGAATACAGAGTTTCAATATGAGAAAAGATGAGAAAAGATTTCTGGAGATGGATGGATGCTACTGTGGATGGTTGCACAACATTGTGAATGTACTTTTTTGCACTTAATTGTACACTTACAAATAATTAAAATTGTGATATTTATGTTATGTATATTTTATTACAACTAAAAAATTATAAAAGTTAAGAAACAAAAATTGTGAAATTTCCTGAAGAAGATATAGGAGAACACTTTTGTGACCTTGAGCTAAGCAAAATGTTCTTAGAAATGATATGGAAAGCACAATTTATACATTAAAAATGATAATTTATATGTATTTAAAATTAAAACTTCAGTCATGTATAAGATATATTAAGATAATATTTTCCCAGAACTTATGAGAATAGTTTTTTTTTACTGCTGACAAAGAAAATGTATGCAGAATATAAAAAGAACTCTCAAAAACTTAATAACAAAAAAATAAAAACAATATAACATTAGGATTCATGGGAGACTTGGAGGGTAGAAAAGAAACAGTAGGCATTTTTGTAGCTCACACTTTTTCGCCAATTGTCTGACTTACCTGCATTAGCATAAAGCATCAACTGAGTTTGCAAGGGCCCCTGCCTGTCCCCTGATGCTCATTGACTTCCATGAATCTTCAGCCAGATATATATATTTGGCTTTAACAAATGGTGCCAACTTCTGCAAGATAGCCTTGCCACCAAGAACACAGACAATAAGTAACATGAGTTTTGGTTTGTTGTTGTGGGATTTCAGGTCATGCTTATGGTTTCCAACATGGCCTTGATCTCCTCAACTTTGCATCTATAGTTGATTCCTGATTGGCTGCTCTGTGAACTTCAAGCTCCAGCATCAGATAAAAGCCCTACAGTGACTTCTTAGCTCCCACAATTGCAGAGAGCCAATTTCTGTAACTGAATTGGGTTTCCAATTTGCTTTCACATATTCAACTCTGCCCTATTTACACAGCAGATGCTTTGCACAACTGTCTTGACAATGATACATTTCTAAACACTAAACCATGAAAAATAAAAGTTCTCAAAGAAAGTGAAAAAATAACTTCACTTTGGCCAATTAATTTATCATAGCGAACCCTCATCTCTGTGTGCAGTTCTGGTCATCTTCAGTCCGCTAATTATCATATATCCTTTTTTGGAATAAATTGATACCAGTTGCCTTTAATAATGAGAAAAGCATACCTGGGTCTTTTTATATCAGTGACCCATGACAAAATCCATTTCCACCATTATGTTGGCTTTGTTCCAACACCTGGCCTTGAATAAAATGCTATCATGACTTTTCTTATTATTGAGCTGGATGGAGTAACATGAAAGCAAAATTACACAGCCAGAAGTTGAATCATGAAAGTACTTCTACCATAATGGATAGGTGTTTCATCAGCAATTTCCGAGCCTCTCTAATATGAGCAAAAAAAGGCCTGCTAATAGAACAAGCAAGACAAATAACAAAGAAGGAATGATCAAACCTCATTAACACTGTGAAAGACTCTTAGCTGCTCAGGCACCAAAAGTGGTAATTAGTTCACACTTTGCTGCTTAAACTTCTTCACATTTTCTGTAAACATGATGGTCAAAAGTTTCCTTAAGTGGGTCATTTGCATGAGTGTCCTTGTTCTAAAGAGACACAGAGCTCTGGGATCCCTGGAGGTAAGAGAACTTAATAATGGCTAAAGTGTCAAACATCTTGACAGTTACCACTGCAGAATCAACTGTGAATGTTCAGATTCCCAAACCTAATACACCACCCTCTTCAGCTCAATTACCTAAATGCATTTTAGGGGTTTGTAATTTTCCTGGAGTGTAATTTTATATTGGCAGACCTTGGTACTTGCCTCAGCTCTGCAATTTATCACCTATGCAAACTTTGGTATGTTATTTCACCTCAAGTTTCAGTTCCCTTCACTTTAAAGCAGTTTTAACTACTTGATTACCTACTGAACTGATTATAAAATTTCATAAAGATAACAGACTTTTAAAGTAATATGTAGACATTCAATGATAAGCAAATATGAAGGATTGTATTATTCCTAGAAGAGATCTATGGGGGTTTTGATAGATGCCAAATTGAGCACAGGAAGAATATAAGGATCAAAATGTTTGCTGTTATAATTGAACTGCAGAACATGACATGACTCAGGGGCAGAATGGACTTTAGACAGCTTCTCCTCTGAATTCAAATTGTATTCCCATTCACACATAAGACAGGAGAAGAAAATGCTGGCTCCTGCTGTGAGAAACTCCCAGTGGACTTATTTCATGGACCATCAAAAATAATTTCAGGTTGAAAAATAGGATGATACTAAAAGATACACTCTAAAGTAGGCTAAACTATCATTTTTTCCCACAGATTTAATAATTAGATAAATACAAGTGAGAAAGCAAGAAATAAAAATAGAAGTGCTCTTCCCAATGTTACCAAGAGGATGGAAGTTTTCATTATTTTAACCAAGGTACAAATTCAAGGAAAGAGAATAAAACACCCTAAGCCCTGACCAACATTGTATATTTTAGAACTGATTACAATTTCAGTAACACAAAAGGCATAGATTATGTCAGTGAGTTGATAAAGGGAACCAACTACTCTTATTTTATAAAATATGATTAAGTTTCTTTGATTAAAGGAAACCTGATTGAAATTATAAACATAAAATCTAAAAGGAGGATGTAATATTTGTGCATGTAACTCTCTTTCTAGGAAGCAGGTTTGCTCATGAATTCAAACAATTTACTGTAAAAAAAAAAGCTTTAGTTTCAGAATATAAAACAATACTAATTAGTGAGTGTGATAACAGGAAAGAGAGAACAAGGAAGGGAAGAAAGAAGGAAGGAGAGAGGGGTCAGTTGATCTGCAGAATCAATAGGTATTTTTAAAATATAAGTATCTTAGTGGTTAAAGGGAGGTTAAACATAGGCAAGAAAATTAGGCGTATTTAAAGCCAACTGCTATTCAAGATGGAAATAAGAGAGTGGATCCTAATTGAACTGTCACTGGGTTACTGAGAGCCAAAGTTATTAAATGGAGGAAAATCGGTAGGAATTTAAAAATCAAATTGCATGTTTTTTTCCTGAGGAAAACTCATAACCAGGAAGATATTGAAAATTTGCCCTCTTAAAACTAAGGAATTAATAATAGAAATAACTGAGATGGCTGGAATGGCAACATTCTATTGCTACAGAAAACTTTGTCAAATTTGAAAGGAAAGATTAAATTAAACATATCACACCTTATCAGATGAAATTCAAGGTGATTGTTATTTCTGCTAGTGTTTAGGGTAAGGCAATTACACAAAATTCATCTCCAGCCCTTATATCAAATTAAATATCTAAGGAAAACTCAGGGAAGATGAGCCATATGAAATAAAAAGCTTTACTGAGAAATAGGAATCAACGAAGATACTTCCTGGGTGGAATGACGGTACTTAAGGAGAGGGAGGTGAGCCAAATTTGTTTGAACAGATGAACTCTCATTTACTTCATTTTTCTTGCACTAGAGAATACTCATAAATCTGAATGTGAGAAAAGTACATTATCCAAACAAATAGCTTGGCCTTAAGGAAAACAAACAAACAAAATGCAAAATGAATGAAGGCGCACTACTCTAATTCAATCGGTAATGATAATGCTGCATGAAGTAAGAGAGTCAGCATAAACAGCAGGCTAAAATGTTAGAAACTAAATAGAGCTACCAGAATAGGAGTAGAGGGTAAAAATAGAGAGAAATGAAAAAATAGGGCCACATTCCATGGCTGCAGGAAAATATGTGGCAGAAAGCACTGCTTTTAATGACCTCAAGGTAGTAGTACTGGTTACAGAAAGAAACTATATTGGTCTTCATTGGGCCCCTTCAGAATAAACAAAAATTTGGAGGTGTAGAATGTGGAGATTACAAGCTAAGATATAGTGACATTCCAGACATCTCAGTTATTCTCCACATTCTGCACCTCCAAAGTTCTTGTTTAGTCTTAAGGGGCCCAGTGAAGACGAATATAGTTTATTTCAGTAATCAATACTACCTTGATGTCATTAAATGCATTGCTTTCTGCCACATGTTTCTGCCACATTGCTTTCTGCCATATATACGTATATATATATGATTGGTAGGAGTTACAATTATTAGAGAGAACACTCATTAATTTTAGAATTAAAACAGATTAAGACAAGGAACAAATAACAAAATGGTGCTTCTAGTTGTTAAGCAAATGTATGTTCAGATAAACCATTTCTAATATAGCATCTCTAAAAAAGCAACATATAATAGGAAACATTGCTTTTCAAATGCATGCCTAAGATGGCATTCCAAGAAAGGCAAATTTCACAAAATAGATTTCCTCTAGGGGTGCAAGCTAAAACTGCATCCAGATTTTGGCTTCGGGGCCTTCGCTGATCCTAGAGTCTGAGTGTTTCCAAAAGACACTTTAACACAGTGATGGACACTTACTGTGGATGAGCCACTGAACCCAGGCTGCTTATAATGCAGGCAGGAGAGTCTGTGCCTTTAGGTAGAAAGACACAAAATCTGAGGCTAAAAAGATGGTGGTCAGATTTGAGGCAACTAAAATAAAATTTGAGGCAACTAAAATAAAGCGGAGATGGATAATACAGTGACATCCATAGTGGGTATAATAGAGAAGAAGGAGAAGGCAAGAAGGAAAAGTAAAAGAGGAGAGGGAGAGGGGGAGAGCTACCTGAAGGTTCCTAAACTCAGACCTCCCGTCAAGTAGGTTTCAGTCTAGAATTCATGTCATCTTTGTACCCTCCCTTTCTTCCATTAAAAACAAAACAAAAAAAAAAACAACAAAAACAAAAACAACTTAGTTTCCTGCAGAAAATTAAGTTAACCTTGCATGGATAGTCAATGTTGTAGAAGCACAACAGAAACAAATATGCTTTCTCTCTAATATAATTCCACAGAAATGATATTACAGAAAAATTTCATTAAACCCTGAAATAAATAAGTCATGAGAGACAGCAAAACCAAAACACTGTTGAACCAGACCGGCAAAATGGGTGACTTTACCTCATCAGTTATCAAACTTAAATACATTGGCCAGGCGCGGTGGCTCATGCCTGTAATCCCAGCACTTTGGGAGGCCGAGGCAGGCGGATCATGGGGTCAGGAGATCAGGACCAGTCTGACCAATATGGTGAAAGCTGTCTCTACTAAACATACAAAAATTAGCCGGGCTTGGTGGCACAAGCCTGTAGTCCCAGCTACTCAGGAGGCAGAGGCAGGAGAATCCTTTGAACCCGGGAGACAGAGGTTGCAGTGATCCCAGATTGCGCCACTGCACTCCAACCTGGGCAACAGAGTGAGATTCTGTCTCAAAAAAAAAAAAAAAATACGCTTAATATGACTAAGAAATAAAGGAGTAGAAAGTATTATGAAATAATATGAAATCATTACAATTGAAGAGAAATATAAAGCCGGGCATGGTGGCTCATGCCTGTAATCTCAGCTCTTTGGGAGGCTGAAACAGATGGATCACTTGAGCTCAGGCTAGACTTATAGATGAATACAACAAAATAGAGAACCAAAAATGCAAAAAAAGATACTTCTGAATTGTGCTCTTCAAAAAGAAGGGGAATGACTCAAGAAAAAAGGTTTTAGGTAAAATCTTTGACAATAATATGTGATTTGGAAAATTAGATGTATAGTATATAGTAGTTTTGAAAAATATCCCAGCAATATTTTTGGTCCTTTATGCTTTTTGAGAATTTTGCCACTTCCTAATCAAGAGATAGTACCTATAATACCTATTTATAATGCCAATTTCTCTTTGTATGGCACGTGGACAAGCCTTATGACTGCTTCAACAATTACAATGTGATGGAAATGATGTTTTTTATGCCTTTTGATATTAGGGTGTAAAAACTGATGTAGTTTCTGTCTGGCTTTGAAGAGACTATAGAAAAAGACCAGATAAAGCCAGAAAGAAGTGTTCAGGAAGTCCCAGTTTTTCCTGTCCTCAATTGTTTGATTTTCTAAGTTTTAGGCAATTGATGGGTAATTCAGAGAGGCTTCAGAAGATTTAAGGCACGGCCATGGTCTCACTGCAACTGCCTGAGAGAATTTAAGCAAAAATCACCTAGCTAAACCAACCAGTTCTTAGAACTATGACGAGTAATAAATACGTATTTGTTTTGCCACTAAGTTCTGTGGTGGTATGTTACACAGCAATAATAACTGGAAAATATCTTGATATCTGACAGAGGAGTAATGCCATAACAAAAACATAAACATGTAGAAGTAATGTTAGGACAAGGAAGCAGAGAAAAATTAGAAGGGCCTTGAAGAAACTAGTAGCAAAAGCTTGATGACCCTCGAGGAAGCTGTCAATGGAAGCTTAAAGAAAACTGAGGAAAAAGGTACTAGAAACTATTGGAAATAGATTCTTGTCCTACAGAGACAAAATGTTTAGCTACCCTGTTACCTGCAGTGACAGGGAAAATAGAATAGAAATGTACCTATTAACCTAAGTGGTCTACCTAAAGAGATGCTCAGGCAGACTGTTGAAGGTGTTGGTTGTCTTCTTGTATGTCTATAATAAAATATGAGAGAGGAGAAATAAACTAGTGAGATAGCTGCTAATTTCAAAGGTGCAAGAATCTTCATAAGTCTAATATAAAACTGATTATTATTTTGATTATCTTATTCTTGATGGTAAAATTGATAAATGGTATCTGGCCAGAAATAAAATCCAGAGTGTTGTCAAGAGAAATGGTTTAGGCCGGGCGTGGTGGCTCACGACTGTAATTCCAGCACTTTTGGAGGCCAAGGCAGGTGGGTCACGAGGTCAGGAGATCGAGACCATCCTGGCTAACATGGTGAAACCCTGTCTCTACTAAAAATACAAAAAATTAGCCGGGTGCGGTGGCGGGCGCTGGGAGGCTAAGACAGGAGAATGGTGTGAACCCGGGAGGCGGAGCTTGTAGTGAGCCAAGATGGCGCCACTGCACTCCAGCCTGGGCAACAGAGCAAGACTCCGTCCCCAAAAAAAAAAAAAAACAAAAAACCAAAAAAACAGAAATGGTTTAAATATGGTGTGGGACAAGTATACAACTATATAATCTTTTGTTAATATCTCATAAAGATTTAAACAAGTGGCACAAACAGACACATCTCCATCTCAGGATCTTATGGGCATGTCTTGCAAATATTCTCTCTTAAAACCATAGAAATATACAAGTCTTAAGGACATTGTTTTATAGCAACTTTATATAAAACCTAAGACTGAAAAGGCTTACTTTGAAGAGATTTGTGGATGTCTAATTGAGAGAATCACAATGTTCATGGGAATCACCTTTTTTAAAAAAATTGTATTGGCAAAACAGCAACAAGTAGAACAAAAAATGACAGAGGAAGTATAAAAGTCAGAAAACACTTTTGAACCCTAGGTTTATTTTTGGCAAGAACTGGCTCAGCTTCATACTCTTGTTCATACTCTTGCTATTTTTTATGGAAAAGAAAGGATGGCTCAGTGAGAAGAACCCGGAATCCATAGAGTGAAGCCAAGAACCATTACAAATCATTCCCAAGTATGAGTCTGAGCTCTAATTAAGAAAATGTTTAAATGATGCATTTGAAATTACTATACATGAGTGACTTCTAGTACTGCTTTTCTTTTTTCTATTTTGAGTAGAATGGTCTATACTTGTTATGACTGTTCTATTATGTGTCTGTTTTTATGCCAATATTATGCTCTTTCGGTTACAACTGCTATGTAGCATAGTTTGAAGTCACATAATGTAATGTCTCCAGCTTTGTTCCTTTTGCTAAGTGATCTAAAGACCAGTGCACAAAAAATAACTTATTTTTGCCCTGCAGATAGCCCCTACGTACAATAGCAGGTGTATAGCGAGAGGAAATGAAATCAGTATGTTGAAGAGATATCTGCACTCTCATCTTCATTGCAGCACTATTTACAATAGCAAAGATATGAAATCAACCCATGTTCCTTAACAAATACATGGATTTGAAAAGATAGAATATATTTAGGATGAAATAATAAAATTCTACCACTTGTGACAGCATGAATGAATCTTGAGGATGCTACGATAAGTGAAATAAATCAAGCAGAGAGGGACACTAATAAAGTTTGGATATTTGTCCTTACCCATATCTCATGCTGAAATGTAATCTCCAGTGTTGAAGGTAGGGCCTGGTGGGAGGTTTATGGGTTATGGGAATGGATTCTTCGTGAATTGGTGCCAGGCTCTCAATAGTGACTTCTCACAAGATCTGGTTGTTTAACGTGTGTGGCATCTCCCCCACTCTCTCTTGCTCCTGCTTTCACCATTTGATATGGCTGTCACTACTTTACCTTATACCATGAGTAAAAGTCCCCTGAGGCCTCTCCACAAGCTGAAAAGATGTCAGAGCCGTGTTTATAAAGCCTACAGAACTATGAGACCTAAAGCCTAAAGACCAATAAGCCAATTAAGCCTCTTTTCTTTATAAATTACCCAGTCTCAGGTATTCCTGTATAGCAATGCGAGAATGGCCAAATACAGAAAATTTGTACTGGGAGTGGAGTATTTATATGAAGATGCTTGAAAATGTGGAAGCAGCTTTGGAACTGGGTAACAGGAAGAGTTTGGAAAAAATTGGAGGGCTCAGCAGAAGACAGAATGAGGAGGGAACATTTGGAACTCCTTAGAGACTTGTAAAGTGGTTATGACCAAAATGCTGATAGTAATATGGACACTGAAGTCCTGGCTGATGAAGTCTCAAATGAAATTCAGGAACTTATTGGGAACTGGGGCAAAGGTCATGCATGTTATACCTTAGCAAAGAACTTGGCTGCATTGTGCCCCTGCTCTAGGGATCTGTGGCAGTTTGAACTTCAGAATGATGATTTAGGTATCTGGCAGAAGAAATTTCTAACTGCTGCTGCTTCTGACAACCTATGCTCAGATATGGGAGAAAAGGAATGACTTAAATTTGGAATTTATATTTAAGCAGGAAGCAGAGCATACAGGTTTAGAAAATTTGGGGCCGGGCGCGGTGGCTCACGCCTGTAATCCCAGCACTTTGGTAGGCCGAGGCGGGCGGATCACAAGGTCAGGAGATCGAGACCATCCCAGCTAAAACGGTGAAACCCCGTCTCTACTAAAAATACAAAAAATTAGCCGGGCGTAGTGGCGGGCGCCTGTAGTCCCAGCTACTTGGGAGGCTGAGGCAGGAGAATGGCGTGAACCCGGGAGGCGGAGCTTGCAGTGAGCCGAGATCCCGCCACTGCACTCCAGTCTGGGCGACAGAGCGAGACTCCGTCTCAAAAAAAAAAAAAAAAAGAAAATTTGTAGCCTGGCCATGTGGCAGAGAAACAAAGTTTTTGTGGGGAAGAGGAATTCAGGTGAGCTGTAGAACAACCACTTGCTAGAGAAAATTGCAGAACTAAAAGGGAGCTGATTGCTAATATCCAAGACAATGGGCAAAAGGTCTGAAAAGAATTTCAGAAGTCTTCTAATCTGCTCCTCCCATTTCAGTTCCAGTGGCCTATGAGAAAAAAAAATGGTTTTATGGGCCAGATCCAGAATGCCAAAACCCTGCACCACCTCAGGAGGTTGTTCCCAGCTTCCCCACTGCTCCAACTCCAGCCATGGCTCAAAGGAGCCCAGTTACAGCTTGGGCTACTGCTGCAGAGGGCACAAGCCATAAGCCTTGGTGGCTTCGACATGGTGTTAAGCCTTGTATGCATGCAAGGTGGAAGAGCGAAGGAGGCTTGGCAGCTTTCACCTAGAATTGAGAGGATGTAGATATGAGAAAGGCTGGGTGCCCAGGCCACAGTGGAGGAGCCCTCACAGAGAATCTCTACTAGGGCAGTTCCAAAAGGATATACGGAGTAGGAGGCCCCACATGGAGTCTTCACTGAGGCACTTCCTTGTGGAAGTGTGGGAAGGGCCTGCTGTCCTCCAGACCCCAGAATGGTAGATCCACAAACAGCTTGCATCTAGTGCCTGAAAAAGTCTCAGGCACTCAACTTCAACCCATGAAACAGCAGCCGCATGGGCTGTGCCTCGGAAAGGCACAGAACTGGGGCTGCCCAACGCCTTGAAAGCCCACCCCTTATGCCGGGATGCCAGACATGGAGTCAAGGATTATTTTGGAGCTTTCAGATTTAATGACTGCCCTGCTGGGTTTTGAACTTACATGAGGCCTGTGTAGCCTCTTTCTTTTTACTCATTTGTCCCTTTTATAATGGGAATGTTCACCTTGCCTATATTCCCATTGTATCTTGGAAGTGGATAACTTGTTTTTGATTTTACAGGCTCATAGGTGGAAGGAACTCATCTTCAGATGAGACTTTGGACTTAGACCTGGGACATTTGAGTTAATGCTGAAATTAGTTAAGATTTTGGAGGACTATTGGGAAGGCAAATTATATTTTATAATGTGAGAGGGATATGAGGCTTGGGAGGGGGCAGGAGCAAAATGATATAGTTTATATATTTGTCACCAACCAAATCTCATGTTGAATTGTAATCTCCAGTGTTCAAGGTGATGCCTGGTGGGAGGTGTTTGAGTCATGGAGGCAGATCCCTCATGGCTCGATGCTATCTCCTCCCATTAGTGAGCTCTCATACAATCTGGTTGTTCAAAATGTATCACACTTCCCCCATTCTCACTTTTCTCTGCTTTTGCCCATATGCCTGTCCCCACTTCACATTCTCCCATGAGTAAAAGCTCCCTGAGACCTCCCCCAAAGCTGAGCAGATGCCAGCACCATGCCTTGTACAGCCTAAAGACCCATAAGCCAATTAAAACTCTTTTCTTTATAAATTACCCAGTCTCAGGTATTCCCTTATAGCAATGCAAGAATGACCTAATCCAGACACCTACAGCATGAACTCACTAATGTAAAATCTAAAAGTGTGCATCTCATAAAAGTAGAGAGTTGAATATTGGTTACCACAGGCTGAGGAAGGTAAGGAGCACTGGGGGTTGGGGATAGGTTAGTCAATAGTCAACCAGTACAAACTTACAGCTAGATTAGGAGGAATAAGTTCTGATGTCCTATTAACAGCAGGATGACTATAGTTTACAATAATGTAGTAGGTATTTCAAAACAGCTAGAAGAGAGGATTTTGAGTATTCTCATCACAAAGAAATGACAAATATTTGAAGTAATGAATGAGCTAATTACTCTGATTTGACTATACAATGTATATGCATGTATCAAAACATCACAGTATACACCACGAATATGTAAAGTTATTATGTGTCAATTAAAAACAAAATGAAACTTAAAAAAAAAGAACTATTGATCGAAATGTAAAAACTAACACTTTATTCAACACTGAAGCTCAAGTGGCAAAATTAAAAATAGGTAAGTTTCATTTCATGAAAATAACAGACTTTTGTGCATCAAAGAACATTGTCAAAGAGCAAAAAGATTGCCCAAAGAATAGGACAAACTGTTTGCCAATCATATATCCAAATAGATATTTGTACCTCAGGTATATGAAAAACTATTCCAAGTAGGTTAGATCAGTAACCCATTTTAACATATGAACAAGGCATATTTACAGAAATTTCTTCCAAGAAGGTATAAAAATGACGAATATGCACATGAAATGATATGTATTGTCATTATCCATTTGGGAAATGCAATACCACATCACACTTATTAGAATGACTATAATAGAAAAGAAAATAACAAGTGTTGACAAAGATATGGAGAAACTGAAAGCCTTATTCATTCCTGTCTGGAATGTAAAACAGTGCAGTCTTTATGGAAAATAATTCGGAGGTTCTTTAAATTGTTAAAGATAGGGCTCCCATATGACCCAGCCATTCCACTCTTAGGTATATAGCCAAGAATAAGGAAATACTATGTCCACAAACATACTTGGACAAAAATTTCTATAGCAATGTTATTTATATGAGCCCAAAAGTCGAAAAATACACATCTCCATCAACTGATGAATGCATAAATAAAATGTAGTGTATCCTTACAATGTAATATGATTTTGCAGTACAACAGAATGAAGTATTCATACATGCTGTGACAGATAAACCTTGAAAACATGCTAAATGAAAGAATCCACAGGCTATATGATTCCATTTATATTAGTTGTCCAAAACAGGCAAATTTGTAGAGACAAAGAAGGTTCATAGTATCCCAGGGCTGGTAGCAGAGTGGTTATGGGAGAAATTGGGGAATCACAGCTAATGGTTACGGGGTTTCTCTTTGCTGAGATTAAAGTGATCTAAAATTGATTGTGGTGATGATGTGTGAATATACTGGAAACTATTGAATTCTGTACTTTAAATAAGTAGGGTTTTTTTGCTATGTTAATTATATGTCAATAGAGATTTTTAAAACGTCAAAAAATTAAACTCTGATGGTGTCAATTCATTAAGCTTGTTGAAGGATGCAGGTTCTTTAAACATTTTATAAATGTTTAATTTACATTTGTTGATATGTACAGCATTCCATAATTAGAATATGAAAACATTGTAAAAGTAGAAATCCTGAGCAAAACAAAAATCTAAGTTAAAAAAATAAAAGATAAGTACTACCTATCTCTTTTGAGTAGAGTAGGTGGGCTGCTTACCCAAGAGAGATAAATCCTTATATATCATGCCAGGCAGTCAACATACAATATCTAAAGCTCCAACACAAATCATTTAAGAAATAACATTATCACAATTCTATGAAAGAAATAGCTATAATCTGCACGAAGGTGGAGGCCATTGAAATAGAAAGGGATGTGGTGGTAAGAAGTAGGGCAGAAGTTTTCATAAGCTCTTTTGCATAATTTAAATATTTAATTTTCATTGTATTACTCTAGAGCTACTATAGAGAATAAATATTAATTTTGAAAGGGGCAAGTAAAAATTAATGTACATAAAAAAGGGGATTTCAATAAAATATGAGTGTGGGTTTGAGCATAGCAATTTTTAGAATTCGAGAAAATAAGATTGTCTCAAGTACTATTTTGTCAAAGGAGGCTCTCTGAATAATTGGATTGTTTACCTAAATACGGTAAACATATGGCACAACAATCAATTTCTCATTCAAAATTTTCTATTTAGTTTAGTTTCGTAAGTTAAAATTACAAAAAGTTGGAATTCTAAAATGTATCAAAGGCTTATTATCTGATATCTTGGCTAGGATTATATAAGAAATTCTATTTCTAGCCTTATGATTTTGCTGAATATGTTCTACTCTCAGATACATCAAGCCTACATACAATACTTGATAGTCAAAACATAGTAGGGTAATTCTAAATTACTGTATGTTAGAAGTTATGGAAACATCATTTTCTTGGGAAAACTGTATTAGGGATTAAAGATTTGCCTGTTTGTGTCTGGCTTTTCTTTTAATAAAAATATCTTATTGTGACAAGAGTCATTTAAAAGGTGAGAGAAACTTTTACATACAATGGAAATTCTTGGATTAGAACATAGCATGTATGAAAGAGAATTGTTTAAAATCTGTTGGGAAAATAATGGATTTTTTAATATTCAGTGCTAATTGAGATTATCATGTGGTTTATTTTATTCTATTAATATCATGTGTTACATTAATTAAGCTTTAGATGTAAAACATACCTCTTATTCCTAGAATAAACTTCTAGGAATAAACTTCTAGGAATAAGAAGCAGAAAGATGCAATGTTTCTGGCTTTGAGATGTAGGAAGGGGACTGCTAGCTGACAAATGTGGGCATCTTCTAGAAGCTGGAAAAGGTAAGTAAATGGGTTTTGTCTTACACTGTCCAAAAAGGAACTCAGCCATGCTGGCACCATGATTTTACTTCATGAAACTTTTGTCAGACTTTCGACCTGAAAAGCAGTAAGATTAAAAATTCATGTTGTTTTTAGCCAGTAAGTTTGTGCTAATATGTTACAGAAGCATAGAAAATTAAGAAAATAGGCTGAGTGTGGTGGTTCATGCCTGCAATTTAGCACTTTGGGAGGCCAAGACGGGAGGATTGCTTGAGCTCAGGAGTTTGAGAACAGCATGAGAATAGCAAGACCTTGTCTCTACAAAAAAAGATTTAAAAATTAGCTGGGCATGGTGGCATGTGTCTGTAGCCTCAGCTATTCAGGAGGCTGAGGTGGGAGGATCCCTTGAGCTTAGGAGGTCAAGGCTGCAGAAAGCAGTAAATGCACCACTGCACTCCAGTCTCGGTGACAGGCAGAACCTGACTCAAAAAGAGGAAAGACAATATTTCTGAGATATTCCCCAGGAAATGGCAATGATATAGTTATAATACCCCTATATAAGGGGAAATAAAGTGATAAAAACTGTCATGCCTAAATGCAGCATTTTTTTCATGGCAATTTAGATGAGCCATGGGAATCGAGTTCCCAGTAAGAACTGGGAAATTGATAATGGTCTTTATGCGTGATTACCTTGAAAAGTGTAACTGCAAGCACATTACTGTTTATACCTTTTTATTTTCTACTTTATTCACTTGGCATTAAGCTTGTATTCTGAGTCTACATAAGGATCAAATCCAAGTTTATCCTCAGCAACTTATAAAGCACCATGACATACGCATTTTAAACATTATAATTTAGTAGAGCACTACTTAAGCATTTCTCTCACTTTTCTTTAGCCTGCTACAAGATAATATTATCAAAGATTAGAAAATCAATGTGCCAAATTTAAGGAATACATATTGCAGTGTACATTTCCAGTAAATATATTATTATAAGAACAATGTTAGGGAGGTACAGAGTAAATCACAGTGGTATGTCTCTTATATTTAAAATAGTTACTGAACTCTTACTTTGTGCTAGACCTTGCATGTACAAAAATGAGTAAGATAAAGTCCTAACCATTAAGTAAGTCATAAGCTGGTCTAGCAACTTAGAGAAATCTATATAAATGAAATGCATTATGATAGTGTGTATAGAGCATATAAACATACATTGGATGGGAATAATAAGGGAGTAGTGTAGGCAGCAAAAGGAAAGGTGACAAGAACTAAAGCAGGTTAGGTAGTCCAGTTATGAGATAAGGTTATGAATTACCTTGCATCCCTATGCCACTAGGCTTCGGCCTTACCAAGAAAGACATATTTCCTGGTGTTGGTAATTTATATGTTGTTCTCAGCATGTGTATCATTTCCACACATCTACTAGGCAGAAGCTCTTATTCCATGATCTCTCTGTAGGATGTACATAATGGAGCTATCTACTTCTGTCTCATTGTAAATAAAAATCATGGGTTCATATATCACACACATATACACACATGTGCACACACATATGCACACACATACATGTTGAGTAAAATTTTATTACATGCTTTTATGTGTTTAAGTAACAATTCAGACATTATTATTACTCTGGTCCTATTTTACCATTTGCCCAGATATTCACATCTATTTTTTACATTATTGTAATATACGTGTATTTTGTTATCTTCCTAAAGTTATTTTATAAATAAAATTGAAAAATATACACACACTGAAAGTGCAGTTCTTGTTCTTCCCACTTGCCACACTCCTTCCCAGGCCAGCTAGTGAAATAGTGATGAGGACATAAGGGCTGAAAGTTAGGAAACTGAAACATTGAGATTAACTTTTCTGAGCAAAGATGGCAGACAAACGATGCCCTGGGATTGCTGGAGGAAAGAGATAGGAAGACATAGACACAGAAGGTTAATTACCTATCCAGATAAATGAAGAAGCCAGGGGCGAGGGCCCATATGTAAGACCCAGGATTATCCATGGTCAGGAGGAACATTGCTTAGAAGTGAATGACGGTTTCATCACACATACTTACTTCAGCTCTGAGAATAATTGTAAAATTTTCTTAATAAAATTGAATAGAAAAGTGAACAAAAAGAAAGCCTGGCCAATATTCGGGATCATAGTCAAAATGTCCAATTACAATAGATCCAGTGAAAGTGTCCAGTTGACCTAAAAATATTAACAGCACCATGGAAGCAACAGAAGTGAAAGTGGTAAGGCAGAAAATTGGCTTCAAAAGAGGAAACAATGCTTGTGAAAAAGTGGAGAAAAGATGCCCCCAGGATGTTGAGAGATGACAGGGTTAAATAGATTATCTGTTATAAATCTGTCAACATTATCCATGGGATCCAGCTAATGACACTATAGTTATTAAATAATTTGTTCCCCTGAGACACAGAAAATGACCTCATTTTAAAATAAAATGAAAATTGCTGATTGATAAAAATTCTCATATAAGGGAGCTAAAATTAGCAAACCCCTATTTTATCAAGACTTTCATATTTATGTTTTCATTTTTCATATATCATTCCCAGAAGATACAACTTAAGTGTAAAAAGTATCGAGGTGTAATTTTAGCATCAATTTTCACATAGGAAAATAAATGAATTGGGTCTCCAAAGAACACTGCCTCCTGATTTCTGTAAAGTAAATTTTTGTCTTAAAAAAAAAGCCTATAAAAATAATGAGAGAAGGCCTTAATTCAAACATATATACCCCCCCAAATCTAAACTTACTGTATTTCTCCACATATTATTTTTCTGAAAGTAATTTTGTTCTAGTAAGTCAAGGTTTACCATCAGCTGCTAGAAATAAAACTCTTGACTTAAATACAATTATATGAAACTTTCTATTGCACCAAAAAAAAAAAAAAAAGCTATAGGCGTGGGTTCCCTAGTTAAAGTAGTGGTATGAATTCTGAATTCTTACCTCCTATAGGCATAGGATGACCTACTGTCATCCAGTAGGTCACAGGATAAGAACACAGATAGGATTTTCAAACCCATCAAGATCCTATTAAAATAAATGTAATAGATTTATGTGGTCTGACATACAAGTACTTGAAACATTTAAAAGAAAAATACATTTTTCATAAGCATATATATATAATATGTGCTTTAAAAATAACAAGAGTATATGTGAGGGTTTGTGTGTGCATGTGTGCACTGGAAAATGTCTGGAAAAACATTAACTACAATGGTAATGGTGACTCAAGAAAGTAATGTACAGAGTTAGTAGGGCACACTTCTGTATTGCTTCAGCTGTTTACAGTGGAAAATTATTTTTACAATAAATACATATTTAAAAATGAAAACAATGCTGTCACAGTGATAACTTTAAAATCTAGAATTTCTTGTATTTTTGTTCAATATAAGTGAAACTAAAATAACCATCAGGTCTTAGTGAGGAATGTTGTGTAGATTCCAGTCATGCTGAATGCCCTGCCTTTTTGGATAATAGTGTTCAAAACTAGGTTCAGCTCTGTTTGACCTAAGAGATGAGTCTTTTGGTGCTGATGACAACTTCTAAGATCAATCGTAATCATTTTTCTCATGTGGAAAACAGTATCCTTCAGACATACGTGAATTACACGAACAGCTGCAATTTGTTGCTGTCAGCCCTCATCAAACATTTTCCAGAACAATATCTTTCTCTCTGCCACTTTAGGATGAGCTTACTAACGACAAGATAAGTAACAGATAAAATAGTAAATTTAAGAAAAAGTTAATAGAACATATTTAAGTAAGAGTTGGAATGTTATAAAAATGCTTTTGTGGTTTTTAATTTTTTCTTCTTTCAGCTTTTAAGTTCAGTGGTAAATGTGCAGCATGTATAGGTTTCTTACACAGGTAAAGATGTGCCATGGTGGTTTACTGTGCAGACCATCCCATCACCAGGTATTAAGCCCAGCATCCATTAGCTATACTTCCTGATATTTTCCCTCTCCCGATGCCTTCTGACAGGTGCTTAGTGTGTGTTGTTTACCCCCACTTGTCCATGTGTTCTCATCAATCAGCTCCCACTTGTAAATGAGAACATGTGGTATTTGTTTTCCTGTTACTGTGTTAGTTAGTTAAGAATAATGGCTTCCAACTCCCCCCATGTCACTGCAAAGGACATGATCTTATTCCTTTTTATGGCTTCGTAGTATTCCATGGTATATATGTATCACATTTTCTTTATCCAATCTATCATTGATGGGCACTTAGGTTGATCCCATGACTTTGCTATTGTAAATAGTGCTGCAATGAACATACACATGCATGTATCTTTATAATAGAATGATGTATATTCCTTTGAGTATATACGTGCATTTATCTTTATAATAGAATGATTTATATTCCTTTGAGTATATACCCAGTAACAGGATTTCTGAGTCAAATGATAGTTCTGCCTCTAGGTCTTTGAAGAATCACCACACTGTCAACTTCTGCAATGGTTGAACTAATTTACACTCTCAACAACAGTGTTAAAGTGTTATTTTTTTTTCCCACAACCTCACCAGTATCTGTTGTTTTTTGACTTTTTAATAATAGTCATTCTGATCGGTGTGAGATGGTATCTCATTTTGGGTTTGATTTGCATTTCTCTGATGATCAGTGATGTTGAAATTTTTTAAATATATTCGTTGGCTGCATGTATGTCTTCTTTTGAGAAGTGTCTGTTCATGTTCTTTGCCCACTTATTAATGAGGTTGTTTTTTTTTCTTGTAAATTTGTTTAAGTTCCGTATTGAATCTGGATATTTGACCAATGTCAGATAAATAGATTGCAAAAATTTTCTCCCATTCTCTAGGTTGTCTGTTTATTCTGATTAACAATTATTTCACTGTGCAGAAGCTCTTTCATTTAATTAGATCCCAAATGTCAATTTTTGCTTTTATTGCAATTGCTTTGGCATTTTTGTCATGAAATCTTTGCCCTGCCCATGCCTATATCCTTAATGGTACTGCCTAGATTTTCTTCTAGGGTTTTTATCATTTGGGGTTTTACATTTAAGTTTTTAACCTGTCTTGAGTTTATTTTTGTATATGGTGTAAGGAAGTATTCCAACTTCAATTTTCTGCATGTGGATAGCTGGTTCTCCCAGCACCATTTATTAAATAGAGAATCCTTTCTCCATTGCTTGCTTTGTCAGGTTTGTCAAAGATCAGATGGCCATAGGTGTGAGGTCTTATTTCTGGGTTATCTATTCTGTTATGTGTCTGTTTTTGTACCAGTACCATCCTGTTCTGATTATTTTACCCTTGGTATGAAGTTGGGTAGTGTGATGGCTCTAACTTTATTCTTTTTGCTTAGGACTGACTTTGCTATTCAGTCTTTTTTTTTTCCTCCATATGAATTTTTAAACAGTTTTTTTTTTTCTAATTCTGTGAAGAATGTAAGTGGTAGTTTAATGGGAACAGCATTGAATCTATAAATTACTTTGGTCAGTATGGCCACTTTCATGATGTTGATTCTTCCTATCCATGAACATGGAATATGTCTCCATTTGTTTGCATCCTCTCTAATTTCCTTCAGCAGTTGTTTGTAGTTCTCCTTAAAGAGGCCTTCACTTTCCTTGTTAGCTGTATTCCCATGTATTTTATTCTTTTTGTAGTCATTGTGAATGAGAGTTCATTCATGATTTGGCTCTTTGCATGCCTGTTGTTGATGAATAGGAAGGAATGCTAGTTATTTTGGCAAATTGAGTTTATATCTTGAGATTTTGCTGAAGTTGCTTGTCATCTTAAGGAGTTTTTAGGCTGAGATGATGGGGTTTTCTAGATATAAGATCATATCATCTGCATACAAAGATAATTTGACTTCCTCTCTTCTTATTTCAATACTCTTTAACCTTCCTCTTGCAAGATTGCCCTGGCCAGGATTTCCAGCTAGCGTCATGATGGCAGGATCAAATTCACAAATAGCAATACTTACCTTAAAGATAAGTGGGCTAAATGCCCCAATTAAAAGACACAGAATGGCAAGCTGGATAAAGACTCAAGCCCCATTGGTGTGCTGTCTTCAAGAGAACCATCTCACATGCAAAGACACACATAGGCTCAAAATAAAGGGATGGAGGAAAATTTACCAAGCAAATGGAAAACAGAATAAAGCAAGCAGGGGTAGCAATCCTAGTTTCTGACAACACACACTTTAAACCAACAAAGATAAAAAATGATAAAGAAGGGCATTACATAATAGTAAATGGTTCAATTCATTAAGAAGTGCTGGCCGGACGCAGTGGCTCATGCCTGTAATCCCAGTACTTTGGGAGGCCAAGATGGGTGGATCACAAAGTCAAGAGATCGAGACCATCCTGGCTAACAAGGTGAAACTCCGTCTCTACTAAAAAATGCAAAAAAATTAGCCGGGCATGGGGGCGGGCACCTGTAGTCCCAGCTACTTGGGAGGCTGAGGCAGGAGAATGGTGTGAACCCAGGAGGCGGAGCTTGCAGTGAGCTGAGATCGCACCACTGCACTCCAGCCTGGGCGACAGAGTGAGACTCCATCTCAAAAAAAAAAAAAAATGCTAACTATCCTAAATATATATGCATCCAATACCAGAGCACCTAGATTTATAAAGGAAGTTCTTAGAGACCTACAAAGAGATTTAGACTCCCACACAATAATAGTGGGAGACCTTAGCACCCCTTAGACAATATTAGACAGATCATTGAGACTGAGAATTAGCGAAGATATTCAGGACCTGAACTCAGCTCTGGATCAAGTGGACTGGATAGATCTACAGAACTCTTCACTCAAAAACAACAGAATATACATTCTTCTCATCACCACACAACACTTACTCTAAAATTGATAACATAATAGGAAATAAAACACTCCTCAGCAAATGCAAACGAACTGACATCATAAAAAACAGCTCTCAGACCACAACACAATCAAATTAGATCTCAAGTTTAAGAAATTGACTCAAAACCACACAACTACATGGAAGTTGAACAACCTACTCCTGAGTGACTCTTGGGTAATTATGAAATTAAGGCAGAAATCAAGAAGTTCTTTGAAACTAATGTAAACAAAGAGGCAACATACCAGAGTCTCTGGGACATGGCTAAAGCAGTGTTAAGAGGGAAATTTATAGCACTAAGTCCCCACATCAAAAAGCTGGAAAGAGCTCAATTTACCAACCTAGTGTCTCAACTAAAAGAACAAGAGAAACAAAAGCAAACAAACCCTAAAGCTAGCAGAAGACAAGAAATAACCAAGATCAGAGCCAAGCTGAAGGAAACAGAAAAAAAAAAACCTTCAAAAAATCAACAAATCCAGGAGTTGGCTTTTTGAAAAAAAAAATGATAAAATAGATTGCTAGATTGCTAGCTAGACAAATAAAGAAGAAAAGAGAGAAGTATCAAATAGACACAATCAGAAATGATAAGGGGGATATAATCTCTGACCCCATGGAAATAAAAACAACCATCAGAGAATACTATAAATACCTCTATGCACATAAAGTAGAAAATATAGAAGAAATAGACAATTTCCTGGACAAATATATACCCTCCCAAGGCTGAACCAGGAAAAAATTGAATCCCTGAAGAGACCAATAATATGTTCTGAAATTGAGCCAATAATAAATTACCTACCAACAAAATAAGCCCAGGACGAGACCAATTTACAGCTAAATTTTACCAGTGCTACAAAGAAGAGCTGGTACCACTTCTACTGAAACGATTCCCCACAACTGTAAAGGAGGGACTCCTCCCTTACTCATTTTATGAGGCCAGCATCATCCTGATACCAAAACCTGCAGAGATACAACAAAATAGAAAACTTCAGGCCAACATCCCTAATGAACATCGATGCAAAAATCCTCAAACAAATACTGGCAAACCAAATCCAGCAGCATATTAAAAAATGTATCCCCCATCATGAAATTGGCTTCATCCCTGGGACGCAAGATTTGTTCAACATATGCAAATCAATAAATATAATCCGTCACATAAACAGAACTAAAGATGAAAACCACATGATTATCTCAATAGTTGCAGAAAAGATCTTTGATAAAATTCAACATTGCTTCATGTTTAAAACTCTCAATAAACTAGTTATTGAAGGAACATACCTCAAAATGGTATGAGCTATATACAACAAACTCACAGCCAATATCATACTGAATGGGCAAAAGCTGGAAGGACTCCCCTTCAAGGAGAAGCATTCCCCTTGTAAACTGGCACAAGACAAAGATGCCCTCTCTCACCACTCCTATTCCACATAGTTTTTTTTTTTAAACTTTAAATATTTAATTTTTATGGATACATAGTTGTACATATTTATGGGGTGCATGTGATATTTTGATACAAGTATACAATTTATAATGACCAAATATGGGTAATTAGTATTTCTGTCACCTCAAATATTTATCATTTATTTGTGTTGGGAACATTTCAGTTCTACTCTTCTAGTAATTTTGAAATATACAACAAATTATTGTCAAGTATAGTTGCTCTATTTTCTACCAAACACTAAATCTCATTCCTTCTATCTAACTATACTTTTTGTATCCATTAGCCAACTCCTCGTATCCCACCTCCCAACTATATTTCCAGGTTCTGGTAACCGTAATTCTCTCTACCTCCATAAAATTAAGTTTTTATCTCCCACATATGAGGGAAAACAGGCAATATTTGTCTTTCTGTGCCTGGTTTATTTCACCTGATATAATGTCTTCCAGTCTCATTCACATTGTTGCAAATAACAGGATTTCAATTTTTATGGCTGGATAACATTTCATTGTGTATATGCACCAACTTTTCTTCATTAATTCATCAGTTTATGGACACAGGTTGGAACAGGAATTAAAAGAAATTTAAAAATGTGTAAGCAAGAACTTGTGTGTAAGAAAAGCCAATTCCCCCTGAGGAAGAGAAAGAGCTGAAGTCCTTTAAAAATTGACTTTCTGTTTTTCTGTGGCTAGTGAGCCTTATCTCTCCCTTTCCCAGGCATTGCGAAGACTCTGTTTCTCTAGCTGTGAAGCTGCAAAGTCACTAAACAGATAATCTCAGGTCATAAAACATGTTGTTCCTTGAAAAGTAAGAAATAATGTAATGCATGTCTTAATTGAATAACTGTCTTTGTTTCTCCCTTCTGTGATACGCTTTCCCCTGCACTAATCTCCCCCTGCCCCACAAAAAGCTTAAAAGGTAGCTTGACTCTGTTCGGGGCTCAGTCCTTTGGATGTTAATCCGACTGGGTCGGCGCACCTAAATAATTAAATAATTCCTCCTCAACCCCTTGGTCTCTCTGATTCCTTAATTATCCCGCTGCAAGATTGAGTCTATATTTTTAGCTATTATGAACAGTGCGGCAATAAACATGAGAGAGCAGATAGCTCTTCATTATACTGATTTTCTTTCTTGTGAATATATATCCATCAGTGGAACCACTGGATCCTATGGAAAACCACATATTCATATGCAGAAAAATAAAACTAGATCCCTATATCTCACAATATACAATATTAAATCAAAACGGATTAAAGAAGTAAATATAAAATGTAAAACAATGAAACTACTAGATAACAATATTGACAAAATGCTCCAGGACACTGGGCAAAGGTTTCTTGATAGGACCTCAAAAGTACAGGCAATCAAAGCAAAAATGGAGAAATGGGATCAAATCAAGCAAAAAAGCTTCTGTTCAAGAAAGGTAAAACTTAACAAAGTGAGTGGACAATCTAAAAAAATGGGAGAATGCAAAGTATTCAACTGACAAGCAATTAATAACCAGAGTATATAAGGAACTCAAATAACCCAATAGCAAGAAAACCCAAAAAATCCACATTGAAAAATGGGCAAATGATCTGAATGAACCAATAACCCAATAGCAAGAAAACCCAAAAAATCCACATTGAAAAATGGGCAAATGATTTGAATGAACATTTCTCAAAAGAAGATATGGCCAACAGGTACGTGAAAAATGCTCAACATCACTAATCATCAGAAAAATGCAAATCATAATCACAATGAGCTATCATCTCACCACTACTAAAATGGCTTATCAAACAGATAAAAAATAATGGATGCTGGCGAGGATGCAGAGAAAGGAAAATGCTCACACTGTTGGTGAGAGCGTATGTTTGTACAGCTACTACGGGCAAGAGTATGGAGGTTTCTCAAAATAAGTTAAAATATTACTCTTATTTGATGACTTTACTTTCTAATTAGCAGCTTATTATATCTCTATGAGATACTTAATATAGAATATGACACAAAAATCCTCTTTATGTCTACATGTTCATTCCTCAGCTTCAAGTCACTATAATAAACCAATTCAGAAGAAGTGTGAGTACAAAATCTTACACTTACAAAAGCAGTATATTTTATGTATGCCACAATCAGAAAGTTAACTTTTTCCCTTTGAAATTACAGGTGTTAATTTACTAATAAATTCATAAATTAGTAAAATTTATTTACTAATAAATTCACACCCTTTCAACCCAGCTGCAAATTATTGTGTCTTCACAAAAGTAATATAAAATAAGATAGAAGTTTCACAGCTAGTGAAACTAGCTAGTTTTGATGCAAATCTACCAAAGCAAAACACATGGTCTAATACTCATTCACTAATTTGATGATTCATGTCTAATTATGCACCCACTAGATGGGATGTATGCTATGCTATGCTAATTATTGTGTTTATCTGTGGTAGATGTCCGCATGCCAAAATAACCTGGCTTTTTATTTCTGTTTCCAGTAGCTCATGTTGTTTCTAAACTTTGTTATCTAGTACACTAGTTTATTATTGTTGTACCAAATTAAATTTAACTAAATGTATTTGAATTAAATGAATATGTCATAGCTACTGTCTCAGTTTGTTTGATATGCTATAATAAAGTGCCATAAACTGGGCAGCTTATAAAGAGTAATAATTTCTCAGTTTTGAAGTCTAGGAAGTCCAAAATCAAGGAGCCAGAAGATTCTGTGTCTGGTAGGGTCCACTTTCTGGTTCACAGAGTGTACCCTGTTGCTGTATCTTCACATGGTAGAAGGGACAAGGGAGACTTCTGTGCTCTTTTATAAAGGAACAAATATCAAAGGCTCCACCTAATACCATCACCTTGGTGATTTCATGATTAGGTTTCAAGATATAAATTTTTAGCAGACGCAAACATTCGGATCACAGCAGCTGCAGATCTTCAGTATCTAAAAACTTAGAAAGTCAATAATATATTTAATGTAACAACTAGTAGTTTCAATTAAACATGTTTGGACACGAGATCTCAGAAAATCAGAGTAGGATACTGATGACACCCTATTTTTGTTGCCGTACTCTTAGACTTGATTATCATCAACTATTGCTCACACCTTTATTGTGGTTCCTGCCTCTTTATTTCTCAGTCTCTAAAGTTTAGTAATTAGGTGAAACCTACCACCTAAATTCATAGACCTCCTATGTAGCTAATGTTATGATTTATGTCTCTTTGCTTTAGCTCACAGATTGTTTTCTTCGTCACTAACTCTGAATTTCTGAGAGATGTCAAGCAGAGCCCAATCTAATATACAAGTTCTGGTTGCATAGCTGTACCCACTATAATTACATTTCAAAAAATGTATAGCATGATAGACTTGGGATTTGGAGGATAAAGGAGAAAGAATTTGGCAACCCCTCCATCAACACAATGAGAAATAATAAAGAGAAAGACAAAAGCTAAGGTAATATTTTTTCTACCTAGCCTGAAGGATTACTTTGAAGACAGCCAGGTGCAGTGGCTCACACCTGTAATCCCAACACTTTGGGAAGCCAAGGCGGGTGGATCACTTGAGGTCAGGAGTTTGAGACCAGCCTGGCCAATATAGTGAAACTCCGTCTCTATTAAAAATACAAAAAAATTAGCTCGGTATGATGGTGGGCACCTGTAATCCCAGCTACTCAGGAGGCTGAGGCAGGATAATGGCTTGAACCAGGGAGGTGGAGGTTGCGGTGAGTCGAGATGATTGCACCACCGAACTCCAGCCTGGGCAACCAGAGTGAAACTCTGTCTCAAAAAATAAAAATAAAAAAATTTACAAAAAAAGATTACTTTGAAGCACATTAGAATAGGAATATCATAACTGGAACCTAAAGATGACAAACCAACAAAACTGTTTCTGAGACTCACTATAAACTGTTCTGTCATTTCAGGATGGCTTTACTCTATAGAGCAATGTTTCTATAAGACACTTGCAGCAGCGGCAGCAGCAATTGACACAGCTTGATGAGTAGACCAGAGGGAAAAAATGTGACTTGACTTTTTTTTGGCTTTTCTGATTCCAAATCCATGGATCTTCCTGACTGAACCAAGGAAAATGCTAACGATTATGGTGGAGTAGGAAGGCTGAGGCCTGCCCTTAGCCGATGAGGGCTGTGTTCACGTGATCTAATCTTCATCATGGGCTGGAGAGCAAGGACATTTACCCACATACTCCTGCTTCCTCTGCACATTAGCTATTCCTTATGTCCTAGCACATTTATTATATCATGTCCAGTTCCTGCTCATGTCTTTGCACATTTATTTTGAGCAAAAATATCCTTGGAAAAAATTTTAGAGGGATTATTGGGGGAAAAAAAAAAGATTAGTCAATGTCATTGCTCAGTAGTTTTGAGTCATCATTTCTTAATATGCTGGGTTTTGTAATAAAAGGAAAATATGGAGTGTCCTTGGAGTATACAGAAGTTTACACAGGTATTTAGGCCATTTGTAGATGATTAATTTTGCAAAATTCTAAGGATAAAATAGATTTCAGGTTGATAGAATCTAAATGTTACAAGGGAAGAACCATAATAAGCTTACAAGTGGGCGTTCAGGCTGTTTATTTAGCCATTCTATTTTTCTTTATACCGGAAAAGAAAAAAACAGAGACAATGAATCTACATGGGATAAAATCCTTTGTAATGACATGACATTCAGCACACCAAGGTTAGCTATTTTGCTACATTTACAGATGATTCATTCATGCTATTTAAGAACTATTTGGGTGGCTATATTTTAGCCATGCCCATGGTAGAAGGAACAAAACAGATGTCCTCTTCTACACATGGAATTTATAATCTAAAGAGAGAGCTAAACTTCAAACAAATAACCACACTTGAATATCAATTAGAACTATGACTCTTTCAAAAAGGTATGATATATAGTGCTCTGGGTTACAGGGAATTTGATTTATTTGTAGGGATAGGGGAATGTTTGTAAAAAGAACATGATGCTACAGCTAAAATATAGAGGTGCTTATTGCAGATAGTTGAAAAGGAGAAAAAAGAGCATTCTTGGCAGAGATTAGAATGTGCAAAGCCCCTGTGGATATAACCAAGACAGTTGACAAAACCAGCATGTGAAAATTAGACATTGATTCAGGGATCATTCTCCTGCCACTGATTGAGACTAAGGGAGCTGGTATTGTCAAAAAAAGTATTGTAGATAATATCAATTTATCCTTCTGAGTGCTAGGACATAAGTTCTCATCAACAAGCTCCCACTTACAAGTGAGAACTTTTGGTGCTTGGTTTTCTGTTCCTGCATTAGTTTGCTGACGATAATGACTTCTAGCTCCATCCATGTCCCTGCAAAGGACATGATCTTGTTCCATTTTATGGCTGCACAGAATTCCATGGTGTATTGTACCACATTTTCTTTATCCAGTCTATCATGGATGGGCATTTGGGTTGATTCTATGTCTTTACCATTGTGAATAGTTCTGGAATTAACATAAGTATGCAAGTATCTTTACAATAGAACAATTTATATTCCCTTGGATATATACCCAGTAATGGGATTGCTGGATTGAATGGCATTTCTGCCTCTAGGTCTTTAAGAAATTACCACACTGTCTTGCACAATGTTTGAATTAACTTACACTCTCAGCAGTGGTGTAAAAGTGTTCCTTTTTTTCTGCAACCTCATCAGCATCTGTTGTTTCATGACTTTTTAATTATCACCATTCTGACTGGTGTGAGATGTTATCTCACCATGGTTTAGATTTGCATTTCTCTAATGAACCATAATGTTGAGCTTTTCTTCATATGTTTGTTGGCAGTATAAATGTCTTCTTTTGAGATGTGTCTGTTGGTGTCCTTTGCCCACTTGTTAATGGGGTTGTCTCTTTTTTCTTGTAAATGTGTTTAAGTTCCTTGTAGACTCTGGATATTAGACCTTTGTCAGATGGATAGATTGCCAACATTTTCTCTTATTCTGCAGATTGTCTGTTCACTTTGATGATAGTTTCTTTTGCTGTGCAAAAGCTCTTTTGTTTAATTAGATCCCATTTGTCAATTTTTGCTTTTCTTGCAATTGCTTTTAATGTTTTCATGATGAAATTTTTGCCCATGCCCATGACCTGGGTACTATTGTCTAGATTTTCTTCTAGGATTTTTATTGTATTGAATTATTCATCTAAATATTTAATCCATTTCAAGTTAAAGTTTGTATAAAGTGTAAGGAATGGGTCCAGTTTTCATTTTTTTTTTTTGCATATGAACAGCCGGTTCACCCAGCATGATTTATTAAACAGGCAGTTTTTTCCCCATTGCATGTTTTGCAATGTCTGTTGACGATCAGATGGTTGTAGGTACATGGTCTTATTTCTGAGTTTTCTATTCTGTTCCATTGGTCTATTTGTCTATTTTTGTACCAGTATCAAGCTGTTTTGGTTACTCTAGCCTTGTTATACAGTTTGAAGTATGGTAGCATGATGCCTCCAGCTTTGTTCCTTTTGCTTAGGATTGTCTTGGCTATTTGGACTCTTTTTTTTTTTTTTTTTTTTTGGTTTCATATGAAGTTTGAAATAGTTTTTCTAATACTGTGAAGAACATCAATGGTAGTTTAATAGGAATAGCATAAAATCTATAAATTACTTTGGGCAGTATGGCCATGTTCACGATAGTGAACATAGATGAGCATGGACTGTTTTTCCATTTGTTTGTGTCCTCTCTGATTTCCTTGAACAGTGCTTTGTAGTTCTCCTTGAAGAGGTCCTTCTCTTCCCTTGTTAGCTGTATTCCGAGGTATTTTATTCTCTTTATAGCAATTGTGAATAGGAGTTCATTCATGATTTGGTTCTGTTTGCCTGTCATTGGTGTATAGAAATGCTAGCAATTTTTGCACATTGATTTTTTTATCCTGAGACTGCTGAAGTAGCTTACCAGGTTAAGAAGCTTTTGGGCTGAGATGATCAGGTTTTCTAGATATAGGATCGTGTCATCTGCAAAGATAATCTGACGTCCTCTCATCCTATTTGAGTACACTTTATTTCTTTCTCTTGCCTGATTGCCTGGCCAGAACTTCCAACAGTATGTTGAATAGGAGTGGTGAAAGAGGGCATCTTTGTCTTGTGCTGGTTTTCAAGGTGAATGCTTCCAGTTTTTGTCCATTCAGCATGATGTTTGCTGTGGATTTTTCATATATGTCTCTTATTATTGAGGTAGGTTAATTTTTTCAAAAAACCAGCTCCTGGATTTGTTGATTTTTTGGTGGGTTTTGTGTGTCTCTATCTCCTTCAATTCTTCTCTGATCTTAGTTATTCCTTGTGTTTTGCAAGCTTTTGCATTAATTTGCTCTTGCCTCTCTAGCTCCTTTAATTGTGATGTTAGTGTGTCAATTGGAGATATTGCTAGCTTTCTGATGTGAGCATTTAGTGCTAAATTTCCCTCTTAACACTGCTATAGCTGTATTCCAGAGATTCTGGTGCATTGCCTCTTTGTTCTCATTGGTTTCAAAGAACTTATTCGTTTCTGTTTTAATTTCATTATTTACTCAGGAGTCATTCAACAGCAGGTTGTTCAATTTCCATGTAGTTGTGTGGTTTTGAGTTTCTTAATCTTGAGTACCAATTTGATTGCACTGTAGTCTGAGACATTTGATTGTGATGATTCCAGTTCTTTTGCATTTGCTGAAGAGTGTTTTACTTCCTACTATGTGATCACTATAGAATAAGTGCCATGTGGAGATAAGAAGAATGTATATTCTGTTGGTTTGGGGTGAAGAGTTCCATAGATGTCTATCCAGTACACTTAATGCAGAGCTGAGTTCAGGTCCTGAATATCTGTTATTTTTCTATCTCAGTAATCTGTCTAATACTGTCAGAGGGGTATTAAAGTCTCTGTTATTGTGTTTGACCTTAAGTGTCTTTGTAGGTTTCTAAGAATTTGCTTTATGAATCTGGGTGCTCCTGTATTGGGTGCATATGTATTTATGATAGTTAGATATTCTTGTTAAATGGAACCCTTTATATTATATAATGGCCTTCTTTGTCTTTTTAAATTGTTGTTGGTTTAAAGTGTATTTTGTCAGAAACTAGGATTGCTACCTACCCATGCTTTATTCTGTTTTCTGTTTGCTTGGTAAAGTTTCCTCCATCCCTTTATTTTGAATCTTTGTGTGTCTTTACACATGAGATAGGTCTTTTAAAGACAGCATATCAATGGGTCTTGGTTCTTTATCCAGTTTGCCATTCTGTGTCTTTTAATTGAGGCATTTAGTACATTTACACTTAGGTTAGTATTGTTTTGTGTGAATTTAATTCTGTCATCATGATGCTAGCTGGTTATTTTGTAGAATTGTTTATATGGTTGCTTCATAGAGTCACTGGTCTGTATACTTCAGTGTGTTTTGGCAGTGGCTGATAATGGTTTTTCCTTTCCACAATTAGTGCTTCCTTCAGCAGCTCTTAAAAGGCAGGCCTGGTGGTGATGAATTCCCTCAACATTTGCTTGTCTGTAAAGGATCTTATTTCTCCTTTGCTTTGAAGCTTAGTTTGGCTGGATATAAAAGTCTGGGTTGGAAATTCTCTTCTTTAATGTTGAATATTGGCCCACAATCTCTTCTGGCTTGTAGGGTTTCTGCTGGGAGGTCCAGTGTTAGTCTAATGGGCTTCCCTTTGTAGGTGAACTGGCCTTTATCTCTGGCTGCTCTTAGCATTTTTTTCTTTTATATTGACCTTAGAGAAGCTGATGATTATGTGTCTTGGTGTAGATCTTCTCATGGAGTATCTTACTGGAGTTATCTGCATTTCCCGAATTTGAATGTTGGCCTGTCTTACTGGGTTTGGGAAGTAGTCCTGGATGATATCCTGAAATACATTGTCCAACTTGATTCTCTCCTCCCCATCTTTTTCAGGTATCCCAATCAGCTACAGGTTTATTCTTTTTACATAATCCCATATTTCTCAGAGGGTTTGTTTATTCATTTAATTATTTATTGTCTATTCTTGTCTGCCTGTCTTATTTCAGAAAGATAGTCTTCATGCTGACTTTTTCTTTTGTTTGGTCTGTTGTGCCATTGATACTTATGATTGTACTCTGAAGTTCTCGTGCTGTGACTTGTAGCTCCAGCAGGTCAGTTATGTTCCTCTCTAAACTGGCTATTCTGGTTATCAGCTCCTGCATTGTTTTACTATAAATCTTAGCTTCTTTGCATTGGGTTAGAACATGCTCCTTTAGCACAGCGAAGTTTGTTACTACCCACATTCTGAAGCCCACTTTTGTCAATTCTGCCACCTGAGTCTTAGCCCGGTTCTGTGCCCTTGCTGGAGAGGTGTTGTGGTCATTTGGTAGAGAAGAGGCACTTTGACATTTTGATTTTTCAATGCTTTTGCTTTGATTTTTTTCTCATCTTTGTGGACTTATCTACCTTTTGATCTTTGAGATTGTTGACCTTTGAATGGAGTCTTTTTTGTTGATGTTGTTGTCACTTTCTGTTTGTTTTTCTTTTAACAGGCCACTCTTTCATAGGGCTGCAATTTGCTGGGAGTCTACTTCAGACACCAGTCACCTGGGTCCCTCCTGTCATCACCCCTCCACCCCCACCCCCACTCCTCCTCATTCTTTGTGGGTTGAACTGTCTACCTCATCAGTCCCAATGTGATAACCTGGATACCTCAGCTGAAAGTGCAGAATTCATTCACCATTTTCATTTTTCTCTGTGAGAGCCGGTGACTGCAGTTGTTTCTAATTGACCATCTTTCCCCACTCCCTCCTGGACAAATATATCCAGGATGGCTTTTAATGCAGCCCAATACAAATTCACTAACTTTCTCAAAACATTATAAGACAATTTTGGTGATTTTTAAAATCACCTGTGAAGGCTGTAAAACAGCAAAATTGACTGCCTGCTCCTTCCTCTAGGAGCTCTATCTCAGGGGGACACCGACCTCATATCTGTTCAAGCACTCCTGTAGAAGGTATCTGAAGACACCTGTTGGAAGGTCTCACCCAGTCAGGAGGAATGGGATCAGGGACCCACTTAAAGAAGCCGTCTGGTTCCCAGTCTTGGGTATGTCTTTAACAGCAGTGTGAAAATGAATTAATATGGGAAATTGGTACCACTAGAGTGGGGCACTGCTGAAAAGATACCCAAAAATGTGGAAGCAACTTTGGAACTGGGTAGCAGGCAGAGGTTGGAACAGTTTGGAGGGTTCAGAAGAAGACAGGAAAATGTGGGAAAGTTTGGAACTTTCTAGAAAATTGTTAAATGGTTTTGGCCAAAATGCTGATAATGACATGGACAATGATATCCAGGCTGAGATGGTATCAGATGGAGATGAGGAACTTGTTGGGAACTGGAGCAAAGTTAACTCTTGTTATGTTTTCCCAAAGAGACTGATGGCATTTTGCCTCCGCCCTAGAGGTTTTGGAATTTTGAACTTAAGGAAGATGATTTAGGGTATAAGGTGGGAGAAATTTCTAAGCAGGAAAGCATTCAAGAGGTGACTTGGGTGCTGTTAAAAGCATTCAGTTTTATAAGGAAAATAGAACATAAAAGTTTGGATAATTTGCAGCTTGATGGTACTATAAAGAAGAAAAACACTTTTCTGAGGAGAAATTCAAGCTGGCTGCAGAAATTTGCACAAGTAACAAGGAGCCAAATGTTAATCCCCAAGAAAATGGGAAAAATGTCTTCAGGGCATGTCAGAGGTCTTCACAGCAGCCCCTGCCATCAAATGCCCAGAGGCCTAGGAGGAAAAAATGGTTTTGTGGGTCATGTGCAGCCTAAAAACTTGATGCCTTGCATCCCAGAGGCTCTAGCCATGGCTGAAAGGGCCAATATAGAGCTTGGACCATGGCTTCTGAGGGTGCAAGTCCCAAGCCTTCTCAGCTTTCATGTGGTGTTGAACCTATGAATGTACAGAAGTCAAGAATTGAAGTTTGGGAACCTCCACCTAGATTTCAGAAGAGAATGAAAATGCCTGGATGCCCAGACAGAAGTTAGCTGCAGAGGCAAGGTGATCATGGAAAACCTCTGTTAGGGCAGTGCAGAAAAGAAATGTGGGTTTGAAGTCATCACATAGAATCCCCATTGAGCCACCGTCCTCCAGACCCCAGAATGGCAGATCCACTAACAGCTTGCACCTTGCACCTGGAAAAGCTGCAGACAATCAATGTCAGCCTGTGAGAAAAGCCAGAAGGGAGGTTGTACCCTGCAAAGCCACAAGGCTGAAGCTGCCCAAGACCATGGAACCCGCCACTTGCATCAGTGTGACCTGGATGTGAGATATGGAGTCAAAGATCATTTTGGGGCTTTAAGATTTGACTGCCATGCAGAATGTTGGACATACAAGGGGCCTGTAGCCTCTTTCTTTTGGCCAATAGAAATTGGCCAACCCATTTGGAATGGCTGTATTTACTCAATGCCTGTACCCCCGTTGTATCTAGGAAGTAACTAACTTGCTTTCAATTTTACAGGCTCATAGGTGGAAGGGACTTGCTTGTCTCAGATGAGACTTTGGACTGTTGACTTTTGTGTTAATGCTAAAGTGAGTTAAGACTTTGGGGGAATGTTGGGAAGGCATGATTAGTTTTGAAATGTGAGGACATGAAATTTGATAGGGGCCAGGGGTGGAATGATATGGTTTGACTGTGCCCCTACCCAAGTCTCATCTTGAATTGTAACTCCCACAATTCCTACATGTTATGGGAGGGACCCAGTGGGAGGTAATTGAATCATGAGGATGGGTCATTTCTCTGCTGTTCTCCTGATAGTGAATAAGTCTCGTGAGCTCTGATGGTTTTAAAAAGGGAAATTTCCCTGCACAAGTTTTCTCTCTTTGCCTACTGCCATCCATGTAAGATGTGACTTGCTCCTCCTTGCCTTCTGCCATGATTGTGGGCCTTCCCAGCCATGTGGAACTGAAAGTTCATTGTGATGGTTAATATGATTGTCATATTGATTGGATTAAAGGATGCAAAGTATTGGTCCTGGGTGTGTCTGTGAGGGTGCTGCCAAAGGAGATTATCATTTGAGTCAGTAGGCTGAATGAGGAAGGCCCACCCTTAATCTGGGTGGGCACAATCTAATCAGCTGTCAGTGTGGCTAGGATAAAAGCAAGCAGACGAATGTGTAAAGACTAGACTGGCTTAGCCTCCCGGCCTACATCCTTCTTCTGTGCTGGATGCTTCCTGCCCTGGAACATCGGACTCCAGGTACTTCAGCTTTGGGACTCAGACTGGCTTCCTTGCTCCTAAGCTTGCAGATGGCCCATTTTGGGACCTTGTGATCATGTGAGTTAATACTCCTTAATAAACTCCCCTTTGTATACACATATCTATCCTGTTAGTTCTGTTCCTCTAGAGAATCCTAATATATCCATTAAACCTCTTTCTTTTGTAAATTGCCCAGTCTCAGGTATGTCTTTATCAGCAGCATGAAAATGGACTAATACAATAGTGTTTCATATCTATATTAGTCTGTTCTGCCACTACTATAAATAAATACTTAAGACTGGGTGTATTAGTTTATTCTCACACTGCTAATAAAGACATACCCGAGACAATTGACTCACAGTTCAGCATGGCTGGTGAGGCCTCAGAAAACTTACAATCATGGTGGAAGGGGAAGCAAACACATCCTTCCTTACATGGCAGCAGGAAGGAGAAGAATGAGCAAAGGGGGAAAAGCATCTTATAAAACTATCACATCTCATAAGAACTTACTCCCTATCAGGAGATCAGCAGCATGGGGGTAACCACACCCATGATTCAATTACCTACCACCAGGTCCCTCTCATTACATGAGGGGATTATGGGAACTAAAGTTAAAGATGAGATTAGGGTGGGGACACAGCCCAACCATATCACTAGGTAATTTATAAAGAAAATAGATTTAATTGGCTCAGTGAAGCATAGCAGCTGCTTCTTCTGGGGAAGACTCAGGAAATTTACAATCATGTTGGAAGGCTAAATGAAAGCAGGCACATTTTATATGTCCAGAGCAGGAGCAAGAGAGAGAGGGTGGAGATGCCACACACTTTTAAGCAACCGGATCTCAGGAGAATTCACTCACTATCACCAGAAAAGCACCAAGAGGGGAGTCCACCCCCATGATCCTATCACCTCCTACCAGGCCCCATCTGCAACACTGGAAATTATAATTAGACATGAGATTTGGGCAGGGACAAAAATCCAAACCATATAAATACTGAATTATGTATAGAGAAGAAATTAGAGTGCTGGTCTCCAGTACAGAATCCTTTGCAACTTTTCAGTATTCTAAAAAAGAAACAAAGTCTTAAAACTCATACTATTCTAAAAAATGCAATATAAATTTTACAACAAGAAATATAAATCTGGGAAGAACATTCAACACTGGATGATCAGAGAGGCACAGAATAGATACAGGCCCAAATGAAATAAACATTAGTATTAAAATATATTCACATTTTAAAACTTCTCTTCATGAACAAATAATTATGCTTATTTGCGATAACTAATATCAATGTAAGAAAAGTATAACTTGCAGTTCTTATAATCATACTTATAATTACATATGGTTCTTAAAGGTGTGATGTCCATTAAATAAAATATCAATTGTAATAGACTTTTTATTTATTAGACATTTTAGGATAATCAATTTAATTAATTTTCATGATTAATTTTAAAAATTGAAATCTAAAAGCTGTAGCCAATGTGTAATGACTGACTTAACGGATATCTTAAGACAGTAATTTACCCAAAATCAAACTCTGTGAAAATGAAGCAGTTGACATGCAATATATTGTTAAGTAAACAGGTAATTAGTGTAGTGAGTATATAGCAATAATAGAAAAGAAAGAGAGGATAATTTAGACTACCAAGCTAGGAAGGTTTTCTTTGAATATCTGTCTCATGTACCTTATATTTCAAAAAGTATTTTATTGTTTTTTGTCTAGTTTCTCAGCTACTCTGGGCTCTAGTATGTCCTATATATTTCTCCTATATACCAATAAAACAAATATATATTTCTTTCTTAACTGTAAAGAATGTTAATAATTTTCTAATGCATTCTTGAATTTTTAAAGAGGGCACTATTTAACCAAAAGAAATACATCTATACTAACTATTTCAATTCTGTGTCAGGTATTGGGGAGGAAGAAAAGGAACTAAGATTTTTGAGCATCTGTTATACATAATGATAATCTATGATGTATGTATGATATGTTTAAAATTTTAATTATTATACTAATTTAGTGACCTAGGCATTATTAACCTGCTTTATAGGTGAGGATATTGAGATTTTAACTTATGTTACCCACACAAAGCCATGATCTGAGACCAAATTCATGATATTCTCCATATGAGAAAACCTAAAGTACCGAGACTGGGTAATTTATAAAGAAGGTTTAATTGACTCATAGTTCCACATGGCTGGGAGGCCTCAGGAAACTTACAGTCAGGGCAGAAGAGGAAGCAGTCACCTTCTTCACAGGGCAGCAGTGGAGACAGACAGAAGAGTGACCGTGCAAGATAGAGCGGGGAAAACTCCCTCATAAAGTCATCAGATCTCATGAGAACTCACTCACGTCATGAGAACAGCATGGAGAAACTGTCCCCAGGATCCAATCACCTCCCACCAGGTCTCTCTTTCAATACCTGGGGATTACAATTCAAAATGACATTTGGGTGGGGACAGAAAGCCTAACCATACCAGGCTTATATCTGAAATATGCATAACAGAAATCATAAACAACTGGTATTTATAAAAATTATATTCAGTATAAACAGATAAAATAAGCAGGCAAACTCTTTATTATTATTTATTTATGATTTAAAGATCACTTATGTTCACTGTGAAGACATGGAAAACAAAGAAAATACAATTTATACAATCTAGTTCTCTTCATGTTTCCAATGTTAGAAAATGACACCAGTCAGAAACGAGAAACTTAGAAGTCATTCTTATTTCCTCCCATCCTCGTCTCCGTTATTCAGTAGAAGTTTAGTACATGGATCTTTAAAATATGTCCATAACCTGTCAACTTGTTTTCTTCTCTAGTCTAAGCATCCTCTAAGCCAATTGAAACTGATATCTTTCTGATATCAGTCATGTCTCCTCCAGGCCACTGTGCTCTCAGCAGCTAGTCAGCTAGATTCGTATTTTTAGAAACACAAAACAATCTGGGTCATTTGCTAATAAGAAATGTTAGGTATTTGGTAAAAAGAAAAAAAGTGCTCTTATTTGAATTGCATATTAAAAATTAGAATTATTTTGTTGTGGATTTCAGGTTTCTGTCAGTATTAGCAAATCTCTCTAAACTTACAACATTATTTTACATAACTTGAATAACTAATACATAACTAAAAATTTAGGTAACAATTTTTTTTTTTTTTTTTTTTTTTTTTTTTTAGACGGAGTCTCACTCTGTTGCCCAGGTTGGAGTGTAGTGGAATGATCTCAGCTCACTGCAACCTCCACCTCCTGGGCTCAAGTGATTCTCCCACCTCAGCCTCCTGAGTAGCTGAGATTATAGGGGCATACACTACACCCTGCTAATTTTTGTATTTTTAGTAGAGACAGGGTTTCACCATGTTGTCCAGGCTGTTCTTGAACTCCTGACCTCAAGTGATCCACCCATCTTGGCCTCCCAAAATGCTGGGATTAAAGACAATTTTTTAATCCATTAAGTAGACTATTATGCATTATACATAAAACAGGGAGGGTCTAACCGTTGAAAATTTAAAAAACAGACATAAGGGGATTAATTATGTACTAACTCCATTTCTATTGTTTTGTTCGATGGGCTTTAAGTTTTGTTCACCATAGCAGTTAGCAATACAGGTTGGAAGTTGGTATAAATATGGACAGTGTTTAAGAATGGCAATGCTGAAGATAAAACAGCTTATGATAAAAAAAGAAAGTCTGTTACTTGGGTAAAATGTAAAGAAATCAAGTATAAATTCAGTGAAGGATGCCTTAACTTTGTTGTTATACACAGAAAACTACTACAAAAATTCAACTTTTTACTAAAATGTCTGCAGGAAAATATTGTTTTTATAGAATAAAATCTGAATTGTCAAGCCCAGAGCCCCGTACTTTCTCACTGAAACAGTTGTATTTAATAATGTATTTTTGCATAAAGTTAGGTATGTTGGGAATACAACTGCACTGTTACAGAGTATTGAGGTAGTTTTTGCATATCTTTTTAATAGTCTATACAGCATAACGATTATATTCACTTTAAAAGTTTGGCAGAATTCAGCATTAAAATCTTGTAGGCTTATAGTTGGCCATTACTGGATAATTCTTGATAAGTTTTAAAATAATTCCATATTGTATTTCCTCCATAGCACTTTATTTCTTCATTTGGTAATTTATTTTTCTAGAAATATTAGATATATTTCTGTTTAAAATTTTTAAATTATTCCTAATAGTATTTCTTCTTCCCTCTTTCTTCATAAAATGTACCATTATATATATTTAAACAGATTTATCACAATATTGTTCTGTCATTTTTCAAAATTTTAATTTCTTACTGCTTAGTTTTAGCTTTGTAATATCACTCTATATATACTTAGTTTTTGAAGTTTTAAAATTGTTTATCTTCTACTTTAGGTTAATGTTTATTTCTTTTTTTTTAGAAGTAACTCAATTTATATTTATAGATTTGCTTCTGTTAATCTCTGTGTCTGTCAGTGAACATCTGTGTTTCATTTTCCATAACAATTTTCCACTGTAATTTAATTCTCTTTAGTTTTTGATCCAAGAAAGGAGAGATTGGCATACAAGGAAATGGCACCCTTCAGACTTAATGTTAGTGAGTTTGTTTAACTTTGTTATTTGTAAAGAAGAAAAAGGAAAAGATAAGCAATTTATCCTCACCCCTGTAAGTTTGTTTTGGTTGTGGTAAAATTTCTATATAAAGACTATGATTAGTTCATATGTAAATTTCCAAGACCAATTCCCAATTGATAAGAAGCATTTCCTTAGAATTTCTGTACTAATTTATAGCATACCTTTGCTTAATGCCATCAATTGAACCCTGTAACTATTTGAACTATTTCTTGAGAACCTGGAAAATTACAAACTGGCAAAGACAGAATATTGCTCATGCCAACTAAAATTATTCATGAGACTCTTCTACTTGGAAGAGGCTACATTTTCTGTTCCACATCCCAACATATAGAGGACACTTGATAGTAATTTTCAAATAAAAGGATTATAGACATTTCTTCTCCAATTTTTTTTGGTGAGGGTATATATTTTTCTCATATCTTTTGTACTCACAGCAAGAATATTGTTCATTTTAGTTTTAATGGACCTAGGGCTAGCACAATGTGTTTAACATATGAGACTCTAGTACTCCTTAAATAAGTTAATAAATTCATTAATAAATGACCATTCATTTAATCTACTTTTTTAAATTAACTATATCTTTTATACATAAATTATGTTAATGATATTGGAAGCTTAAAGTTTGCCTTAGAACTTCATATTGTTATATATAAAAATGCTGCTTTTTAAATTTATTATCCAAAAAATTTAATTCAGTATCCTTGCATGAAATATTTTATTCTTTTCAACAGATATTTTTATAAGTTAGATTTGGTCTTAATATCAAAGAGCTCATGTTCTGTTTGTAAGAAAAGATTTGTACAAAAATAAACAGAAGTTAAAACATGCTAAAATAATTGTTTTGAAAGGTTACTTGGGATTTGAGGGAAAGAAGACGTAACAATTTCCTCAGAGTATGGCATATTTTCACCAATTTTGTGCTGTAATAATTTCTTAGGAGAGCTTCTTGACTCATCTTGGAAGAAGAAAGTGTTTATAAAAATTGTAATTCCCAGGTAATTGATTTTTTACAACCTTGCCACAGATACTTCAGGAGCTTATAGGCGATAATATCACCATTTGAACAAAGTTTCATCCTGACAATTCAATTGATGGTGCTAGATGACAATAGAGATTCACAGCACTTTTGGATAAGGTACTAATCCGTTTGATTATTCATGGTGTAGTGTTATAAATGCAAGAGGTTTAGACACGAGATCTTTTCCCTGTTTCTTGTATTTATGAAATGTTTTTAAAAACGTAAAATTTATCCTCTTAAAATTAATATTTCTAATGAGCAGACGTGAGCATATCAAAGCAAAAACAGCAAAAAAATGTGTACTAAATTTTAAAAAATGTATATAAAATAAATTTGGTTTTGCTTTTAGATTTGCTTAAGAAGTATGTGGAGGAGGGTATTCTGGGAAGACGGCAGCATCAGAAGCACCAGGATTTGTTTACCCACCTAGACAACAATTGTACTGGCAAAATATTTCTGATGTAAATATTTGGAACTCAGGAGGCAAAGGCTTGGAAGGTAAGCTGCTGCTGATTTTTGTCAATCTCAATTCAGAACAGTGGTAGCTACCCATTACCCACCCCTAGCCCTATGGTAGGCAGCTGAACATGTGTCCATGCAACAGCTTGCACACAGTTTGCAGGAGCCAGAGTGGGGAAAAACAAAAGGAATCTCTCCTCCAAATATCAGGGATCTGTGCCTGGATCAATGATTGCTGTGTCTGATCACAGAGGTACAGACAAAGAAGCACATGGCCATTGTTTTTACACTTCCTGGTATTATGGCAGCCCCCCGCCCCCTCCTTTGTTTCAGAGGTATTGACTTGCAGGCGATTTAAAGGGCCATCACCCTTTTTTTCACCCCTTCATTTCCCTCTTTTCTGCCTTTTCGGATTGAGACATTAAAGAGTAGGGCAACTAGTCTTTAATTCAGAAAATTACAAAGTAAGTCCACATTCCCAGAGAATGATGCAGCCTTTAAAAGAACCTGAAAAGACTTTAAGTTTATACCCCATGCTGATCTTTGGCACAGAAACATATTACAACAATTAAAAAAAAAAAAAAGCAAACTCTAGGGAAGGGGTGGGAATCTAATTTCCAGAGTTAGCAAATAATTAGATTTAAATGTCTAGTTTTTAACAAATAATCACAAGTGATACAAAGGAACTGGAAAGTATAACTCATTCAAGGAATAAATATAAATGAACCAAAACTATTCTTGAAAAAGACATGATGACAGATCTACCAGACAAAGATTTTAAAACAACTATCTTAAAGATGCTCAAAGAACTAAAGAAAGATGAGGGAAAGTCAGGAAAATGATATATGAACCAAATGGACATCAATGAAGAGATAGAAAATCTAAAAAAACCCCAAAATTTTAGAAGCAAATAGTATAATAACTGAAATGGCATTCATAACAGAGAGATTCAAAGACAATTTTAAGTAGACAGAAGAAGATGAACTTGAAGATAAGATAATGTGAATTACTGAGTCTGAGGAACAAAAATCCTAAAAAGTATGAAGGAAATGAATAGAGCCTAAGGGACCTGTGAGACAACATTAAGCAGACCAACATACACATTGTGCATATCCTACAAGAAAAAGAGAGGAGGAAGTGGGTAGAGACAATATTGAAGAAATAAGGGCTGTAGACATCCCAAACTGGATGAAAGGCCTAAACATAAACATCCAAGAAAATCAATGAAATCCAAGTAAAACGAACTCAAAGAGATCCACACTGAAACACATTATAATCAAAATTCCCAAAGACAAAGAATCTTGAAAACAGTGAGAGAGAAACAATTCACATACAAGGAATTGTAGATAACATTATCAGCAAATGTGTTATTGACAATTGTGTAGGCCGGAAGGCAGTATGCCAATATACCCAAAATGCTAATGTAAAAAGATTGTCAATCAGGAATTATATACCCAGCAAAACTAGCCTTCAAAACTGAGAGAAAAACTTAAGACATTCCCAGGTAAACAAAAGCTAAGAGAGTTTATTGCCACTAAACCTTTCCTGTAAGAAAATCTCAAAGGAGTCCTGGAGAATGAAATAAAAGAAGACTAGATAGTAACTTGAAGTTTTACAAAAAAAAAAAAATAATAATAATAAAGAATTCAGTATGTGTAAATACATGGGTAATTATAAAGGCTAGTATTATGGTTTCTAATTGCACTTTTAGTTTTCTGCATGATGTAGGAGATTATTACATTTTAAAAAGAAAATTATTAGTCTAAAACTTAGTATTATTACAATTGGTTTGAAATTCCATATTTCCAATATAACTTAAGAAACTAATGGATATGAAAGAATTATTAGTTTAAGTTTTTGATCACACAATATATAAAGGTATAATGTTGTGACAATAACAACAAAAGGGGTGGGGGTACAATTGTTAAAGGAATAGAGTTTTTGTATATTATTAAAGTTAAACTGGTATAACTTCAAATTAGTGTGTTATTGCTTTAGTATGTTAAATATAATCCCCAAGTGCTATGGTAGAACAATTTGTTCCACCTTCCCCAAAATTCAGAAGTTGAAAAACTATCCCCAAAGGTAATTTACTGTATTAGGAGGTGGCCTTTGGGAGATAATTAGGTCATGAAAATGGAGCCCTGATGAATGGGAATAGTGACATAATAAAAGTGGCCTGAGACAGCTCTTTCACCTCTTCCATTCTGTGAAGATACAGCAAAAATATGATCCTCAAGATAAAAGTTAATTCCTGTCCTAAAACTTTATTTGATAACTTGCAAGACATCATAATGGCATTAAATCATTATTAAAAGCCTAGCAACATAGACAATGAGAAGGCAGTTCTGGGTTACAAAATATTGACTAACAATGTTCCTGAACTTAGAAAAAAACGAACAAACAAACAAACAAAACACTAGAGTTAAGCCTATCATGAAATCTATTAAATTTCACATGACTTTCTACCTACTCCCACAAAGGTTACTGTTATACCATATCTAATTTTCCAGAGAAGGGTGTTGTGGTAGTCTTTTCTCTTATTCCTATAAGGAACTACCTGAAACTAGATAATTTATGAAGAAAAGAGGTTTAATTGACTCACAGTTCCACAGGCTGTACAAGAAGCATGGCTGGGGAGGCCTCAGAAAACTTACAATTATTGTGGAAGGCAAAGGAGAAGCAGGCACATCTTCACATGATAGAGTGAGAGCAAGAGAGTGAAGGGGAAAGTACTACACACTTTTAAGCAAGCAGATCTCCTGAGAACTCACTCATTATCATGAGAAGATCAAGGGGGATGTCTGCCCCCACGATCCAGTCACCTCCCACCAGGTCCCTCCTCCAACATTGAGGATTGCAATTCGACATAAGAATTGAGAGCATACACAGAGCCAAACCATATCTGATGTGATTCTAAATAGTAACTAGTTACATAAAAACAAAATAAGCTTTCAACTACAGGTATTATGGGAATTATTTTTGATGGTAAATTTGGAAATTTCTTGGCATACACACGTAGTATTAGAATTGTAACATTTAGAGCTTAAAAGGGCATATTTTTTATTTATTTGAACATTTAACAATTATACAAAGCTCCATTTTCCTATGTTAAGTAGTACATTGTGTCCTATTTATACCATTGAAATCATTTTGTAAATGGGATGAGTCACTTAGTACATGGAATCATGCTGCTTAGATTAGCATCTTGGTTAATAATTTAGTAGCTAGAAGGTCTTGGGCAAAACAATTTATATTTCAGTTTGCTAATCTTTCAAAGAGGATAACTATAGTAGTACTAATGCCATAAAATTGTTCACATAGAAGAATGTATGACACAGAGTAAGTGATCATTGTCAGATGCTAACTCTAACCTTGTTAAGCCAAATATTATAGGTGATTCCTAATTTTAACCAAAATTTCCTAAGAATTAAACTCTTCTTTGCCTTCCCTATCCCATATAAACTAACTTTATGGTTTTCTAAGGAAGAAAAGAAAAAAAAGAGAAAATTTTCAACTTTAGTTACAATTTTATCCTCATCTTCCTACTTCTCTATTACTGGGAAGGAGAGAAGAAAAGGAGAAAGAAAATGAAAGAAGAGGATCAAAAGTCTTCTCCAATGACACATTTGGTATTTGGGATCCACCGGAAAGTGTCCAGGCAGATTTAAGCAGATTTAGATGACGTGTAGCAGATGAACAATTCATAAGCAGATGAGTTTCATCTTTTTGTTTGTTTTTGTTATTGTGTGTTTCTTTTTTAGCCTTATGCTGTTGAGTATAACTCTGTCATATGAATTTCCTTTAATTCAGTCACCAAAGTTTCTGTTCAGACTCAGAGTCCTCTCTTCTCTGTCAATAGGCCTTTATCAACCATCTTTTTACTGTCTTCTGAATCTCCTGTATGACCTTGCATTATAATCCTTTCTCCAGTTAATGTCTAAGCCCTCATTTAATGAATTGAAAATTGCACTGAAGCCCCAGACTCTGAATATGAAAATATTTAAGGATATTTAGTCAATATCTTGCTTGCATTTTCCTTTTTATGTATAAACAAGTGTGTTATAGTAATAAAACTTCTATCTAATATGGATTAAAGGAACTCTTTTAATAAGTACAAAATAAGAAATTTGTTAAGGATAAAGTTTAGTTGACATTTTTTTCCTTAGATGTACATTAAGGATATAATGTCTTATAGTCAGAGATGTCTCAGAATAGATGACTTATTGTATTCCCATATTCCCATTTTTTTTTCTGAAGAAACTAGTGCTTAGTGACCTGGCATAATTTTTAATGAATGGCAAAGCTGAGATCTGAGTACAAATAGAGAATACTTAATATAAGCAAACTGTAAACATCCAATTGTTGATTGTAAATGTAATAAAATTAAAACAATCAAGAATGAAGTTAATTGCCACATCAGACAAATTATTTGAGACACCTAAGATTTGCTCCTGGGGAAGAGATTCTCTAATTCTGTTGTTCTCCAACAAGAGGAAAGCAACAGAAAAAGAAATACCCTGGGCTAGAGGACCTTGCCCTACCCTCTAATCTTTGACATTAAACTCAATTTAGGGCTTCTGAAAAACATTATGGAAATAACTCCAAATATTGTTTTTCTGCCATATGTTCCCTGGGTCTGCCTCATTCTTCCCTTTCTGATCAGAAATGTGAAGTACACATACTATTACAAGTGAACCATCTATGGCATTAAATTAGATTGGATTTAAAAATACCAAATGTTATATTTTAAGAAGTTTTCAATTCAAACTATTTTCTAAGCATGCTATACATTTTCATTGTGCCTTCAAATTTGCTTCCCCCTCTGCCAAAGTCACCCTTCTCTGATTCTATCCCTGCATTTAAAGCCTCAGCTCAAAAGATTGTTTCTCTTTCTAGAAGTTTTCTTTGCCATACCCTCTACTCACCTTGTTATGGTTACTTCCTCTTCTCTGTGTTTATATACTACTGTAATGGCCAGGAAAGAGCTTATATTTAATCATTTCTCCTCCCATGCTAACCAGTGAGCTCTTCTGTGTAACCCTATGTGCCCATTCATATTGTAATTCTTGATATGTCATTACTGAATTTTAAATGAAAAGAAAAATACTGGAAGGTAATTGGATTTATAAATTTACCCTGCGTCATTTTGCATAGTTCAGCAAGTCATATAATACAAAACTCAATGTGAGTTTTGAAACAAATTGGCTGAAATAAAACCTTCATGAAGCACTAAGGAAGAGAAATGGTTTTATCATTCTCAACAAAATATAAATGCAAGGACTTAGCAGGAAGATGAGGGTGTGGTTTTATCCAGCTAAGCAATTTCTGTAGAAAATAAATTTCACTTAAAAAAATTAGGCCAAGAGTGCAATACAATCACCTTAGTAACTTACCTTAGTAAAGGTTCCTGAGGGTCTATGATGCACTTTAGATTTTTACTGTAACTTGATTAAAAAATATATTAAAAAACTGAGTGATAAAAGTATTTATCTCCCTTATTCACAATATATGTCTATCAGAAAGAATGAGATATTTCCTTCAGGAGAAAAGTAATGGAAGTAATCATTTGCATTACCACAGCCATTAAATGGGTTTCTGGTGTTGGACTCCATATTTTCTGTTGTTGTTTGTAAATAGTACATAAAAGATAGTGAGATGTTACACAAAAAAATTAGAAGTAAAGAAAATAGAGTTGACCTCTACAGATATGACTAGTTTAAATCTCAGACAATGGGATGAGATGTAAGAAGTTTGTTAAACTCACTGAAAAAAATTATCTAGATTATAAAATTAAAAGAAACATGGTACCAAAAGAAGAAAGTAACTAAATTAGAAAATTAAATTTAGACTATTCCACATCCCCGAATTTGCTCTAATCCTTTACTCACCAAGAATGTATCTTCTTGCTATTTTGCCTTCCAAAAAGCTTATATAAAGTCTATGTTTGTGAGTGTGTAGGTAGAGGGGATTCTAGTCAACCTTTTTTGATACAAGGATGAGAATCATTAGAGCTTTCGAAAATTCATTAAGTTAAAGTCCAGCTTTTGAAAGACCGCAATCCTAAGCAAATTAATGCAGGAACAGAAAACCAAATGCTACACGTTCTCATCTATAAGCAGGAGCTAAATATTGAGCACACACAAACATAAAGATGGGAACAAGAGGCACTGGGGACTACTAAAGGAGAGGGGAAGAGAAGTGTGGATTGAAAAACTGCCCTTTGGGTACTATGCTCGCTGCCTGAATGAAAGGATCCATGCCCCAAACCTCAGCACCACACAATATACCCATGGAACACACCTGCAAATGTACCCCCTGCATCTAAAATAAAAGTTGAAATTAAAAAGAATTAATTCATTATTGTTTTCTTAAAGCCCAGCCTTGAGGACTCCTTCAGTTGACCTTTTCTTAGAGGAAACACCAATTTTACCTCACTACTACTGTATCTGCTTTACCATCATTAGTTTTTCCTTTGATTTTTATCTTAACAATTTATATGACCATATCCCCTATGTTAATTTCTTTTCCTTTCAAGGCATAAAAGTAAGAAACTCTCTACCTACAGCAGTTACACTTATCTCATCCTCCTAGAATCCAAGGCATGGGTGTGATATTACAAATCAGTCATACAGTTCCACCTAAATTTTCAGCCATATATGATATCTTTAATTTGCAAAGTGAGGCTTGGCTACCTTGCAGGACAAATTATTTATCTTTTGGGGTAGTCCATTCCACCAACAGCTCTAATTGTAAAAATATGTATTTCCCTAGAGCTTCCAACAACTATAACCAGATCATGACTTAGGCCGTAGGGAATGTTAGACCTTCTTGTGCAAATCTACTTTCCCAGGCTGTACTTATATCCCCGTTTTTTTCAATTTTTTCCTTAAACAGTTTTGACACACATAGCCAGTTTCCTTTCAATAACTTCTGTTTTATCTATTTAGTTCTTAGAGAGTAGTTTTCTCTAATGATTGTATCATCTTAAGGATATTCTGACAACTGCTATAGAGTAGACTGGTACTTATTTGTCATGGAGCAACTGTGTCTTCCCAAAATTCATATGTTAGAATCCTAACCATCAAAGTAATGGTATTAGAAGAGGAGGCCTTTGGAAGGTGATTAGTTTATAAAGGTGGAGAACTCATCAATGGGATCATTGAAACACAATAAGAAACACAAGATATATGATTTCTTTTTCAGTCATGTGAAGATACAATGGGAAGACAGCTGTGTGCAAACCAGGAAGAATTCTCTCACAGATGCAAGATTTGCTGGCACCTTGACTTGGACTTCCCAGCCTCCAGAACCATGTGAAACAAATGTTGTTTAAGCCACCCAATCTATGGTATTCTGTTATAGCAGCCAGAACTTATTAAGACACTATTTTACATAGCATTCTCAATTATGATGCCATTTGCTATTTCAAAGATGGGTGGGTGTGGCATATCACCATTGAGACATATTTCATAAACTGCCAGCTGAAACTCAGTGTTTTCACTTCCTAATGTGAAACATTTGAGTCCTGTCTCCTGCATCCTACAGTTATGCATCACTTAGATTGAATGAGGAATCCTGTCTTTCATCATTCACTTTACTTGACCCAACTGATGAGAGAAATCATATTTCTGACTACTCCAGTGAAAATTACCCATATTGTTAATTTTTGTTGTTGTTGTTAAATTATCTATGGGCTCAAGAGGCCATGAAATATAATCCACTGAGATAATCGTAATTAAGAAGTGTTTTATGCAATTTGAGTTGTTTTCACTGTGGCCTCTGTGCAAGAATATTATAAAACCCAATTTAGAATTGTTTTTCTGAAACAAATTAGTTGAGCAGCGACTACCTTTCAGTATCTGCTTCACAAGGGAGTGGCTGAACTCCTGCAAAACTTTCATTATGTTCTTGCTTTCTTACTAGGAGTTTAATTCTCTCCATAGGTAAATTCAGTTTAGAATTTATTTTTCAGGGTTGTCTGCAATTTATTTTGCATTATTTGATCTTGTAATATAATCATGGAGTATTATGGTTGCATAAGCATACAAATTCAAGAATAAGATGCATGCACTTCTCAGTAAGGTTTTTCCTCTCTGCACTGTGCTTGGTGAAAGTGTTGTGTATGTAGATTAAAGAGAGGTGACAGCATGACAGATCCTGAAGGTAAACTGACTGGGATTTCAAATTCTAGTTGCATCACTTATTGATTTTTTAAACTTGAGGAATTTACTAACATTTATCTGCTTTGGTTTAACTACTTTCTAAATGGATTAGAAAATTCCCTGTGCCTCAATTTCTTCACCCATAATGCACAATATAGGTTAATCTTTAAATTGTGAGTTAGTGATTGGTTTGTTGGGAAAAATAAATGAATTTTTAAAATAGTTAAAATTGCTTGTCACATGGTAAGAACATGCATTATTCTCTATTTTATCTCTGTTGTAATTTTAGTATCTATGCCAAACCTATATCTGCAAAGTTATTTGATTTGCGTGTGTGTATGTACAGACACACTAAAAGAAAGGCATTAGGTTGTTGAATAGAAGCAAGGATGTCACTAATGTTAATAAACAAAATTTTACAATGTATTTGGGGATTGAAACACACACACACAAACACGCACACACATCATTACATATAGAAATACACAGCTTTGAGAAAATATTTTTCTATAATTTATGGGGAAGAAGTCATCTAATTCTATGACCCAGTCCAAAATATTTTTGATGTTTACCTTCAAAACAGTGAGATATACAGGTGTCTTAATTTTTTTGAAGCAAGATAATTTTTCTATAATATAATCATACTGGAAAGGTTGTATGGGCTTTTTTATTAATAAACTGAGCCTTAACAGTATCAATGCAAAAATTGCACTAGGCAAAGTTAAACAGGAAATGAACACTTTATTTAAGGGTATAGCAATGGGAGATAGGGACAACACACAGTCTGAACTCAACTCCACTGAAACAAAGAGCAGAAGGGTTTCTGAGAGCTGGGCAGGGAGAACTGTAGGCCCACTGCATTGTTTGCTAATTGGCCTCACCAAAAGGAAGATTAAACTTTCTTGTATCTTCATTGCAGGTGATAGTTGTACATCATGGATGAAGTCACCCACCAAACATAGGCTCCTACCATCCTTCAGAGAGTGGGAGATAGGGGTACTGTCATCCCTAGTTATTATGTTTCAAAAGAATGACTTCCTTGAGAAAGATAGTCCTTAATTGTAAAACTGGAAAAAGGCTTTTAGAAACATTACATTTTACAGGGAAGAGAAATAATGTACAATCGCAGGTTTTATAAAGCAAATGCTCTAAGAAAAAAGGAAGTCAGGGGCATACAGTCATGAAAAAGGTTGTCCAAAGTTTAGTCAAGCTGAGGGAAATGCTAAGAATATCTTTTGTTTATAATTTATAAATCTGACTATTTTAAAATTTAAACAAAACAATACAAAACCAGGATCATTTTGGACAGATAACCTCCCTTTACCTCAGCACGCTTATCTCTGAAATGGAGATTTTAATATTTGATTCATTTGATTTGTCGTGAGGTTTTAATTAAACTGTATAGGCAAACACTTCACAGGCTGGAAGATTATTTTTCAATCATTACAAGAGCTGTTAGTTTTATCACTGGCATTATTTTTCCTCCATAGTACAATTTAATTCCTCTATACAATGTCAATCTACCACTCTGAAAAGCTGACTCAATAAGTATTTTAAAGGAAAATGAAAAAAATATTAACCAGGTGTTCTGGCAATAAGCAATACCACTATTATCACCATACTAGTTAATTACTGAAACAGTGGAGGCTGTGTTCTGAAAAAAAAAAATTTACTGGCTTCAATAAAATTAAAATCTGATTTGAACAAGGAAATAAAAATCTGACATCATAAATATCCTTTTCACATTTATATACAGGTATGTGTTCCCATTCAAATGAAATCTGTTTTAATAAATAATTATTATTTTTGTCCTTATTACTATATTTTTGACACTGGGAGATATTGAATACCAAATCTTAAAATTGTTAAGGGAAATGAGGATTTTCTATATCACCATCTGCTGTTTGCAACGTTTGTAGTTCCAATGTTAATAGTCTAATTTGTTAAACGACAACAAAAAATCCATGTAAATGTGCTGTTAAATTAATGGTCCCAGTCTTAGGAGGTAACTAGATGAGTAAAATATGTTCTCTTTTTGAAAAATAGTGCTGGCTCTTTGCTGTAAATTACCTCTTTTAAGAAGCCAGATGGTGAGTGGAAAAAGTAATTTAATTTAAAAAGCATAAAGTGTATTTAAACATAGGATTGAAATGAATATTTTATGTATATATATTTATACGATTGAACATGTTCCAGAGATTTTACACTACTTCTAGCTGAAAATTATACAGAATGGATCAATAAAGAAATATAATAAGGATCATCCTGATTATATAGATCATCCTGCTAGAAGTATATCATTTAGCCCAGAGTATATTAAGATCTATATGGACAAGTAATAAAATCTTACTATTCTCAACTGGAAATCTTCTTTCTTTGAACATATTTTATGTGCTCATTTTACAGACCCTCCTAGAGATATTATTTCTCAGTATGTCAAATATAACCCACACATTTTTATGTTAAATGGTCATTGGTGACTACTCATATTTTTTCTGGGATTCAGTGCTTATGACATGTCAACCGTTAGTCTATTTCGGTGAAAATTTTCCAAGAATTTTTCAATTATCTACTAAGCTTTAAAGATTATTTTAATAAGACAACTATTTTCTGTACACTTGATTCTTTTCAGAATTGTATATTAGGTTATTTAGGAGGAACATAAAACATATACTCACTATTGTAGGTAAAATAATGACCTCCCAATGTTGTCCTAATGGCTAATATATGTGAATAAGCAACTATATATGAAAAAAAGATAGATATGTTGTAGATGTGATTAATACCTTGAGATAAAAAAAATCTTTACTAATTTGGATGAGTCCAAATTGGACTCATCCAAATTATTAAAGATCAGAGTCACAGAAAGAAATGTGATATGTGATATGAGCAGAGGTCAGATAATGCATGGCCATGGGCCAAAGAATAAAAAAGGTAGCATCTGAAAGCTGGAAAAGATAAGGAATCTCATATCCATTTAAAGCCTACAAAAGGGACAGTCCTACTGACACCTTGGTTTTAACCGAATGATACATCTGATCTATAGAACTTAAGATAATATATTTGTGTTGTTTTAAATCAGTTTATTGGTAACTTACTATAGCAACAATAGGGAAATAGTATAAACTGCATCCCCCAAATTGTGTGGGCTAGTCATGTAGACAGAAATTACAATCTGAGAAACGTATGAAACAAATTCTATGATATTCAATGGGGAAAAGGTTGTGATAAAAAGTCATCAAGGTCTTTTGAAATATACTGCTTGAATGAAATAGATTTTAAGTTAGAATGTGAAAAATTAAAATTAAAAATGTTTAAACTGAATATCTCTTCATATTAGCAAATTTCACCAAAACTTGCTACCTATTATGCCATTGCATTGCTGCCTCTTACGCCGTTACATCTCCCAACTAGCCTGCTGGAGTCCCAAATTGTATCTTACAAGTGCTTATCAACATCCTTATTATAAATTTGTTGTCAGAAGCTCTCTTCCGTGCCTTCTGTCCAAAAAGCCACTTGAATTCTGCGTGATACTCACAACTTGCACAACAGCCCTAATGCCATTGCTAAGGGTTCTGGTCCCTAGTACTACCCAATCAAAACATAAAACAAAAAGCTACTATGACTGCCACCACCAACAACAGGGATTGATAGCAAAAGTCAAGTTGTATTCCACTGAGATCCTGCAGTGCCAGGGCCACATAACCACCATTCTTTTCTAACTCCTGCACTTTGTCACTTGCCAAAAACTGAGTGAAAATATCTCATTCAGCTTTTGGCTTCCATCCTATCTGTATAGTTGGAGTTCATGGAGCAGAAAGAAAAGGAACTATCTAACATAAATCACGGGTTAAAGTGATTCTCCTGCCTCAGCCTCCCAAGTAGCTGGGAGGCATGCGCCACCACGTCCAGCTAATTTTTGTATTTTTAGTAGAAGATGGGGTTTCGCCATGTTTGCCAGGCTGGTCTTGAACTCCTAACCTCAGGTGAGCCACACGCCTCCGCCTCCCAAAGTGCTAGGATTACATGCTTGTACCACTGTGCCTGGCCTTAAACTCGTATTTTTTATATAAATTAAATCCCTAGTTTCCCAATTTTAATTATAATAAATTTACCTGCAGAAAATCAACATTTTAAGAAGAAAAAAGAAGCTGAATATAGTACCAAATATTATGTATATATAATGTTTTAAGATCACAGGAAGCTTTCAACACAATCAGAGTTTGTGGATGGAAGATCCCTGAGAAAAGGCAACTGCAGTAATGGAAAATGGCATTTTGAAAGCTTGGGGATTTGGCCAAGTATTAGAAAAGGGAGAGATGCTGGCAGGATTTCAGGGAGAAAATTTCAGCTAGGAAGCAGAGAAGCTAGCATAGCTTTTGGCCATCTTACAGCCTGGATAAAGAATAAGAAGAGTTTGGGGCTACCAAGATAGCCAGGATTTCCAAGATTGCCAGAGAAAGAAAGTATAAATAAGTCAGCTCAGGACTGCAGCTTCTTCCATTTGAGAAACTTGCTGAAGTCTTAAGCTGCACCAGAGACCAAGACACAGGTAAAAGGCTGGTAAAAGACAGAGTAGACTTTAGAAGTGGATTTTAGTATTGTAAAAGTGAAATTGAAGGCCCACCAAGAATGAGAGTTTCTAGCAGATACAGCAGGTCCGCAATTGGAGAGTGCAAACAGGAGGTAGTTATTGACTCTATAATGACTGTCACCAACTACAAATTCTACAACTTGTTCTTTTTTTTTTTCTTATTGGATTATGTGACCTGACCTCACTCTTGACCCACTTCAGACCTCCACAATTTTTATAAATGATATCTTCTTTCCCATTATAAATTTCTAAATGCAACAAAAACAAACTAAATTAAGAAAAAAGACAAACGAAACACATACACAGATGAGCTAGTTACTACAGTTTTAAGAAATAAACATTCAAACATCTATAGTTAAATAGGTTAAGAAAATATAAAGTACAGTTGAGAAATTTCCCTCAAAGAAGAGATTTTTAAAAAATAACTGAAGACATAAAATTGAAAAAAATGTGACAGCTGAAATTAAAGATTTAACAAAGATAAGTTTAAAAGCAAACTAGAGACAACAAAGCAGAGGAGCAGTGAGCTACGAAGTAAGTCATAAGAACACAGCCAGGTTAAAATATATATTGGGCAAAAAAGACAGAAAAAAATCAAAAAGGAACAGTGATCTTACAGACAAAGGGCTCCGTCAAGTGTAATTACAGTGTCTAAAAAGAAGAATAAAGAAAATGAGGTAGGAGCATTATGTGAAGAGGTATATGACAATAATTTTCCAAAACATATGAAATACTTCAAGCCAGGTATTCATAAATCAACAATATAGTCAAGCAGTGTGAATTCAAAGAAATCAATATTCAGATCCATTATAATAAACACGCTGAAAATAAAAACCCAAAGAGAAAATTTTCAAGGCAGTTAAAAACATATTGCCTTAAATGTAGCAAAATAAGATGGGTAAGTGATTGATAAAAACATGATACAGCCTGGGTGACAGAGGGAGACTCTGTCCCAGAAAAAAAAAAAAAAAAGAAGAGAAACAGAAAGTATTGTTCAAATGATGAATAAACTTTAACTGTAAAACTTTATAATCATCAAAAATAATCTTGAAAAGTGAATATGATACCGATGTCTTATTTAGTTTTCAATACAAAAAATAAAAAGAATAGATTAATAGTTGTGGGGTGAAAGGATAGAGACGTAATATGATAAAGCAAATACAGTAAAATGTTCATGACCATATCTAAGTAATGGCTACCTTTGATATCACTGTCAAAATCTGTTAACCTTTGCTTACATTTGAAAACATTAATAATAAAATATTGAAAAAAGGTGAAGCATAAATGCCATCCCAATAGATGAAAACATCTGAATATGAAAACATATATTATGAAAATATTTCAGTATATTTAGTTACCAAGAGAATCTTTAAAATTCCAATGAGATACCACAGAACATTCCCACATTGCTACCTGAATTTTGAGTTAGTTCATCTAGTAGTAATATAGAATTATGACTATTACACAGTACTTCCACTTCTAGGTATGTGCAACATCAATATTATTCATATTAGTCAATACTGTAAACTAGCCAAATGAATACATATTTCATCACTGGTTGAGAGCAAATGGCCATGAGCTATACTTTCTCAATGAATATGTATGTTCATGCACATGTATGTAGTAATGCCTTTTCAAAATACATTCACTTCATAATATAAATCGTTTCCTCTCCCTCTGAATACTGACAATAGTGAATTGTTATTTCTCAAGGGATCATGCTTTTTTTTTTATTATCCCATGTTTCTGGTGAGGAAACCAAGGCTTAGGGAGGTTATATAATTTGCTCAAGTTTACATAAATTGGCCAGGTGAGGTGGCTCACACCTGTAATCATAACACTTGGGAGACCGAAGCAGGAAGATCACTTGAGATCAGGAGTTCAAGACCAGCCTGGCCAACACAGTGAAACCCCGTCTCTACTGAAAATACAAAAGTTGGTTGGGCATGGTGGCAGGCGCCTGTAATCCCCGCTACTCAGGAAGCTGAGGCACGAGAATTGCTCGAACCTGGGAGGCAGAGGTTGCAGTGAACCGAGATCCTGCCACTGCACTCCAGCCTGGGTGACAAAGACCCTGTCAAAACAAAACAACAACAACCACAACAAGAACAACAAGAACACCACCACCACCAACAACAAAAGCTTATATAAATTACAGGTGGTTGTAAATCCATGTGGTTTCAGCTAGTGCTTACCATCTGCTATGCACCAAAACATTTTACATTCATCAACTCATTGTAAACATAGAAAAGCAGCTAATGATTTATCATAGTTTATATATTTAATAATGAATTGGTACCCAAACACACCTACACTACTTTTATCCCTTGGTTATATGATAGAACTTCAGAAAGTCCGTGTGTCAATAGCAATAGTAACAAAATGGCTTGGCGGTGTTTTGTGACAGCAAAGTTCAGGGTGCTTAATAAAGATAGAAAGAAATTCACAATGATTTCTACTTTTACCCATAACTGTCACAAAGCTTGTTAAATTTCTGCATTTCAAGGGTGTAGTTTACTTAAGTTTTTCCCTAGTACATGAAACAGCATCCTAATATAATATTTTCCTAATCTAAATTCCAATCAGGTCACGTTTTATCTGACATTTAATCTAAATGCCAATCAGATCACGTTGTTAAATGCTATCAGTTCAGGTTTTTTTTTTTGGTTGTTGTTATTTTATCAAATGTGATTCTAAAACTCTATCTCAGGTCTTCTAAAATGATAGCTCTGTAGATGGTTGTTTATGTCATAAACTTAGCCATATATAATGGTATCTTATTTATTTGCTGGTATATTATCTCTTTCCTCTATTAAAAGAAAGAATATTGAGAATTTTGCCTATGTTGATTTCTTTCACTTAGAAAAATAAATAACCTAAACAGGTTGAATAAATGAATAGGATGAATACATGAATGAGACCAAGAATATATATTTTACCCCATTTATCCAGGTGATTCATATGTATCTAGACAGTTACTGGTGAACAGATTGGAACTGAGAAACTATTGCTCTGGGTGTTGTGGTGGGCAGACTTCTAAGGTGGCCTCCAAGTCTCTTGCCCCCTTGGTGTATATTTCCCTCTCATTGACTGTGTTTAGGACCTACAAATAAGAGAGGATTTTACTTCCCTGACTAGCTTATGTTATATGACAACAGTGAAGAGATTTTGAAAATAAAACTAAGGTCTCATATATGTTGATTTTGAATTAATCAAAAAGGAGATTATCCTGGGTAACCTTGACTTAAATAGGTACAAGTCCTTAAAAGTTGGACTGGGTGCCTACTCAAAAGGACCATAGAGAACTGAGATCCTTTTGCTTACTTTGAAAAAAATAAGCTACCATGTTGTGAAAGTGTTTATTAGAGGGCTACCTGCAAGCAACTCTGGGATCCTTAGAAGCTGAAATCAGCCTCTAGGTGACAGCCAACGAGAAAGTGAAGACCTGTCCTACAACCACATGAACCTGAATTCTACAAATAACCATATGATCTTGGAGGAGGACTCAGAGTTGCAGAAATAAACTCAGCCTGGTGGACGCTTATATTTAAGCCTTGTGAGATGCTGATAAAAGAATTCTGCTAATTCACACCTGGAATCCTCATTCACAAAACTGAGATTTAAAAAATATGCTGTTTTAAGCTTCTCAGTGTGTGGTAAATTGTTACATAGCATAGAATACTAATACAAGGTACTCAAGAATTGATCTTTGATTATTTGATTGTGGTATTTTATAGAGCATCTTAGACTTAAGAATAAAAGCCCTTCCTTCAAAGTCATATTTCTTCAACAGTAGACCACCATACATACTCTAAATTATTGAGCTAGTCAGCATTTTTTTTTTTTTTTTTTTTTTTGAGATGGAGTTTTACTCTTGTCGCCCAGGCCAGAATGCAATGGCACGATCTTGGCTCACTGTAACCTCCGCCACAGGTTCAAGTGATTCTCCTGCCTCAGCTTCCTGAGTAGCTGGGATTACAGGCACCTACCACCATGCCCTACTTTTTGTATTTTTAGTAGATATGGGGTTTCACTATGTTGACCAGGCTGGTCTTGAACTCCTGACCTCAGGTGATCCACCTGCTTCAGCCTCCCAAAGTGCTGGGATTACAGGTGTGAGCCACCGCGCCCGGCCCAGCATTTTTTTAAATAAAAACATTTATGACTACTAAGTTTTTAGGATGCCAAATATTCCTTACCATGGAGGCATATTCAATGCTTCCCCATTAAGTTCATTGAATCTTTAGTTAGGTTTTTGTTTAGTTTGGTTTGATTTGTTCGTGTGTGTGTGTGTGTATGTGTGTGCATGGTTAAAAAAAATTCCCTGAATTTCAATTTTGCTTAACTTGCTTATAAGAATTGTTAATTTTTTACATGCTCAGTCTATATTTATTAAAATAATCATATTAATTTACTGTTGTGACAAATTACATTATAATGTAATGATAAATTGTCTTTGCATACCTGAAATAAGCCCTTTTAGTCAATAATATATTATCATATTTGATTTGCCTTTTATTCAGAAATTTTGCATCTGCATTTAAGAAAAAAATCTGTCCCAATTTTTTTTTTTTTTTTACTTCTTTTTCAAGTTTTAAAAGCAACTTTGTTCTTGACATCATAAAATAACTTGGAAAGTTTACCTCTTTTGTATTTCTTTGAACAGTTTCTGAAAGACTTATTTCATTTTCTCTTAAAATATTTAATAAATTACTAATAAATCATCTGATCTTCCATTTTCGGAAGGTTTTAAAGAATGAATTGCTACTTTGGGAGGCCAAGGCGGGTGGATCACCTGAGGTCAGGAGTTCGAGACCAGCCTGGCCAAAATGGTGAAACCCCCATCTGTACAGAAGTACAAAAATTAGCCGGGCACGATGGCAGGTGCCTGTAATCCAAGCTACTCAGGAGGCTGAGGCAGAAGAATCACTTGAACCTGGGAGACGGAGGTTGCAGTGAGCCAAGATCGTGCCATTTTCACTGCAGCCTGGGCAAGAGAGTGAGACTCCACCTTAAAAAAAAAAAAAAGAATGAATTACTTTTTTTAACTGAAATCAGATAATTCAGATTTTCTATTTTTTCTATTTTTCTACTGTCATCTTTGTAAAGTTAGGCTTATCAAGCAATCTATCCATACATATATAGAACAGTTTTTATTTAATATTTCATTGATTTTTAATATTTGTTATTCTGTACTTTCTAATTTATTTTTATTGACTGATTTGTATTAACTTCTGAGATAAAAGTTTAAATTTTTATTTTCAATTATGTTTTCTTTTATACTAAGTATATTTAAGGCATAATCAAGCAGGTGATAATTAAGCTGTAGCATAAAACAATGTATTTGCAATGAATAAACAAAGGATTTATATCCAAAATATATAAAAAATACCTACAAACCAAAAAGAAAATTACAGACAAAAGAAAAATGTAAAAAAAATGAATAGGTGATTCGAAAAATAGATTATGCAAATGGATAATATAAATAGAAAAAAATTGCTCCATATTATTAGCCTTCAGGAAAATGTAATTTAAAACCATTGTGGCTAACTTGAAAATTAAAAATACTACCCATATATCAGGACACAGAACAACTGCAGCTCTCCTAAATTGATTGTGGAAGTATAGATTGGTGTAAACATTTTTGAATACTATTTCCCAGTATCTAAAAAAGTTGAATATATGATCCATTTCTGAGTATATATAGAAAATATCTCTCTACTTTTGGTCATTCACACACACACACACACACACACACACACACACACACACACACGTGCTCACAGGAGAATTATTTTTATATCCCAAACTGGAAATACTGTAATGCTCATCTAAAGCAGAATGAACATAATATAGCAGTATATTAATACATTCCTATAGTACATATCAACAAGAATAAATGAACTTAAACTATACAGAATAATATCAAAGACTCTCACAAGTATAATATTGAGCCAAAGTAGCCAGGAACAAATAAGATGTAAACTGAAATGTATCTGAGACAAGTCTCAATCAATTTAGAAGTTTATTTTGCCAAAGTTAAGGACATGCCTGAAAGAAAGAAACATAGAATCACAGAAAGTCTCATATCTGTGCCTTTTTATAAAGATGATTTCGAGGCCTTCAATATTTAAATATTTAAATAAAGGGGAAACGTTGAAAGAGAAAAGGAGCAGGCAGGGAAATAGTCAATTATGTAAACCTCTTGCAACTCATCGAATCCTCAATAAATCAGCATCTTACATAAGGTAAAGGGAACATAGAGTAGCTACCTATGGCGATATTTAACTTTGTATCTGCAGCTATCTGCTTAGAAAAGGAAAGGCACCTTTCTGATGACTTAGCTTTCAGCTTATTGTTTTTCTTTTGGCATAGTGAATTGGAGTCCCAAATTCTTATTTTCCTTTCACAAGGACATGCTGTATGATTCCATTTGTATATAATTTAAATCATGCAAAATTGATGTAAAGAGTTTAAAATTTGGATAGTATTGCTCCCTTGGGTGTGAGTGGAAGTTACTGAGAGAAGATCCAGGGGCTTTTGGAGAGATACCAAGGTATCCTGGTACCTTTGATTTTTCATCTTGGTACCAGTTACATGGTTGTGTTTTCTATGACAAAGTTAATTGAGGCCTACTGTTATGATTTTTGTAGTTTTTAGTATATAGACTTAAGTAAAATTTATAAAATAAGAAATTTGTGGGATACAGGCAATGACATCCATAGAGTGAAATTTATATAGCTTATAAATGCAATTTCTAGGGAAAAAGAATGAGAAATGTATGACCTAAAAGACCATCTAAATAGCTAAAAAAAGAAGCAAACTAAATACACAATAAAAGCAGAGATAATGATATGTATGTTCTAATTTAAAACAGAAACTAATGAAAGAAACAGAATAGAGAAGATCAATGAGGCATTTTTTTGTTTGTTTAGAATTTTGTTTGTTTAGAATATTGTGCATTTATAAAAGGTAAGCTAGGCTTATTTTGGAATAATTCCAAATCCATCCTTTATCAAATTCATTTGTTTGATACATAGAGAAAAACTCTCTCCTCCTAAATTGTGTTTATTACCACTCCAAGAAGTGGTTGTTAAACATTTCATGGTAGGTAGATAAATAGAGAGATAGATAGAATTTTCCAGAATGGGATAATTGTATACTTATTCTACAACTTGTTTCTCATTTATTGTAGATCACATATATCCCTTGTTACTATAAATGGTGTATCTATGTACCCATATCTATATGTAAAGGAGATATATCATGTTTAAAATTCTTACGGATTCATAAGTAAACAAAACTGCACTTATCATCTTAGAGGTATAGATCAATAAATTATCACAAAGTCACCACACCTTTGGAAGTAACTATAGTTCACAAAACCTAAAATAGAGTTCTTATGTAAAATTTAATGACCAAATGGTAGTTGGAAATTAGCAAGAAGGTGAGTATTTTCATATTTGATCTTGTAAAGACAAGAAGAAGTTCTCACAGAAAGATCACGTAATTGCCCAGTCTGTTTTATGTACTGTCAAGATTAAGTTTCTACAGCACTTTCTCAAGGATCTAATAATGTTTTGCCTCTCTCCACAACTCTCTAGACATTCTGGAAAGAAGACAATTCCAACCCAGCTCTACAAGACTGAATTGTTATTGATTTTGGAAGTTTTATAATTCAAAATTCCTGTGAAATGTAAAATTCAAATCTTGTCACCTTGTGGACTTGAACTGCTTGTGAACGCAAGAGCAATTGAAAGCAGCTAGCAGCGGTTGCTGAGAAAGTAAGCTTTTTTCAGGGTAAGCTTTGAATGATTAAAATTTTTCTGTCTCTTCGGATGCAAGGGGAGCATCAGGAAGAATGTCTAGGAAGAAGCCACATCATTTACTAAGTCAGCATGGATTGATTCAGCTAGAGTGGTTGTAATTATCCTTTTAGGCTGAGTCAGGATACAGCTTTCTCCTCACAAAGAGCCTTAAGTTTCTAAGCTAGAAGAGGAAAGCATTTGGCTCTGGGGGATGTATCAGTTCACCCGTGAGTGAGACTCAGCCGTCTTACCTCTCCAATCAAATTTGTCAGACTCTTTTAGTTTTGTGCAACCGTTACCAGAGTAACTATTCAGAGCCCCTGCTGTTTAGTTCCCCAAAGAAAAGGCAACATTTCAACATTTTTCTGACACAAATTGGAAAGTTGTGTAGCTCCTGCCTGTATGATCTCAGCAGGAGGCCTGGTAAACCAGTAGGAAAACTGTGGTAGGGCAATCAAAAAACACTAGGAGATAACTGAAATTTTCTAATATAAGAAGCTGTCTTTAGGAGATGTGCTACAGTGATGCTACAGTTTGGAATGCACTATATCACTGTGGTTCGGTAGCAATATTCAATTCGATGAGCAGTTTTTTGTACATTCATGCAGCCAATATACTGACTGTGCAAGTTATAAACAAATGAATTGACATGATCATTTCACCTCAGGGAACTTGCCCTGCAATGGTGCAGATAAGGTACATCCAATCACAGTTAAACTAATTTTTAGTGTGAAAGCGCATAGCATGGAGTAATCAGTTCTGAGTGAAAAATTCTAAGAAAGCTTCATAAATGAGATAAAATTCTAGGTGGCTGTCTCCCACCTCTTGCAGTAAATGTATAGGAAGGACACCAGAGACCGAGAAAGTAAATGAGTAAAATCATAGACTTCTTTTTCCCAGATATGCTTACAGAAGGGAGTAAAGCCAGAGTGGCGGAAAATAAAACTGGAAAGGTAGACAAATAATCATTCATTTTATATCAGTCTTTCGAGTGATTTTATCATAAAGAGAACTAAATAAGTTTATTTGCAAATAGTCTTTCAATTCACAAAAAAGAAATGGATTTGCATTTAAGTTGAAATAAAAATTCCATATTGGCATTAATAATATTGGCTTATTGCTAATATAAAATATTACATTAGATAAAACAACATAAAATTGTCTGTTTGGGTTGTATAAAACAGTTCAATATCAGAATTTTACATCATGAAATTAGTAATATTTTCATGGCATACCTTATTCATTGCTTACTTCATTAATTCATAATTTCTCAAAATTTTTCACATTCATAGACACTTACAGAATTGCTTTTTCCTCTAAATAAGGGGATCTGAGAACAACATGTGCATTTACAGACATATGAACATTTTGTGTAGGAGGAAGTGGTTCTCAAAGAGCATTAGGATAGTTAATGTGTATGGTTCCTGAACATGGAGGTACGCTTAAAGATGTAGCTTTGAATAATAAGTATATCAATTCATAAGCATCCAGGCCGCACGACACGTTCAAACGATACAAACAGTAATAGACCAGAAGACCTCCTGACTCTAATGATTCCAACTCAAAAATTGAAAACTTCTGTTATAAAGCCATATCTTTCTTCTCCTTTTTAAGGACATGTTTCTTGTCATGAGATTATTCGAGCTTTGAATGAGGCTGGTATTACTATTGATTTCATTGTTGCTTGGTTGATACTTTGCTTTCTGAGCCTGTGTGCAACTGATTATATTCTGCTTTGAAACTCAAGATAATTTATATTACTGATTGGTGCCTGTGAAGAAAGTAGAAAATGACATTTCTCTCATGAAAAGGCATTTCTTCTTTTGGCCTTAGTGAGAAGAAAGATTATTTCTGGCCTAATGTCCTTATAGATTTTAGAAATTTTGAATTGTTTAAAATACGAGGATATTGTCACGTCTGGGGTTATATATGTGTTTGGAGGGTTTTTTTGTTGTTGTTGTTTAACTCTTTAAACAACAAATACTTTTGTAATAAAAATAGAATAACTGGAGGCTGAGGCGGGCAGATCACTTGAGGCCAGGAGTTTGAGACCAGCCTGGCTAACATAGTGAAACCCGCCTCTATTAAAATACAAAAAATTAGCTGAGCATGGTGGCACAGGCCTATAATCCCAGGTACTTGGGGGGCTGAGGTATGAGAGTTGCTTGAAACCCGGAGGTGGAGGTTGAAGTGAGCTGAGATTGTGCCACTGCACTCCAGGCTGGGTGACAGAGGGAAGCTCTGTCTCAAAAAAGAAAAAAAAGAATAACTGGTCACAATTTCTAGGACCTAATCAAATATGTCAGAAGAAAAATAATGAATAATTTTTTTTTTCCTAAAAACATTTTATAATGTTGGTTCCACAATAATTTTCTTCAGAAAATATTTTATAATTTTGTTTTTCACATGTTGAAACACAAAACAGAAAGAATATCAGCACTCAGAAGGCACCGTATCAGTAGAAATAAAATGTGGCCCAGCTAATATGAAGTTGATTGTACTGGAGAGAGGCTATAATTTGTTCTCAAATCTAACTCTTCTTTTATTTCTACCACCCTTGTCCTCATAATGGCTGTCACCACCTCTTATCTGAACAATTTTAGTAGCCTTCTGATTATTATTCCTTCCATTAATAATAACACATTAAGGTAAAGTGTTATAGTATATTTTATAATATATATTTGTTATACATTCATGCACGTTAATATTATGCATATATAAATGCATGCTTTCCCCTATGGAATTTAAAAAATGTGTGTATTTCACATAAAAATTAAAACTAAAAATTGAATATTTTAATAGTATTGGTACAGGATAGGCAAGCCCCCAAACTGGAGTTTAGCCCATGAAGGTTCTTGGCTTCGTCGAGGAAAGAATTCAAGCATGAACCAGTGGAATTACTGAAATGGACATGTACAGCAGCAACAGAAGTACTACAGAACAGGGCTACCCTATAGACAGTGTGCCCAGAGTAGTCACTGAGAAGCAATTCTGCACTTATATCCATTTTTAATTATATTCACATCAAGGGGTGGTTTGTGCATTAATTTCTAGGATGAGTGTAGTAACTTCCAGGTGTTCTCATGGCAATGGTAAACTGACATGGCACAATAGTGGATGTGTCTTGTAGAAAACTACTTTCATTCCAGACTTGTTTTAACTAATCCTCAAATTGGTCCAGTGTTTGAACTCCGCCTCTGAAGTAGGGTCCCACCTCCTATCTCAGTTTTACGACAAAACAACTAAACGGTTTAAACCTGCTTCTTTAAGAAGCAATTTATTGATCATCATGTCTTTAAAGCAAGATAGAAATCTATGTAGAACCCTTTTAAAAAGCATTTATGGGCAAATTACAGAGAGGTATTTACAGTAAATTTATAAAGAAGACACTAGAGACTTTTTAAAAATCATGTATTTACAAAATATATGATTGTAAAATCATGTATTGAAATAATGTATTGACATCTGGAAAAATTAATGAAGAAAACAATCTCACATTATATCCAGTTCCTGTAATGCCAAGCTCAGTTTGTGATTGTAAAGCCATGCTTCTGTACCAAATTTGATCTTCCCTTACATAATCTGAGAAAATATTAAAAAGTCACTAAAGCAGGTTTTAATATTTTTCAAAAATAATCATTATAAAATGAGTGAAAAGGATTGGCTGCAATTCCCTCAGGCTAATTATTTGACAAATGTTTGAAATTTAGATGCCTACCAAGGAGAAAAATATAGTACCTATTCGCTCATCTCAGATAGAATCATAAGACACTTCAGAGATAAAGAGATGAAAGAAGCAATCCTTAGGGAGAGCTTTATGATAAATAAACCATCGTCAGTCTCAAAACTCCATTTGTACCTGGCTCTGAAAGCATATGTGGGTTTATCTAATACATTTTCATTGCACTTCTACTCTGAGCCAAGTAAAATGCTGGACTCTCTGGACTGGAAAAAAAAAAAAAAAGGATACAGTGCCTCCTCTCCAGAAGCTCATAATTTAACAGTCCAGGACATGTTTTCCAAATTGTTTATAGGCACTAGACAGGAAAGTATAATAACATGGCTTCTATCCAGGGTCTAGGCCAAATACAGAGCCAACACGCAAATTGATGTTAAATCACCCACTGAACTCTCACCTTAACCTGGGTCCCTATGAAATACCTGTTGGTCAAGTTGTAGTTTATGCAGGTGACATCTAAAGGGAATTTAGTTACTGAATTACGAAATGCAAACAACTACCAAAAAGTAAATAAGGGGGTAAAATTCCTCATTAGCTTTTATTTCAATTATTTTCAAACTTCAATATGCATATGGGTCACCTGGGGATCTTATGTATTCTGATTCAGTAGATTTCAGGTGTTACCTTAGATTCTGCATATTTTGTAGACGTCAGGTGATAATAGTTGCTGCTGGCTCAGAAACCATATACTGAGTAATAAACATGAACAACTCCATGATAGTACCCATCTTATTATATTGAACATTATGTTTTTATGATAGCTGAAAATATCAGTGCCTGACATACAATAAGTGTCTATTAAATGTTCACTGAATTTAAAAGAAATAGATGTGTGTGCACATTACTTTATTACCACAAATAATAATTTGGTTATTCTAATTTTTTAAAATGAGCCACTATTAGATTAATTATACTTGAACTTAAAGATTTTCTGTTTCATTTTGTGCATCTCCATCTTCCAAATTATTCTCTAATACTAGATAGTAAAAAGAAATTTAAGCCATATCAGTTGTTACATTATTCAAATAAAAATTTAAAAAGATATAAAAACTGTCACTTTATTTAATTACAATTATAACTTCATGTTACCTTTAAAAATTGAGTTTTAATTGAGTCATCTACTTCCTTTCAATTCTGATTGGAAGCACAGTGAGATATTTTTTCTGAATGCCTTGGTACTTAGCTAACCCACAGAGAAAGCAGAATAATGCCTGATACTTTTTCTCTGGGAATGTTAAAACAATGAAGGTACATTGTTATATCTCCCAAATCCACATTGTTTTCATTGATTCTCCTGAGAGTATTATTGAGAGAAGGGATTTTTGCTTATTGTACAAGGCTGTTAATATGCTGCCCCATGAAGTTTTTTTCTCTTAAAATATCATGAAATGTGATATTTACTTAGGACTGCTTTCCAGAAAATCCTCTAGTCTGGTTCCATGAGGGCTTCCTAGTTCACCTAATCTTGTGGACAATGGTCAAAATATAAGAACATTTTCAAAAATAGAAGTTTCTACTACTGTTGAAATTTTAACATATTTTAGATGAAGGAGGTTTTCTTGAGGGCAGTTCAAACTTTCTGATTCTATTCTCCAGAGTTTTGGGAAAAACAAATACTCAAATATCATGCGCCTGAAACTGTAGCTTTTTTCCCCTTGTTTCTTTTTCTTTTTTTAGTTGAGAAGCCTAAGCATGTTTTTTTTTTAAATTCATATTTTATTTTATTTTATTATTATTTTTTTGAAAAGGAGTCTCGCTCTGTCACCCAGGCTGGAGTGTAGTGGCACGATCTTGGCTCACTACAAGCTCTGCCTTCCGGGTTCAGGCCATTGTCCTGCCTCAGCCTCCCAAGTAGCTGGGACTACAGGCACCCACCACCACGCCCATCTAATTTTTTGTGTTTTTAGTAGAGAAGGGATTTCACCGTGTTAGCCAGGATGGTCTTGATCTCCTGACCTCGTAATCTGCCCGCCTCGGCCTCCCAAAGTGCTGTTAATACAGGTGTGAGCCACCGCACCCGGCCAGCATGTTTTTATATAGCATTTTATTCCTTACATCACCTTTTGCTATATAGTTATCTATAATAGTGAATTTTCAAATTACTCAACTATAAAAACAATTACCCTTTTTGCTTAAACAGTCATTCCATATGACAGCTGACTCAACAGGTAAATTATGGTCTCAAATTTATTTTTACCAATATACTAATGTTCATTTTAATACATCTCAGAAAGGTTCTGATTTTTGTATTCTTTTAAGAATTTAAGTACATGAAAATATTTAATGTATTTAAAGAAGAATACTCTCTTAATGAAAACATGTTTACCATTTAGATCATGAACTGCATTGGTAAGGCAGCAAAAAAGGAGGGGGAGGAAATTACTGCCAAGGTAAAGCTTCAACATCCCTAATAAGCGGTGTTTATTTACTCCAGATAGCCAAAGAGTAGGAATGAAAAGGAAATGGTGTTGCCAAAATTAACTAATGCAACTAGTAGAATTAAAAAGGTCAAGTATCAAGCTGTGGAGCTCCTCATTCTTGGAGCTGATTCCTTTTTATGAACCTAATTAGTACTTCACTTGTATACACAAGGCCCCTCATTTTTATGCAAATGAATTTGTACCATCTGTTCGGTTTACTCCTAAATACATATGAAAATGTTTTACTCTCCCACTCAGTAGAATGGGGGATAACAGAGCTGCTCAAACATCTAGGCTGGTCAATAATAACCTCATGTGTATGTAAATAGTTTGTCTCACACAATACTAGCACAGAAAGCGCAATATGAATCATGTTACTATAGGATGTATAAGGCATAAATGCTCTTTTCAGTTTTCATTTAACTGTGATTTTCTGGTCTATGGCTAGAATGGCAGGAAAGAAATACATAATCGATATGGCAGGAGTTTTCACACAGCATGAGTGATGAAAGAAGACACTCCTGTCTTGGCAGTCCCAACATAAAAATGTTTTCTTGGGAGGGTGTATGTGTCCAGCAATTTATCCTTTTCTTCTAGATTTTCTAGTTTATTTGCGTAGAGGTGTTTATAGTATTCTCTGATGGTAGTTTGTACTTTTGTGGTGTCGGTGGTTATATCCCCTTTATCATTTTTTATTGCGTCTATTTGATTCTTCTCTCTTTTCTTCTTTATTAGTGTTGCTAGTGGTCTATCAATTTTGTTGATCATTTCAAAAAACCAGCTCCTGGATCCACTGATTTTTTGAAGGGTTTTTTGTGTCTCTGTCTCCTTCAGTTCTGCTCTGATCTTAGTTATTTCTTGCCTTCTGGCAAGAATGTGTTTGCTCTTGCTTCTCTATTTCTTTTAATTGTGATGTTAGGGTGTCAATTTTAGATCTTTCCTGAAACCAAGAAGTTGAATCTCTGAATAGACAAATAACAGGCTCTGAAATTGAGGCAATAATCCATAGCTTACCAACCAGAAAAAGTCCAGGACCAGACAGATTCACAGCCGAATTCTACCAGAGGTACAAGGAGGAGCTGGTACCATTCCTTATGAAACTATTCCAATCAATACAAAAAGACGGAATCCTCCCTAACTCATTTTATGAGGCCAGCATCATCCTGATACCAAAGCCTGGCAGAGACACAACAAAAAAAAAGAGAATTGTAGACCAAAATCCCTGAAGAACATCGATGCAAAAATCCTCAATAAAATACTGGCAAACCGAATCCAGCAGCACATCAAAAAGCTTATCCACCATGACCAAGTGGGCTTCATCCATAGGATGCAAGACTAGTTCAACATACGCAAATCAATAAACGTAATCCAGCATAGAAACAGAACCAAAGACAAAAACCACATGATGATCTCAATAGATGCAGAAAAGGCCTTTGACAAAATTCAACAACACTTCATGCTAAAAACTCTCAATCAATTAGGTATTGATGGGACATATCTCAAAATAATAAGAGCTATTTATGACAAACCCACAGCCAATATCATACTGAATGGGCAAAAACTGGAAGCATTCCCTTTGAAAACTGGCACAAGACAGGGATGCCCTCTCTCACCACTCCTATTCAACATAGTGTTGGAAGTTCTGGTCAGGGCAATCAGGCAGGAGAAAGAAATAAAGGGCATTCAGTTAGGGAAAGAGGAAGTCAAATTGTCCCTGTTTGCAGATGACATGATTGTATATTTAGGAAACCCCATCATCTCAGTCCAAAATCTCCTTAAGCTGATAAGTAACTTCAGCAAAGTCTCAGGATACAAAATCAAAGTGCAAAAATAACAAGCATTCTTATACACCAATAACAGACAAACAGAGAGGCAAATCATGAGTGAACTCCCATTCACAATTGCTTCAAAGAGAATAAAATACCTAGGAATCCAACTTACAAGGGATGTGAAGGACCTCTTCAAGGAGAACTACAAACCACTGCTCAACGAAATAAAAGAGGGCACAAACAAATGGAAGAGCATTCCATGCTCATGGATAGGAAGAATCAATATCGTGAAAGTGGCCACACTGCACAAGGTAATTTATATTCAATGCCATCCCCATCAAGCTACCAATGACTTTCCTCACAAAATTGGAAAAACCTAAAGTTCATATGGAACCAAAAAAGAGCCTGCATTGCCAAGACAATCCTAAGCCAAAAGAACAAAGCTGAGGCATCACGCTACCTGACTTCAAACTATACTGCAAGGCTACAGTAACCAAAAGAGCATGGTACTGGTACCAAAACAGAGATACAGACCAATGGAACAGAACAGAGTCTTCAGAAATAATACCACACATCTACAACCATCTGATCTTTGACAAACCTGACAAAAACAAGAAATGGGGAAAGGATTCCCTATTTAATAAATGGTGCTGGGAAAACTGACTAGCCATATGTAGAAAGCTGAAACTGGATCCCTTCCTTACACCTTATAAAAAATTAATTCAAGATGGATTAAAGACTTAAATGTTAGACCTAAAACCATAAAAACCCTAGAAGAAAACCTAGGCAATACCATTCAGGACATAGGCATGGGCAAGGACTTCATGTCTAAAACACCAAAAGCAATGGCAACAAAAGCCAAAATTGACAAATGGGATCTCATTAAACTAAAGAGCTTCTGCAAAGTGAAAGAAACTACCACAAGAGTAAACAGGCAACCTACAGAATGGGAGAAAATATTTGCAATCTACTCATCTGACAAAGGGCTAATATCCAGAATCTACAATGAACTCAAACAAATTTACAAGAAAAAAACAACCCCATCAAAAAGTGGACATAGGATATGAATAGATGCTTCTCAAAAGAAGACATTTATGCAGCCAACAGACACATGAAAAATGCTCATCACTGGCCATCAGAGAAATGCAAATCAAAACCACAATGAGATACCATGTCACACCAGTTAGAATGGCGATCATTAAAAAGTCAGGAAACAACAGGTGCTGGAGAGGATGTGGAGAAATAGGAACATTTTTACACTGTTGGTGGGACTGTAAACTAGTTCAACCATTGTGGAAGTCAGTGTGGCGATTCCTCAAGGATCTAGAACTAGAAATACCATTTGACCCAGCCATCCCATTACTGGGTATGTACCCAAAGGATTATAAATCATGCTGCTATAAAGACACATGCACACGTGTTTATTGCAGCACTATTCACAATAGCAAAGATTGGAACCAACCCAAATATCTATCAATGATAGAATGGATTAAGAAAATTTGGCACATATACACCATGGAATACTATGCAGCCAGACAAAAGGATGAGTTCATGTCCTTTGCAGGGACATGGTTGAAGCTGGAAACCATCATTCTCAGCAAACTATCGCAGGGACAAAAAAAAACAAACACTGCATGTTCTCACTCATAGGTGGGAATTGAACAATGAGAACACTTAGACACAGGAAGGAGAACATCACACACCGAGGCCTGTTGTGGGGTTGGGGGAGGGGGAGGGATCGCATTAGGAGCTATACCTAATGTAAATAACGAGTTAATGGGTGCAGCACACCAACATGTCACATGTATATGTATTTAACGAACCTGCACATTGTGCACATGTACCCTAGAACTTAAAGTATAAAAAAAAAATGTTTTCAAAGAAAGGGAATTAGGAATGGTGGTCATGATGACTTTGGACAACCAGGAACATCTCCTATCATGAACATGCAAGGATGCTGGCTCATGGAAAAAAAAAAAAAAAACACACACACACACACACACACACACACACACACACACACACACACATTGAGAAGAACTCCATAAGTCAGCAAAAAATGAGGGAGAAGAAATCACTGCCAAGGTAAAGCTTCAAAGGCAGTGAAGAGAGGAATATGTTAATTAGCTTGACTGTATTAATTAGTTTAGTATGTATATGTATATCAGAGCATCACATTGTACTCCTTAAATATATACAATTTCATTTACAGTGTTTAAAGAAACACAAAAGCACCATAAATTAAGTTGACTGAATGTGAATGAAAACATGAATAATGTCAGGGAAAATTATTTAAACAAGGATAATGGAATGATTAGCAATAATAGTAAAGATACAAGTGAAAAAGACGAGGATATTCTTCTCAGGACTGCCTGTTTGAAGTCAAGGATTTAAATTATATTGAGCAGTTGCAATAAGTGTTAGTGGACTCTGAATGACATCGTTGCCTATAGTTTCTGACTGACCAGATACATGAGGCCAGCTGAAATGCGAAAGATGTGTTGACATCATATGTTAAATTATTATTTACTTATTTAATATATATTGTATGACAGCCTACAAATATGCCACTGAGATTTCAAGTTTATGTGTGATATCAGCTAATATTATCATGATTAATGAAACTTTGCTCTTTATAGTCTTACCTTGTCATCTTCAGTGTGGAACATAGAATTATTCTTTTCCATCTACAGCTGCACTGAGATTTCAAACATTAAACTACAAGTGCAGTTAGAGCTAAAATGGTCCAGTATGATGATCTGCAATCTATTTTCTCATTTGGAAACAAATAATTTAATCATTAAAGAGCAATATTAGAAGTCATTCCTCCAATAATTAAATGATTTCTAAATAATAATTGTATGGTTTTTAATTATACAGATGGATCTGAAATAAGGAATATGCTTAAAGCTTACTATATTACAAATAACTAAATTGTTATGACATTTTAGGAGTAGCTACAACAATTAAAGTATAATTTTTAAAATCTACAATGAAATGAGAATGCAATTTCACATGCATAACTCCAACTAGGTGGAGCTTTTCTGTACATCTACAAATACAACTATTTGTAAATAACATTAGTGGGAAACGTGACAGGGATAATATGCAGTAAAATTAGATTTAGGAAGCTTTTCCTAACATGTAAATACAAAACACAAAGTGCCTAATTACTTAACTCATTAAAATTCTCATAAACCATGCTAACCGATTATACAAATGAAAGAGATTAACTATAACTCTTTCAAGGGTAAAATTAAGTTAAAACAAAGAGCTGCCCTAATATTCATTTTCAAAGAGATTAAATGATTGTACAGTAAGGTTTCAAGTAGAGAAATAGAAGTATTCTTGGAACTTGCAGAGAAAAAAATTAATTCCTAAAATTGGCTATCCAAGTGATGAAAATTTGTTTCTCTGGGATGAAGAGCACAGCCAGTTAAGGGTTAGAATGAATCTAAAAACCACAATTCATAGGCACAACTTATGGCTCCCAATAGAGTTCTGCGTCCTACACCAAAGTGGACTAGGTAAGGAGAGGACTAGAAGAAACTCTGAAACCCTTTTTAACACTGAATTTCTGTGCTTTGACAACAGAAGTCTTCATAAAACATTGAATAATTGCATTTTCTAGGATGCATTACTGTACGCTGTTAACATAAAGTATATAACTTAAATGTTTAAGAGCTTCTTTTCTCTGTGATTGATACAGCCTGAGAAAGGAGGCATAATATCAAGAAATTCAAAAGATGTGTTTTCTTACTAGACTTCTTTGGGTAACTATATTTGTTACCGATGGAGGATGTCCAGATTCTTGGCGTTTTGAGCAAAGATTTGGAGAAAATGCAAAAACAAAGCAAGGAAAGAATGAAGCAACAAAAGCGGAGACTTACTGAAAATGAAAGCACACTCCACAGGGCAGGAGCGGGCCCAAGCAAGCAGCTCAAGGGCCCAGTTACAGAATTTTCTGGGGTTTAAATACCCTTAAGAGGTTTCCATTAGTTACTTGATGTACACCCTATATAAATGAAGAGAATGAACTAAAGTTACAAAGTCATCTACTAGGTTATGCCCTATCTAAATGAAGAGGATATTTCCTGTCATAGCTTAAGTATTTCCGTTTGATTTAGGTCTAGGAGGTCCTTAGGTTCACTGGCTTCAGGCCCTATTCTCCTGCCTCACATTCTGCAGTTTTCTATCCTCATTCAACTTGTTAATATTTTCACGGATAGTCATATCTACATATATATCCACAAATGCACATGTGTATATCGTCAATTGTTAGAAATTAAAATTTGTTGAAGATTTTGTCATTTTATAAGCAGAGTTAAATTGTTCAGCAATCTTATGACAAAGAGTGATGTTTTGTCAAAAGTATTCATGTATCGGGCTACTAGGGGCTTTACTACAGGATACTCAATTGACAACTGATTCTATAAAACCTGAAATACAATAGGCCTCTCTATGTATCATCCTCCAGTGAAAAACAAAGGTCACAATAAATCTCTACGAGCCTAGACTGTTATTCTGAGTCGGCCCTTTTTATGAAACTGAACCAAACAATGCAAGTGTAAAGATTTTAGGGGTGTTCCCTCTACTGAACTCTCTGAGGGAATATTTGCCCATAGAGAAAAGAGAAACTCAACTTTCAAGCATAGCCCATCTTGGATGGTTTCCATTAGCTACTATGTTATCAATGCTCTGAGTATCTAAGTTATCATATTTCTTAATGTGTATATATAAGAAAAATGCACTTATTGAACTGATAGCAACACAATTATCCTATTGTGCAAACAATTTTGTGTTGATGAAAAGCAAAATGAGTTGTCTAAGGTCCAAGGGCACATGGAAATTCAGGGACTGCCCCCATGAAAAAGTTTTTTTTTTTTTTTTTTTGGAGACAGAGTCTCATTATGTCACCCACGCTGGAGTGCAGTGGCACGATCTCGGCTCACTGCAACCTCCACTCCCGGGTTCAAGAGATTCTCCTGCCTCAGCCTCCCTAATAGCTGGGACTACAGGCATGTGCCACCATGCCTGGCTAATTTTTTTGTACTTTTAGTAGAGACGGGGTTTCACCATGTTAGCCAGGATGGTCTCGATTTCCTGTCCTCATGATCCACCCGCCTCGGCCTCCCAAAGTTGTGGGATTACAGGCATGAGCCACCGTGCCCAGCAATTTTTTTTAATATACCACAATCTTTCATGTGTTTTTTTTTCTACCTGCTTTAATTAGTCATAATATTTGGAAAATAACATTTTCCCTTTCCAGATAAATTCTGGTGTATCACTATCATATACATGTGTATATATGCATACACACACACACACACACACACCCACACCCACAATGTCCTTTGAATCTTATTATAGAGTCTCTCTTATTTGAGTTTTCCTCTTTAAACTTATTGACTGTTCCACAACTACAATGAACCTTCCCCTTCTGTGTGTTGTTTCTAAAAACTTTCAATTTTCCCTGTCTATAATATAGTCACTTTTATAAATTATTCCACAGACTTGTAAAATAATATTATTCAAAATGTTTCTGTATTTAATTCACAGTACATTTCTTTTTCCATGGTAGATGTGTCCTTTAATATATTGAAATATATTTAGCTATAAATGATCAGTTTGGTCAAGAAATGTTATTCTTTTAAAAGACTTCTAGATGCCTATCTCATTAGAAAAGAAATGTAAGGTTTAAATGAGAAATATAGAAAGTTATTTCCAAAATAATTCATATACTAGAACTGCAATCCACACCTGTTTGAAAGAAGTAACTGTTATTTTAATAAGCAATCCTGAAACTCTGTGATTCAGAAGCGTGGTTGGTATGTTTTATTCATTTTCCAAATGGCTGTTTTGATGAATTATGGATGTGTGTATTCATACAAACACTATGGAAAAAAAAATTCTTACTAGCGTCTTTCAGCAAAGGGCATATGCACAGGGCAGACACCAGTAGACGAGCTCAGAAATCTAGCAGAATGATAACAGCCTAATTCCTTAAGAGTCTATTTTGCTTTAGCTGAATAAACACTGTGGAAAGTTTACAGTTTTTAGATACATAGTCACAGAATATTCAGTCTGGAAACATTTACAAGTTTGACCTTTTGGTGAAATGTGTGTCCATATGACCTTGTTATTGAAAGCTCAAAATATATTTTCAATCATTTACTAATAGCTAAGTAATCTTTAGTTTCCTAGTACAGTACACTTTCACAAAAAAAAGGTTCATATCACTTGTTAAGGGCTGTAGCCCCATCCAATGTAATAAGAAAATGTTACTTCTTGAATATTTTAACTTTTCAACACTGTTTCCACAAACTTTTCTTGCAATGTTGTGCAAAGTGTTTAACAGGAAATATCAGCATCACTTATTAGCTTTTCAACTTCTGCCTGATACTAGAAGTCCGATAATGCCTGAGGTTTATCTCTACATCTTGTTGATACTTCGGAGTCCAGAGCAAACACATTAAGGAGAATTATTCACTGAGCTTTCACTGAATATCTATTTCATGATTCTGGGCCGGAATCAACCAGTATGGGCTCAGAGTATAACCAAATATTTCACCTTTGAATTGCATTTTGAAACTTTTTTTTCCTTTCCTTCCTAATCTCAAATGTGGCCTTGTACTGTGAGACTCTGTGCACACTATGCACATCCATGCATAGTGCTTACTTATCTAATTATGTGCTTGCTTAGAAATTCCAAGGGCAGCCAGGTGCAGTGACTCACGCCTGTAATCCCAGCACTTTGGGAGGCCGAGGCAGGTGGATCACTTGAGGTCAGGAGTTGGAGACCAGCCTGGCCAACAAGGTGAAACCCCGTCTTTACTACAAAAAATACAAAAATTAGCTGGGCATGGTGACACGCACCTGTAATCCCAGCTACTCGGGGGGATGAGGCAGGAGAATAGCTTGAACCCAGGAGTTGAAGGCTGTACTGAGCTGAGATTGTGCCACTGCACTCCAGCCTGGGTTACAGAGTAAGACACCATCAAAAAAAAAAAAAAAAAAAAAAAAAAAAAGAAAAGAAATTATAAAGGCCAATTTCAAAACATGCCAGGCAGAGAGACCCAGCTGTGGAATCCTCCAGCTCAAGGGGAGTTACAGTTAGCCCCCCACTACTGGGCTGAAGTCAGAATGGTGCAAATTGGACCTCTGGATAAGCAATTATGTGAGATGACCATCATAACACAACACACAGATCTGCACCTCCTTTTCACTACTAAATTTTTCCCACACATTTTTCTCATGGTTCCTTTGAGGCTTGATCCTGGCCATTCTCCCACCTGCAGGCATTTGACCAAAAAAAAGCTGCTTTCCTTTTACCACACCTCACTTTCCACGCTTTGACTTCTGAGCATCAAGCATCCTGACTTGAGCAGTTACAAAAGAGAACATACTCATGATTGAGGTATGAAAGGAAAAATCTTAGTTGAAGATGTATGACTGAGTATAAAATCTGAAAAGTAAGAAAAAAAAATGGGAAGAAAAGTTACAAGGTCAGTTGTCAGAAGGACCATGGATTGATGACAGAAGAGAAGACAAACTATGGCAAGAAGCTGAATGTCTTTTCTACACGATTTTGTGACAGAATGAGTCTACCTGTTTAAAGAGTTCATGAACCACCAGACAGTCACTTATAATCACCAAAGGGAGCTCAAAGATGCTTCCTCTTGACAAGCACCCGTGATCTCTGGGACAGCTCTGCTTAGTATCCTCCCAGCTAGCTGATGCTTTCCTCATACTTCATCCATTAGAAATTCCATCTGAATGCAATAATCTTTTGTCAGGGAAAAACATCTGTCTGTTTCTTTATAGAACCATCACCATCTTAATTTTAAAAAATCTTGAAACTTTAAAATCTCCCTGAAATCTAAAGAGAAAGGGCAGTATCTTCTGGGTTGTCTGCTTCACTTTTGCTGTCATTCACTAGATCTGTACCTCACCCTTATTCGGGTGATGCTTCTCCATCACTGCCCAGTGGTTAGACGTACTACTTAACCTCTGAGTCTGTTCATTAAAAAAATTCTATTATTGTGCAGTGGAATAATGTCTACTATACAGTAAGGTGTGGCATATAGCAGGTTCCTCAAAGTGATAAGTCTTTCTTCCCCTTTCCATATGGCACTTCATTTAAATGGAAAGTAAAATAGGGAGGAAATGGAAATAAATTAGAAAGTGGATATAGAGAAAGCAAGGTATACAGAAAACAGTATTATGGAAAATAAAGAAGAAATTTCAACAAAATATCAGCATAAAAGAGTATTATACTGTGACAAAGGGAGGATGAAAACTAAAGAAAAACTGATAAATAAGAAAATAAAAGTGGTATATTGTATCCTTTTCTGAAACTGACAAAGCAATTTATAAGATCTAAAACTTTTCTTGTATAGGGACTCCATGGAGAAGTGAATTAATTCATGATATATTTCATATGGAAAAATAAAGCCTCAACTTAAGATGTGTTATACCAAAACTTAGATATGCCTAAGAAAACTTCTGTGAATACACAAAACACAGAGGACAAACAGGGCTAAAGTTAAGACTATGAAAGTACTAAGAAACTAACTCCATGACAAAATCAAACTCTAATATTCACTATCTTGTGGTTGCCAGGAAGACCAGTGCACTATAGCTCCCAGGAGACATATAAAAGTATTTATAGAATTGGACAGAAATAGTATCTTTGTAGCAACCTCAGAGAGTCAAGGTAAAGATGACTTTCATAAGCATCCAGAGGAAACCTAAAACCTAGACTTTCCAGATTTCTGGGTCTGAGGTCCATCCCCTTTGACACCTGTTTCTTCTTACTTCACTCATAATCAGAAATCAATAATTCAAAACTGTTCTTGAAAATTCTTGCCAGAACTGCCTGTCCCCTCTTGCCTTTAGTAGTGCATAAATAACATATCAAATTCCCAAATCCTGTGTGCCTTACAACTGCTCAGAAGTATGCATAGTAGGGAGTCTCTTTAATTAAAGCCTCATTAATAAAACAGTGCCTTCCCTGGCAAGTGGCTTAGAAGAAGAAGTTGGTTAGTTTTCCCCAAACATAGGAGGCGTGACTATGGAGAACATTAAAATGCTAATGAGAACAAGATAGTGAATGTAATGGCAAGTGATTTATCCAGAATATACAATGAAGAATCACAGTGATCTTACTGAATACTTTTGATGTACCCAGTATTAGGAAAAGTCATCCTGCTTGTCTGCAGTTGAGACAGCATTTTAACCATTCTTATGATTGAAACATCTAATTTCTCAAATAATAAATGGAATATCCCACTACAAATACTTTTCTGAAAGTACCTGAAAAATATAGTTTTCAATATGCTGCAGATTAGGTTCATATCTGTTCCACATTTTCCTCATTTTTCTTGGATTAGCAGGATAACTGGGGAATTTTCTTAGTTTAGTGATAGCAGAAATACAAGAGTATCTGTAAACACCTCGCAACTCTTTAAAAGAAAACTAGAAATACAATCCAATCCTTTAAAAATTTTTTTGTTGTATATATTTAAGCTATCAAATATGTATGTTTCTGGACCTGTTTTAGGGCATTTTAGGTTAGAAATTGAAGTTCTTCAGTCTGCAATTATCTTTACAGTTATTCTACTAATGATTTCTGATTTTTGTTTTTTGTCCCCCTCCCTTGAACACCTATTATTTAGATACTAGCTCTCCCAAAATGGATTTCTAATTATCTTATCTTTTTTTTTCTATCATTTGTTATTACTTTGTACTCCAATATTTTGTTTCTGTTGTCATTTTTTTTATCCTTTCTTTCTTGGTGGATTTGTCTCTAAAAAATTTTCCTTTACTATAATTTTAGTGAGATTTAGAATCAGAAGCATATACAGAGTTTTAGGACACTACATTTACCTAGAACTTGCCAATTAAAATTTCAAAAGTCTTATTGTAGCTTGAATCTTAGATTTAAAAGAGCCCTTACATACCAAAAATTTAAGTTGTATTTTGACTATTCCAGGTCTGTTTCTCTCTAATAGTACTCAATGAGCTAGTTCTTAACCACTTTTCAAAAGCAACTCTTTATCTACCATTTATACATGATTTTAGTGTTTATAATGAAATCTAACTCCTTGGCAACACTGCCAACTGATTCACTTTTGTTTATTGCATGTAAAAATATTTTAAGTGTTTAAAAACAGCTAAGATATCCATTCAAAATTATACACGCTGGATGATCTCATCTTAACATTATTTCTTTTGACTGTTTCTCACACTTCATGGCTTCCAGGGCCTTCATCTGCCCTAGACATGTCCTTGACTGGGCACATTCTATATATGGTTTGCTGGCAAGTAAGAAAATCAATAATCTATATGTGAACTGACATGAAAAACACATCAAAATGTGGAACTATTTTTGTAGCATATTATGCTATCTTATAGCTTTCTATTATCCAAAAGTGTAGCCACTTGGATCCTGAGTTTTATGGAATATTATTTTTGTAGTTTTGTCATATTTAACCATTCTTTTATTTAGTCTTTAATCACATTATTTTTAGAGTCTGATAATATCAGATGGATACTGCAATCTGAACATTTGATAAGTATGCTTTCAAAGTCTGACATAAAAATGGGTAAAGCAGAGAACCAATAATAGATTTAACTTTCAAAATGGGTCTATAATTACATGCTTTGAAAAAAACTGCCTGTTGAGGCCTCCTTTCCTTCACTTAGCTGAAACAACTGTAATGACAGCCTCGCCTGGAGCAATGCAGTCTAAGAGGCAGGAGAGCCCTAACCTGGGACAGACAAGCCTGAAGTGCAGCTGCATGAAACAGAACCACTCTCAGGAGGCTCAAGGCTCCATTTGAGTCAAGGCTGCAGGCTGATCTTTAGTCTGAAATGCAATGTGACAAGTAGTGACAGGTACTTTAGATCAAGAAATGTTACTGAGCAATAAACTCCTCATGTACCTATGTGAGTGGAATGGGCATTAGCCCTACAGAAGCCTGAAGAGCTCACAAGTGTCCTGTCATAATTTATCAGAATTGTGTGGTGGTAGGGAATTCTTTTAACATAGAACTAGAAGATTAGAACTAAAATCAGGGATAAAAATGCCATTCACAATGCTAGGAAGGCATATACCAGCATTGGGTTCAAGCTACCAGAGAGGATTTGTACATATGATAATTTTTCATTAAAGATTAGGATTATACTATGAAAAATGTAAAATATGAGGAGGTAAGAGTGACTAGGTTGTTCTACATGGTATGAAGGCAAAAAGGAAAACACAGGTAGATGTCACAGACGATAAAGGACTGGAATAGTTCAAGGCATTTATTTCTTAGAAACAGCCCTCTGTACCCTGACACTATTTTAGGATGTCCCTGCTTCATTCTCATAGAGTCAACACAGTGTCTTTGTAACATGCTGCTTTGAGATTCCAGTACTTACCACTAACAATTGTGGAATCATAACAATCATAAGAAATACATAACCTCAGTGTTAAGAAATCATATAATCCTACTGTTAATAAACCTTCTGTATTTAATTGACAAAAGCAATAGCATCTAAAGCAGTGACGTTTAAAACAAAGTTCTGAAAATAATAAATTCCAAATGTTTATAATACCATGTTGCATGTTTTCATTAGTTAACAAATTAACAAATTTTTTGAATTGTCAAGATATGTTAAAAATATTATTGGTTTTGATAACCTAAGAAGATTTTCTAACAAGAGGACCCATTTATTTATAAAATAAGAAAGCCAAGGTTTTAATTTTGTTTTTTAGTGTTTTTGTTTCTGTTTTGTCTAAAAATTGAGTATAGTCAACACAGAGTCCTACAATACTATAAACTTAAAAGCATTACCTGAAAGTGAGAACGTAGGATGAGATATAAGAAAATCCATATTACATGACGCATGGATTGCCTATTATTACCGAAAGACTATCCTATTGTGAAAGGATGGTTTCTAACTTACTCAAACAGATTTCCTTAATACATATTATCAGAAAGTAGCCACAACAAATCATAACCAATTCAAATTAGCCTACAAATTGCTGAATTACATTGCCATTAAAGTCTGTTAAAATAGAATGAGGAATATTTTATTAATAAGAGCATACTAAATATACTACTGATCAAATTCATTGATTTGTGGCCTCTACTTAAAGGTCTCTAAGATAGATGAAATCGTGTGGACTGTAGGTCTGAATATGAAAAATAAAACAATAAAGTATTTGCATAAAAATTTGCCCACAGAAACAATAAAGGTAAAGGAGATTATGATTTTGAGTAGGCAAATGTTTCCTAAGCACAAGATAAAGTACAATAACTGGATGTAAAAGAATTGACAAGATGCACTAAATTAAAATTGAGAACTGCTATTCACTAAAAGGCATTTTTAAGAGAGTGAAAAGGCAAGCTACATATTGGTAGAAGATTTTTCGCAACACAATTAAATGACAAAGGACTTGTATTCAGAATATATCAATAACACTTACAAAACAGTGAAAAGGGATAGTGAATACAATTAGAAAAATAGTCAAGAGATATGAAAAGGCCATTACAAAACAGATTATTTAAAAGGCCAAAGAGAATATGATCAACCACAGAGAACTATAATAAAAACAAAAAGCACTACCTTTAAACACCAATCACAGTAACTAAAATTAGAAGGCTAACCAGGTATGGTGACTTTTTGATGAATTTTGGTGGAGTATATAGGACTCGTATGCTCTTGTAATTGGATTATACATTGGTCTAAGCATTATCTACCAAATATGAACATACACATACGTTTTGTCCCACCCACTCCCATGATCTTTACTCAGGCAGTGACAGAAATAGTACATCTGAAACCCAGCCAGGGCTTTTCCAGAACATGACAACTAAATCACAGGAACAGGTGGTCCAGACTCCCATTTCACCTGCACACAGTGAGCATAGTGAATGGAGTACCCATGATGTCAGAGTTGAAGGTTACACATGAGCCCAACCACATGGAATCCCTCTCACCAAAGATAATTTGGCAACTGCCCCTGCTGAATGTCTGGCAAGTCAACAGTGGTGATGAATGCTGAGCTCCAGGTCTGGATCCATACCTTAGAAGATTACCAGTAACCTACTGTCAAGTTGGTTTCATCAGACTCCTTCCATCCTGCAAAGTTTGATTAGCCATCAATTCTGACCAGAATTGACACATACTTCAAGTGTTAATTTGCATTTCATGTAGAACCACTATCTGTGGGCTTTCTGAGTACCTGGTTCACTTACATGGAATTCCACACAGCATCACGTCAGAACAAAGTATACCTTATAGCATAAAAGATGCCATCAATAACCATAAAATGCACTGGTTCATCAACATACCACACCTACCAGTAGATGCTGGCCTATTACAGTAGTGGAATAGCCTCATAAAGATGAAGCTCAGGCATCAGCTTAACATTGGCACCATAAAAAATAAGACACTCTTCTGGATACAGCTATACTCCCTAACCAGTGGCCATTAAGTGAAACTTTTGACTCAGTAGGTAGATTGCATAAGTGTAGGAAAAAAAGACTGTAAGTAATAGTGGCATGGCTTACCATCACTTCCAGTGACTCAGGGAATTTGTACTTTTATCATTTGGCCAGAAAATCTTGGTTTTCAAAAGAGAGTGCTTCCACCAGGGAAAATAGTAAGAAGTCCACTGAACATAAAATTTTGGATATTGCCTCGTCACTCAACTTGAGTCAGTAGAGCAGCAGATTAAAAAAATGAAGGAATTACCAAACTGACAAGGATAATTAGCCCTGACACTCAGGAGGAGATAAGGCTTCAGCTGCATAATGTAGGCAGGGAGGAATATGTTTCCCACCATTATCAACAGAGACACCTCTTTTTATCCCCATGATCAGTTTTAAGTGAAAATTGGTGAATGTAGCAACATAATGTAACGTGTATGATAATGGGGGTCCTTGACACTTCAGAGATGAGCACCCGGGTGACTACACCAGGCAAGCCAGGGAAACTAGAAGTTCTAGCCAAGGGAGTGGGGAAAAGGGGTTGAGAGTGGGTAGGGGAGGAAGGAGAAGATAAGCAATAGCCAGAGCCTTGGAAGCAACTGCACAGCAGGACCTGGTAGTTCATACCACTCACACTCCTCTCATTAATTTTTTTTAGAAAGTATGACAAACTAGAATCCAGATTCTGTGGTGAATAAAATATATTTAATGTGACATTCAAGTGGAGAGAGTGCTCCGTGGTAAACAAAATTAGTGCTTCCTCCTAGATCTCCCTGTCGGGACTGTAAATGCCCACCCCCTCCTCCCCCTCCAGATACTGTGAGTATTGCTCCCTACTGGTTCTCAATCACTTCTCTATTTAGAGAGCTGCCATTACCTGAGAGTAGACACCTCTGCAGAAAGGGTCTTTCTTGCCGCCAGTCCCCTCACCACACTCCATGCAGTGGACAACTCACAGAAGGTGATCAACTTATATATTACAAAATTCTGCCTCCCTTGACTTGAGGGGCAGACAACTCTGCAATGCAATGTATACTTCAGACCCTCCTGTGCATGAGTCCAAGGCATGACTTAATTTGTGATGACATTCTAGATTGGCTTTTACTCCCCCCCCTATTCTGCTTTCCTCACTACCTGGTAAGAGTTTTTAAAGTGCACTCCCTACTTAAATAAAATATATTTGAATATTTGTTCCAGTCTCTGTTTTTCAGAACACAATCTGAAATATGCTATGAACCAGAAATTCCATTTTTAGGCTATCCTTACCAAAAAATGTATATACTGTACAGCAGATGATATGTATAAAAATCTTCATAACAGCACTACTCATAATAGTCCATTCGAATACAGGATGTGGCAGATTGTATTTCCAAAAGACAGCTGCAAAAGTATCTTCTATCACACATGCCCTTCTTACAACATGATCTTGACACACCTCTAAACTAATGTTGCTTTCTGTAAATCCTTCTCTTAAAATCTGGTTGTTCTTTTGTTGCTGTCTTTGAAAATAAAGTACGGAGCAAGTGATGCTGTGTGACTTCTGAGGCTAGATCATAAAGATGTCATAGATTCAACTTGATTTCTCAGGAAATCACTCATGGAAACCAGTCACCCTGCCATGTGGAAACCCAAAGTAGCCTGCCCAAAGACCACATATAATGTTTTAGACAACTTCCCAATGTGAGTTCAAGCTGACTACCTGCATCAACTGTTAAGCACATGTGCGAAGAATCCTCCAAAGGGCTCCAGCCCCAGCTATGCATGCACCCTTGACCTTCAAGTATTCCCTGCTGAGGCCCTAGACATATGTGCAGCAGAAACAAACTATCCTCAATGTGACCTGTCCCTATTCCTCTACCACACAGAATCAGAAGTAATTAAATTATTGCTTTGTCCTACTGAGTTTTTTGGAGTTTTGTTACATAGCACTGATAAGTAGAATACAATGTATAGTATATTCACACAGTTGTGAAAGTGAGAAGCAGCATATGGATGGGTCTCACATAATGTTGAGTAAAAAAGATACAGAATATTTTCAATGTGGGATTCAATTTATAAAAACAATAAGAAAAGACAAAACTATGCTATTAGAAATCAGAATAGTAGTTACTTTGTGGGAGATGAAGGAGGGTAGTTATTTGAGAAGGTGTGAGGATGCTGGTAGAATTTTACTTCGTGACTTGAGCAGATGGGTTCCATTTTGTGACAATTCATCATGCTGTATATTGAAGATTAACAAAAAATAGGTATGAGTCATACAGACTAAAATGAAATTTATCTTAATAAATGTAAGAATCACACTTTAATTTTGTCATATTTTAGATAAATTCTCTGATATTTTATGATTCAGTTTTGCATATATCATTTGTTTAGGTATTTTGAGTTTCTCATATGTTTTTCTCAAAATTTCAGTAGCAGATTAGTGCACTTTCATCTGGTTATAAATAACACATTTCTTTAATAATTTTAAAATAATAAGAAATTTTTTGTTAACACTCATGTCTTTCATATTTATAATGTGATTTTTATTTTGAAATATTTCTGCACACTAGACGTAGAATTCTAAAATGGCTGTCTAAAATTTTATTACTATTTACAACCAATATACTATTTATTTTGCATTTTCTAAGTCCTGAATGAACTATCGTTAATTATTTTTAGGTAGTTAATTTTTCCATTAAAACATAAGTGGTGTTTTAGAACCTCTATGGGAAAATTATTACTAAACTACAATGCACTAGTTCCAAATCTAGAACAGAGAGATCAAAAGAGTTAAACTTTGTAATATACATCAAGTTCAAACCAAAGAAAAAGATATCTATAAGAATTATATCTTATCAATCCTAGAAAAGCTTTATCTTGAATGGGATGAGAACTCTTGCTAGGAAAAAATAATCCCATATGGTCTTTTATATCCTACAGAAAATTATCTCTAAGAGTATGCATTTATTTTTACTTTTCAAGGACAGCCTAGAGCAATATTCATGTCATTCTTTGAATTAAGCAGCTCCTTCAAATAGTCTTTGAGTTCTATTCCTTTTCAGGGATATCTCCCAATTTTAATTACACAGTTGCATTTACATGACATCTGCTTAGTATGAATTTGACGTAAGACCTTACTAGGTGAGGGTCATGGCATGCCCTAAATAAATAAATAATGGAATTACGGTACATTAAACTGAAATTTTATGACCTTTTACCAAACTAAGACTTCCAAAGCCAGAAGTTATGCCCATCATAATGCTGGGTGATTTTTTTTTTTTTTTTTTAGAACAGAAAGAAAACTGTTTTATCACACAATTAAACTTGAATCTGACATGCATCACAGTCAATCTGCTTAAGAGACTGCAGAGACAGAAAGATGGTCACCAAAATTAGTCCACAAGAGGAACAATTTACAGCACCATGTCATACATAGTTCATCCTAAATTCACATGGAGATTGAAGAGGCTATCTGTGTATGCTAATTCCTTATATTCAATCACAAAAAAACTTTTCACATCTTCATAACAGGAGGTAGTTTAGCAGCTTGAAGCCAGGTGCTTGTCGAAGGTAGGTTTTCACTCTGCTACCAAAATGGTTGAAAAGCGTTCTATCCTTTTGGCTGTTTACATTTTAGAGCAGTGGCTCTGTGCTTTTTCTTAAGATCTTTTTAACTTTTTTCTCTCAAAATAATCTTGCTTAGATGGAGGTCTGTTTTTCTCTCCAATGCTGGATGAATTTAATAATAAATCCTTTCCAGATGTAACACAGGTAATTAAATAGAAAATACAATCTTTCTCAAATAAACAGTTCTTTTTTATTCTAGAGTCCAATGTCTGATTTGATTTTTATAAAATATCCTAAGTGACAATATAAAAATACTTTTGAGGCAGCTCAAGAATTAATTAAAATTAAACAAGCTGATTGTTTACAGATTACTAAGGATTAAGAATTCTCACTCTTAGTGTAAAGTAAACTTTCAGCCTAGAAATACTCAAGAAATAATAAGGAGTAAAGATTAAGTGTCTTAATATGGTGCTTGTTGGGGTGTCTCTTATTGGAAACATTTTTTCCTTTGCAATAACAACTGTTATTTGCATTATATAAACATTAAAGAATTCCTGGAAATACTTTAGTCTCTTACAACATATCTTTATATGCTCTTTAATAAATTAATAATATACTTCTTAGGGATTTCAGACCTATAGACTGAAAAGTTTTATTTTGCCTTTGTGTACTGCAACTTTAAGAATTGAAAAAAAAAAAGCAAGCAATGAGAGACAGTTTGATGTGATGGGAAAACTATAAAATATGGAATCACTTATTCTAGGTTTGATTATTAACTACCATTTACCATCTAAATAAACTTAGGCAAATCATTTAATATCTGTAAACTTCAATTCCTTCTTCTGTAAAATATAATGTATGCTCTTTGTAATAACACATTGCATTTAAATCATGAGATTATGCATTGGTAAAAAAAATTTTGAAAACTCTATAATCTACTTAGTAGACTAAATTTGTAAAACATGAGGAAGGTTGTTGAACATTAAAGTATAATTTTGGTCCTATAGAATGTGGAATTTTGCTATTTGGAAATAAAAGCTATATTCTTCAATTTCCAAAACAAAAAACATTTTATACTATTTTTTAATATCTCTGTGTATAATCAGAAGTATATTAAACTCAACCTCATGGATATGGTTTTCCAGTATCCTAAGACTTTTTATATGTTATTGAGTAACTGAAGTATCAATATCTAGTTTGTGTTATTAGCTCATTAAAAAAAAATTAGTTATCCCATTGTTCAGTCACAGAATCATAGAAATTGAGCTAGAAGAAACTTAGCAGTGATTAATTCATTATTCCTTCTTTTAAAATGTTAAAACCTCTCCAGAAAAATTAAAACATATTAATGTATATTCTTCGAACAAATTCATACTTATTCTAGTCTTCCTGTAATAAATACAGACCATGATAATTGTAATTATGTTTTCTCTCTCATCCTCAGACTTGCTGGTATAGTACTCTTTTCTGGTATAGTTCATTTCTATAAATTGAAGATAAAAAAATAATGATATCCTTCAGAATGACCAAGAAACTTGAAGGCTTTTCTAATTTGAAAGACCAAACATCCCAATTAAAGACTAAGTTATCAACTACAAGACAGAAAAAAAAACTGGGTTTCTGTACTTTTGTGTTTCTATCCTTTTGTGAGTTAATTTGTTCTTTTGGAGTCTGTGGGTTATTGTTGGGAGATATTGATGTTCTATGGAGTAGATAAGAACAAGTCAACCATATGCTTTTAAAAGTAAACTTTTTTATAGCCTGTCTGAATTTGCTCTGGGGGAAAAACAAGACAAACAGCCTATGGTCCTTACTCTTAAAAGAGTGAAAGAAGACAACATTTACACAAATATGATGCTTCAGTTTCAGAATTTTGTTTTAAAACAACTGGATTATGATATAGGGGAGGCAACAATTTAAATTGAGTTCAAGCATTAAGATTGATAATAGAAAACGCCCCTAGATAACTTAGCCCCTAGATACGAAAACAGAAAAAGGAAAAAGAAAGAAAGAAAAGGTAAATGGAGAGATGTTTTATAGGAATTGCATTGCTTATCTATATTCTAAATCTTGCAACTGGAGAAGAGATGCCTTCATTGCTAGATTCCCCAACAGAAAAACAAAGTACATGCTTATGTCACGTAAATAGGAGCACAAAACATTTGTTTGAAATAATTTGATACTTGATATGTGTGTGTTTGTGTGTGTGTGCTCCTGGGTGTATACTTGTAAACATGCCCATCTAGGCACTAGGGGGAAACCAAAACATTATTTGTCATTAAGTTTTTATATAAAGTATCATTGTCTTGCTTATATATAAAGTATCATGCTTTATATAAAGTATTATATAAAGTATCGTGCTATGTTGAATAGCATATGGTTGGGTATTATATTATTATATGGTTAGGGCTTATAAAATCTTCAGTTGCTATATATCAGTTATCAGTTTATTGCCACTTGGCTACACATCCATCCATTTTTGCCCTGCTTTTATGGTACTGTAGCTAGATACTGTAAACATTTCAGTTTTGCTAACTGACATAGAGTTAAGCTCTTAAAGGACCACTGAAAGTAGAATGGATTATTCTAACTGACCCGGATCTTTTCTTACAGCTTCCTGGCTAGTGGTGCATGGGAAAATCCATAGTCCATAATCTCAGTAGGTTTTACCTGCAGCACACAACAGGTGCCTTCTCAGTGAGTTTTGCTTGCATCCTAGAAGGTAGTTTGTTTACCAGCTCATTTATGGCATCTCAGAGAAATTCTCTACTATATAGTGGACTTCAGACACAGTGTCTCCAATAAGGTAAATCTATTAGGCTTGGTGTGAGCAGAGGTTCTCTGTTTTTCCTTAGATTATCTCATTGATGATATAAGGAAATGTAGATTCTAAATTCTACATTTAGAATTCACTGCGCCCTGCATCTGTCATTCATTCCTATATTCTTTAGAGTTCTCCTTAATCCTCTTACTAAGTTAACCCCTCTTTATAATTATTTACATTAAAATTTCCCTATTCAAAATGCTGTTATCTGTCTCCTAATTGGACCCTGAACAAATATATGCCAATGCAAAAGTCTATATCCTTTTTTTTTTTTTTTAAAGAGATCTCACTTCCATTTCACATAAATTAAAAACAAAGGCATGGGAATTAGATTGCCTGAGTTTGAGTTTTGATTCTGCCACTTAATTTTGAGAAAATGTTTGAGAAAATAACCTCTCTGGGCTTCTAATTCTTCAATTGCAAAATAAAAATGATAAAAATAGTACTTGCTGCATAGCGCTATTGTGAGGATTAAATAAGTTAATTCATACAAGACCCACAGAACAGTGCCAGGCACATAAGAAAAAATCAATTAATATTAGCTACATGTGTTATTATTACTATTATTTTAAAACTCCCTTTCATAGGGTTACAGTCGCAGAAAAACACACAATTTCTTTCATAATTTTATGTTGTATATAAAAAGCAAAATGAAGAGGGTAACTTAAATAATCACCTTTTGCAGGAAGCCTTTCCTCACTGTCTTCTCATCTTCCCACTTCTTTGTATCGTCCAGAACTGTCATTACAATGATGACACTTCACTGTAAATCATTTCTTTAGATTTCTGCTTTCTAGAGCAAAATGAGAGTCAGAGGCTACTCTCACTCAAGCCTCACACCTTGTAAACACTTAGGAAATACTTAAGGAACGAGGGCAAGAGGGAAAAAAAAAAGTGAATTTGTCTGCATCATTCCCCTCAATTTTCAAGACACAAAACTAACCTGAAATATAAAACTGACCCTGTCACCTTTAATCAGGGAAACTATTTTATTTCCTGTGACACAAAAGTGAAAGCGGGAAGTACTAATCTAAAAGGGTCAGACATTGAGGGAGGTTAGGCAGAGATCTGTCTTGTGCTTAACAGTTAAAGATCTTCCGGTTCTGTTACTGCATGCTGACTAGAGTGAACAATATCCTCTATCCTAAATCACCACTTTTCCTCTCCCGTAATTAGTTGGTTAATGAGCTAATGTTTCCAATGGACTGTGAAATTAAAACAATGTGTTATCTACTGTGATTGCTAAATATTTTCACTGGACATCAAATGTGTTTCACCCACAATGTGATTTTCTTTTCCCTGTTTATAAAAGAATCAAAAAGACAGCATCAAAGAAGTGCAGGTGTCTGGTGGGTGAATAAATAAACACTTCCAGCATGTGGAACAATTAAATAATCTCAAACAAAATGGGATCAGAGGCAGATGCAGACACCACAGGAATAACACTTAGGCAAAGGGAAAGGCTCCAAGGGAATCTCTGACAAGCAATCATGTCAGATTTCTTGGCTCCACAGGCCAGGCAATCATGCGTTTGTCCTTTTGGCAATTACGAGTGCTCTGGATACTCTGCATGCACATGGCAGGGAGATCCTCAGGCAATTCTGAGGGAATAATGATTAAGTTTAAACATTGCCAAGTAATCAGAACACTGAAGTAGACTCACAAACACAGGCTCTCCCCAGCAAAACCATAGCACTCTATATTCCTTAAACAAGTGCCACAACTTTCTCTGTGTCCCATTCCCTCTACCTGGAATATTTTTGTTTATTGCTTGTAAGATTCTATATTTTGATGTTTAAATGATATGATTTCTAAAATCTTTAAAGGTTACTTTTCATGAAGAAATATCTAATAACTCCAGCTTTGTATGAATTAAAATAGCACCTCCCTCCTTTAAAAAAAATTTCTAACAAAACAAAATTTGCTAGAAAATTAAGTGGTTTAGGGGAAACACGTATTTTATTTCATGTAAAGGAAAGGCATCTGTAGAAATTACATGGAAGAATATAATGAGCAAATAAAACAGAAATTACAACAGTTTGGGAGAGGAACAGTTCATATCAGGTTTGGTTGATGGAAACAATTCACATGAAGAAAATTTGAGTCTCAAAGAAAGAAAATTATTTTAATAGGCAAAAATTGCGACAGCATGCTCTGGACAGAAGTGGACCCAGCAAGAAAGGCAGGAATAAGGAAAGTTATACTGGACTTGAGGGATTAGCAACTGAACCATTTTGATTCTTACGTAGAATAAGTGAAAGAAGTTTCTTCTAAACAAGAAGATTAAGTCAAGAAATGGAAGATAATTGAATATTAACCATTAATTTAATTTATCAATTGTTTTAGTACCACTAAGGATGATTTGAAGAGATTTGTCTGATCCTGTGCTACCTTAGAAGCTTAAAAAAAAGTTGCATACTTTATTTGCAAAATGTATTTTAATAATGAAAGAAATGATGAAAACAAATATTCTATGCTTATAGTTTAATATGCAATTGAACTGCGTTGTTAAATTTTGGAAAAAAAATTCTAAAATGGCTGATGAAATGCAACCATTGTGCACATGCGAAAACTAACGATAATTCAGATTTGCAAAAAGCAGACTTACATATAAAGAAATGCACAATGATTTATTTAAAAAGCTGGGGAAAACTTGCAAACAACAATGAAGTCCCTAAGAAACAAGTCGACCTGACGCAGAGTAATAACAAGACAGACATGTGTACAAACACTCCATTAAAACTTTTAGTCATATGGAAAAGCTGTTTTGTAATCTTATTTTCATTATCTTATCAAACTTTTAAACTCTATAACACAAGACATCATCTAGACCTTTGAAAGAAACAAGACTCTGGCCTACAGGAGGGTAAATAGTTTATACCAGTTTAGTAACATGTGTTGTTTATTGTGGGAACAAAGAAAAACAAGCTACAGTTTCTAACTTATAATACAGTGCACTTGTAGGTAACAAAAACACAAAGGTACACTTTTTGTAGTATACCATAGCCTATGGTGAACAGTGATTTGGGCATGCGTAAGGAGCCTTGAAAACACAATGTTGGAAACTTCCTCCAATTAGATTGAGGGGCAGGAAAAATTTCCTGGAGGGAATGGTTTATACACTAAATTTCAGAGTATGACTGAGAGCTATTGGGTTGCAATGGATTTGCAAAGGCATTCTAGCCTGAGAAGAGCATGGAAAGAATGCACTGAAGTGGGAAAGAGTGTGTAGTGTGTTATCACCACCAGTTTACTATTTTGCTGTACCATCTAAAGGGAAGACCCTCCCATTAATTAAGAAAGTAGACTGAAGAATGAGATAGCTCTGAATTCACATCTCAGTTCTGCTTTTTAAGAAACATAAATTGTATTTGACATTGTTTTCTTCAATAATTCAAGGAACCTCAGGTAGTATATATTGGTGTGCATTTTTCTATCATTATTCTTCTTTTATTTAAACTGTGGCAAGAACATCAGATATATCCTCTTAACAAATTTTGAAGTTCACAATACATATTGTACAATACTATAAGCACTTATGTATGGCAGATCTCTACAACTTATTCAACTGGCAAAACTGAAACTTTATACTCTTGAATAACAACTCTCCATTTTCTCCTTTCCCCAACTCCTGACAAACACAATTCTACTGAGTCTATAATGTTGACAATTTTAGATACCTCATGTAAGTTAGATCATGTAGTATTTGTCTTTTTGTGACTTTCTGATTTCATCTAGCATAGTAACCTCCAGGATTTTATATGTTGTACCATATGATAGAGATTCTATTCTTTTTAAGGCTGAATAATATCCCATATAGTGTATGTATGCACGTGTATGTGAGTGTGTGTGTATGTATGTGTGTGTCTATATACACAACATTTTCTTTATTCATTCATCTCTCTGTGGACAAATGAGTTGTTTCCACAGCTTCGCTATTGTGGATAATGCTGTAATGGCATGGGAATGAGGTATCTCTTACAGATACTGATTTTATTTCCTTTGGTTACATACCCAGAAGTGGGATTGCTAGATCTCATGGTATTTCCATTTTTAAAATGTTTGAAGAACTTCTCTTATGATTTTTTCATAATGGCTGCATCATTTTATATTCCCAAAAACAATTTACAAGAGTCCCAATTTCTCCGCATCCTCACCAGCACTTGTTATCTTTTGGTTTTTTTAAGTAATAGCCACTCTAACAAGTATGGCAGGATATCTCATTGTGGTTTTCATTTGCATTGTCCTGATAATTGGCAATATTGAGCACCTGTTGATCATTTGTGTGTCTTAACAGGCAACAAAAGCTAAAAAGGACAAGTGGGACTGCATAAAAATAAAAGGCTTCTGCACAGGAAAGGAAAAGTTAAAATGAAATGGCAACCTATGAAGTGGTAGAAAATATTTCAAACTGTGTATCAGATTAGAATTTAATATTCACAACATATAAGGAACTCACACAACTCAATAGCAAAAACCAAAGTAATCCTATTTAAAAATGGGCAAAAGACTTGAACAGGTCTTTCTCCAGCTCTGCTTTTTATATTTTAAATTAAAAATCACAGAAGTGCTATCTAGAGAATGGCAATTAAGACCTCTCCCCCCATTCAAACCCCACTCTCTGTGGAGAGCCTTATAGCAAATTTTATGTCCTTGAGAAAGAACCACTGCTCGGCAAAGATGAGGATTGGGGTAAGGGCATTCACTCAGGAGAAGGCTGCAAAAAGAATGTCTACCAGGAAAGCATGCTTTCATGAAACATTTGGAGGAACTGCATTTGAGATAGAGGTAAAAAGGAAGAGGAAGAGAGTGGTATATATTTAAAAAAAACATATAATTATTCAGTAATGTTTTACTTAAGTAAATCAGTGAGAAAGTTATCACTCTAAGTATTCCCTTTGACAGAGTCATTGACTTATAATAACAGCAACCTTTTGAATAATTTTATTAAGACCATGTTGCAATGTTGTTTTGTGATGTGCAGGTTTAGACTGTGATCCAAACAAATGCAAAATCAGTCTAAGTATTTCATGACGTTATTTTGATTTTTATCTAAAATCACATTTCCTAGATTTATTATTCATCATATTTACTAGGATTGTATAATGATTTGCTTTTGGGTGTTAAAAGCAGTCACAATTTTGTGAGTTGTTCTTTAATTAACTTTTCTCTCATCATTAATCTTTATACAGAGGCAGAGGAGAGGGAGAGATGAATAAAAAAAGCAGATAAAAAGATGAAAATAATAAAATACCTACTGAAAGAAATATAATGTAAAATAATTACTGAGATAATTTTGCTAATATTTGTAATAATGACGCATGTGATTGAAACCCTATTCCCAGTTTGTTAATAGGTTTTTTATTTTAGTTCAAACAGTAAGGCAAAGTAACTTAGCTACTACCATTCTACATGATAGTATTACCATTCCAAAGCCTGTTGACTTTATTTTTCTTCTCCTACCACCATACAAATAAAGTACTCACGATACGTAATTCTCTCAAAAGAAAAAAATTGAATTGCAAAGAGGATAAAAGCTTTACAAAGATGACACAGCTTAGTATAAAAATTTAATTGGCACAGAAACCCAGCTTGATAACTCCCAAGTCATTGTTAATCATTCTCCTACCAAAATACAGATAATTAAGCTACAGTTTTCCTGATTTCCTTCCACCTTTCCTCTCTCCTTACCTCCCTCCTTACCTCCCTTTCTTTTTCCTTCTTTTTTTTGTAGTTGTTGTTCTGTATTTATCAAACAAAAAATCTGCTTAAATGTCTCTAATATTATTTTGTGTTTGTTTTTATCTTATAATTCTGCTAATTCCAATTAATCAACTTTATAAGATGCATGATATATATATATACATATATATATACACACACACACATATATACACACATATATATACTGTAGCAGGTTTGCTGTAAGCAACAAAACCTGTTTTATTAGTGACATGTGAAAAATTATTTTATTACACTTTCATTAGTATAGAGAGACATATCTCATACAGTTCACTGCACATATCCCTGGCCGAGCATTTTAGTCCCTGTACAGGTAAAGCACAAATTCAATTCAGGGATACTATTCAAATTGTGACTCTGAGATTACAACTCGCAGGTGGGGTACTCAACCTGAAACCCAAAGGACCTCTTAATAATGAGACTATTTCTCATTGTTGATGAAGAAGAGCCTTCTGGTTTATGGAGGAATGCACACTGAAGAGAGATGTATTGGTAAATATCCTCAAGCCAAAATCAAGGTTATTATAGACGATTGGCTAGGATCACTCAATCTGGCTTGGTAATTAGATATCACTTTCTGGGAAGCACATACATTGGAAAAGGTTAAGTAAGTTACATTTTGGCTCAGGAACTCTATTATGTGATGATATCATTGTGTATTCATGTACTATGCTCTTGAAAAACTATCATAGTTTGCCCTTGGAAATACATCTATTGCTTCTTTATTGTTTACATCCTTCAGCATTCAAAAATAGCTTCTTTATTAGTTTTTTTTCTTTAATCAGTCTCTTCCACAGGGTCCTCCAATATATTCTCCACTATTTAGCCAAACAATAAGCTGTATTGTCTTTCTATTATACATAGTGATCAAATGATTGGATTTGGAAGTTATCATGTACTTTCAAATGTTTACTCATTTGTGTAATATGTTAATTATAACACTTACCAGATAATATGTTTAAAACATTGGTCATGATTATTACTAATAAACAGTTAAAGACCAATAGTTTATATTAGTGATTGTAGTTTTCTTGTAGGAAAGGGAGCTTTCATTATTAAAACACTTTAGAAACTTATTCTATATTTAAAGCAAAGATTACAAATTTACCATTCCCCAAAGACATTTTCATATAGATAAATTGATCACATCAATATCTTTTTTTTAATTCCTGGCATATCATTTACTTTATTGCCCAGATGGTTTTGGTTATATGATCTTTTTCAATTTATATATTGCTGCATAAAACACCAATCTGAAATCTAGTGGCTTAAAACAATAACAATATGTATTTTGCTCACAAATCTGCAATCTGGGCAAGTCTCAATAGAGACAGCTCAACCTGAAGGCTTGGTCACTCACATGTCTGGCCACTCATGCTGGTTGTGGACTGGGACTTTGGCTGGGACTATAAAAGAAACACTTAAAAGTGGTTTTGTGATGTGCCTACTTGGCTTCCTAACAGCGTGGTAGCTGGATTCCTCATGAAACATCTCAGGAGGACTAGGAGTACATTTTGCCACTTTTTTTTGAACTGAACCTCAACAGTTATATAGTGTTCAATTCATTGCAGTCATAGGCCTACCATATTTAGATATAAAGAAGAGATACCTCATATATCAGTAAAAAAGTATCAATATTACATTTTAAGAAGTGTATGGAGGATAAATGGTTGAGACCATCATTGGGAAATACAATTAGCCAGATTGCCCTCTGATCAAAACAGTTTATTTTCCTTGATCATGCAAAATGCATTCATACTTTCTCCCCAGAAAACCTCTCAAATGCTCATGTATTATATATAGCACCAGGCCCAGGCTAGAGGCCTAGGAACTTACCATCAAAATTAGGTTCAAGAATAGTTTAGTCTCTTTAGGTCTGATTCCTTCATTACAGCTCTTCAAGTTCAGTTTTCTTTCTTAGAGTTGGACTTTCATCTTGGTCTTTAAAGAGCATATAATAGCTGTTAAATTTACTTTAAAATAAATTCCAATAGCCAAATGTCACATTCATGTAAATCTCATAATATTTTCTGAAATACCTATTCATTTTAGGGCATTACTACAGAATTGACTTATATTCTGAAGGAAATAAACACTCTAATATCTGGGCCACAAAATATATTTACACAGAACCACCTAGTGTTTTAAAGAGACTGGTTAGTGTTATTTACAGAGGATAGTCCTCTGCAGTCAATATCTGTATTTCCTATTACCAGCTGATCTCATCTATGTGGGAACTGTTACATAATATAGTAATGGAAAGGAAAAACAAGATTTAAGTGATTAACAGTGTGAAATATAATAGTGTGCGTTTTAAACAACATTGATTTTTGCCTTTCAGATATTTATTGTCCTATGAGTTTCATACAGGTAATTTTTTTTCTTACTAACTACAGTATAATTTTCTAAAGCTCTTTTTTATTTTAAAATTTGGTCTTCCATAAAGACTAAAAAAAGGAAACTCTATTGGACATACAATTTAATTTTCACATTGATCACCTAAAGATATCTTTGCACATATTGGTACCGGTCCTTTTTTCATTCTGAGCAAAGACCATGAGTCACAATGTAGCAATATTAGGGTGACAGCTTAAAATATCTTCAGAAATCAGAGCACATTTGAGAGGAAAGTGGTACTAGTGGTAATTAAAATATGACAAAGGATATACATCAAAATAATTCTGGGCAGAGGACATATGTTTTCCAAGATAGCAGATTAGAGATTTTTAGCATGCCTCAGTTGTTGGAAATAGCAAGATAGTACAAAAAGATAAACTCTATGAGCTTTAATTCAAGAAAGAAAATGTGAATCCACTGGAGTCATGAAGGATACCCCAGATCCCAGAAAGAAGAGCATGGAAAAATTGCCCCTATGATGGCATGTGGCTGATAAGAGTGAGTGAAGAGCCAGTACATGAGAGAGGCAGAGAGCCCCCTCCTGTGACTCACTTTTCCATGGAGATCCGAGCACCCTAGGCCAAGGAAGAGCACTTTGTTTCTCCCAAGCCCTGGAGCTAACTCGGGCAGAGGCTTGGAGAGACTGAGATGGAAAGATACCAGGAAATGCTGCAGGCATTTTCTCAGACCCAGGACTGAGGCCAGGATGCCATTTTTAATTCAAGTGTATACAAAATCAGTCATTCTTAGTGTGGCGACCTGGCAGTGTGATCATACATTTCTGTCTTGGGGCAAAGACTGGGGCACTTGATTTAGATCAGGGCTGGGGCCTCTATAACCAGAACTGTAGAAAGTACTTCAGCAGTAGACACTGGAATTATGCTCTCCCTTGTCACAGGACTTGGGTGAGAGGAAAGCTATTAAGGCTGCAGTTTCTCCTGGGTGATGAGATTTGCAGCCAGAGACAGTTTGGTGTCCAGGAACAGGTCTGTGTGTGTCATTGCTATAGGCTCCAGCCTGCTCCCCTCAGGTCACAGTGCAACAGAGACCTCTCCACTCCACCCTCAGGCAGCACCCCAGGCATTCAGAGCACACGTGTCTGAACCAGAAGCTTGAAGAGCCCTACTTTTCTTGTGCAGAAAGTGTGGTATAGTGAGATCCCCTACACTTCATACCCAGGAAGATCTATAGGCATTCAAAACACATGCTCACCCAGATTGGCAGCCTGAGCCAATCTACACTTCTTGGGCAAAGATCCTGGTTCAGAAGTTCTCTCTCTGCTCCATGCTTAGGCATATCTCCAGGCTTTTGGAGTACTCACTTGCCCAGATCAGCAGCCTGAGCTGTCACACCCTCCCTGTGCAGAAATCCAGGTGCAGTGGGACTCTCTGTTCCATGCCCAACCAGATTTCCAAGCATTCAGACATCTGCTTACACAGATCAGCAGACCTAAGTCACCCATTCTTCCTATGCAGAGATTGTGGTGCAAGCAGACCTTCTCAGCTCCAAGCACAGGCAGATCTCCAAGCATCTGGAGCACCTACTCTCTGGGATTAGGAGTTTAGGCTTCTCAGCTATTCAAAGAACATGGCTCCAAGGAGGTTTCCCAGCTCTATGCCTTGGCACACTTCTGGGTGCTTGGTGGCTGCCCACTGGATTCTCCCTCAGTTCTGGTGCTTCTGCCTGCCATCAGATAATCTGTAGGTTGGCCTGCCAGATCTGGTCCTGCCCATCTTGCAGCCTACATCCCCTGGAATGAGTAGGAAGTTCAGACCTCTGTGCACTCTACATATCAGGCCATTGCCTGAGACAACAAAGAGCTTCTCCTAGTAAATAAGGATCAAGTATATACCCAACCACACTGGCCACCTCTTACCCATAAGTGGCATATACTGGCTTTTAGATCAAACTGCACAGCCCAATATAAAACCTGACAATAGACATTCATAAGTCTATAGAAGCAAAGCCAAAGGACCCTACCTGACATTATTTAGAGTCACATTCTCCTAGGGAGGAAGGGAAAGGGAAAATTAAAGAAATATCAAAACAGTAATATAATAGAAAAAGAAAAAAAAAAGAAAAGCTACTATTCACATGAAAATAGTTTTCCAACTTAGAAGTGCGAGCATCTCCGGATGTTAGAAAACCAGTGCAAGAATTCTGGTACCATGAAAAATCTGAATATAATGACACTTCCAAAAGATCACACCAACTATCCAACAATGGCCTCTAACCAAAATGGAAACTCAGAAATGACAGATAAAGAATTCAAAGAATGGACTGTAAGGAAGCTCAATAAAATTCAAGAAAATGTTGAAAATCAATACAAAGAAACTTCTAAAGCAATCCAGGAAATGAAGGGATAAACATATTAAAATTAAGTCAATCAGAGATTCAGGAATTGAAAAACTTTCTTAGGGAATTACAAACTACAATTGAAAGCTTTATCAATAGATAAGACCAAGCAGAAAAAATAATTTAAGAGCTTGAAGACTGATCTTCTGAATTTGGTCAGATGAAATATTATAAAAGTAAATTTAAAACACGGACAAAGTACTAAAGAAATATGGGATTATATAAAATGACCCAAACCTATGAATTATTGGCATTTTCAAGAGATAAGGAGGAAAGTAAATAACTTGGAAAATATGTTTGAAGAAATAATTCAATAATGTTTCTCTAATCTTGCTAGAGAGGTAAACATTCAGAGACAAGAAATCCAGAGAACACTTGTGATGTAGTATACAAAATGAACATCATTAAGGCATATAGTCACCAGACTGTCCAAAGTCAACATTAAAGAAAAAAATCAAAGGCAGCTAGAAAAAAAGCTCAGATCATGGACAAAGGGAATTTCTTCTGGCTAACAGCAGACTTCTCAGCAAAGCTTGCAAGTCAGGAGAGATTGAAAACCTATTTTCAACATTGTTGAAGACAAGAAATTGGAATTAAGAATTTCTTAATCTTACTAAAACTATAAACTCCATAAGTGAAGGAGACATAAAATCTTTCCAGCAAGTAAGTGTTAATGGAATTTTTTTATGACTAGACCAGCTTCTTCAAGAGATCCTTAAGGGAGTGCTAAACGTAGTAACAGAAGAATGATATCTGCTACCACAAAAACACACTTAGGTAAATAGCCTACTGACCCTGTAAGAAACAATACAATAGAAACAACAAAGCCACCATCTAAAAACATCATGATGGGATCAAAACATCACATATCAGTATTAACTATGAATATAAATGGTCTAAATACTCCACTGAAAAGACACAGAGCTGCAAGTTGGATTTAAAAAAAAACAACAACCATACATCTGCTGTCTACAAGAGACCAACATCACACATCATAATATTCACAGGTTCAAAGAATAGGAGAAAGATCTCTCACACAAATGAAAATCAAAAAAGAGTGGAAGTCACTCTTTTTATGTGAGATAAAAGAGACATTACACCAAACATCAACAACACTAAAAAAGGACAAAGAATAACATTACATAATGATAAAATATTCAATCCAAAAAGAATGCTTAATTATCCTAACTCCATACACACCCAATGTTAGAGTACTCAGATTCATAAAACAACCACTTCCGAACCTGAAAAAAAAATCTTAGACACACACACTGTAATAGTGGGGGACTTCAACAACCTGTTGTCAGCATTAGACAGATCACTGAGGCAGAAAACTAACAAAGAAAATATGGACTTAAGTTTGATGCTTGAACAAATGTACCTAATAGACATCTACAGAGTACTCTGTCCATCAATCCCAGAATACACATTTTTCTCAACTGCACAAAGAATATACTCCAGGACTAACCATATGCTTAGCCAAAAAGTGAGTCTCAGAATATTTAAAAATATTAAAATTGTTACAACATTCTCAGACTTCAGTGGAATAAACATATAAATCAGTACCTCAAATTAACGATCTAATATTATATCTAGAGGAAGTAGGAAAAAGGAGCAAACTAACCTCAAACCTAGAAAATAAAGAAATAACTAAAGTCAGAGCAGAACCTAATGAAATTGAGATATAGAAATTCATACAAAGAATCAATGAAAACAAAAGTTTGTTCTTTGAAAATGTTAACAAAGTTTGATAGAGTGATAGCCAGATTTAGAAAGAAAAAAAGAGAGAACATCCAAGTAAGCACAAACAGAAATGACAAGGTGACATTACAACGAATCCCACAGAAATACAAAAAATTCAGATACTATTATAAACACTTCTAAGAACACAAACCAGAAAATCTACAGACAACTGATACATTTCTGAAAAGACACATCCTCCTGAAATTAAAACCCTGAATATACCAATATTGAGGCCAGAAATTGAATCAATAAGAAAACACCTGCCAAACATAAAAAGCTCAAACCCAAATGTATTCACAGCTGAATTCACAGACATACAAAAAAGTGCTGGTGCCAACTCTGCTGAAGCTATTCCAAAAATTCAAGAAGGATGGACTCATTTCCTCATTTATTCTATGAAGTAAAGTTACCCTGATGCCACAACCAGGTAAAAACACAACGGAAAAGGAACTACAGGCTAATATCCCTGATGAACCTAGACACAAACATTTTTAAGAAAATATTAACAAACCAAATTCAGCACCACATCAAAAAGTTAATTCACCACAATCAAGTAGACTTTATTCCTGCAAGGTTGGTTGAACCTACACAAATTAATAAATGTGATTCAGAGCTAAAAACAAAAACAATATGATCACCTCAATAGATGTGATAAAAGCTTTTGATAATATCCAAAATTTCTTTATGATATAAAAACTTCAACAAATTAGGCATAGAAAGAACGGACATAAAATAATAAGACTCATCTCTGACAAACCCACAGCCAACATTATACCCAATGGCAAAAGCTGGAAGCATTCCCATTGAGAACTGAAACAAGATAAGGATGCCCACTCTCCCCACTCATTTTCAACATAGTACTAGAAGGGATGGCCAGAACATTCAGGCAAGAGAAAGAAATAAAAGACATCCAAATAGGAAAAGAAAACGTCAAACTATCTCTCAATATGAATGATATTAAATTTCCTAAATTTCATATCATTTCCTGAAATTCCCAACAGAATCTAACAAAAAGCTCCTGGAAATTATAAAGGATTTTGGTAAAATTTCAGGATACAAAATCGGTGTACAAAAATTAGTACCATTTCTATGCACAAATACTATTCAATCTGAGAGCCAAATCAAGAATTCAATTCCATTTACAATAACCACGAACAAAAAATAAATTATCGAGGAATACATCTAACTCAGAATGTGAAATATTTCTACAAGGAGAACTACAAAACATGGCTGAAAAAATCATAGATGACAATAACAAATGGAAAAACATTCTAAGCTCATGAATTGAAAGAGTGAATATTCAACATTGTTCCTTTAAAACTAACAATGTAATTCTTCAAAGAATTAGAAAAAATGATTACAAATTTCATATGGAACCAAAAAGAGCCCCAATAGCCAAAGCAATCCTAAGCAAAAAGGAAAATGCCAGACATCATGATATGGTTTGACTCTGTGTCCCCACTCAAATCTCATCTCAAATCGTAATCCCCATGTGTTAGGGGAGGGACCAGGTGGGAGGCAATTGGATCATGGGGGTGGTTCCCCCATGCTATTCTTCTGATAGTGAGTGAGTTCTCACAAGAACTGATGGTTTTAAATTATGGCATTTCCTCATGCTCACACAAACTCTCTCCTGCTGCCTTGTGAAGAGGGTAACTGCTTCCCCTTTGACTTCTGCCATGATTGTAAGTTTCATGAGGCTTCCTATCCAAGATTCCTGTGAAGCCTGTGGAACAGTGAGTCAATCAGGCTTTTTTCTTTTACAATTACCCAGTCTCAGGTAGTATTCTTTTTTGAAGTGTGAGAATGGACTAATATAGTAAATTGGTACCAGGAGTGGGGTACTGATATAAAGATACCTGTAAATGTGGAAGAAACTTTGGAACTTTGTAATTGGTAGAGGTTGGAACAGTTTGGAGGGCTCAGAAGAAGAAAGAAAGATGTGGGAAAGTTTGGAACTTCCTAGAGACTAACTGAATGGTTTTGACCAAAATATGGATAATGATGTGGACAATGAAGTACAGGCTGAGGTGATCTCAGATAGACATGAGGAATTTCTTGGGAGCTGGAGCAAAGGTCACTCTTACTATGCTTTAGCGAAGCGACTGCAGCATTTTGCCCCTGTCCTAGAGATCTGTAGAACTTCAAACTTGAGAGAGATGATTTGGAATTGGAACTTATGTATAAAAGAGAACCAGAGGATAAGGGCAGCTTGATGATGTGATAGAAAAGAAAAATTTATTTTCTAAGGAGAAATTCAAGCCAGCTGCAGAACATTTTATGTAAAAAGGAGCCAAACATTAATAACTAAGACAACGAGGAAAATGTTTCCAGGGCATGTCAGAGATTTTGGCAGCAGCCTCTCCAATCACAGGCCTGGAGACCTAGGAAGGAAAAATGATTTTATCTGCCAGGCCCAGGGCCCCCCTGCTCTGTGAAGCCTTGGGACTTGGTGCCCTGTGTCCCAGATGCTTCAGCTCCAGCTGTGGCTAAAAGGGGCCAAGGTACAGCTTGGGCCACTGCTTCAGAGGGTGCAAGCCCCAAGCCTTGGTGGCTTCGATGTAGTGTTGGGTGTGTGGGTGCACAGAAGACAAGAATTGAGGTTTGGGAACCTCCGCTTAGATTTCAGTGGATGCAGGAGCAGAGCCCTCATGGAGAACTTCTGCCAGGGCAGTGCAGAAGGGGATTGTGGGGTTGAAGCCCCCAGATGGAGTCCCTAATGAAGCACTGCCTAGGAAATCTGTGAGAAGGATGCTGCCTTCCAGACCCCAGAATGGTAGATCCACTGACAGCTCGCACCATGTGCCTGGAAAAGCTGCAGACACTCAATCCCAGTCTGTAATAGCAGCGAGGAGTGCGGCTGTAGCCTGCAAAGCCACAGGGGTGATGCTGCCCAACACTATGGTAGCTCACCTCTTGTATAAGCATGAGCAGGATGTGAGACCTGGAGTCAAATAAGATTGCTCAGGAGCTTTGACACTTAATGACTGCCCTGCTGGATTTCAGACTTTCATGGGGCCTACAGTCCCTTTGTTATGTCCAATTTCTCCCATTTGTAATGGGAACATTTGCCCAATGCCTGTACCCCCATTGTATCTAAGAAGTAACTAATTTGCTTTTGATTTTTCAGGCTCATAGGCAGAAGAGACTTGTCTTGTTTCAGATGAGACTTTGGACTGCGGGCTTTTGAGTTAATGCTGAAAGGAGTTAAAAATTTGAGGGACTGTTGGGAAGGCATATTAGTGTTTTTAAATATGAGCACATAAGATTTAGGAGGGGCCAGGAGCAGAATAACATGGTTTGGCTCTGTGTCCCCACCCAAATCTCATCTTTAATTGTAATCTCCATGTGACAAGGGAAAGACCAGGTGGGAGGTGATTGGATCATGGGGGGCAGTTGCCCCCATGCTGTTTTCCTCATAGGGAGTGAGTTCTAATGAGAGTTGATGGTTTTAAAGTTGTCACTTTCTTGTTCTAGCACACACTCTCTCCTGTCACCTTGTCAGGAAAGTGCCTGCTTCCCCTTGCCTTCAGCCATGATTGTAAGTTTCCTAAGGCATCCTAGCCATGTTTCCTATTAAGGCTGCAAAACTGTGAGTCAATTAAACCTCTTTCCTTTATAATTACCCAGTCTCAGGTAGTATTCTTTATATCAGTGTGAGAATGGACTAATATACATCCCAATATTGACTTTAAATTATACTATAGGTGACAGTAACAAAAACACTATGGTACTGGGACCAAAAAAATAGACATAGGTCCATGCAACATAATAGACAATCCAGATACAAAAGCCACATACCTACAGCCATCTGATCTTTGACAAAGTTGACAAAAATTAGCAATGGGGAAAAAACTCCCTATTCAGTATGATAACTGGTGCTGGAATAGCTGGCTAGCCATATGCAGAAAAAGGAAACTAGGCTCTGACATTTCTTCATACACACAAATTAGCTCAGGATGGTTTAAAGATTTAAATGTAAAACCTCAAATTATAAGAATCCTAGAAAACCTAGGAAACACCCTTCTGGACATTGTCCTTGGGAAAAAAAATTTATGCCTAAGTCCTCAGAAGCAATTGCAACCAAACCAAAATTGACAAGTGGGACCTAATGAAACTAAAGAGTTTCTGCACAGCAAAAGAAACCATCAACAGAGAAAACAGACAACTTACAGAATGGGAGAAAATATTTATAAAGTCTGCATCCAACAAAGGTCAAATTCCTAATGTCCGTAATGAACTTAGTCAACAAGCAATAAGCAAATAGCCCATTTAAAAGTGGGCAAAAGATGTGAACGGAATCTCTCAAAAGAAGACATTTATGCAGCCAACACACATGAAAAAAATTAAAGATCATTAATCATCAGAACAATGGAAATCAAAACCTCAATGAGATACCATCTCACACCAGTCAGAATGGCTATTAAAAAGTCAGAAAACAGTAGATCTTGCCAAGGCTATGGAGAAAAGAGAAGGCTAATACACTATTAAGGAGAAGATAAATCAGTTCAGCCACTTTGCAAAGCAGTTCAGAGACTTCTCCAAGATGTTAAAACAGAACTACTGGGTAAATATCCGAAAGGAAATACATCATCTAGCAAAAAGACACATGCACTTGTGGCACTATGCTATGTGTTCATCACAGCACTATTCACAGTAATGAAGCCGTGGAATCAACTCAGGTGCTCATCAACAGTAGATTGTACAAAGAATTGGAAGCCATTATCCTAACTGAATTAATGCTGGAACTGACAGTCACATACTGCACATTATCACTTATAAGTGGGAGCTAAACACTGGGTACTAATGGACATAAAGATGGCAACAATAGACACCGGGAACTACTAGACGGGCGCAGGCTGGGAGGTAGCCGGCTAAATGTTGAAAACCTAGGTATTGAATACAACGTTCACTACCTAGGTGACAGGATCATTCATATCCCAAACCTCAGCATTACACAATATACCCATGTAACAAACTGGCAGATGTAGCCCCTGCATTTAAAATAAAAGTTGAAATGATAAAAAGTACAAAAAAATCAAAATCAGAGTGTACTTTGGATTTATCCCAGTTTGAATTCTTATACTACCTCTTATAAGTGATCTCATTCAATATACTTCCCACCTTTCAGAGTCTGTTTTCTTATCTGAAAATGAAAATAACTGACTTATCTCATTTCTTATGACTATTAAATCATATACAGTACTTTGATTATTTCTTGACACAATGAAGGCCCTTAGCAACTAATAATTAGTGTTATCATTAGCTTTGCTATTATTGTTTCCTGAGTGCCCAGAGCAGTGCCTGACATGTGATAAAACTGCAATAATTCGTTGTTTGGTGAAAAATTTAATGAAATAATGAATACATAAACAAATCAATAAGTTATAGAAATAGCATTATAATAAATTATGTTTACATAATAGTGTGATTCTGGTAAATATCATAGAAGGACTAACAGACAAGCAAATAAATGTCCTTGGAGATAGTCAACATGGATTCACAGAAAGCATAAAATAAGAAAAATTAGTTGACTTTTAATGTAATATACCAGAAAATTAATCTGCATACATTGTCTATATATTTGAAATCTCAGAACTCATAGTTTCTATTTATTCTATTTAATCATATAAAATAGCTTTCTTTTTTTTAAATTATAAATTTTATTGTTCTGTGTTATTGGAGGTTGTATTAATTAGGATAGGCTAGGTTATGTTGCATTATAATTAACTACATAGCAAATACAAATAGTAACACAAATGGGTTTTTTATGCTCCACATGCCTGATCACAGTTATATGATAAATCAATTAATTTGTATCCCTTTAGTATTCTTTAATATTATTCCATAATATTTTTCTGTTCTTCAAAATAGTTTCTTTAAGAATCGTATTGTATTTCCTTATGTTAAGCTACTCAAATTAGTTTCTTGGGGCAGCCGTACAAATTACTACAAACTTCGTGGCTTAAAAAAACAGAACTTCATTCTTGCACTTAAGGAGGTCAGAAGTCTGAAATCAAGGTGCTGAGAGTGGTACATTTCCTATGAAATCTCTAAGAAAACATCCTTTCTTGCCTTTTTTAGATTCTGGTAGTTCCAGGCATTCCTTGGCTTGTAGAAGCATAGTTCTTATTTCTTCCTTCACCTTCACAAAGGTTTTCACATGGTCTTCTTCTCCACGTTTCTCTGCTACTCTTCTCTTACAAGGACACTTCCCACTACATTTACGGCCCACCCTAACTCAAGGTGGTCTCATCCTTAACATAGTTATATCTCTAAAAACACCTTTTCCAAATAAGGTTATATTTCCAGGTTCTTGGTCGACTTATCTGCTTGGAGTGGAGGCAGGAGGCACCATTCAAGCCACTACGGTACAATAGTTTACTAAATCTAAATATTTCTGGTTTAAATGTTAAATTTTATAAGGTACATAAAAAGATCAGAGCTGGGTGAAGATTGAATTGTGGGAGAGAAAAGCCTGGAGATAGAAAACAAATAAGAATTCAAGTACAATAATGAAAACAATTTAAACATGGGAAACTAATAATATTGGAACTAGAAGGGGGCTAAATGTGAGCCATTTAACAAAAATATTTTACAGGTTTAGAAAATGTTTGGGAAAGGCCACTAACAAAACTATCACGGAGCATAAGCATATTTGTAAACAAAGCTAACTTTTGATTTTGAATATGCCAAATTTAACTTTTAAAGAGAAATGTTGACTTTTCACTTCTGTTCACTACAGCTTTCATTATCAATGCATTTTTCTACCCGCTCTCAGTCCCTGTTCATGAATTTTGGTGAAGGTTTCTCTACATTTAGGGGCATTGAATAAAGAAGCAGAATTAATATTTTACCAATATATTCTGAACTTGAAAAATGTAGTTTCTGGCATTTTTGGATCTTTTTTTTTTTTTTTTTTTTTGATGCTTCTCTAAGTTGAGTTTCTCAAAAACTGACAATAGAATGAGGACTTGAGTTAAGTAATTCATGAAGGAAGTGCTCCCATAAGAAACTATTAGAGGAGTGAAGAAAGCAGGAGAGAGGAGAGAAATCTAAACAGTTTTTATTTTCAGCAAAATCTTACCCTCAGCTTCATCATGCTGGGGACTTCTGGCTGTAAATTTTGTTTTAGATTTAGTCCCAAATCCAAGACACTCTTGGCTAAGGACTTCTCTAGATTAGCACAAACTCAGACAATTCTGCATCTCTGCATGTATAATAAATATAATAAATGTGACTAGAATAGCTGAAAAGCAGACCTTCGAAGACAGTCACAAGTTTGAGTCTTCTATAGTTATCTCTGCAATTCTGTGACCCACTCCCCTATTATATTAACTTCACTCTGTCCTGTTAGAGTTTTCTCAAGGTGGTGATTACTCACAATTTCTGCAGAATAATTTTCAATACAATATTTAGAATGATCAGTTATATCTAGCTACCGTAGTTTATCCTGAGATGATAACTGATACTGGTTAGGTTCCTCTTCTGTCAACCATCATTGATTCCACTCACTCTACACTAGTTCTTCTATGATAAAGGAAGTTTTTCTGATGAGAAGCATTTCAATTCCTAAGCATGGCCCCAAATGAAAGTTGTAAAAAAGAGATATATTGAAAAATGAGTAGTGGTATTACTCAATAACAAATAAAAGGAAGAAAAAAAGTAAGAAAAGGTGAAAAAATAAAAGAAAAAGGAAAAAGTACAACAAAAAGATACTGAAAATGTCCATATATGAGGAAATAATGTGGTATATTTATTTCACTATATTTATGCAACAGAATAGTTTCTGTTAGTAACCATAAATGAGTTACAGCTACCTGAATAACATTAATACCATTTAATAATCTAATAAGAAGGAAATATGGGTATAACTATCTTTTTATAAAGTTCAAAAGCAAATAAAACAAAAACATGCATTTTTAGGCATATATATATGTATACATATGTGAAAAATATATACCGCCCAGAGGGGTGGTTTTGTGGGGAGGAAACAGAATTAGACTAACAAAGGTATATGTATATACATATACATAATATAGGGGTAAAGAGTTCACAAGTGTTCATTATGTTAACAAAGTGAACAAATAAGTGTAGGCCAAATATGACCCTGTATCTAGTACCAGTGATTACTGCTAATCCATTCTGTGCACCTGTTTTCCAATTAAAAATAAAAATTTTTCAGTTTAATTTATTTGAAAGCACAGCTAAGATTGAGAACCATTGCGTTATATGACCTGTAATGAAACTCAATTTATTTTTCAATCAGCTGAGGCAAATACTAATGGGGAATATTTTATTTGTGAAGGAAATGTGATTCAATATTCAAAGAAATGAGGTTTTAAAAAAATTAAATGTTTTAAAGCATGTGATTTTGCTGTATCATAAAGGCATGAAACAAAATATATAATACACTAAAAGCTTAAATTTTATCTCACAATGCCCATTCAAATGCTAAATGAAGGACTTCAACAGGAGAGAAATAATGTATCTGAGTAAAATGACTTTAACAGCCTGAAACAGAATTTGCTTCACAAAATCACGTAACCCAAGTAGTTCAATTACGTATCTAATGGAGAGTGTTTAGAAATATGAAGTTTTACCTTAAAACATGAAAAATTAAGAGGAGTTATGCATTTAATTTTCTATGGAGTTGAGGATCTTCTTAACAATGTGTAAGTTCTGTTTTAACATCCTTATTTCAACAATACAAGAACCTGATAAATCGTTTATTCACATAGACACTTTGACCACTTTAACACAAAGAAGAGCCATAGTATATTAATGTACCTGACATGAAGATAAATGACTGCAATTAGCTTTCTCATTAGTTTTAACTAACATTACTTCTTTAGCCATGACTGATTTATCTCCATTTCACTTCTCTAATACTTCAGGAAATTGTCTGTTAGACATTAAAGGCAGGTAAAGAGAGTTAATTTGAAAATCCAGACAGCAACTTTCTTTTTTCCTTTGGGTTTACTTGTGGCTGACACTCAAGGGAGGGTGCATACACACGTGCTTTTGTCATTATGCTATAGGAAAATGATCAATGATATGAAAAGTGAACATTTATGAAATGTAGTCAGAGATATATGTCACATTTAATGCGAGGAAAAAAAGCTAAAAGTTTTGAACGAGTATCTAAAGAATTCTTGAAAAATCTTGGATTGAATTTATGTTTCTGTCTCCCAACGAATTTCACTTTTGTAATAATACCACAGAGGGGAGGGATTAAATATAGGGATAGGCACATTGATAAGATAAACTAAATGAGTCCATCAAGAGTTTACAATTATTTTTGGGTGATCAGGTTGCCAAAGTGAGAACAAAAATGAAATTGTATTTTTCTTCAGATTTACAGAAAGCAATAGAACAGTAGTAGAAAGAGGACTTTGCTTTACCTCAGATCTAAGATGAAGATTCACATTTTATGTTTTTACAATGATGGCTTGTCTTACAGAAGCCTGTGAGTTTCTTCTGAAAAATTCTGTGTGTGCGTGTGATCAGAGGATAGTCTAGAGAAGAATTTTCTATTTTCTCTTCCTCATACCTCCCTCATGTGAAGGTGGTACGGGATTTGTACAATAAAGTGTTTTCAAACATGAATGTTGGAAAAGAGACAGGTTCTTTTACCTGAAAATCTGAGATCAGAGAAGCTCTCTCTGTCTCTGTGCCTAAGTAGACAATAAATGGTTTGCTTATTTAGGTACTTCAATACCAGCTTTAGCTCTAGGGTTGAGGAAACACCACCACAGAGGCAGGCAAAACAAAACAAAACATTAACAACAAAATAATCCACTTAGACTTGGAGCCTGAGGAAGAACAAGATGAACAATTAGACCAGGGCATACCCTTTGAAATAGCGCTGATAGAAGAGTCACATCTAGAATTACACATTTCTCTTAGGCAATTCTGGTTTCTTTTAGTGGAAGGAATTAGCAAAGAAAATGGTTAGGTTGGGGTGCTCACTATTGCTGAAATGACATTGTTTCCAAGACATCTCAGAGGGAAAAAGTAGAAGAAATACATGTTTTAAAGTGTGGAGTCCAAAGTGAAATTTGTAATTCAATTTGGATACTATAGTTTTTACCTCAATTTCTTTAATAGTAATTATGTCCTCTCTAGCAATGGAAGTTATTGATTCTAAAAACCATTAACATAATTTCATACTTTTCTTATTCTACTCTATGAAGAAAACAATTTCAAAATAATGATGCTTATGACAGTTTTAAGCAGTTCACATAGTTGTATACATATTATTATTATTTGCACCTTGCATAATGGTAGATTTCTAGAAAATACAATCTATCAAATGCTCTCAGCAAAAGTATTTAATAAGAAAAAAAGAAAGTATAAACGAAAGGGAGAAAGAGAAGGAGGTCATGGTCTTACCTTGAAGTAACATACTCCATAGTAAGAAAAACTTACACTCAACTAAGTATTGCACAAGGAAAAATGCAATAAGAGGATAGTAAGAAAATATAGCCAAAATACTATAGGAGAAAAAGCAAGTGGTTATGACTTGGAGTCTGGGGATATTTTTACATCATTGTGGCTTAGCATTAAAGAATGAGAAGCACTTCTAAGGTACTGAGACATCAGCACTTCTAAGAATAACTGAGACATCATTCTATACTGAAATTATTAAGTTTATAGTCAAAGTCAAACTAAATAATTTACAAAGTAAATATAATGGCACTATACCTTATTTTTGTCCTGATATTAAACATGAATTATATTATGGTAGCCTTACTTTTACTTAACTGGAGATTTAGATGGTGACTGCATTTAATTCCCATGTTTTCCACATAGAATTCATGGAAATTATTTGATATTGCTTCATGTGAGTTTCTATTTATGTCATTCTATGACTAGTTCTATAATTGTCACTCCTTACTTTCTCTATCAAAAATATTATTACATTCAAGATTGCAAAAGTAAACTGATATATTTAGAACCCATATTTTATAAGAAGTTAGGTAATACTTTGAAAGCATGAAGTTATAGACAGCAAGATGTACAAATACGTCCTTTTGAAATGATACATTCCAAAATTGTGACAGTGAAATTGAAATGTGATGAAAAATAATGTAAATGATTGATTCTTAAGGCACAGACATTAATGATTCACAATGAGCTCTATAATTCACAGAACTCAATGATATGCAGAAAACAAATATATGGTAGGTGTATAATTTCCTCTTCCAAGGAAGATAAGACCTATACATCAAAGTGATTCACCCCAAAATAACAAATTAAGATAGCATTTTGTTGTATTAAAAATGTAATGTATGCTTTCTGAAATGATTTTCTTCTTTGATAAATATATATCTAGCAAAAACCAAAATGTGTGAAGTTTTATGTATAATAACAGAACTCCAATTTCGGTCTCTAATGTTAAACCTGCAACAATAGACTCCATTATTCTAAATTACACTTCCATACATAAGGCATTTATACCTACTTTGGTATGGCATAATAGAATGATGTTAGTCATTTATTTCTGATTCTTTCTTTCACATATTAATGAATGATTTCAATGATTCTCTAGATTGTATCCAAGGTGATTTTAGCTACTTGTAACAGAAAATATTCCATAGTGGCTTTGACAATTGGTTTAGGTGGCTTCATGTAACAAGAATTAGAAAGAAGTCAGTTAGGTTGAGACAATCAATCATTTTATTAGGAACCCATATTCCTCTTATTTTCCCCCTTTTGATTTTTAGTAAAATGACTTATTCTCCAAAGTCACATGCTAATTGGTGTTTACCAAGCATTCATTATTCCCACCCAAAGAAGGGAAGCAGGCATATAAGGCGAAGTAAAATCGCCTTGATGACTACTTTTATTTAAAAAAAAAAATCGGGAAGTCCAGAGTTTTTTCTGAAACTACATCTAGACATCTAATACATATCTTTGGTAAAAACTATGGAAATTGGCTATACCTACCTACATTGGAGTCTTAGAAATGAAGTCTATAGTTGAGCTAACTACTATCTAAAACAAAATCTAGGTTATATAAGTAAAAAAAGGAGTACAAGGATACTCAGTAGAAAAACAAAAACAAACAAATGAACAAACAAAAAAAACACAATGCCCAAGTCAGTAACCTGAGTAATACTATGGACTCCATCAAGCTTACGTGAATGGAGAGACATGCTCTGTTGATAGATCAAAATATTTCACATGACTAATATGTGAATTACCTCCAATTTGTCCGATAAATATAATGCATACAAATTGAAATTTCAGTAAAATTGTAAGATATCACTTCACACCTGTTGGCTGTTATCAAAGGGACAAGAGATAAATGTTGGCAAAAGCGTAGAAAAAAAGGAAATTCTAGTACACTGTTGACAGAAATTTATACTAGTATATCCATTATGGAAAACAGTATAGAGGTTCCTAAGGAAATTTAAAATAGAATTACCATATGACCCAGCAATCTATCTTCTGGGTTTATCCCAAAACAGATGAAACCACCATCGTCTAAATATATCTACACTCCCATGTTCATTGCAACATTCTTCAAAATAGTCAAGATATGAAAACAACCTGAATGCTTATTGATGGAAAAATAGATAATAACACATGGTATATATAGAAAATGAACATTATTTAGCCTCAGAAAAGAAGATCTTGCCATTTGACACAGCATGCGTGAAACTGGAGGACATTGTGCTAAATGCAATAAGCCAAAAAGAGGAGAAAATTATTGCATGATTTCACTTATATTTGGAATTAAAGAGAGAGAGAGAGAGCTCAAATACACAGAGATAGAGAATGAAACAACGGTTACCGTGCGTAGAGGTTACTGTGGGTAGTGGGAGGAAATTTGGAAATGTAGGTCAAACGATAAAAAAAAAAAAGATAAGATGCACGGTCGTAGAGATCTAATGTACAACATGAGGACTAAAATTTATAACACCATTGTTTTAGGGATTTTTGTTAAATAACTAGATTTTAGCTGCTCTTGTCAAAATAATAAAAATAATTATAAGATGACATACATGCTAATCTGCTTTACTACACAGGTTGAGTACCCAAAATGCTTGCAACCAGAAACATTTCCGATTTTGATTTTTTTGGCTTTTTGGAATATTTGCATTACACATACTGATTAAGCATCCTATATCTGATCATCTGAAATAGGAAATGCTCGAAATGAGAATTTCCTTTGAGTGTCGTGTTAACACTAAAAGTTTCAGATGTGACCAGGTGCAGTGGCATGAGTCTGTAGTCCCAGGCAATCAGGAAGCTGAAGCAAGAAAATCACTTGAGCCCAAGAGTTCAGGAATGTAGTGAGCTATGATCGTGCCTGTCAGTGGCCACTGCACTACAGCCTGGACAATACAGCAATACTGTATTCCTAAAAAGAGAGAAAAAAGCCAGGCTCAATGGCTCATGCCTGTAATCCCAGTACTTTGGGTGGCTGAGATGGGAGGATAATATGAGACCAGGAGTTTGAGACCAACCAGATCAGTACAGTGAGATCCCAAAAATAAAGTTAAAAAAAAAAAAAACCAAAAATAGGCTTTAAAAAAAAGAGAGAAAGGAAAAAGTTCCAAATTTTGGAACATTTCAGATTTTGGATTTTCAGATTTGGGATGCTAAACCTGTAGTAACTATTTTTCTATCTACATGTATTTCATAACATCACGTTGTAAACCTCAAATGTACACAATAAAATTTATGTTAAAAAGTAAACTAATTCTATAGTTTATATGTGAAATGAAGGAACTCAAATTTTCTAAACTTTTCAAAAAAAATAAAGTTGGAGAACACATACTACTTTATTTTAAGAACAATCAAGTGTGAGAGTAGTAAAAAAAGTTATAAAATACTAGACCTTATAGTCAATAATAATAATTTATTGTATATTTTACAATAATTCAAAGAGTGGAATTGGAATGTTCCTAACACAAAGAAATGAGAAATGGTATCTAGATGTAATAGATACCCAAATACCTGGATTTGATAATGATACATTATATGCTTGTATGAAAACATCACATGTACACCATAAATATATGTACCTAATTATTATGAGCCCATAATTAAAAACAAAAAAATTAATTAAAAATAGCAAAAAAAGGAGTTGATAATGACACATTATATACTTGTATCAAAACATCACATGTACCCCATAAATATATATGCCTAATTATTATGAACCCATAATAATTAAAAACAAAAATTTTAATTAAAATACAGCAAAAAATAGAGGCACAGATCAATGGAACAAAATTGACTCAAAAAATGAAACCTCACATATATAGTCAATTGATTTTTGACAAAGATGTCAAGGTTGACAAGAAAGGAAGATATTTTCTATGAAAAAAATGGACATGAACATGCAAAAAAAAGTGATCTTTGATCAAATACAAGTACAACAAAAACAAAAATTAACTCAAAATCAGTGAGATCTAAATGTAAGATTAAAATGATAAAGTATCCAGAAATAAACATAGAAAAAATTGTACAATGTCTTCAGGAAAGGATTTGTTAAACAGGACATGAAAAGGTAATATATTTAAAAAAATAATAAACTTGGCTTCATTAAAACTTAAAATTTCTGCTACTAAAATATCACTGTAAATAAAGTAAAAAGGAAAGCTACAGACTGGTAGGAAATATTTTTCAAATTGTATATATGACAGAGTACTTACATCTGGGAGGGAATATTTTTCAAATTGTATATATGACAGAGTACTTACAAAATGAACTCTCGCTTCCCTTTTCCAGCTTCCAGGTTCCCATGCCTGGCAGTAGGTTTTGTAGATTGCTCTATGACAGAAAGATACAGTGGGATTAGAACATTGTTCAGAGAATTAGGCCAACTGAGGAAAGCAGAATTAATTTAACCCATAACTTAATCACCTTCATTAGAACATACTTACAAGAAACTTCAAGTTCTGATTCCTAATTAACTTCAGCCTTATTTCTCACTATCTCTCCATCAGACTACAGGTGAGGAATTACCATTAGTGCAACAATTTGAACAACTATTTTAGAACTGGATGCAAAATTTACCTATAGGTCAGTCTATCAGTGATTCAATATCCAACAGGTCTAGGGATCAACTTAATGTTATTTGTCAACCTTTGCCCTCATTTTAGAATCTGGTTCTTTTGGTACCAAAAGTATACCATCAAATTTAGGTAATTGTTGATCAGCATGCTGCAAACAAAGACATCTGAGTAATTTTCTGAAATGACTAAATGGTTTGGGATTTTATGTATACAATCACTGTTAAGAATGGGTAATAGGATCAAAGAGCTATTAAAATTCAAAGAAGGGATGAATAAATAATCATGAACTTATATTTACATTTGAAACTATAATTGTCTAACAAATTGTATAACAAATTGTACATTTGAAACTATAATTGTATAACACTGATTAAGCACCTACTATGTATCAAACATCTTGTTATTTAATTTGCACGTCTTATTTCTTTGAAGTAAACAATAAAATGTTCATTTTATCCACATATGGAAATGTAGGCCTGGGGAGAATGCAAACATTTGAGAAGATCACACAGCTATTAGAAAGTGATCTGGGATTTGAATCCAAGCATACACCTGACTCCTAAGACTCTTCTATAAACTAAAAAGTGCTTTAAAAGAGGAGATAATTTTGCATTACCTGGGGAAAGGTCAATACTGAGAAAGAAAATATAAAACAATTTGAGGCAGCATTTAGAATTTTATACCTTATGCCATATCTCATTTGGACTATATAATCCATCAACTGATATTTTGCCTATTCATAATTTAATGATTTCTATAATAGCTTTCTAACATTTATATTTTAGTAAAAAATATATAATTTTATCAAAGAAAACACAAATTATTCTATTGGCATCTACTGTTGTACGTGTAATTCATAGTAAAACCATGCTTTTAAGAATGTATAATAATTTATTGTCATGGGACTATTTTACAGAGAATCCCTAGTATAAATTTTCATTTATTTTTCACAGAAAATTTTAAATGACATGTGTTCTGAAAATGTTATCCCCTAAAGATAAATAAACACACAAAATTGATTTCTCTCTGACCATTATTTAGAGAACATGGACATTTGAGATATATGAGGAAAACTAGAAAAACTAATTTCACCACTAGCTAAATAACCTACATTGAGACTGACATAACACACTTCTCAGAATAATCCTCAGTATATGAACATTTTTTTCCCAGTTTTAAACAATATCTGTTGAAGTCAAAGGACATTATAAAGATTATAAATAGTGTGAAAAGAAACATCAAGAAACTGGCGTAAGGAAAAGTGTTCTTTCCGAATGTGTCCTGTAACCATTTTTTAATGATTTTGCACAAGACATGAACAATATTAGAGAACAAAAACGAGTAATTATTGAGTTGATCATTTAAGCATATCAGACAGTTCTTGTAGAGCACAGAGGCATACTTGGTACTGGGCTAGCAGCCTTTCACACCTCTGCTGTCCCAGGCAATCACATGTTTTGCTGCATTTAGAATAAACTGCATTTAGAAAATTTGAAAGGAAATATATATTCAGGGCCTTCAGTATTTCTGACATTACACATACTTCAGTGTAAAATTTAGCTCTCCTAATATTGCTCCAGAAATTATCTGATTTTTTATTTTTATACTGGCATTTAAATGTGTGGAATATAATTATATAGAAGCTACAAAACTATCATGATGATCAATAGAAATGTAAATAAAATGTGATTTAATGACTGTGCAAGTTGTTTCTCTTGCCTGCCTACAGAGCTGCTTTGTGTCTTACCATTCACATATAGAAGACCTGATTTTATTAATCACTATGAAATAGAATGGGCATATTTCTTCCTTCATATCTGTTTTATATACCAGTTTATAAAATCTATCCTTAAAACAACATGAGGTTTCAACATAATAACAACTTAATAGCAACTGTGGCATTTCTCCCAATTTATAGGCATGTATGCATACATTTCTCTCTCTCTCTCTCTCTATCTTTTTTTTTTTTTTTTTTTGAGAGTTTCACTTGTTCACCCAGGCTGGAGTTGCAATGGTGTGATCTGGACTCACTGCAACCTCCACCTCCCGGGCTCAAGCGATTCTTGTGCTTCAGCCTTCAGAGTTGCTGGAACTACAGTCCCGCACCACGGACGCTCAGATAATTTTTGTTTTTTTAGTAGAGACAGGGTTTCACCATGCTGACCAGGCTGGTCTCGAACTCCTGACCTCAGGTGATCCGCCTACCTCTACCTCCCAAAGTGCTGGGATTACGGATCTGAGCCACTGCACCTGGCCAGGCATATATTTTTAAAGCAAACTCTCAAGATGCTGTAGACCTGTCAGCAAAGAGTTAAACGGTTGCTGATATAGGATATACTAACGCAATATTTTTGATAACCGAACAGATCACTTCCAATATCAGATCTTACAAGAATTTCAGATTAAAATATCTATGAGTTCATTGAGATTTTTAGGACAATAACAACAGAAAAAATGCACTTATTGGCCTACTGTCCCTGTGCTCATCTCATAATTCAAACCTGAAAGAGAAAATGTCACCTTAAATTGGAAAGATTATGGTAGCCAGGTGCAAAATACATTACTTTTCTCTACTATTCCTTAATATTTATCCCTGGGAGATAAAGTTACATAAAGATAAGAAAGCAAATCCAACCAAACATGTTAAAAACAACAACAAAACTTGAAAGTATTTTGTTGTGAGGGTTATTAGTCAAGATAGAATTATTCAGATCTAATTACATTCTTTGAAATAAAATGTAAATAGAGAGAGATATGGATGAATAATTTTTAGTTTTTAAAAGTAAGAATTATTTAAAGGTTTATTGAATATTCTTAATAAGAAACCATTTTTAAAAGGACAAACTTGTTTATTGTACATTTAAAAAAATTATCACCCATATATGGTGAAAATAATGTCTTTTTAAATGTTGACAAAATGAGGTAATAGGTTTTTATCAATTTGAATAAGACTGTCTCCTACAGCTGTTGGATTGTCAAACTCGGTTGAATAATGACAAAAATTCACAGTACTTTGAATGACTTATGAAAAATAAAAAAAATATAAATTGAGTAGGGAATAATTACATAGTAGAGTGCCAGAATAACAAAAATGCATCTCTGGTTTCCAAGAATTCCGGACACTCAGCTAAAAATAAGAAAGCTTTCTTTCTCTGGCTCCGCCAGTACTTCACTGCATGTCCTCTGATAAACCCACTTAGTCTTCCAGAGCCTCATTTTCCTTCCTTGTAAAATGAGAGATGGTGCTTGACCAAAAAAATCCTCAAGTCCTTCTAGTATCCAAGTTCTCCTATTTTGCATTATTATTCTCTCTACTCTATGTTTCCATCTTTTACCTTTACTTCTCTCTCCTCCTTTTTCTCTCTGAATCCCCTTTCTTCTCTTGTCCACTCTTTCTTCCACATCTGTTCATGTATGTGAGGGTGAGAGATATGTGTGTCTGTGTCTATATCTAGAGAACAAGAGTGTGCAAAATTTCTTTTGTAACACATATACAATTTATTTGAAATAGGTTATTTTTGATAACTGTATTATAAAAAATTTAAAGTTATGTTAGATTTAGTCCTTAATATAAATGAAATGTGTTAAGGAAACATTTCTTTCCTTTCAACTTTTGTAAATTATTTCATTGTCAAAATTAAGTAATAGAGCTGGTGAATGTTCTAAAATATAATTAGGAATTTTTTACACTTGGCTCGATAACTGGATAGAAACATACACAATGAAATTAACCAAACCTAAAGAATAAGTGAATTTTCATTCAGTTTAATGAGTAGCTAATTTAAAATATCAATGTTGGTAAACAAGTGCTGAAAATGCAAATTTTTTTTCCGTTTTTAATATTAAGATATTCTACATGCACTATTGACAGTGAACTGGTGCCACCTCTTTATTCTGAGACTAACAGTTGTCCTGGAGGAGAACCCCTAGGACTGGCTTTTCTGCAGACATACTTCATTGACACTATCTCATCATCCATTGGTTCATTGTTCTCAGTTTTGTATGAAAAAATGTCTCCTTGTTCCTTATTCACTTATCTGACACCACAGATGATGCCTTTGTGAAGCAGTAACTTTTTGTTCATGACATCTCAGTTAATATAAATAGAAGTGATGATAATTTCAGGTAGAGAAGAAACACTTGAAGATAGATGAAAATAGAGATAAGAGATAGAAATTGAGATAGAGATGAGAGAAGAGAGAGTTCTTCCAGTGTAAATATCTTTAGAAACACGTTCCCTAAAATTTGTCTGCCCTAATTTTAATATTTAACCTGAGACTTTAAATCATTTGACTACTTTTAGAAGGGTCCAATTCTATGCCTCACTCTCACCCTAGCTCCGTTATTTTGAAGCTGCTTGTTTTGCATTGTTTTCTATGATATTCCATAAAGTAAGAAGAGTAAGTTAGCCTTTTCACTTTGCATAACCATGAGAGGACCTGGGACACAGTAAGCACTTAAATATTCATTGAATGAATAATTTAAAGAAAATAACAGTGGGTTATACTGCATCTATTATTTTCTATGATTTAATAGCTCAATAGCAACTAGTTTTGGATGGTGAATCCAACTTGGAAGATTACTATATCTTGGCACCATGTCTTTGCTTTAAAATAAAATATCAGTATAGAAGGAACAAAATCATTGCAAAATTCTCACTGACAATATTTAGATAAAATATGTAATGAGAACAAAGGAAACAGAATGCACCTGGCAATTGCAGAGCACTTGCCCTTCCATTCTTTTGTCTGTTCTTCATGTAGTCACTCATCTTTACATAAATCATGTATTCATTCAACATTTATTAAACAGTGTTTCTCTGTCACTTTTTAAATGTTATTTATTTATTTTAATTTTTTTTGTGGGGGATGGAGTCTCACTCTGTCGCCCAGGCTGGAGTGCAATGGAGTGATCTCGACTCACTATAACCTCCACCTCGCGAGTTCAAGCAATTCTCCTGCCTCAGCCTCTCGACTAGCTGGGATTACAGGAGACCACCACCACGCTTGGCTAATTTTAGTGGAGAGGGAGTTTTACTATGTTGGCCAGTCTGGTCTCAAACTCCTGATCTCAGATGGTCCACCTGTCTCAGCCTCTCAAATTGCTGGGATTACAGGCGTGAGCCACCGCACCCAGCCTACAACTTTTAACGATAGTTGGAGAGATAAAAAACAATACAACAATAATGTAAGACCTCTTAAAGGAAAACTGTATAAACAATGACATTTAAAATATTTAAATTAATACAATGATAATGAAAGACCGCAGAGTCCAACTAAATGATTTAGAGTCAAAATAAAATTTAGCCTTTGGATCTCTATACTATATAAATGTATACATTATCTCATAGAAAGTTAAGAATCACATATAAGAGAGAAACGTAGGATTTTAGAAATGAATTACTTCCTCATTTTTAAAATATACGAAATAGGGTCATGCTCTTGTGAATCACCTATATTCCCTTTTCTTGAATAAATATTATACTACTAAAATACCTTGGTATAGGTATCTATGCTTAGGATCACACTAAACAAATATATCAAATGAAAGCTTAAGTACACATTACATTTTTTGTATACCTGCCCAGGGCAGCTCCTTCTCTCCAGCCATGATTGAACCACGACCCATATGTATTCCTTCACTTTCCATTTCACTTAACAAGTTCCAGCTGCATTGACCATTCTCCAATGCTCAGTAGTGCTCTAAATCTCTTTCCCATTAATCAACAATATGAGGAGGGAGGCAGTATTCCCTAACTACTCTCAGTGGAAGCGAAAAATTGGATTCAGAAGGCATTGGCAGGAATTTTCATACACAGAAGTGGTGAAATCAGACGGGATCCATTCCTACCCAGATGTAAATCCCCCTCCAGCTGGTACGCTCCAGAATTTTACTTTATTAAATATACAGAAAATTTCACTTGATTTTTGTAGCTGTTGATTGATTTCATGAAAATATTTCTTTTGCTATATTTAAAACAAATCACCACGAACCAAACCACTCATGCTGTTGTATGACTCCTGTGGCTGGAAATTCTCATCATCAAGAAACTCTGATGTGACTTGGGGGTATCTACACTTTCCCTCTCCTGTGATTCACAGAACACTTGAAAAAATGCACTTAGAGGGGACAATGGAAAAACATAAAGCCACTGTAAGCTTTAAATGCACAGATGATATGTAAGGCTAAATTAGTCCCTAAGGGATTATTGTCTCTCTGCCCAGAAGTAAACCCTCTGTAAATAGAAATTTCCCTCGGTTTAATCTTTCAGGGTCTTCATTTTTCTGATTATTTGCTGCCTGAGTATCTCCTGTATTAGTTACAACATTCTGCTCATGTCTGCTCTTAACTAACTCAATTAATAGTCTCAGGCTTCTCTGCAATTCATCCACTGAGGAAACAAATCCCTTTTCCCACAGGTCAGGGAAAGAAAAACTGAAAGGGTCTACTTTGAAATGGAAATGAGGGAGCAGAAAGATGAAGGAAATAAAATAAGTACTGAAGGCAGTGCTTTCCATATTTTCCCTCTTGAAGTATTGCTAATAGCAGAGATGAGTGGAGATGTACCCTCCTATTAGTCCCTGGGCAGAGCCAGGAGTAACACATCTCTAACAGATTTTCTTTGAATTCTCAAGTTTAATCGTTAAAAGTAAAATAATTTGCAGGCTACTATATAACATAGATGTTCATCTTAGTATCATATAATGTAGGTTGTTTTTTTATTAGAATTAACTGTAATACCACCTAGAAAATAATGGCATCGTTATGACATTTCCTTCCCCTATTCATAAGTGTAATATATTTTTCCATTTGATAAACTTTTTTCTGAGTCCTTCAGAGTCTTTTATATTTTAGTCTCATGTATGTTTTGAACATTTCTTGCTATCCATATGTGTTTTATTTCCTTTCTATCATAAATGAAACTTTCTCTTCCATTATATTCATTTTTAATGGAAGATTAATATTAATAATTAATAATAATGGAAAATAATATATCCCATTATTATTTTCATTTGAATATACAATGGCTATTGATTTGTATGCTAATTTTATTACCTTCTACTTTGCTACATTTTCTTATTGTGAAAAGGATTAGCTTTTCCTTAGATTATTTTGGAGTTTCCAAATATCTAATTGTATCACCTGTAACTAAAGTCGTTTTTACTTTTTGTTTTTCTTCTAGGTTTTTACGTTATTATTTGTTTTAGATGTCTGGCAATTTCTTCTAAAACAATGTTAAAAGGCCATGGAAATAATGGGTTTCCTTTCCTTCTTCCTGTATTTGGTGAAAATTATTTAATGTTTCTTCTTTAAATAAGATATTGCCTTTTCAGCAGAGGCATATTATGTGTTAAAATATAGTTTTCTTGTTAAAAAATTATTAGCTTCTATTTTAACTGTCTTTTACTTGAGTGGATGCTGAATTTTGCCAAGTATCTTTTGTAGTTCTATAATCAATTATTTTTTGTTCTATTACAATGGAGGAGTTTATTAATTATAATATATTCACCTCACAGTACCCTTGTATTCTACAATTAACTTCACTTGGTCATGATGTATAATTTTTCAATTGTTCCTGAATTATCTTTGTTGATATTTAACATTTAACAATTATTTGATGTTATACTTCTGATTTTAATTTTTTATACCATTTGTTTTGTGGTTTTTTAGTTTACTTTGTTGTTTTTAATTGAAGGCTGTGAATTGAGCACTTATTAATACCTCATTTTATTTTATTGACCCAATTACTTTAACGCTATGTTTTTCTTTGATAGTGCTTTAGCTTTACCCCATGATTATGATATATTTTATTTTCATTATAACTTTTTACATAAATTTTGAAATTTAATTTTTATACATTTTCAACAATATGTCCTTTTTAAAAAAAGTGCATGAGATCTTTTCACTTCTATTATTATTTTTAGTTGTACGCTTTACATGTTGAGAACAATTTTTTTTAAAATTTTTCTTCTAGGGAATTCAATGGGGTTTAGTACGTGGCCTACAGTGCAGTCCATTTTTATGCATAGCCAAAGGACTTCGAAAGCAAGATAAATCTTTTATTATCAAAGTTCAGAGTTTTATCTGATATCTATTTGTTCTGTATGAGATTACAAGAGATGTGCTAAAGTCTTTCTTCTTAATAAATTTCACCAAGATTTGCCTGTCCATACCATAAAATCTAGGATTCATCCTCAATGAATCTCAAATCCACATATACATCTTAATTCTCACATTATTACTCCATTATAGGTAGCTATTGTTTCCTGCCTAGAATATCTATCTCCTAATGACATAAATAGCTCGTCTCCATTCTGCCCAAAGCCAGGAAATAAGATCATACATTTCCTATCTAAAAATCATTAATGTTAGCTTAAGATACAATCAAAATTTCTTCATGTATTTTACAATAACCTGCCTGTTCACCATCCTCATTTTGCAGTGCCTTCCACATCTCTCAGTAGATATCAGCCTAGGCTAAACTTTTTCCATTTTCTTCAAAATGTTAAGAACTTTAAACTTCTAGATCTTTGCATGCGCTAGTCTCTTTAACTGAAATATTTTACCCATCACTCTTCTCCTACTAAACACATAGTTCCTTTGTCACTTAGAGAAAGAAGTCTTCCTGTCTTTGTCTCCCATTATTTCCCAATTTAACTTAATTCTTGAAGTTTTCTATCATTGAAGTTATATAAATATGTAATTATACTTTATTTTGTAAGTATTTACTTAATGTGTTACTCTCCACTAGTCTGTAAATTTTATGAAGGCAAGAACTATTTCTGGCTGGATTTTTTCCACATTATATCTCTACAATCCAGTGTAGTGCTTATAAATGCTCAATAAATAATTGTGGAATAAAGATATACAAGTGTTTTCAATAATTTCACAACAATATAAATGTTTTAACATAATGCTTTTGGACTTATAATGGGAGGTGCATTGCAGCACATTGAGCAATTTAGAAATGGGCTGCATTTACCTAGTAGATTCCTTAGGTTGGACATCTGACAATAAAGTAGGAAAAGAAATTTTACACATGCATAATACCCCACCTGCAAAAAAAAAAAAAATCACCAAAACAATAAAACTTTAGCATAATCAGCATAATCACCTGTGTAATAATTAGAGGCAGATAACTGTTGATTTGTCTTTAATTTATGGTGAAGATGTATCTGCTGAGTTTTTGTGGTTTAATATAGCTGCATGAGAAAAATGCCTAAAAATTTTCTGAATGAGATTCAAATTGTGACCTGTTGCATATCTAAAACAGTTCTTGTTAGCTATAAAACTAATTAAAAGCGACAAGTAAGTGTAATAAAAATATTCGAAGACAATAATTTTTATCAAAACTACTTCTATAAAGGTTCCCCACGCTTCTGTGGAATCAACTACACATTACCCCAGAGATATGAAAATTGCAAAATGAATTACCATTTTAGAAAGATCAAACTATACTGTCAATTCCTGTAAAATATATGAAGACGCTGACACCTAGAACTAGAAGTTAATCACTTAACTTTCATCAGATCTCGTCTTGAACTCTCAAGGTCCCTGCTATGGTTTGAATGTGTCCTCCAAAGATCCTGTTTTCAAAGCATGACCCCCAAAGTGAATGTGTTGAAATGTGGTATCACTAAGAGCTGTTTAGGTAATGACAGATGTGCCTTCCTGAACAGATTAGTGTCATTATTGTGAGAAGAAATTCTTTAGCATGGAAGTTAGTTTCTTTTTTATTATTATTATTTTGGATTGGGGGGTTACACGTGCAGGTTTGTTACATGGATGTATTGCATAACGGTGAGATTTGGGCTTCTATTGAACCCATCACACAAATAGTTAACATTTTACCCAACAGATAATTTTTCAACCCTCACTGCCCTCCCTGTATCCTCCCATTTGTAGTCAATTATTTTTGTCTTTATGTCCACGTGTACCCACTCTTTAGCTTCCACTTAGTAAGACTATGCAGTGTTTGACGCTCTGAGTTATTTTACTTATGAAAATGGCCTCCAGTTCCATCCATGTTGCTTCAAATAACATAATTTCATTCTTTTTTTCATGGCTCAATAGTATTCCATGGCATGTATATAACACATTTTCTTTGTGCAATCAACCACTGATGGACACTTAGGTTGATTCTATGACTTTGCTATTGTGAATAGGGCTCTGATAAATGTACAAGTGCAGGAGTCTTTTTAAAACACCATTTTTTTTCTTTGAGCAGATACCCATAGTGGGATTGCAGAGAGGATTTGTAGTTCTAATTATAGCTCTTTAGGAAATCCCCACACTGTTTTCCATAGAGGATATACTAATTTACATTCCCACCAACAGTGTATCTTTGCCAACATCTGTCATTTTGTTTTCTCTTTTTCTCTGCTTCCTCGCTAACATCTGTTGTTTCCTGGCTTTTTAATAATAGCCATTATGCTTGGTATGAGATGAAATCTCACTGTGGTTTTAGTCTTCATTTCTCCGATGATTAGTGATGTTGAGAAATTTTTCATATATTTATTGGCCATGTAAATGTCCTCTTTTGAGAGGCGTCTGTTCATGTCTTTTGCCCACTTCTTAATGGGGTCATTTATGGAGTTTTTTTTTTAACTTTTATTTTAAGTTCAGGGGTACAAGTACAGGTTTGTTTCATAAGTAAACTTGTGTCATATGGGTGTTTGTTTTATAGATCATTTCATCACTCAGGTATTAAGCCTAGTACCTACTATTTTGTTGCCTTAATTTCCTTATGAATTCTGGATATTAGAGCTTTATTGGATGTATAGTTTGTGAATATTTTCTTCCATTCTGGAGGGATTGTCTGTTTACTCTCTTGATAATTTATTTTACTCTGCGGAAGTTCTTTAGTTTCATTTGGTCCCACTTGTCAATTTTTGTTTTTGTTGCATTTGCTCTTGAGGTCTTAATCGTAAATTCTTTGCCTATGCCAATATCCAGAAAATATTTTCCTAAGTTTTCCTCAATGATTTTTATAGTTTCAGTCTTTATATTTAAATCATTAATCCATCTTCAGTTAATTTTTGTATATGGTAAAGATAGTGGCCAGTTTTGTTCTTCTGCATATGGCTAGCCAATTTATCCAGCACAATTTTTTGAATAGGGTGTCCTTTGCTCATTGTTTATTCTTGACCACTTTGTCTAAGATTAGTTGATTGCAGTTACACGGCTTTATTTACAGATTCTTTATTCTGCTCCATTGATCTATATGACTGTTTTTGTACCAGTACCATGCTGAGTTTGTTACTAATGCCTTGTAGAATAGTTGGGAGTTGGATATGTGATGTCTCTGGCTTTGTTCTTTTATGTTAGGATTACTTTGGCTATTTGGGCTCCTTTTTGGTTCCATATAAATTCTAGAATTGTTTCTTCTAATTCTTTGAGAAGTGACCTTGATAATTGGTAGGAATTGCATTGAATCTGTAGGTTGCTTTGGCAGTGTGATTGTTTTAATGATACTGATTCTTTTAATTCATGATAATGTATTGTTTTTCTTTTGTTTGTGTAATCTCCAATTTCTTTCATCAGTGTTTGTAATTCTCTTTGTACAGATTTTTTACCTCCTTGGTTACAGGTATTCTTAGGTTTTTTTTTTTTTGACCCTTGCAAATGGTATTGAGTTATATTGATTTGGTTCTCAGCTTGAGTGCTGTTGGTGTTTAGAAATGCAAGTTATTACTATATGTTAATTTGCTATTGTAAAACTTTACTGAAGTTGTTTATCAAATCTAGCACTTTCTGGAGAAATCTTTAGTGTTTTCTAATATCATATTACCAGCAAAACAAAAGATCATTTAACATCCTCTTTTCCAATTTGGATGCTTTTTCTTTCTTTTCTTTTGCCTGATTGCTCTGGTTGGAACTTCCAGTACTTTGTTGAATTGGAGTGGTGAGAGTGGGTATCCTTGTCTTGTTCCAGTTCTTAGTGAGATGCTTTCAACTTTTCCCATTCCATATAATGTTGGTTGTGGGTTTGTCATAGACAGCTCTTATTATTTTAATAAGTGTTCCTTCTATGTCTAGGGTTTGAAGGTTTTTATTATGAAGGTGAGAGGTGAAGACAGCTGGACTTCCTGGGTCCAGTGACTTGGAGAACTTTTCTGTCTAGCTAAAGGTTTGTAAATGCACCAATCAGCACTCTGTAAAAATGCAACCATCAGTGCTCTGTGTCTAGCTAAAGGTTTGTAACTGCACCAATCAGCACTCTGTAAAAACGCACCAATCATTGCTCTGTGTTTAGCTAAAGGTTTGTAAACGCATCAATTAGCACTCTGTAAAAAGGGACCGATCAGCAGGACATGGGCAGGGACAAATAAAGGAATAAAAGCTGGCCACCAGAACCAGCAAGGGCAACCCACCCAAGTCCCCTTCCACTCTGTGGAAGCTTTGTTCTTTCACTCTTCACAATAAATCTTGCTGCTGCTCATTCTTTGGGTCCGCACCACCTTGAAGAGCTGCAACACTCACTGCAAAGGTCTGCGGTTTCAATCCTGAAATCAGCGAGACCACGAACTCGCTGGGAGGAACAAACAACTCCAGATGCGCTACCTTGAAGAGCTATAACACTCACTGCGAAGGTCTGGGGCTTCACTCCTGAAGTCAGCAAGACCACAAACCCACCAGAAGAAAGAAACTCCAGACACATCCAAACATCTGAAGGAACAAACTCCAGACACATCATCTTTAAGAGCTGTGACACTGACTGCGAGGGTCTGTGGCTTCATTCTTGAAGTCAGCGAGACCAAGAACCCACCAGAAGGAACCAATTCTGGACACAAAGGGATGCTGGATTTTATCAAATGCTTTTTACTATCTAAAGAGATCATCATAGAGTTTTTAATTCTGTTCATGTGGTGAATTACATTTATTGATTTACATATGTTGAACCATCCTTGCATCCCATTTGAAAATGGATCAAGTGGATAAAATCCATGTTTTTGTGATGGATTATCTTTTTGATGTGCTATTGAAGTTAGTTGGCTAGTATTTCCTTAAGAACTTTTGTATAGTTGGCTAGCATTTCCTTAAGAACTTTTATATCTATGTTCATAAGAAGTATTGGCCTGTAGTTTTGTGTTTTTTGTTGTGCCCTTACTAGATTTTGGTATCAGTATTTTACTGGTTTTAAAGAATTAGTTAGGGAGTCACTAAAGAACTTATTCATGTAACCTAAACCACTTGTACCCCAAAAACTATTGAAATTAAAAAAAAACCCTCTAGGGAGCTGGGCATGCTAGTGCATACCTGTAGTCCTAGCTACTCAGGAGTTGAGAGGGAAAAATGGCTTGAGGCCAGGACTTCAAGGTTACAGTGAGCTATGATTGCATCACTGCACTCCAGATCAGGTGACAAAGCAAGACTTAGTTTCCGAAAATAAAGTTCAAAAAAAAAGAATTAGGGAGGGTTTCTCCTGCTCAACATTTTGGAATAGTATCAGTAAGACTGGTAAAGTCTATCCACTGTGTATCTCATAAAATTTGGCTGTGAATCTTTCTGGTGTTTGGCTTTTATTTGTTGGTATATTTTAAATTACTGATTAAATTTTATTTACTCACAATTGGTTTGTTGAGGATTTCAATTTCTTCCTGATTCGATCTTCAGGGATTGTATGTTTCCAGAAAATTATCCATTTCCTCTAGGCTTTCTAATTTGTGCTCATAGATATGTTCACAGCAGTCTCTGATATCTTTTTTTAATTTTGTGGTATGAGTGGCAATGTTTCCTTTGCCATTTCTGATTGTGCTTATTTGAATCTTCTGTCCTTTTTTATTGGTTAATTTAGTGCATCATCAATTTTGTTTAGCCTTTCAAAGGGTCCATTTTTCTTTTCATTGATTCTTTGTACATTTTTTGGTCTCAATTTCATTTAGCTCTACTTTGATCTTCATTGTTTCTTTTCTTCTGCTAGCTTTGTGTCTTGTTTGTCCTTGTTTATCTAGATTCTTCATGTATGACATGGGGTTTTTAATTTGAGATCTTTCCAACTTTTTCATTCAGGATTTCATGCTATAATCTTTCCTCTTATCACAGCTTTTGCTGTATTCCAAATATTTTGGTAGGTTGTGTCTCTATTTTCATTTGGTCAAACTTTTTTTTTGGTTTCTGATTTAATTACATTGTTTTCCCAGAAGTCAACTCCAAATATATGTTTTTGTATTTGAGTATCTGGTTAGCTTATTTTGGGCTTCTGTTTTTTACTCTTTTAGTAACTAACTAAAATAAGGTTAGTTAGATTTAGTGACCTAACTATGCAAATGCAATCTTAATTAGTGTGTTACTATTTATGTAGCATATGTATATGAAGAAATAGAGAGAAGAAAGTTCATGGAAAGCCATTTGAACAAAATATTTTTATAATACTATTAACGGCCAAAAGCTTTTATGTTTGGCATTGAAAAATCAGTGTGAGCAAGGAAGGAAAGCACAAATGTGTCACAGCTATTCCTCAACTCTATCAATTTTGCAGCCAGTTAAAGGTGGCTATCAGTTCCAGTATTATTTTTATGTTACTTTAGAAAGTTTTGGATAGGAATGCATGCATCTTTGTTAGATTAAAGGAATATGAATCATGGAATAAAGAGACAGAAAAGTTTTTATAGAAAACAGAAATGGAAACAGTGTAATCCCAAAATAAATGTATTTCAAAATTTGACTGTGTGTTTAAATTTAAATTTAAAATTTAAAATTATTGCAGCAGTAATGTGTCTACATTATCGCTGTAAGGATGTTGGAGCTTCTATGGAATAAACAGGCAGGGATTTCAATCTTGTTGGCCACTTAGTAGGTGTGTTACCTTGGCCATGCAACATCTCCATGAACTTTTGTTTCCTTACAAATTAAATGGAAGTGAGGACTATGAAAATATGTATTATAAATGTGATGCAAATGTGTAGCACTTTAAAGTATTAGTTTTTATCATCATCAGGTAATATTTAATGATAAAACTTTAAGTTTGAATACTAATAGCTATATTATCATTTTATTTCTCCATGATAATCTTGAGAGAGATTGTAAATAACCTGTTAAATAAATGTTAAATATTCCACTTCAATTGTAAATGAGATTTTGAACTTAATAACAGCTTAGGTTATATTTCAAATGAATTGTATAATAGATAATGTCATAATGATAGTCATAGTAACCACACACATAGAAGGATTGAGGGAATTAAATATGCCAAGTAACTTTTTGCAGCATTTTTCCTCTGAACCACCTGCTAAATCTGAGAGAAAGGAAAAGAAAACGAGGGTAAATTTTTCTATTGGAGCTTCCTTTTTCCTTGTTGAGTTTGATAAAATTAAATCCACAGAGGTAAAAGTATTTTAAGTTTGTATTAAAGTGTATAAACCATGTTTTGTTTTCCTATCAGTCTACAGTTAGGTTTTGAAGCAGCTCCAATCAAAAGACAAATTTTTCTGAACTACAGTGCACCTCTACTCTCCCTTTGCTCTTTCTTAGCTTTCTTTCCTTGTCCATTCCTTCTCCGAGCTCACAGATACAGGTATTTTATTACACTCTGTTGTCATTCACCCCAGAAGAGTACCAGGATATATTTCAAGACACTCTCCAAACTTCCTTGTTAATGTTTTCATCAGAATATAATGATTTCAAACTCTTTGTCTAGCCTATGCTATTCAACAGCACTTTTATCATCTGACTTAGTTTCTTCCCTGTGATCTTTGACATATTGCATCACAGGTCATATTGCATCAGAGTTTCTGCATTAGCTAAGAATATGTGCTTCCTTCACTGAAAAGAAACTTCAACCAGTTTATTGAAAAACTATTAAATTCCAAACTTCCTAGTTCATAATTTGGACATCATTATAAGCTATTCTCAATAACAGTATCTATTCCTATAAATCAAAATAGTAGATGCTCATATCAATTAGGTATGTTTCTTCAGTTAAATTAAGACAAAAGAATCAAGCTATGCATTGTGCTAAGCAGGGGAATGTAGAAAAAACAAAGGACTCATTAAATTTCTAAACTGACAAATATGCTGATGTCATCTAATTAATTGAAGCATACATACAAATTTATATGACCTTGTAACTCTTAAAGAGAAGGCTTAAACAGTATTATAACAGCTCTTATATGCCAATCCTGTCAGCTTGTTATATTTCTTCTTTAGTTTATTATCTTATTTGTACCTACTAGCTTCACAGTACATGTGATTCAGATTCATACATTAACAAATTACAACTCCTTACCTGTGGAAGATGTTTAGTGCTATTTTAAAATACAAAAATTAAAATAATTCTAAGAATGCTGAGTATAGGCTGAGTTACCTTTAATATTTTTAACTGTGTCCAGAATTTTAAGCACTTTATTAGCATTACCATCCTCAAAGAGCTTTGTTTACTATTTATGTAACATTTTTTGTACTTTATATATTTGTATTTATAATGATTTTAAATAAATCCCTCCTTCATCTACTTTTATTTACTATTGCCTTGTTAAAATTAATAGCATTAATAATATTCTAATTTAGATTGGGTTAGAAATCATACTTATTCATTGATTTTTAGTATACATTATAATAAACACATAAACTTGAGTTAAAAATGGACAGCCATGTACCACTTAAAATCAGCTCATAAGGTGCCTGCATTAATATGCTAGGGCTGTCTCAACAAAGTACTATTGACTGTGTGGTTTAATCATCATAAATTTATTTTCTTACAATTCTGAGGGTTAGAATCCTGAGACCAAATTGTTGCTAGGGTTAGCTTGTTCTGAGGGCTGCGAAGAAAGCATTTGTTTCCAGCCTCTCCTCTTGACTTGTAAATGGCCATCTTTTCCCTGAAGTTCCTCTTCCTTCTGTTCATGTGTGTGTCCAAATACCCTCTTAGGGACACAAGTCATATTGGATTAGGTCCCACAATAATGGCCTTGTTTTAACTTAATTACTACTGTAAAGACCCTATTTTCAAACATGGTCAAATTCTGAGTTATTGGTGGTTAAGATTTCAGTGTAAGACTTTTTTGGGAGACATAATTCAACCTATAACCGAGCCTAATGGAATACTTTCTTGTGTGTGACATGAACTTTTTCTTTATTTTGCCTTTTTTAGACTGATGGCTGTATTTGGAATGACCTTCCTTCTATGTAGGAATCGATTTCTGCATATTTCAATTTTATTACACTTCAAGGAAAACCACTAATAATGCCCTTTTACACAATTTTTCTGATCCCCCTATTTCTTTCCCCACAAACCAAATAAATGACGCCTCTCATTCTCTAAACTCTAAGAGTACATTAGTTGCATCTCTCCTTAGGATTATTTCCCTTTAACAGAAGTGCATTGGTTTAATATTAAGGAAGAAATTGTTTTAAAGAAAATTTGTTTTATAAGAGGCGTATTGTGTTCTTTTCCCTTCATAGAACAATTATTAAAAGGTAATATTTCTAATATTTCAATTGAGGACAAGGAGAAATAACAACAAAAGAGAGTTGTAAAATAAGAGTGACAATAAGAAAGAGATAAGGAAAAGAAGGCACTTTTATTTTATTTATTTATTTTGTTTTTGAGACGGAGTCTCACTCTGTCGCCCAGGCTGGAGAGCAGTGGCATGATCTCAGCTCACTGCAACCTTCGCCTCTCGGGTTCAGGTGATTCTCCTGCTTCAGCCTTCCAAGTAGCTGGGATTACAGACATGCACTATGATGCCTGGTAGCTTTGCTTGTGCAAATAGAAAGATTAACCACATTTCTAAATCATTTATTTTCTGGTTTTAGTCACTCATTAGTTTCTATTATTCTCTCCATATTGGGTTTGTGATATAGCTGAATCCTTCCTTAAATCCACATCCGTCATCTTTCTTTCTTTCTTTCTTTTTTTTTTTTTTTTTTTTTTTTTTTGGGGGGGGGGAGCATTTTGCTCATCACTACTTCAACCCCTTTGAAGGCATATTTTAGTGTTTAAGTAATACTTCATAAAAGTTTCATGAGAAAATTCTTATGCTATTTTTGAGTTTGCAATGTCATGAGATCTGTGATTTTATCAACATAGGAAAAAAATGACATTTCTTGCCACTTATGATAAGCATAAAGCTTTCTGCCCTTGTTATACATCTAATCCAGTAAACCACTACCCCTTAGCTCTAGAGTACCTTAGGAACAAGGATGTCCCAAAAGTTAAAGTGATGAAAAATAAGAATTTGAGAGTTTAATGTTCCCACTCAGGTCCTTTTTATTAATGTGAATATTATATATGTTTTTAGAGACATTTTGTTTTTATTTATGGACATACTCATATTTCTCCTTCAGAAGCAAAATAAAACTATACATTATCTTCACCATCATCAAATACTGGCTGAACGCCAACTGTGTACAATGTCTAGTGTTAGAACCTGAATATACCACAGAGCTATAAGACACATAGCACTGCAATAAAAAAAACACAGCACATGTTAAGAGAGCTCGCAAATATATATATTCATAAATTTATATACTTATAAACATATGTTTATAAAATAAATATTCATAAAAGAGAACATGCGATAAATATCAAATAAGTGGCTTAGACACATAATGTTTACAGGAGTTCAGAAGATGGTTCAGAATTTGTAACATTTCAAATAGGTTTCATGAGTGAAATAACTCAAGTAGACCTTTGGATGAAAGGCAGTACTTATTACAGAGAAAGACAGTTTTCAATTAAGATACAAACAGTAGCGAAAAGTGTGGCAGCATCCATATATCCCCTTAGTGCTTCAGTAGAATTTGTTATAACTGTATTTCAGTGCTCATTATTGCTAGTCCTTGATATGACCCAGGTTCTGATTTACCACAGCACTTAATGTACCCTTATCAGGTGTGCTGAGTTCACATGCAAATTACTATATTCTTGCCTTCCTTGGGAGGAAAAAACAACAGGATATAAAACAATGGAAGACAAGTTCTACTGAAGTCCATAAATTCCAGGCTAAAAATTAATCTGATGAGCAATAAAATTATTACAGATCTTGAGGAATAATGGAAAAAAACTTAAAGCATGCAGAACCCTCATAAAGTCATTGCACATATATTGTTTTGAGTTAAAGGGTCTTCTAGAATGTTGTCAGTAGGAATACAAGGAGATGAATTTCAAAGTATTTTAATAAAAAATTTGCAACTTTGTTTAATGTATTATTACTTAAAATACACAGAAAAATGATTTGATCAGAAGACATTTTTGCAAAGATGGTGTTGTATATAGCAGGTTGACAGCATTTCTTTCCCCGAATATTTAATGTAATAAAAAATTAACTAAAACTAACCAAAATAATAACAATAATAAAACAATAAGAGCAAGAATATTATGAACTAAAAAATATTTATAAACCTATGCCTAAACTTCTTGCCAAGGAAATAAGCTGAAAAATGCTAGTGTATGTTAACCTTATATAGAAAAGCTGTGGTTTCAAACAAGCAGAAACTGGGGAAGAAGGTAAGTCAACAAAATCATCACACTTCCCCCATCAACATAGAAACCGGTACATGAGTCAAGGGCAAACCTTTGAGAACCTTCTGCATACCTACATTGTACCTCATCAAGCATAGAAAAAGGCCACTAAGCTTTCCATCTTTTAGGGAATAGCACTGAAGTAGAGAATGGGTAAACTCCATTATCAGATTTGTGAAGTTAGTCCTAGTACATGGCATTTCAAAAATCAGGGACATTACAGAGCCCAGATTCCACAGACCACTGCATTCTCCATCAGTGAATCTGTCAATTCACCTCATGCAATCCTCAAACTTCACACTCAACTTGCAGTTAAAAAAGACAGAAAAATAATATCCAGTTATTATAATTTTGGCAACATGTACATGGACAGTAGTTTCAAAGAAGATGGAAAAGATTTTAAGAATACTCACTAGACCGGGCATGGTGGCTCATGCCTGTAATCCCAGTACTTTTGGAGGCCAAGGTGGGCAGATCACAGGGTCAAGAGTTCAAGACCATCCTGGCCAACATGGTGAAACCCCGTCTCTGCTAAAAATACAAAAATTAGCTGGGCATGGTGGCTTGTGCCTGTAGTCCCAGCTATCCAGGAGGCTGAGGCAAGAGAATTTCTTGAACCTGGGAGGCCGAGATAGCAGTGAGCTGAGATCATGCCACTGCACTCCAGCCTGGCAACAGAGTGAGACTCTGTCTCCAAAAGAAAAAAAAAATACTCACTCACTGAAATCCATTATACCAAATGAAGAAATGAAGGTTATGATTGATGGGAAATTAAATACATAAGTGAATAATAAATTCTATACAAGATTTCTCAATATTGCCTTCTCCCTTTCTTGTATGAACATGATAAATATAAATGCCATGATGTTGCACACATTGATTATTGTTTGCCTCTAATACTACCCTACACTTTTTCCCCCACTTTGCAGAAAAGCCCAATTTCACTCAGAACTGCCATGTCTCCAGGCCTAGAAAAATAATCATGATTGCTTTAAATCCTTTGATAAGGTCATTTTTTTTCCAGCTTACCTTGCACCTGGGAGTCACCATGAGACTGAAGATTCTCTCCCCATGGATAAAAGAATAGCCCTTTGCCTATCATACCCCTGCAGAAAGAAATATAAATAAAATTATAGTATTAAAAAGTACATATGAATGAAGAATAGAAATTCAACATACTTTTTTTTTCAATTTCTACAACCTCTTCTTGCTCACACAATTGCCGAACTTTGAGCCCAACATAGTCTGGGTATTAAAAAGAAAATTATAGTAGATGAGAGAAAGATTATACCCCAATGTCACTGGCTCATCTGTAGTATCTACAATCTTGCAAATAGTATCTGAGTGTGCTGGACCAAGAAAGATTGAGTTTAATTTTGCTTCAGTCAGAATATACTGATACAGATGTCCTAACACAATGTTATGTATGCAGCATTCTGGCTCTGGTAGACAGCTGCAGTTTTACTTTATGGCTTAGCTAAAGCAAACGTAGATCTAAATCTGTACTATAGATATTGTGGGACAGAAACATGTTTACATAATATAGTAAAAGCTACTTAAAAAACTTGGGAGATGGAAATGTTTTGGATTCATCATGTGCTTATGCTCCCTCTAAAAATGGCTAATTTAAAGAGAGAGAGAGATTTGAAAGACTTGAACTTCATTCTAATTTGGATGAATTATTTGTGTGTCAGAATCTTAATAGTCCTATGCAGTTTTGCCATACGGTGTATGCTGGTGGGGAGATCTTCAATTAAAACATAGGCTCCCCATTTTCAATTGTACTGGAAGGGACTAAGTATTGACAAGCAGAGGTGGCTACAATTTTCCACCAAAAGCAAAGTGGTAATGGTACTTATCATAGTTAGCAGAAGGATCAGATATCTAAGATTGTTTTATTACATTGAAGAGTCAGGTTTTAGCTTGTTGAATTAGTTATTCCAAATGATAAAGTCAATAGGCAAACTAATAAGAATATATGACTAACATAGCATACCTATGACATCAGTCACTACGCTAGAGGGTTTGGTACCACCATTACCTGTAACACCTAGAACAACTTGACTGAAGGTGGGTATTTCTGTTCTGGAGAAAGATTAAAACCCACAGCTATGTAGAACTATTGAGTACTTAATCCAGTTCCATATTAAGTCCAAAGAACGTGGAATACTGGTCCAGACAGATCCATGAGAGAAATTATGGGAGGACTAGAGATAAAATTCTCAACTAAGTCTACCTAACAATTGTCCCATTTAGAACTAAAAAAAATTTATAACATCATTCTCTGGAAAAATACTCTCTGAATTAGTTTTTTTTTTTAATTTATGGAGAATTATAATATATAGGAAATGATAAGTATGATACCAAGTATATACATCAATAAATTATAACAACCAGAACATAATTTTATAAAAAATTTTGTATTAAATGGACCTCAGGAGCTCCCTTTATGCTTCCCTCCAATTACTTCTCCCTCCCTGTCTTAACTGATTTTCTCACTAATAATTTATAATTAGTTATTATAATAGTTTTGCCCATTTTGTATTTTTATCAATGTAACTAACTATATAATACATACTATTTTGAGTTTGTCTCCTTTCACCACGTATTATGTTTGTGAGGTTTAGCAAGATTGTTGTACATATTATAAATTATTCTCTCTCAGTATATTATAGTATTTCCTTGTATGAGTATACCATTAATCAATTCTATGGTAAGGAGTATTTGAGTAGCTTTGACAAACCCATTTTATAAATTGGTTATACTAATTTAAGTTCCCACAAACCATGTATGAAAGTTCTGAATATTTCACCTGTTCAACTCTGATGTTCATAGTAGGAATTTTCATTTAGTCATTTTTGTGTGATTGTATTGGTATATGTATAGCAGTTTGATTTTAATTTGCAGTCTCTGGTGATTAATGAAATTGAACACTTTTTCATATATTTATCACTAATTTGGAAACCTCTTTTGCAATGAGTATAAAATATTTTACATGTATAAGTTAGGTTTTCTTTTTTGATACATTTTCTGAATGAACACAAGATCATTTCCCATGATAAAAGTGTTCTTACTAACCCAGTGGACAAGCTAACCCAATCTTCATATATTTGTGAGTGTTCTTCACTCAGCACAGGACTTAATTATCTCATGAGCAAAACAGCCAGCTGGCAGGAATGTAATCCAAACGTAGTTTCAAACGTGGACTCCCTCAACAAGGCACCACTGATTTTGGTACCATCATTATTGAAAGTCTAATTTGCTACCCAAAATGATAAATATAAGTAATATCTGTGAAAGTATCTATGTCTACGCACTTTTCTTGTCAGTCATTCCATCACAAAGTGTTGCTGCCTCCTTGGGCCCTACCTAGGAAACAACAGATAGGACTTGTCTCTTTTCATCTCTTTCTCTCTCTCTCTGTAGCTCTGTGCAGTCTTTTATTTTAAGGAAGTGGGGCATTAGCAGGAGGAGGAGGCCTAGTTTCACTTTTTATGTTTCTCCCAAATCTCTCTCTTACCTAGAGTTTCTTAAGGCTTCAGAACTTCAAAACCAAAGCCGGAAAGACTCCTATATTTATTTACTTCCTACCAAATCTCGTTACCGAAGCAATGATCATGAGGCTGATAAAATCTTAGTTGGAGGAAAATAATAATTATATAAATATCATAACAATGGTATTATTGTGATAACATTACCCCTACACGATGAATTTTCCATAATAGTCTCAGGGTTTTTTTTTTTTTTTTTTCATTTTAACTGAGTGAACTTGAACAAGTTATTTAACCTTTCTAAGCCTCATTTCCTTCAATTAGTAAAGGGTCCATAATAGCAATGTTTCAGCAGTTTCATGATTAGTAAGTGACTCAGTACAGCATCTGGCTCCTTTTAAACTTGTTCAGTACATGATAGCTATATATAAGCCATGTACTGTTATTCAAATAATTTATAGAAGGCAGCTAAGAAGGGAGAATTTCTGTGAACTTTCCCTGCAGTGGTTCTTTAACTCCAATAGCTACAGTCATTACATTCAGACTAGTACTATTAATGTGCCACCAATAATTTCAGAAAACATCTTGACAATAGCTCAAGTTCTAAGAGAAGGTCTAAAAGACCTTCAAGAGTGAGGCTGAAGAAGTCAGCCAGCAAACCTAAAGAACTAGCAGAACTGACAGCATCCCCAAGGAAATGGGGCCAGGTTAATGCTCATTGCCAGGAATTTTTGCTCCAGCATTTTCAAAACTCACAGGAGGTCACAGATGAGACAGGCTCTCAGAATCTCCTATGGCTTCCTGATGTCACAAGTGCCCTTGCTGTCCTGTCATGTCACATGCCAAAAATAAAAACTCTTCCTATGCTCTTCCTTAGCAAAGCTCTGTGGTCTTCATATTTTGGATGTAAGAGGAGACAAATGCAACAATGCATATACCGTGGCTTGAGGACCAAAACTCTTCTTAAAATCTTATTTAGAGATCACAAATAGTAATATTTGAGTGCAAAAGTGGCCAAGATTTTAATGTCTCTTTTGCTAAGTTTTTTTAATAAGACATTTTAGTGCTGCAATATAGGGGGTGTGTGTGTGTATGTGCACGTTGTGCACATGTGTGCGTTTGAGCCTGAAGGTATTTATTCATGTCCCTGATGACTGTTAAGCATCATTAAAGGAAATTAAACAACTGGGATGGGGAAGCACTTAAAGCTTATTAATTCTCAAAATTTTACAGTGTGATGGGAAAATAGTGATGCAAAATATTATAAGCAAGGCAAGGATTGACAATTAGATTTTTTATTTTCTCACTTATATAAATTAACAGAAAATCAGAAGCTGTTCTAGGTATATTCCCTTCCTTTTATATTTTGCCTGTTGTCACTCATTTCTTTATCTATCCCACCCTACTCCCATCATATGCACACTTACAATAAATAAACCTTTGTTTTCCATTCATACCTGAATAGTTTTGCATCTGAAGGGTTTTATTTTAATGTTTTTCTCTCTTTGAATGAAATGTTGTTCCATATAACTACATCTCTAAATAACTTACGGACTTTTAGAACATGTTGTAGAATAAACCATACTTAAGAGGCTATCTCATTTTTACTTGTTAAATAAAAACACTCTCTCATTTGAAACTTCATAAAATTTAAGCTGAATATTTCTTAGAGCCTACATTGTTTTCTGTTGTAATTATTTGAATTTATTCTAAAATTTTTAAATTCTGTGTCACTTTAGGTTGAACAATGTAAATATTTCATAAATATTACAAAAGTATGAATAAATAAGAGAATCAATACAGTGAATTTATTCTAGCAATCAGCCTATTTTCCTATAGAGCCATCCACATTTAATCAGATACAAATATTAAAGCAGTACCTTAATATTGAGGGTAATAATGCAATTCTAAAAGTTCCTGGTGTGCTTATTTTTAGTACAATAAAGCATTTATGATATGCCTACTATATGCATGGTTTCATATTAAACAATCAAGATACAGAAACAAATTAAAAAGGAATAAACCTTTTTTCAGTTGAAATTATTATGCAAACAAACAAATCATAATACCTAATGACAGAATAATGAAATAGTAAGGTAAAAGATATAAAAATAGCATTTTAAAAGACTGATTAACAGTATTTGGCAGGGGAAATATTATCTAAGGAGAATACTTTAGCCTGGATATTCTTTATAGAACGTGCCTTGTTTGTAAAGGCACAGTTAAAAGGAGAATCTGGAGTGATAAATAATCTGTGTATTATCATTGAAACACAAGTGAAGTGAGGGAAGTGTTTTTTGCTTTGATGGGAAATTAGCTCTATGGGATAGGCATGGGCCATGATGTGAAAAATATTGTATTCCATGCTTAAGAATGTTATATTGTAATATTGGAAACCATAACAAGATTTTCAGCAGTTTGGTGGCATGACCCATGATGTAGTGATGAAAAGTATGGGCTCTGAATCCACATTGTCAGGATTTGGAAACCACGTTTGCCAATAACAAATTATCAGACCTTAGTTTATATAAATTTTTTGTGCATTGATTTTAATGTCTATAAATGGTGAATAAAATATTACCTATATCATTGAGTTGTGAGAATTGAATTAGTTAGTATATCAAAATCACTTAAAACCTGTCATACAGTAAAGCTAATACAAGTATGAGTTATTCTTCTTACTGTTTTTGTTGATATGTCAAAGTGTTAGCAGTGTCATAAATATGGGAAGAGTAAAGTTAGATTCAGTGAGATGGTTAGAGTAATATTGTTATAACATGTTACACAATAAAGTATATAATAATGCAGGCAGGAGATAATGAGAAACCAAAATCAAGCCACAGAAGCCGTAACAAGAAGTGAAATAATTGAAAACACAAGTTTGCCTGTGTGTAGTTGCTTTACTTTGGTTTTATTTGCCTTCATATTTTGAAATATGAATTTTATAAAGAAATATATTACACTTAGAAATACAAATATATGTATGTATACATATCCCCATTTTAAACAGAAATTATTCTCATATGCATCTTTTTATTTAAAATATGATTTGAAATCTTTATACAGGTAGATGTACTTTTTTATATTTTTAATCTGTCTTATTGTCTTATTTATGATAGATAAATTCAGAAAATTTTATAATACATAAATGGTAGAACAATTTATATTCCTTTGGGTAAATACCTAGTAACGAGATTGCCAGGTCATTACAATAAGATTGTTAGTTCTGTTTTTCTTTGAGAAATTTTCAAAATACTTTTCGCAATGGCCGAACTAATTTTCATTCCAAACAGTAGTATGTAAGCACACCCTTGTCTCTGCATCCTTACCAACATCTGCTCTACTATTTTTTGACTTTTTAATAATAGCCATTCTGACTGGTGCGACGTGGTATCACATTGTAGTTTTAATTTACACTTCTCTAATAATTAGTGATGGTTTTTTTTTTTCCCATGTGCTTGTTGGCTGCTTGTATGTTCTTTTAAGAAGTGTCTTTTCAAGCCCATTTTTAAATTTTTGTTTTGTTTTGTTTTTCTCTTGGTGATTTAAGTTCCTTATATATAGTGGTTATTATAACTTGTGGGATGTATAGTTTACAAATATTTTCTCCCTCTCTGTAGGTTGTCTATTTACTCTGTTGATAGTTTCTTTGGCTGTGCAGAAGCTCTTTAGTTTTATGAGATACTACTTGTCTATTTTTGTTTTTGTTGCAATTGCTTTTGGAGTCTTCATCATGAAATCTTTGCCAAGGTCAATGACCAGAATGGAATTTCCTATGGTTTCTTCTAGGGTTTTTACAGTTTTAGATTTTACATTTAATCTTAAATTCATCATGTGTTGATTTTTGCATATAGTGAAGGGAAGGGATCTAGCTTCAGCTTTCTGCATATATCTAGTCAGTTATTCCAGCACCATTTATTGAATAGGAAATCTTTTCTCTATTGCTTGATATTGTCAACTTTATCAATGATGAGATAATTAGAAGCACGTGGCTTTATTTCTGGTTTCTCTAAGCTGTCTATGTGTCTGTTTTTATAGCAGTACCATGCTGTTTTGGAGACTGTAGCCTTGTAGTATAGTTTGAACTTGGGTAATGTGATACTTTTAGTTTAATTCTCTTTGCTTAGGATTGCTTTGGGTGTTCAGGCTGTTTTGAGGAACCCTAAAATTCAGGTTCCATATGAATTTTAGATGTGATTTTCTAATTCTTTGAAAAATGACATTGATAATTTGATAGGAATGGTGCTGAATCTGTAAATTGCTTTGGGCTGTGTGACCATTTTTTTAACAATATTAGTTCTTCCTAAGCATGAGCATGGGATGTTTTTCCATCTTGCTGTATCATCTTGATTTCTTTCAGCAGTGTTTTGTAATTCTTATTCCAGAGATCTTCCAAATCCTTGGTTAGGTGTATTCCTATGTATTTTCTTCTTTTTGTGGCTATTGCATATGGTATTGTGTTCTTGACTTGGCTCTAAGCTCAGATATTACTGGTATTTAGAAATGCTACTAATTTGTGCACATCAATTTTATATTCTGACATTTTATTGAAGTTGTTTATCAGGTCTAGGAGCCTTTGGAAAGAGACCAAGGGGTTTTCTTAATAGCTTTTGTGGGTGTTTTGTATTTCTGTGAGGTCACTGGTAATGTTGCCTTTGTCATTTCTTAATGTGTTTATTTGAATCTTCTTTATTAGCCTGAATAGCAGTCTATATATCTCATTTCTTATTTCAAAACTTGAACTTAGAGTTTCAGTGATCTTTTCTATGGATTTTCTTGTCTCTATTTCACTCATTTCAGCTCTAATTTTGGTTACTTCTTTTGTTCTGTTAGTTTTGGGGTTGATTTACTCTTGGTTTTCTAGTTTGTCTAGGTATAATGTTGGGTTGTTAATTTGCAACATTTCTAACTTCTTGATATAGGAATTTAGCATTATAAACTTCCTCTTAACACTGCGTTACCCATGTCCTAGAGTTTCTAGTATGCTGTATCTTCATTTTCATTTTCTTCAAAATATTTTTGACTTCTTCAGTTTCATTCTTTGCCCAAAAGTGATTCAGGGGCAGGTTGTTTAATTTTCATGTAATTGTATGTTTTTGAGAGATCTTCTTGGTATCGATTTCTATTTTTACTGTGCTGTGTTCTGGGACTATGGTTGATATGATTGCAATTTGTTTGAATTTGTGAAAATTGCTTTATGACTGCATATGTGGTCAATCTTAGGGTATATGCCATGTGCAGATGAGAAGAATGTTGTTGTGTGGCATTGATATGGTTTGAATCTGTGTTCCCATCTAAGTCTCATATCAAATTGTAATCCCCAGTTGGGAGGTGGGACCCTGTGGGTGGTGAATGGATCATGGGGGTGGTTTCTCATAAATGGGTTGGCACCATCCCCCTTGTTGCTGTTCTCATGATAGTGAGTAAGTGAGTGAGTTATCATGATATTTGGTTGTTTGAAAGTTTGTAGCACCTCTCTCTCTCTCTCTCTCTCTCTCTCGGTCCTACTCCTGCCATGTAAGATGCCTGCTCCTGCTTTGCCTTCCACCATGAGTAAAAGCTCCCTGAAGCCTCCCCAGAAGCAGATACTGCCATGCTTCCTGTACAGCCTGCAGAACTATGAGGCAATTAAACCTCTTTTCTTTACAAATGACCCAGTCTCAGATTATTTCTTTATAGGGCTGTGAGAATGGACTAATACAGGCTTGTTTAGCAGATGTCTGTTAGGTCCATTTGATAAAGTGTCAAGTTTAGGTGTCAAATGTCTTTGTTAGTGTTCTGTCTTAATGATGTATCTAATACTATTGGTGTGGTTTTAAAGATTCCCACTATACTTGTGTGATTATATAAGTCTTTTTCGTATGTTTCTAAGCATTTGTTTTATGAATCTGGGTTTTCCAGTGTTGGATGCATATATACCTAAGATAGTTAAGTCTTGTTGAAGTTAATCCTTTATCATTATGTAATACCCTTGTCTTTTTTTAATTGCTGTTGATTTAAACTATTTTTGTCTGAAATAAAAATAGCAACCTCTGCTCTTTTACATTTTCCATTTGCTTGATAGATCTATCTCCATCCCTTTACTTTTAGCCTACGTGTGTCAATGCATGTGAAATGGGTGTTTGGAGACAATATAAAATTGGGTCTTGCTGCTTTATTCAACTTGCCACTCTGCGCCTTTTAAGTGGGGAATTTAGCCCGGTTCATTCAAAGTTAATATTGATATGGGATGATTTGATACTGTTGTCATGTTGTTAGCTGATTGTTATGTAAGCATAATTGTATATTTGCTTTATAGTGTCAGAGGGCTACGTACTTAAGTGTGTTTTTGTGGTGGCAGGTCTTTTATTATGACCACACACAGGTGTGGTGGTAATAAATTACCTTAACTTTTACTTTTCTGAAAAGGATTGTATTCTCCTTCACTAATGAAGCTTAGTTTGGCTGGTTATGAAATTCTGGGTTGGAATTTCTTTCCTTATTTTTATTTATTTATTTATTTATTTATTTATTTATTTATTTTTGAGACGGAGTCTCGCTCTGTCACCCAGGCTGGAGTGCAGTGGTGCGATCTCGGCTCACTGCAAGCTCTGCCTCCTGGGTTCACACCATTCTCTTGCCTCAGTCTCCCAAGTAGCTGGGACTACAGGTGCCCACCACCACACCTGGCTAATTTTTTGTATTTTTTTGTAGAGACGGGGTTTCACCATATTAGCCAGGATGGTCTCAATCTCCTGACCTTGTGTACTGGGATTACAGGCATGAGCCACCACGCCCAGCCTGGAATTTCTTTTCTTAAACAATGGTGAATATGGGCCCCCAAACTCTTCTGGCTTGTAAGGTTTTTTTCTGAAAGGCTGGCTATTAGCTTGAAGGAGTTCCCTTTATAAGTAAGCTTCCATTTCTGTCTAGCTGCCATTAATATTTTTTGTGTGTGTGGACCTTGGAGAATATGATGACGATGTGTCATGGGGATGATCATTTTGTACAGTATCTTGCAAGAGTTCTCTGAATTTTCTGAATTTGCATGTTGATCTCTCTGGTGAGGTTGAGGAAATTTTTGTGGATAAATTTTCAAATATGTTTTCCAAGTTACTTGCTCTCTTTCTCTCTCTTTCTGGGGTGCAGTGAGTTGTAGGTTTGGTCTCTTTACAAAATCAGATATTTCAAGGAGGTGTTGTTCACTTTTTAGATGCTTTTTACAAATTTTTGTCTGAATAAGTTGTTTTGAAGAACCAATCTTTGAGCTTTGACGTTCTTTTTCTGCTTGGTCTATTCTCCTGTTAAAATTTACAATTATATTAATTAATTTTTGTAGTGGGCTATTCAGTTCTAAGAAATCAGTTTGGTTCTTTCTTAAAGTGGCTATTTCAGTTTTCTGCTCTTATATAATTTTATTGGATCGCTTATACTCCTTAGATTGGGTTTTAGCTTTCTCCTGTATCTCAATGATATTCATGGACATCCAGATTCTGAATTTTATGTCTGTTATTTCAACCATTTCAGTTGGGTTAAGAACCATTTCTGAGGAGCTAGTGTGGTCATTTGTAGGTAAGAAGACACTCTAGCTATTTTGAGTTGCCAGAGTTCTTGCCTGAGTTGCCAGAGTTCTGATCCTTTCTCATGTGTGTGGGCTGATGTTCCTTTAAGGTTTGAAGTTGCTGTCCTACGAAGGGACCTTTTCACTTTTATATTCTTTGATACTCTTGAGAGTTTGACTATGGTAAAAGTTGGGTTTTCAACTGGCTTTGTTTCTGAGTGATTTCAGGGACCAAAGCTCAGCTCAGCATTCCTTAGCTTCCTGATCTACCCCTAAGAGGATGTGACCAGGCCTGCAGCTCTTTTCCTGGCCCCTCAAGGTTAAACTCGTGCTGTGCTGGAGGGGCTGAGGTGTTCCCAGACCACTGACAACAACACTATGATGGGAGGCTGTTAGCAAAAGTGCCTTAGCGCAGCACTGGCAGAATGGCATGGGTCCCTCTGCATGTGTGCACCACCAGTGGGGTGATGGTTCATCCCAGGTGTGCTTGCACTTCAGTGGTAGGACAGCAATGGGTTTAGTGTGTGCATGCACCAGCAAAGCAGCAGGGACCAGCTGAGGGCAAGTGCCCACTAGCAGAGACCCACCTGCAAAAGCTCTCAGACTGTTAAGCAGAGTCTGCGGGCAAAAGAGGTATGAGGGTGACTACCAGCAAACTCCTCTCCGAGACAGCTGAGGTTTCACTGCGAGTAAATATGGCCAGGCAGGGACCCAGAGATAGAACAGCAGGCAGTGATTGCTCAGATCAGACTTGCCCCATCTAACAGGTTAGATAGCCCTACTCTGTCCAGGTCTGGCAATCAACAAACCCTAAAGTTTCCTAGAGGAGTATGGCAAGCCTTAGGGGATGGGCGCCCATGGCCTGATCAACAGCAACTGTTCCTGCTAGTTGGCAATCCTGTGCAGGGTTTGCAGCTTCCTTCTCTTTCAGCCCAGGGTCTGCGTCCTCTTTCTGTCCACTCTCAATGTCTTCTTTCCAAAGATCTGTTCAGAGTGTGCCTGTCTTCTTAATGATCTGTTGTCTCAGTGGGTGAAGCTCTTCCTGGCTGTGTTAAATTGGCCATCTTGGCTCCTTCCCTCCATTTAATCTTAATTTACTGCTAAAAGTCCTGTCTCCAAATAGTCACATTGGGGGTTAGGGTTTCAACATTGTAGGGACAAAAATACCATCTACAGTATCATTTAAATGAACAGAAGCATTTATTCTATTTTTATTTACTATAATTACAAAAATGTTCAATTAAAATATGTTATTAACACTTTTGTTTTCTTCAAAGATTCTTATAGTGTTAGCTCTTACATTTAGGTTTTAATTCATTTTGAGGTAACTTTTTGATATATTGTGAGCTACGCATTTTAAGTATGGCTATAGTAGCCATTTACTGAAGTGAGGTCAAAGTGAAAATCATTGAAGTTGAGAGCAAACACATGTAAAACTAAACAATGGAATGAGTCATTATATTAAAATTAATCAAGGTAATAGTAGGAGGTGGAAGGGAGAGGAATATCTAACTGGGATTCACAGTCTCATTTTCTGCAAGGAGTAAATTCATTTGCTTTTTTAGTTAATAATGAAGTCAATATCTCAATCCCTTTATGATTTTCTTCTGGTTGTCATATTTATCATGCAGTTCTGATTACTGTGTATGTTAATTATCATACACTGCCTCTTTAAAATTCTACTAAAATTGATGAACACTTTTTTTTCTAAGCTGGATACTGGAACTTGTTTTGTGATCAGGAATTAGCATTATACCTACAGACTCTATCTATCTATCTATCTATCTATCTATCTATCTATCTATCTATCATCTATCTTCTTCCAATACCCTGAAACATGATTTAAATTCTAATTGTATGAGATGAACAAAATAGAAGAATCCTGTGATGAGAATTTAATGCAATTTATTATGCATACTTAAGAGTAACATATTTTGAAGTTACTGTGTACACATTGTAAGAACCTTTCTGAAGCACACAAGACTTTTTTTTTTTTTTTTTTTTTTGTCTTAGTCTTGCTCTCTCATTCAGGCTGGAGTGCAGTGTCACAATCTCGACTCACTGCAACATCTGCCTCCTGGGTCAAGTGATTCTCCTACCTCAGCCTCCTGAGTAGTTGGGATTACAGGCATCCACTACCACGCCCAGCTAATTTTTGTATTTTTAGTAGAGACAGGTCTCACCATGCCAGTCAGTTGGTCAGGCTGGTCTCAAACTCCTGACCTCAGGTGATCTGCCTGCCTCGGCCTCCCAAAGTGCTAGGATTACAGGCTTGAGCCACCGCACCTGGCTGATAAGACAATTGTAAGGAAATCTTTCATATAATGTAACCTCTGCAGGAGTCTTAGCCATATTCTGAGTGAGGATTACTTTGGATAGCAGTGATGAACACTCAAATTCCCACAAAATGCCAGTTTTTGCAATAGTGTAATCTGTCAAAGGAATTCACAATGCCCTCTAAATGTTGAGAGTTTGCCTGGGATGCCAAGACCTGCCATTTCTTAAAAAATGAAGTGGGCGGCCGGGCGCAGTGGCTCACGCCTGTAATCCCAGCACTATGGGAGGCCGAGGCGGGCAGATCACGAGGTCAGAAGATCGAGACCATCCTGGCTAATACAGTGAAATCCCGTCTCTACTAAAAATACAAAAAAATTAGCCGGGCGTGGTGGCAGGCGCCTGTAGTCCCAGCTACTCAGGAGGCTGAGGCAGGAGAATGGCGTGAACCCGGGAGGCGGAGCTTGCAGTGAGCCGAGATTGCGCCACTGCACTCCAGCCTGCGCGACAGAGCGAGACTCCTTCCAAAAAAAAAAAAAAAAAAAAAAAAAAATTAAGTAGGCAAGTAGGCAAAATAATGGTTCTTCCAAAATGTTCACATGCTGATATTCAGAGTTGATGAATATGACATTTTACATGGCAAAGGGGGATTCTGGTTGCAGTTAGAATTAGGTTGCTAATCAGCAGATTTAAAAATAGGGAAAAAGATTATCCTGGATTACCTAAGTGAACGCAGTGCAATCACAGAGTGCCTTAAAGTGAAAGAAAATCAGAGAGAGATGGGAGTATGAAAAAAAAGGACAGAGAGAGGCAATATTACTGGCTTTGGAGATGAAAGAGCTGGGCCTTTAGAAGCTTGAAAAGACAAGGAAACAAAATTTGTTTAGAGCACCCAGAAAGAAACACAGCCCTGAAAATACCTTGATATTAGCCCCTAAGACCTTTGTCATACTCTGATCTACAACATATGAAGACAATTTGTGTTGCTTAGCTTTGTGATATTTGTCATAATAACAAATGAATACTAATACAAGGAGCCAATATACCTTTTTTCTTCTAAGCAATGTCCCCAGAATGACTTTATTTAAAAAAAAAGTTTCATTGAAATGCATCTTTATTTATATCTGGAAAGAAATAAAACAGCTAATCTAGCACTATAGATGCCACGATCATATTCATTTTGCATTAAGTAATCAAGATATCATAAGTAGTGGGTCAATCATGAGAAAGCCAGGATTCAAACTAGGTGAGCTTATTTGAGAAAACATATTATTAATAATTAAACTATCCGCTTTTTCACTACATTCTTTGGGATGAGTCCATGGTGTGTGCAGCCTGAGAAGCTTCCTAGGTAACTCTGATATTCATTCCTGATTGAAAATTGCTGCTCTAAGCACAAAACTCTGTGCATGATAACTGCTTGAACAGCCTTGTGCTTAAAGTGTCAGCTTTTTTCTACTTGATAAGAAAAAGGGATATAGAATTGAATAAAAAGCCCCATTCTGTTAGAAATGTGAAGTTAAGCTAGGTGCCATAATACTTCCTGCAGAGTGCAATAAAACAATTCTTGTGAAAATGTGGTTTAGTAACTTACTTTTAATCCTGCTCACTATTATGTAGATTCTTCAATAAATGTGGAACTGTCGCTTCATATATCTTAGTGTGCTATAACACTTCCAAGGACCCCATAAGGACACTACATATTTGGAGGCACCTGTAAAATACAGTTTGAAGTGCCCTTTCATATTATTCTTATCACATTATTTAATTGTCAATAAGGTCTTTAAGGTAAGGAATTGTGTTCTTGTTTTCTCTATTTAGCCCCAAAAACTTGAGTATCAGAGTGATGTGTATTACTGGTTCAAAAAATGCCTCCTGAATTCTTATTTTGTGACCTCCCTTTGTTTAAAAATGACTTTTCTCAGACTTATGAAATGCAGGGTCTCAATATTATTCAGGACAACAAACTATTTGTCTTGCATGTGCATTTTTAATAAAAATCATTTCACAAATAAGAAAGCCATATAAAAAAGGAAGATACTATATAATCAAGAACCTGGTAGGAAATAACCAAGATTTATCAAACTGCATGTAAGAAAACAGGGCCTCGGGCACAGTGAAAACAAATGTACTCCTTGTGAATTCAGTCATCTGAAAAAAATTGGGACTAAGAAAGTATAAACAGCTGCTTACCATGCGTGGGAAAAAATCAAATGAACAGGGCTGATGAAGCATCAGTAAAATTATTTGATGACTAGGGAAGAAAGACAAAGTGCAAAGTGAAAATAAGCTGCTTAATTAAAATGTTTCCCTCTACCTCTGTTATGAAATAAACACAAAATCTTTTTGTTTAATCAAACTTTCTTTATATTTAAATTATTCTCTGGAGTTCCACATTGGTGATTTAGGCCAAGCTCATTATTCAGATGTTAAAAAGAAAAACATGCTTTTTGAAGAAGGACTATTATTCAGCTTTGAAAATCCATAGTGGATTGTACTTTCCTGTCCTGCTTACATTGATATGACACTTAAAACCATAAATTTTTCTTCTGGTATTTATTCTCATGACCTGATAATGAAATATGCATTTCAAAGAATGTCATAAGAGTGAAGAAAATTACATTAAACATTTATGAGTTTATTATTCCCATATTAAATCCAACAACAAGGCCTATAATTCTGCCTGTTAAATAATATTTCAAATATATCCAGTGAAGAGAAATGCCAAGGTGGTTGATTAGAAGAAGCTAGTGCATGCCGTTCTCATAGAGAAGAGACAGAATGACAAATAAGCACTAACTTTTCAAGTGGATCGCCCAGGAGGCTGTGTTGGAATTCATCAAGGAAGCAATATTGACCCACAGAGAACAGAAAAGAGAAAGGCAGGAGAACCAACCACAGGTACTGGCACAGAGCCCGGGGGAGAGGGGGGCTTCCTGCTGTGGGGAAGGGGTGAGTGAGTGAGTGTCCCTGGGGACTCACACTTCTGCCAAGGAACTTTGCAATCCTTGGCATAGAAGATCCCTCATGAACCCTCTGGTCTACAGAACCACATGGAGAGCTGCCTGGAGTATGGACAGAGCCACTGCTCAAGCCTCCACAGAGACCCACAGGCTTTGGATCTCTAAGTATCCTGTTGCCAACAGCAATAGACCTGCCAACAAGGGCCCCCAGGCTCTTGTGTGTACCTCTGGATAGGGGCTATATCTATGGTGCTGAGAAGCAGATGGACAACAGTTTGCTCCTCCTCTATATCTCTCCAGGCAGGGCCTCCTCGCCTGGGCCCCCATTACAGCTGCCCCATCACACTTGATTACTTAAATCAGTAGCAGCCTGCATTTCTCTGGGATGGAGCTCCCAAAGACAACTGAAAGGTCTTCTGTCATTGCTGCCACGGTGGTAATCATCGTTGCTTCCCCCAGCTAGAGAGGAAACAAACATTCTGATTGTTTTTGTGCTCCTATAGTGTGCTTTAACTGTCCTAAGGAGAGAAGGACAGACTGTTCTCTCCATGAGTTCCCAGACCCCCTGTTCTTCACCAGGCAGGGCCCCATGGCTTAGGCCGGCAGCATAATTGTTGTATCCCAGCTGATCACTTTGATCAGCCATGAGTCTGTTTCTGTGGAGCAGAGCTCCCAGAGAAAACTCACAGGCCCACTGCCATTGCCACTGCTGAGGTCACTGCCCTGTTGCCTCAAACTTTGGGGTGAGGGGAGAACAAAAAGCCTCAACTCGTCCCAGGGCTGCAGCGCTGACATCTGTGGCCAGCACTCAAATATTCAAACGGGGGAGGAGCCCACACACTCAGTGCACTGACATGGATGAGGCTCATGGGTCCACAGGCTGCTCCAGGAGCCCGGAATGCCTCCCTCTACAGGACTGGCCCAGAAAAGGCATGGCTTATCTCCCTGCGGTGGCTTCTGTTGAGGGAGCTCCATAGCCTGGAACACCTAACAAAGGACACACAAGTGCAGTGCCAGTGATTGGAGGGGGCTCCTTTAAGGCCCAAAAGGGAACATGGTGAGGCGCGTCACCACTCTCCCTGCTGCACTCCAGAGCACACCTGCAAACACCAGAAATACAAAGGAGCTATGTGGCTAAGAACCTATCTACTGCCCATTATTCTTAAGTGTCATCTAACAGATAAAAGCCCAAACTACAACCCCAAAGCCACTTTGCTAATATTCTCCCTTGTGCAACCAATGGCAAGGATTCAGACCCAAATAAAGACCCTGCACAAAGCCTTGGCTCTCTGAAAAATCCAGAAACAAAGCCAAGTGACTATACTCAAGTTACGCCATAGTTAAAAAAGCACCAGTTCTCTCAGATGAGAAAGAATCAGCACAAGAACTCTGGCAATAAAACAAAGAAAAAAATGTTCTTTTATCTCCAAATGAGTTAACTAGCTCTCTAGCAATGATTCTTAATCAGGCAGAAGTGACTGAAGTGACAGACATTAAATTCAGAATCTGGATGTTAAGGAAGTTCATTGAGATTCAATAAAAAGTTGAAACCCAGTTCAAGATATCCAGTAAAATGCCAAGAGCTAAAAGAAAAAAATAGCCACTTTAAAAAGAGCCAAACTGATCTTCTAGAGTTAAAAAATATACTAAAATAATTTCATGATACAATTAGAACTACTAACAGCAGAATATGCCAAAACAAAGAAAGAAACTATGAGCTTGAAGACAAGTGCTTTAAATTACCTCAATCAGGCAAAAATCAAGAATAAAGAATTAAGAAATGTGAATAAAACCTCCAAGAAATATGGGACTATGTAAAGAGTTCAAATCTAGGACTCATTGGCATTCCTGAGAGAGAATAAACAATATTGAAATTATGTTTGAAAATATAGTCCATAAAAATTTCTCCAATCTTGCTATAGTGATTGACATACAAGCCTAAGCAATAGACAGAACCCTGGCTAGATGCTATGCAAGATGATTATACCAATGCATGTAGTCATCACATTCACCAAGGACAATGCAAAAACAGAAAAAATAAAAGAATAAAGTTAAAGGCAGCTAGAGAGAAGGGTCAAGTCATGTACAGAGGGAATGCCATCAGGCTAGCAGCAGAACTTTCAGCAGAAACTTTATAAACCATCAGAGATTGGGAGTATATTTTCGTCATATTTAAAGAAAAATTCTAGCCAAGAATTTCATACCCTGCCAAACTAAAATTCATTAATGAAGGAGAATTACAATCTTTCTCAGACAAGAAAATACAGAGGAAATTCATTTCAATTAGACCAGTCTTACGAGAGGTACTTAAGGGAGTGCTAAACATGGCACTGAAAGAACACCAACTGCTAACACATAAGCACACTTAAGCACATTTCCCAAAGGAAATAGAAAGCCACTATACAGCCAATTTTACATAACAACCAGCTAACAATATGAAGACAAAATCTCACATAGCAATTCTAACCCTGAATGTAAATGGACTAAACAGCCCACTTAAAAGGCTTAGAGTGGTCAGCAGGATAAAAAGACAAGGCTCAACCATGTGTTACTTTAAGACCCATCTCACGTGGAATGATACAGATAAGCTCAAAGTACAGGGATAGAGGAAAATCTACCATGCAAATAAAAAACAACAAAGAGCAGGAGTTGCTATTCTTATATCAGATAAAACACACTTTAAACCAATAAATATGAAGAAGGACATTACTTAATAATAGAGTTCAACTCAACAAGGAGACTTAACTATTCTCAATATATACACACCCAACATTTGAGTTTCCAGATTCATAAAACAAGTTCTTCTGGAACTACAAAAAGACATACAGAACCACACAATAACAGTGGGAGACTTCATCATCTCATTGATAGCATTAGACAGATCATCAAGGTAGAGAACTAACAAAATAATTGTGGACGTAAACTAGGCACTTGGCCAATTGGACCTAATAGACATCTACAGAAAGCTCCACCCAACAAACACAGAATATATATTCTTCTCACCTGCACACACAACATATTCTAAAATCAACCACATGCTCGGTCATAAAACAAGTCTGAATAAATTAAAAAAAATTACAATCATTCAAGCACACTCTTAGAGTATTCTGAAATAAAAACAGAAATCTATATGAAGAACCTCTCTCAGTACTACCCAAATTCATGGAAATCAAACAACTTATTCCTGAATGACTCCCTGGTAAACATAAAAATTAAGATAGAAATAAAAAATTTCTTTGAAATTGATGAAAATAAGAACTCAACTTACCAAAATCTCTGAGATGCAGGTAAAGCCAGTGTTAAGGGGAAAGTTGATACCACTAAATGCCGTCATCAAGAAGTTAGAAAATCTCAATTAACAATCTCAATTTGGACCTAAAAGAACTAAGGGGGAAAGAAAAAACCAACCCCATAGCCAGTAGAAGAAAAGAAATGACTAAATTTAGAGAATGAATAAAATTTAGATGCAAAAATCTCTACAAAATATCAATTAAATCAAAAGTTGATTCAAAATAAACAAGGTTAATAGACTGCTAGATTTAAAAATCCAAATAAGTACAATCAGAAATGACAATTATGACATTACAACTAATCCCACAAAAGGCAAAAGATTCTTAGAAAAAACTATGAAAAATTCTATGCACACAAATTAGAAAATCTAGTGGAAATAGACACATTTCTGGAAACACACATCTTCTAAGACTGAATCAAGAAGAGATTGAGACACTGAATAGATCAATGTTGAGCCCTGAAATTGAATCTGTAATATATATATATATATACACACACATATCCCTACCAAACAAAAAAAGCTCTGGACCAGATGGATGCACAGCTGAATTCTACAAGTTGTACTAAATTCCTACTGAAGCTATTCCAAAAAATTGAGGAGATACTCCTCCCTAGCTCATTCTATGAAGCCAGCATCAGTCTAATACCTAAATCTGGTAGAGACACAGCAAAAAAATGAGAACTTCAGGTCAATACCCCTGATTAACCTAAATGCAAAAATCCTCAACAAAATATTAGCTAACTGTATCCAGAATTACATCATAAACACATCAAGTAAGCTTTATTCCTGGGATGCAAGGATATGTTGACTTAACAGATAAATAAATGAAATTCACCAGGTAAACAGAATCAAAAACAAAAACCATATGATCATCTCAATAGATACAGACAAAGATTTTGATAAAATCCACCATCCCTTCATAATAAAAACCCTCAACAGTGTAGGCATTGAAGGAACATACCTTGAAATAATGAGCCATCTATCACAAACCCAGAGCCAACTTTATAACAAATGGGCAAAAGCTGGAAGCATTCCCCTTGAGGACTAGAACAAGACAATGATGTCTACTCTCATTACTCCTATTTAACATAGCACTGAAGGTCCTAGCCAGAAAATTCAGGCAAGAGAAAGAAAAAGACGGCATACGAATAAGAAAAGAATATGTCAAACTATCTCACTTCCCTAACAATATGATTCTATATGTAGAAAATCCTAAATACTCTGCCAAATGGCTACTAGAACTGATAAATGATTTTAGTAAGGTTTCAGGATACAAAATCAATGTACAAAAATCAATAGCATTTCTATACATTAATAAAGTCCAGGCTGAGAGTCAAATCAAGAACACAAAACCATTTACAATAGCCACAAAGAATATGAAATACCTGGGAATATAGCTAACCAAAGGTGAAATATCTCTAGAAAGATAAATACAAACATTGCTGAAAGAAATCAGACACAACACAAATAAATGGAAAAAAATATTCTGTACTCATGTATTAGAATAATAAATACTGTTAAATGGTCATATTGCCCAAAGCAATTTATAGATTCAATACTATTTCTATCAAACTGCCAATGTCATTCTTCACAGAATTAGAAAAATCTATTCTAAGATTCATGTGTGTGATGCTTAAGTGCCAACTTGAAAAGATTGAAGGATGCCTGGATAACCCATAAACTATTGTTTCTGGGTGTGTCTGTGAGGGTGTTACCAGACGAGATTGACGTTTGAGTCAGTGGGTTGGGAGAGGAAGATCCACCCTCAATGTGGGTGGGCACCATTCTGGCTGGAAGTGTGGCTAGAACAAAGCATGTGGAAGAAGGTGGGATGAGCTGGCTTGCTCAGTCTTCTGGGTTCATCTTTCTTCCTTACTGGATGCTTCAGTCCATTCCTACCACCCTTGGACATCAGACCCCAGGGTTTTTGGCCTTTGGAATCTTGGACTTTCACCAGTGGTTTGCCGGGGACTCTCAGGCCTTCAGCCATAGACTGAAACCTACACCGTCAACTTTCCTGCTTTTGAGGCTTTTGAACTCGGACTAAGCCACTACTGCCTTCTTTCTTCCTCAGCTTGCAGACAGCCTATTGTGGGACTTCGCCCCATGACTGTGTGAGCCAATTATCCTTAATAAACTCCCTTTCATATAAACATATATCCTGTTAGTTCTGTTCCGCTGGATAACCCTGACTAATACAATATAGAAAACAAAAAAGAGCCTGAATAGCCAAAGCAATTCTAAGAAAAAGAACAAAGTCAGAGGCATCACACTAGCCAACTTCAAGCTACTATAAAGCTATAGTAACCAAAACAACATGGTACTGGCACAAAAACAGACTCATGGACCAATGGAACAGGTTACAAAACTCAGAAATAAAGCCACACACTTACAACCATCTGATCTTCAGCAAGACTGACAAAACAAGTAACAGGGAAAGGACTCCCTTTTCAATAAACTATACTGGAATAACTGGCAAACCATATAATATAGAATGAAACTGGACCCTTACCTTTAAGCATATAAAAAATTAACTTAAGATTGATTAAATGTTTAAATGTAAGACCTCAAAGTATAAAAATCCTAGAATAAATCCTAGGAACTACCCTTCCTGACATCAGCCTTAACTAAAAGATTCTAGGTAAGTCCCCAAAGCAATTTTAACAAAAACAAAATTGACAAGTGGGACCATCTAATTAAAAAGCTTCTGCAAAGCTGAAGAAATTATCAACAGAGTTAACAGGCATCTTCCAGAATGGGAGAAAATATTTGCAAACTATGCATGTGACAAATATCTAACATCCAGAATTTGTAATGAAATTAAACAAGTCAACATGCAAAAAACTAATAACCTCATTAAAAATGAGCCAATGACATGAACAGACACTTCTCAAAGGAAGAGATTTGAACAGCCAAGAAACATATAGAAAACTGCTCAACATTACTAATCATCTGAGACAAGCAAATAAAAACCACAGTGAGATATCACACACAAGTCAAAGTGGCTATCATCAAAAAGTCAAAACCAACAGATGCTTGTGAAGATGCAGAGAAAAGGGAACACTTATACAGGCCGGTAGGAATGTAAATTAGTTCAACCATTGTGAAAAACAGTGTAGAATTTTTAAATTAAATTTAATTAATTAGTTAATTCATTTATTGAGACAGAGTTTCGCTCTTTTGCCCAGGCTGGAGTGCAATGGCGCGATCTCCGCTCCCTGCAAACTCCGCATTCTGTTTTCAAGCGATACACCTGGCTCAGCCTCCGGAGTAGCTGGGATAACAGGCACCTTCCACCACGCCAGGCTAATTTTTGTATTTTTTGGTAGAGACAGGGTTTCACCATGTTGGCCAGGCTGGTCTCCAGCTCCTGACGTCGTGATCCACCCGCCTTGGCCTCCCAAAGTGCTGAGATTACAGGTGTGAGGCACCGCGCCCGGCCAACAGTGTAGAAATATCTAAAAGAACTTAAGACAGAACTACCATTCAACCCAGCAATTCTGTTAACTGGGTATATACTTAAAGGAAAATAAATCCTTATATCATAAAGACACATGCACTCATAATGTTCATTTCTGCACTATTTACAATAGTAAAAACATGTAATCAACCTAGGTGCCCTCGATTAGATAAAGAAAATGAGGTATGTATACATTATAAAATACTAGATAGCCATAAAAAAGAATCTAATTATGTCCTTTGCAGCAAAATGTATGGGGCTGGAGACCATAATCCTAAGGAAATTAACACAGGCAGAGAAAACTAAATACCACGTGTTATCACTTATAAATAGGAGTTCACCATTGAGCACACATGGATGTAAACATGGGAACAACAGACGCTCTGGACTGCTTTTGCGGGGAGGGAGCGAGGAGTGTGTGAGATGAAAAACTACATTTTTTGTGCAATGCTCACTGCCCACCTGCAATATATCAGTAATAAATATATTGTTTATATATCAGTAATAAATCTGCACATACACTCTCTGTATCTAAAATTAAAATCGAATTAACAAAATTAAAATTTTAAAGAGTCCAATTATCTTTTTTATATTAACTGCTGTTTTCCTGATTCAGACCATTATCTGTTGTCTGGACAACAAACTCTTTCCAAATTGTCTTCCCATCTTGATTGTCCTCCCCTTTTAACTATCTAAACATAATTCCTAGAGCAATCTGCTTAAAAGACATGTTGAAATCTTCAGTAGGTTCTTGCTCTGTCAAATACATTTCAAATGTCTTATTATGGCCTATATGCCAAGTGACCATTTTTTTCTTTTCTTTTTTTTAATTATACTTTAAGTTCTAGGATACATATGCACAACGTGCGACCATATTTTTTTAATCCAAATTAGGGTACCCTTGAGACTAAAAACAGGCACTGTTTATAATTATGCCAGTGAACTAGCCATGACCTTGTAGTCTTCATGACACAATGGATCATATAATCAATCTACTTATAAGAGTTGGCCTGAGCTGGTCTATGCTTATATCTTTAAACCTTTACCACATCCTCATCTTCTTGCCCCTCTTCAACTACACGGGACTCTTTTTCATACTTTAAAGAGAAAATTTTTGTTTGATATTGCTTGCTTTTCCTGGAATATTTGTTTTTTTACTCACATTGTTTACATGTCCCGTCCTGATAGCTGTATTTCCTGAGCATCCCATCTAATACCATCTTCACACCCAAAATAATGATCTAAGATTTCTGTATGCATCTTTTATAGAAGGATTTGTGATTTAATTGGTTTAATTTTTCTCTTTTCTAATAAAATATAATTGATTGAAAATGAAAACTATATTTTGCTTCTCTATAACTTAAGCAGAATATCTGGCACATAGTAGACTCTGGGAAAAAATCAGATAATGAATGAGTTGTACAAGTGTTGCCTGATCCATGTGAAAGATTGTGGCAAACTATGCAAGTGCGGTCATGAGACATTGCTCTTCGGTGATGGAATCTGAATAATGAGTTAGGTCTTAACCCAATAGCCTGCGATTCTAACCCTTGAGTAAATGAGCCACAAGAAATAGAATGTTGTGGTTCACCTAGCCAAAGCATAGTATCCTCTATGGACAACTCCTGGTTTTTAAATAATTACCAAGCTTAAACTGAAGATGTCTTAATAGAAATGCACTTTATGCAATAAAAAACAAGAATGGTAACTTTCATTTGTAAATAAAAAGATTGTAATAGTAATAAAATATTTTATATCTTTTGCCAAATTATAATTGTAATATCACAAATCCACACAGCTATTAATTCACATTTGTGTTATTACAATTAGCTATTCATTTTATTTTTCTCTAAATCCATCTGTTCTATCACATATAAATTAATCTTAAATAAGGAATACCTTTTGAAAACTATGATTAATTGAATCATCTAGTGTGTTCTAGTTGTTAATCAACAATTATAGCACTTACAATATCATTTCCAAATTTATCAATGCATATCTTTTTGTACCAAACTGGAATGAGTTGTTAGTGAAAGAGAATGAGTCTTATTTTTGTTCCTTGCAACCAAGCACAGGCTCTGGTTAGTAGTGAGTTCTTCCATTGGTTAAAAGAGTAAATTTATTTTTTTTCCTCCCTTCTCTTCATCAAAATATTTCAGATCTCCCCATTGCCAACAAAAAAAAATGCATAACACTTCATAAACACTTTAGCTTGACATTCAAAGCCCTCTGCAATCTGGCCCCACTCTAAGTACTCACCAAATACACAGAGCTCTAATATTGCAAGGGAAAAGTTATATTGTTCCCATTTTTAGGGTGATAACCAGCAACCAAAGGAATATTAGCCTCCTGCTTAATTTTGCCTTGTTGTATCTACTCTTTGGAATTTCTGAATTTGAAAATGTGTGTTTGTGTGCGAGCATGAAGTTTAATTCTTTAAATATGACTAATTAGAAAAAGTAGTGTTTGGAGAAATAGGAGTAATTCATGTTGCTGTAATCTAAGACAGAATGTAGGACTTGGGGTTGAATTGGTAAGATTCTATGGATTCAAGATCAAAGTCAGTGCCTCTATGACTTTGAGTTTAGCCGTTATTCATAGAAAAGCTTTTGATGCATGTTTTCTTTTCTTTCTTCCCCTCCCTCCCTCCCTCCCTTCCTTCTTTCCTTCCCACCCTTCCTTCCTTTCCCTTTCTTTCTTTCCTTCCTTCCTGTCCTTTCTTTTCTTTCTTTCTCTCTCTCTTTTCTTTCTCTTTCATCAGGTAATAGTGCAGGAAATAAAGGGTTAGAAAATTTGTTGTAAGTGAAGGTTGGTTCCTTTATTTCAAAGGTGTTATCATAGCAAATGTAGACAAACTGATACTTTTTATGAGGATGAGATAACAGGAAAATAGAAGAGAAAATTTTATAAGTAATTTTGTTGGTTGTGGGACTATTTTAATGTGTTTTGCTTGAGGTGTGTTACTTTCAAAATAAAAAATAACAACCTAACCTCCAGCATCTTTTATCATATAAAAATTTATGATTAATTTAAAGAACAGAAAAAATATTTTTTTCAAACATCATTAATTTGTCCAATGTTTCCATGAAATTCTCTTAAAAGTTTAGCCAAAACATCATTTCCTTGTCCTACCAAAAGTGCTTCTAATCTTTCTGTTTACTAGGTGGATGTGGGTAAAATAGATGTTTACACAAAGAGTTTACAGCATACCATTATTAGTATGCTGTCATGTTTGTATACCTATTATGCTATAAATATTGTATGTGATTGTTTTCCTCTCAATTAATTTGAATACATATTAGAAAGATTAATATTATTCATCTTGTGTAGACATCATTTATTATTAAATAAAAAATTCTTATGATATTGGGAGATTGGACTCTGGGCAAAAAAGAATGTGTTAACTACATAAATGTTCTGTTATCAGAGAATCTGATGGAATTAAAACCTTTTTATTTAAATGCTTCCCTCCCCTTTTCCAAACATTTATTCACTTAAAGCAGGAGAATAGCTTGTGGCTTTTCGCCACCATGAGATCTTCTTCCAACTAAATTTACTACTATTCTTCAGATATATATGTGCATCTCTATGTTATAAATAATGAGAAAATGACTTTATTAGGTTAACTTCCTTAAAGGTTACTAATTGCAGGTCTTATGTAAATGCCTTTCATCTGTTTATCTTATTTAACTATCATAATTCAAAATGGAATAGATACTATTTTTATTCCCATTTTGTGACTAAAGAATCTGAAGAATAGATGATTTATATTGCCTACCCTTTATCACATTATTAAAAAATAAATGAAGGAACACAAAAACACATAAGAATGTTCTTCATCTCTAGTTTACTTTGCTCTGTAAATATCTTTCGGTCATCCCCTCATTTCCTATCTTTACTACGAAGCATTTATCTTTTACCATACCAAGCCATGCTTCTCTATCTATAATTTTAAAATGTGTGCCTAAGAAAAGCATAGCATTACTTATTTCTAAATTGTTTCATGAATGAAGGTCTTTTTGCTAAACATAAACACTCAGTATGTTCTCACTAAACGTATAATGAAGCTGAACCAGTTTGTTGTTTGATTCAAATCAAGAAAAATTTCAGCTCCTTAAATCCAACATTTAAAATCAATTGATCATTCAAAATCAGAATCAAGATGCATGATTTGACCCAGTTTAAATTTTGTGTGAAAAACTTAATACATAAACCGAGTCTATTCAGTATACCAAAACTGAAAATCAAAATGAGAGTTATTACAACTATTACTGTATTAAATAGAATCCCTCATCCCTGACTTTGCTAATAAACCAATGTTCATATCCTCAGAAACACATACCAATTAATAAACACTACTCACTAAATACTTATAACTAGCTGGCTACCTTTAAAATGGCCACTGTAGTTTGTTCACTGAGAATGAGAGACACTCTGCTGATTTTCAAACTACTATTATTTCAATATTTCTGCTAATGACAACACTGTATACTTGTTGTGGAGACTCAAAACTTAAATTTTAAAATATAGATTTTACTTAATTAAAACATGAACAAAACATTGCACAAATCATAATTATGCAACTCAATAAACTTCCCCAAATGAACATTCGTGTAACCAGTAAGCATATCAAGAAAATAAATATTATCAGCATTCAGGAAACTTTCAAGAATTAATATTGGCCGGACGCAGTGGCTCACGCCTGTAATCCCAGCACTTTCGGAGGCCGAGGCAGGTGGATTACCTGAGGTTGGCAGTTCAAGACCAGCCTGACCAACATGGTGAAACCCCGTCTCTACTAAAATTACAAAAAATAGCTGGGTGTGGTGTCATGTGCCTGTAATCCCAGCTACTCAGGAAGCTGAGGCAGGAGAATTGCTTGAACATGGGAGGCAGAGTTGCAGTGAGCCGAGATCGCGCCACTGCCTTCCAGCCTGGGTGACAGAGACTCCGTCTCACAAAAAAAACAAAACAAAACAAAACAAAAAACAACAACTAACTACTCTTCTGAATCGTAATATCATAGAATGATATTAGCTTTTCTTGATATTTCTTTAATTGAAATGATATAACATTGATATTGTGTGAAGCTTTCTTCACCCAACATTATGTTCGCTATACCTAGTCATGTTATTGCAGGTAGTGGTAGTTCATTCATTCATTCTCATTGCTGTACAGTATTATATAAGTATATGACAATGTAATTATTCATAAACTGCTGAAAAGCATTTCGTTTCCAGTTTGAGGCCATTACATGTAGTCCTGTTATTCAAAGGTATGTGTTTTGATGAACATACATATTCATTTTTGTTGGATATGTACCCTTTAGGTATACAGAGTTCCAGGGCTCTGCCTAATGTGTACACTCAGTTTTAGTAGATCCCGTCATATACTTTCTCCTAGAGGTTGTACCACTTCTACAAGAAATCTATGAGAGGGCAAATTGCTTCACATCTTTAACAATGCTTGGCATCTTCTTTTGTTCTGTAGATGGTAGAGTGGCATCACATGATGATTTGATTTGCATTTTCCTGATGGCTAGTGAGTTAAAGCATATTCAAAAGTGTCTGTATAATCAGTTTTTTCTAGTGAATAACTTTTATTATTTTATAAAATTTTTGATAAATTATAAATAGGGGATATTGCAACTTGTGTGACTTAATATGTTACTTGCTGACTCAGTTTATCCTTGGATATATGAGATGCAAAAATACCCCAAACCAAAAAGAAACCAACAAACAAGAACTTGACAGGGTCATTCCTCAAATTCCAGAGTCCCTAGACAGACTACCTTCTTCTCTGCATCTTTCAGAGTCATTTAATCATTTCTTCATGTATTACATCCAGAGACTTTTTGTGGGAAAAATTAAGTGAAATGGTCTTCTTTTATTACTTTAAATGTAGAGTTCATGCAAAATTTGTTAGATTAATTGTTAGGGTTTTTTTCCAGTTCTTAGTCCCCCATTTCTGTGAGATGCCTCAGCATCTCACACAGATTAAAAATTGTTTCTTAACATTTTTCTAATGCTCTATCTTTTTGACAGGATGGGTTCCTGTAGAGCATGTAAAAAGCTATACAAGTCAAAATAATTTACATTTAATACTTATAAAATATCTACTCTAAAATACAAGAGAAAAAAATGAACAACAACAAAATAAAAATTGAAATATCATAGTAAAATGTGCTAAAATGAACACTGTCAAAATGAACTCCGCATGTAAATGACAATAACACATTTCAAGAGGTCATTATATATAATTATTTTTATCAAGTCATTCAATTCTACCAAAGCAAAGCGTGTATAAAACATACCAATATTCATAATTCTTAGAAGTACAAAGTGCCTAAATTATCTTCTTATATTTTCTGGAAACAAATTTAAAATACATTAGTAAATTTCCATTTAGATGGAATTCAAGAGCATCAAGTTAATCCTAAAGTTTATCTTCATCACAATGTAAAAATTATTTTTATGTTGGTATGAAAATTGAAAGCTTCAAAATAATCTCAGAAATAAGCACACAAGATTGAAATGAATATGTTAACTTTGCACAAAATGGATCTAGATACAAACCTTTTATATCTACTCAAATAATTCCAAATAACAAATACTCTATCATGCTAAATTGTACATCATGCATTATTTAATATTTCTTTAGATGTAAATACTAAAGAAGGTGACTCAAAAATCATTTTAAAAGTGACCCTTGTTTTGTGAAAACATCATTGTTTTTAAGGCATTAGGAGAGCAATTAAACTTTCATGTGTATTAGAAATATTTTCAAATCAGGTGAAATAAACATTTAGCATTTGAATACAAATATTTTATGTGTTTACCTGCTGTTCTCTTTTTCACTTATAGAAGATATGGATTTTAAAATTCAATTATTATTGGAGAAAAACAATGATTTGTTTTTTGTCTAAAACCTTGATCTTCTTTTTTGGTTGTGTCTCTGCCCCGCTTTGGTATCAGGATGATGCTGGCCTCATAAAATGAGTTAGGGAGGATTCCCTCTTTTTCTATTGATTGGAATAGTTTCAGAAGGAATGGTACCAGTTCCTCCTTGTACCTCTGGTAGAATTCGGCTGTGAATCCATCTGGTCCTAGACTCTTTGGTTGGTAAGCTATTGATTATTGCCACAATTTCAGCTCCTGTTATTGGTCTATTCAGAGATTCAACTTCTTCCTGGTTTAGTCTTGGGAGAGTGTATGTGTCGAGGAATTTATCCATTTCTTCTAGATTTTCTAGTTTATTTGCGTAGAGATGTTTTGTTGTATTCTCTGAAGGTAGTTTGTATTTCTGTGGGATTGGTGGTGATATCCCCTTTATCATTTTTTACTGCGTCTATTTGATTCTTCTCTCTTTTTTTCTTTATTAGTCTTGCTAGCGGTCTATCAATTTTGTTGATCCTTTCAAAAAAGCAGCTCCTGGATTCGTTAATTTTTTGAAGGGTTTTTTGTCTCTATTTCCTTCAGTTCTGCTCTGATTTTAGTTATTTATTGCCTTCTGCTAGGCTTTTGAATGTGTTTGTTCTTGCTTTTCTAGTTCTTTTAATTGTGATGTCAGGGTGTCAATTTTGGATCTTTCCTGCTTTCTCTTGTGGGCATTTAGTGCTATAAATTTCCCTCTACACACTGCTTTGAATGGGTCCCAGAGATTCTGGTATGTTGTGTCTTTGTTCTCGTTGGTTTCAAAGAACATCTTTATTTCTGCCTTCCTTTCGTTATGTACCCAGTAGTCACTCAGGAGCAGGTTGTTCAGTTTCCATGTAATTGAGCGGTTTTGAGTGAGATTCCTAATCCTGAGTTCTAGTTTGATTGCACTGTGGTCTGAGAGACAGTTTGTTATAATTTCTGTTCTTTTACATTTGCTGAGGAGAGCTTTACTTCCAACTATGTGGTCAATTTTGGAATAGGTGTGGTGTGGTGCTGAAAAAAATGTATATTCTGTTGATTTGGGGTGGAGAGTTCTGTAGATGTCTATTAGGTCCGCTTGGTGCAGAGCTGAGTTCAATTCCTGGGTATCCTTGTTGACTTTCTGTCTCGTTGATCTGTCTAATGTTGACAGTGGGGTGTTAAAGTCTCCCATTATTAATGTGTGGGAGTCTAAGTCTCTTTGTAGGTCACTCAGGACTTGCTTTATGAATCTGGGTGCTCCTGTATTGGGTGCATATATATTTAGGATAGTTAGCTCTTCTTGTTGAATTGATCCCTTTACCATTATGTAATGGTCTTCTTTGTCTCTTTTGTTCTTTGTTGGTTTAAAGTCTACTTTATCAGAGACTAGGATTGCAACCCCTGCCTTTTTTTTGTTTTCCATTGGCTTGGTAGATCTTCCTCCATCCTTTTGTTTTGAGCCTATGTGTGTCTCTGCCCATGAGATGGGTTTCCTGAATACAGCACACTGATGGGTCTTGACTCTTTATCCAATTTGCCAGTCTGTGTCTTTTAATTGGAGCATTTAGTCCATTGACATTTAAAGTTAATATTGTTATGTGTGAATTTGATCCTGTCATTATGATGTTAGCTGGTTATTTTGCTCGTTAGTTGATGCAACTTCTTCCTAGTCTCGATGGTCTTTACATTTTGGCATGATTTTGCAGTGGCTGGTACCGGTTGTGCCTTTCCATGTTTAGTAAAACACATAGATATTGGTAACATGAATATTTTATTTATAAAATGCCCATATACAAATAGGAAGAAGGAATAGGCACTAGGATGCTTTTTGTCCTCTTGGATGCAAAATAGATTCAAGGCCTTCTTTATCACTCTGTATCTTCAATAACTGTAGAGGTATCTTTTTGTTATTTATTATTCTAAAGTGGTAGAAAACTCTTATTCTGCACTGAACCATCAGTGTTTAAAAATCACTGTCTAAAGACAGATGGTAAACAAATGATTACTGAAATACTTTCATTTATTCACACACATATAAATCTCTGCATTTCTCTATGAGAAGTAACACGCTATTTGTCTTATACCTTTGTCTTCTGAAATATGTATGGTGAGAACAGTAATTTTACTCTTGTTAATAGTGCAATTTTCTCCCATTTACATAGCTCAATCTGATACTAATCAAGGAAGAAAACAATTTAAGGGACAGGTAGAATTTTGTCTGAACTCTACATGTAACAAACGTTTACAGAAAAGTGATGTTAGCTCCTAATGCAAAATCAATATACTTGATGTTTGAGGAATAAATACCATAAGATATTTGCTATTCTCAAAATTCTGAGATAAAATCAGCATCTATTTTGTAAATTAATCATATGTTTTCTCCTTATGTTAGTTGGATAGAGCTGCCATTACAGCATACAACAGACTGAGTGACCTAAACTGAATAATTTTTTTTTCACACTCCTGGAGGCTGGAATTCTGAAATAAGGGTGGTGCTAGATAGTTTGTAGTGAGGCGTCTCTTTCTGGCTTGCAGATGGTCACCCTCTCATTGTGTCCTCATGTGGCCTTTCCTCTGTGGATGTGCATGCCCAGAATCTTTCTCTTCTTATAAGAACACGAATTCTATTGGATTAGGGCCCTACCCTTAAAACCTTATTTAACCTTAATTAATGTTTAAGGCTCTAAATCAAAATATAGTATTATTGAGGTAAGGAGTTCAACATATGAAGCTGAGAGGAGGGGGAGACATTTCCATCCCTACTGTTCCCTAAGAAGCATTACTTTTCATTCATTAAAAATTATTCGAAAACATTCCTATTTTCTCATTATGTGCCAGATACTATGTTCAGTGATTAGGATACTAATGATGAAGGAAAAAGAGGTAGTCATGCCTTCAAAATGGTTAATCAAAAACACACCCTGAAAAACTATAATTTAAAACTTTGTTAAGTAATTTTAAAAAGACATATAATGCTACGACAGTATATAAAAGATAAACTGGTCTATTGATTGATATTAAGACCGCCCAGACAAATTGAGCATTATGTTGTTAAATTCTCTCTCTTCAACTTCTGCCTATATGTTTCCTTCTTTTTTGAAGATATTTGCCAAAAGAGATCACGATTTTCAATATGCCACAGTAGTTAAGAGAAGTGCAATGGTCAAAGACAAAATGAAGACATACTTGCAGTAAAGAACCATTCCACTAACTTAGTGGCTTTTGCACAGCAGCTTCATGGTGTGTTTGGCTCAAATTTGAATATCAGCAAAATAGCACATAGCTTAATTCTTGTTACCAAGAGCTATTTCACACTAGCTGAGTCACTAGGGTCTAATCATAAACTAAAAATAGTACATAGTAAACCAGTGTCAAAAATGAGGTGAGATGTTTTTCATATTTGCCTTTTTAAATTTTGATATCCATAGCATCTGCCCTTCTGAGAAACCATATAATTGTCCATATAAATTTACCTTATGTAATTGTTTTTATTTTCAATATATATATTTTGTTACCTTTCAAAAAGAGATATAATAGTTTAGAGAGTGCTTTTTATCTAACAAATATATTTAAAAATAGATATATGTAATATATATTTAATAAAATTATAGCTTTTAAGTGTTTAGTTCATTTACTTTTGATAATTGCATTCACTTCTGTAGCTGTCACCCATTATAAAATAAAATCTACTTTCAACTCATCAGGAGAGTTTCTCATGTCCCTTTGCAGTTGGTTACCCTTCCGACCATCCTCATTTGTCTTGTTTTAGATTAATTTGGCTGTAGATAGGAGACATATAAATGTACTGTAAGTATGTATTACTATTTTATGATTGACATCTTTTCCTTAATATACTGTTTTGAGATTATTTGTTCTTTTTTAATAATTACTGAAAAGTATGCTATTAAATGCATACACCACTATTTCTCTACCCGTTTTCCCCTTGAAAGACATTTAGATTGATTCCAAGCTTGTGCTTTTATAAATAGGACTACTACAAATATTTTTTTGTGTTTCTTTGAGGGTATATGATATTTTTAAATCTTGGGTTAAAAACTAGTAGAACTACTGTTAAGATCAAATGTCTGTTTAACATTATAAAAAACTGCCAGTCTCCAAAGCAGTTTTTACACTACCAACAGCAATTGATAAAAGTTCTAGTTGCTTTGATATCTTTGCCAATATATGATACCAAATTCTAATTTTTAAAATTTTAGCTATTCTAGTAGTTATAAAGTACTTACTTATTAATGGTTTCATTAGCATTTCCCTAGTGACCAACGATGTTAAGCAACTTTAAAGTTCATATAAGTCATATATATGCCTACTTTTATAAAGTATCTATTTAAACCTTGCCCATTTTAAATTTTTATCCTTTCATTTTATACATGAGTCATTTATGTTTTCTATATACAGTTATATTTAAATACTGCAAATATTCTCTTTCAGTATCTAGTGTGTCTTTTACACACATAAATTTTAATTTTCAAGAAATCCTATTAATCACTAATTTCATTTTAGGTCTTGTGCTTTTTGTGTCTGATAAAAATGCCTGTGTAACTAATGTGTATAAAAAAATATATATTCCAGAAACTTGATATATGTTTAGGTCCATTATTCTTCTCTAATGTATTTATGTGTATATTGTAAGGTACAACTAAAAGTTTACTTCTTCCTCCTACAACATTTTCAGGTCATTCTAGCAATAAGTATATTTTTTAAAAGTTTTCCCATAGCCCTTGAAGTTGTTGCAGAACTCTCTCCTTAGTTCAGCTGAAACTGGGGTCTTGTCACACAACCAGGAAAGATTAGGCTTATGGACACATAGAAGGGTGAGGAAAATTGAATTTACTGGGCAAAAAGGAAAAAGAAAAAATACCTCTCAACTAAGCAAGAAAGAATCCTGCTAGCAGGTTTCCCACCTCAAAGATAGGTCACCACCCAGGAACCAAAGAGGCCAGAATCCTCCCTACTGCAAGTGGCGCAAACTCCCCAAGTCTCCACCTCGTCCTCCCAGTCTGCAGGTGGGAAATATTCAGAGAGAATTAGTTGGGAAAGGGTGGGTTTCATCCTGGACCATCAGTTCAGTTTTTCAACCTTCAGGCTCTTTCAGGCTTGAAAGCTGGAATTCACCGGGGAACTTGGCTGTCTCCTGTCTCTATCAAAGCGACTTGGCAAATTGCTGAAAATGAAGCAGGTGAGTCTATTTGTGGACTCTCTACATTGTATCATTGATATATTTTTCTGTCTTTACTCCAGTACCACCTGTTTGCTGGTAACTGTAGCACTAGAGTGTGTCATGATACCAGGTAGTATAAACTCTCCAACTTTATACTTCTCTTGCAGGATTACTTTGGTTGTATTAGATCCTTTGCATATTCAAATAAACTTTGGAATTTTCTTTTATATTTCTTCAAATTATCCTCTTGGAATACCGACACTCTGTTGAATCTATACTTCATATTAATTGTTAAGTTTCTGTATTGTCATTTTTTTTTTTTTTTTTTTTTTTGCAAGCTGTCCTTTATCAGTTTGAAGAAATTCTCTCCTGTTCATAAATTTAATTATGAAATGGTAATAAATTTTGTCAAATTCTTATTAAAATGGTTTGGATTTCTATTTTTTTGTATTAATGTCAGGTTTGTTATAATTAATTGTTTTTGAATGTTAATTAAGTCATTCATTCCTGATTTTAAAAAGCCTACTTGGTTATGATATTCTGTTTATCCTATAGTAGTTGTAGTCAGTTTGCATCCATTCTTATGATTGGCTTAATTTTTTAAATATGGTATGTGTCAGATTTCAGTATCAGGGTTATACAGCTGCATAAATACAATGGGGGGTTATTCTCTCTTGTCAATTTTCTGAAAGAATATGGATAGAACATTATTATTTATTCTTTAAATATTTGGTAGAATTAACTGAGGCAGTTATTTGGGCCTAGAATTTTATTTATGGAAAGACATTTTATTATGAACTTAATTTAATAAACATGGTTTTATTTATATTTTATATTAATTACTGTGTTAATTTAGGTAAATTAACTTTTTAAAGAAACTTATTTGTCTTATAAAAGTTGTCTAAATTTTTGAAAAGATTGCTTATAATGATTTAACATAGCATAACATGACATAAGCCATGTAAGTTATATTTCTTTCCTAGCAAACATTACCTATTTGCTGAACCTGTAAGACATACTATAAGTGCTCAATAAACATTTAACCATCATTGCCAGTTACTGTATATAATATTATATATAATACATACACATAGACACCCACATACAATGTTTCATTATGTTATTATACATTACTATGAAGTTACTTATTTATATCAATAATCTTAAGAAATTATACAGCAGGATTTTCACTGCGAAATACATAGTAAACATAAATACATCTTTCTGATATAGATTATATTATAAACCTGTGATCGAGTGAATTACCTAGTTCTTTTACTCAGGATGAGAATTTTATTTCAATGACAGTCAATCATTTGTTTTTCAGAAAATAAATACATAGCAATGAACTTATATAACTGTTTGGCATTGTGAAATGTATCAAACATGTGATTTTGAGGCCAAAATTATTCTTAATTTATCTATGTGGTAATATCTACATAAATATCAACTTTTATTTTACAAAGTGTCGAAGTTTTCTGCCATAAACATTGTTTTTATGGTAGAATTTAAGGATTACATATGTGTCCACACCACTTTTATAAGAATTTGACATGCTGGCTAAGAAGAAAATCTATAGACATGTATCTACTTGAGTTTTATTTGTCATTAAAGATAAAAGCTAAATACTGTTTTATTATTATTATTATTGACGGTTTAAATCAAGAGAAATCTATATCACATTTAAAACGTTTTGTGTATTAGTCATGAGGGAAAAGTAGACTGACAACCCAAAGTGTTGACAAGAATGCCGGTTTCCTTAATCTGCTTTGAATGTTTTTCACTCATTACAGTCAGGTTAATCGTATCTTTTTTGTTTGTTTGTTTTGTTTTGTTTTGAGATGGAGTCTCACTCTGTCGCCCAAGCTGAAGTGCAGTGGCGTGATCTCGGCTCACTGCAAGCTCCGCCTGCCGGGTTCACGCCATTCTCCTGCCTCAGCCTCCCGAGTAGCTGGGACTACAGGCGCCCGCCACCACGCCCGGCTCATTTTTTATTTTTTATTTTTAGTAGAGACGGGGTTTCACCGTGTTAGCCAAGATGATTTCGATCTCCAGACCTCGTGATCTGCCCGCCTTGGCCTCCCAAAGTGCTGGGATTTCAGGCATGAGCCACTGCACCCAGCCAATCATATCTTTTAAAACTCTCTATATTATGTCTATTTTGTTAATCTTACTGATGATTTTCAAAGAGATTTTATAGTTTTAGGAAAGAATGGCATGATAAAAATATTTGGCATTGTTTCTTGTGTTAATTACGTTTATATTTAATTGAATTTATTTCTGATTTGAACAAACCCAAATAATCTAAAACAATATATCATTACATTTCAATGAAATAGAATAGCACATATTTTAGATGTACCTTAAAATGTAATAAACATTTTCAGAAAGTAGGCTACATGGCATAATAGAATGTTCAATGGGAAATAATTCAGGGTTTATTGCTATAATTCCTTTAACTTGCAGGTTTCATTAGCAGAGAGGAGCCTCAGTTAACTCATTTATTAGACAAAGTAAGTAGGTGAAATCATGTCACAGATCATCTCCATTTTTTTACATTATATATTTTCATTTTATATTAAAGTTAAAAATAAAAATTATGTGATGTTTTGACATGTGTATACACTGTGAAATGGTTAAATCAAGCTAATTTACGCATCTGTCACCTCATATACTTATAATTTTTTGTTGGTTGAAAACTTAAGATTTTTTTAGCAAATTTTAAATACACAACAATTATTAATGATAATCACCGTGCCATATTTTTACATGATCCACAAAAATGGGAACACTAGGATTTTTCCGTATTACCAATTTATAAAAATTTGACAACCCTTTACAAGAGTGCAATGTTGCAATTTATTTGCTATTCTCCTTATTTTGCAATGTTTATGATCAGAAACATTTAGCAGTATTTATGGTCAGGTTTTCTCCATTCTACTGAAGAAGATAACCTTTGAAAAGTCAATTATTTTCCCAAGAAATATATGTGCAGTGAAAAAACTTTTAATTATAGCAAGCACTTATAAAGTGACAGAGATAACTATTTCTGTGTTCCCAGGAGAAGCTGAGGCATATGCTGTTAATTTGTTCGCCTTCATATAGTTAAGCTTTTCTTTAATTAAGCAGACAGCACAAATTTCAATAGAATCTATATAAACGCTTATGTTTTCAGATATTTGTCTTGTGTGCATTAAACATATACAGCGAATCTAAGGGGAAATTTAGTTAGAGAATTTTATACTGTATAATTAATTTAATTCAATAAAAGTCACATAAATCTTTAATTTTAGTGCCAGTAAACCATTGTGTAAATAAGATGAATCACTTATTTGTGTAAGATAATACTTTCCTTTATTGAAATCTCATCTGATTTCTCACAAAAATTGAAGAAAGTGGCTTATTCATTTTAGTTACAAAGCTAGCTCAGCACTTTAATGAAAATCATAATATATTTTAACACATTTTCCCACACATTTTGACTTTTTGAAGTCTCAGTGTACATTTATATTGCCTCTTGATCAACTGTTGTAGTTATTTTCTTTAGTAGTTTGGTCTTTTAGTCTTCATACTAAAGATACAGGTGGTTACACACACCACTATACTATGAGTATTTTGAATTTTTTGTATATTTACATTTACCAGTGGGGTTTATAACTTCAGCTGTTTTCTTGTTACAGGATATGATCCTTTTATTTCAGATTGGAGAACTTCCTTGTAGCATTTCACAGAAGACAGGTCTGGTGTTTATGAATTTCCTCAACTTTTGTTTATGTGGGAAAGTCTTTATCTTTCTTTTTGTTTGAACGACAGTTTTGCTGGGTACAGTACTGTTGGCTGGCATTTTAATTTTTCCTTCAGCACTTTGAAGATATTATTTCACTCCCTCCTAGCTGTAGGATTTCTGGTAGAAAATCCATTGAAAGATGTATTAAAGCTACAATGAATGCTACTTGTTGCATTCATCTTGCTGCTTTCACTATTTTTTCATCATTGACTTCTGATAATTTGATAACGATGTGCCTTGGAGAATTTCTCTTTGGATTGGATTTTTGGTGACCTATTGATCTTTCGGTACCTGGATGCTGTCATATTTCTCTAGATTTGGAGCATTTTTAGCCACTGTTTCCTCAAATATGCTTTACAGACCTTTTTCCCTCTTGTTTCCTGTGAACAGTTCTATTATGAGGATGCTGGCTTGCCCGATGGTGTTCCATAATCTCTGAATCTAGGACTTCTCTAGTCTTTTTTTTCTCCTTTGATTGGATAATTTCATATGTTTTGTATTTAGGAGCTTGCTGATTCTTTCCTCCATCTCTTCAAATCTGCTGTTGAAGTGTACTAATGAATGTTTCAGTTCAGTTATTGTATTCTTTATAAGATTTCTATACAGTATTTTTTCCTTGAAAATTGTTTCTACTTATTTGTCAAATGAGGAATTTGATTCCTAAATTGTTTTCCAAATTTTATTTGATTTTTTTCTCTGGGTTTTGTGTTGATAACCTGTAACCTCTTTAAAATGATTTTTCTAAATTCTTTTTCAGACATTTCACAAGTCTTAATTCTTCTGGGTCTTTTGTTGGATATTGGTTTTTTTTTAAATTTTTTGTGATGGTGTTATATGTCACGATCCTTGTATCCTTACACTGATGCCTGTGCATTTGAGAAGACAGCCACCATTTTCAGCTTTTGCAGGTGTTCTTCAGTGGTATTAGACATTTACTACTTAAAATTGAAACTTAACTTCTGACCCATTAATGCTACTCATTGTGAGGAGGACTTACAGTAGGGACCAGAACTAAAGCACTGCACTCAACTAACTTGCTACTTTGGTCTTGTTTCCTAGTCTGGAGAAGACTCTCTGCAGGCACTGGAACTTAAGTGTTGCGCAGGAAATGAAACACAGACTTGAGATCATTCTAGGGCCTGGAGAAAACTAAGTAGGCATCAGAACTTAATCATCAACTTTTTAATTGCTTCCAGGTCAGGAGAAGGCTCCATGCAAATACCTGGGATTTGTGGAAACTCAAGCCAGCGATTTGGTCCTTCTCACAGGTTGTGCCCCCTGAGGCACTGTGGTGTGTGCCAGTGTCCTCTGTGTGGCATTTCAATGATTTGGAACCAGAACGGCTGCCAAGATCCATTCAACAATTACTGCCATCAGCACACCAACTCTTTATCTCCAATTCACTCCAGATGGTTCAGCCCTTCTGGCAATTCCAATGTTTCCCGTGGGACAGGACTAGAGCGTGTTTCCTACAAAGATCTCCATACTGGTGGAATAGTTGAATGTTCATCCACAATTTCCTCTTCTCACCTCTGAAACCATGGGTCTAGGGAAATTCTTAGTGAGTGGGATTATGCCGGCTTAGGAGAAGGGTAGCATGGTCCAAAGTGACAGTTTCTCTTATTGGTCATGGCTTGTTTTTGTGGGTCCAGGGGAGTTTCTGCTTCTTCTCTGAGTTCTGAGGGATTCAGGGTTGGATTCTTAACTCTAAATAATTGCTAGTTTATTTTTGTGGTGGGAGGGGGAGTTATGACAGAGGATCTTCTACACTGTCACCTTGTTGATGTCACCTCTCAGTATGATTTATCTTAAAATAATAATATAGTCAAACTTCACATAAAAACGTTTGTCAATGATGGACTGCATATATGATGATAGCCTCAAAAAGTTATAATGGAGCTAAAAAACATTGTAGCCATCATAATGTCACAGCACCCGGCATTATTAATGTATTTGTGGTGATACTGGTATAAAAAACCTAACCAGTTATATAAAAGTATAACACATACAATTATATATAGTACATAATACTTCATAATGGTAATAAATGATTATGCCACTGATTTACTATAGTATACCTTTTGTTATTTTAGAGTGCACTTTTTCAACTTATTACAAAAAAAGGAGTAACTGTAAAACAGCCTCAGGTCCTTCAGGAGGCATTACAGATAAAGTTGCTATTATCATACGCAGTGATAGCTCCACGTATGTTATTGGCCCTGAAGATCTGCAATAAGGCAGGATGTGGAGGCAGAAGACAGTGATTTTGATTATTAGGATCCTGTGGAGGTCTAGGCTTATGTATGTGTTGTGTCTTAGTTTTTTGTTTTGTTTTGTTTTTTGAGACGGAGCCTCGCTCTGTCACCCAGGCTGGAGTGCAGTGGCGCCATCACTGCAAGCTCCGCCTCCCAGGTTCACGCCATTCTCCTGCCTCAGCCTCCCGAGTAGCTGGGACTACAGGCGCCTGCCACCACGCCCGGCTAATTTTTTTGTATGTTTTTTAGTAGAGACGGGGTTTCACCATGTTAGCCAGGATGGTCTCGATCTCCTGACCTCGTGATCCACCCACCTCGGCCTCCCAAAGTGCTAGGATTACAGGCGTGAGCCACCGCGCCCAGCCCATGTCTTAGTTTTTAACAACAACAACAAAATCAATGTAAAAACAATTAGAAATAGAAAAAATACATTGACTAAGAATAGAAAGAAAGAAAATATTTTTGTGCAGGTGTACAAGGTATTTGTGTATTAAGGTAAATGTTATTATAAAAGAGCCAAAAAGTTAAAGCCAATGAAATAGTTTAAAAAGTAAAGTTACAGTAAGCTAATATTAATTTATTGTTAAAGAAAAAAATTGTTGAACAAATGTAATGCAGCCTAAGTATACGGAGTTTATAAAATCTACTACTGTCCAGTAATACTCTAGGCCTTTATATTCACTTGTTACTCACTGACTCACCCAAAGCAACTTTTACTTTTGCAAGCTCCATTCATGATAAGCTATACAGGTGTACCATTTTTTTTGTCTTATTATGTCATATTTTAACTGTACCTTTTCTATGTTGAGATATGTTTAAATACACAAATATTATTTTGTTATAATTTCCTACAGTATTCAATACAGTAATAAGCTGTATAGGTTTGTAGCCTAGGAGCAATCGGCTATACCATATAGCCTAGATGTGTAGTAGGCTTTAATACTGAGGATTGTGCAAATATAACTCTGTTTGCATAATTATGAAATTGCCTAACAATGCATTTCACAGAATGCAAACTTGTCATTAACTGATCTATGACTGTATTAATATACTAAAAACATTTTTCAAAAGTTAAGACAGCAGTATAATTTTGTCAGGCTTTGTTTAATCACAATGCCACTTTATAATTTAAGCTGTCTAGCATTTTATTGTTAGGAGAACCTATACTATATATTTAATTGAGAAATAAAATCATTTCAAATCACTTCCTATTAGTGTCTTCAAACTCCTACCACAGCATTAGTTCTTAATAATCAATTACATTTTTTATAAGTATTTAGAGTTTATGTGATCTCCACAGTACCTCATTATTCTGTCATTTTGTTTCCCTACATATTGAAACTAATGTATGATAGTCCCTGTGTAACAAAGTAGCTTAGATTCAAAATTCATTTTAAAACTTTTTTTCCCTTTCTTGCTTTTACCAGTGAAACATTCCTAAAAGCCCTTTGTTTCCCTCCTTTCCCACCAGGAGCTCCTGTGCACTCTGCTTGCTTATCTAATTATGGGCTTGCTGAGCAATTCAAGGGGCTAATTTTGAAACCAACCAGACATGGAGACCCAGCTGCAAAATTCAAGGGATTACCTCAAAGCAGTTAGTTTACAACCTGGTCATTGTTAAGATGATGCCAGCCCATGCTCTGAATGGATCATGAGTCAAGATAGCCACTAGACGAAGACACGCAGACCTTGTACCCAGCACTACTCCCACAAGCCTCCCATTTCAAGTTCCCTTTTTTTAAGCCCGTCTTCCCAGCCTAGTGTTTGGAATGGTCTCTTACTGACATGAGCCTGACCATTTCTCAACTGCTAACATTTGAATAAAGTTGCGTTTCTTTCACCGCACCTCTCTTCTGTTGTGGCTTCCAAGCAACAAGCAGCTGCACTTGAGACTGTTACACCTGGCCTTATACTAAACTACTAAATCATTAGTGGTGCCCTTTTATGGTTAGTAAAAATATTGTGATTTTTGCCATTTGAAAGTAATGGCAAAAACCACAGTAAACTTTTGCACCAACCTAATAGTTTTTGAAGGGGTAAAAACCAACAAACTCGAAGCAACTATTATTCATATATACATTTTTAGGGCCTAGAATTATGTTGAGTGAAAAAATAATACTATTTCCAAAGAATAGAAGCAACAATTTTAGATGTTTAAAGTTCATGTTTGTAACATAATTTATATTTTAAAATACCTTTCACTTACATTTTTATTTGCTTAATTTAATTAAGCAAGGCATTTAAGTGCACATGAAGAATATTTTTGCTTTTACTCATGTATTTTAAATTTTATAAGCTATCTATTTTATTATCACTAAAATGAACTAATTTTCAACACAATTTAACAAAACTATTTTTCCTTTGTAGAACTCAAACATGCCAGAATATGTTGGTAGCTAAAGACTTAAATACATTAAATTATATTAGTGTGTATTACCTGCATTAAACACCTATCTTTAAGGCTGATTAAAATGTATTTGAATGTTTTACCACAGTTCCTACTAACAAGAGCAATTTAAAAAGATATCATACTTAATTTTTCTAAACTGTACATTGTTTGCTTTTCCCAAATAATCAATTTTGGGAAGACTAAGAAAAAACCACCTAGAGGTCACGCAGATTAATGTCAGAGTAACTTTTAATGTCTTCTTTTCACTGAAACAATTTTTCTGATAGAAGTATTTATTAAGAGTAGTATGTGATCAGAGAACATGCTTAGAACCTTTTCCTCCACAGTATAGCCATCAACTCAAAGAAAACAATGAAGCCATTAAAAATAAGTTTCTTTGAGTATAGCTTATTAATATAATTTTTCTCCAGCTTTGTTCTTTTGGCTTAGGATTGACTTGGCAATGCGGGCTCTTTTTTGGTTCCATATGAACTTTAAAGTAGTTTTTTCCAATTCTGTAAAGAAAGTCATTGGTAGCTTGATGGGGACGACATTGAATCTATAAATGACCTTGGGCAGTATGGCCATTTTCACGATATTGATTCTTCCTACCCATGAGCATGGAATGTTCTCCCATTTGTTTGTATCCTCTTTTATTTCATTGAGCAGTGGTTTGTAGTTCTCCTTGAAGAGGTCCTTCACATCACTTGTAAGGTGGATTCCTAGGTATTTTATTCTCTTTGAAGCAATTGTGAATGAGAGTTCACTCATGATTTGGCTCTCTGTTTGTCTGTTATTGGTGTATAAGAATGCTTGTGATTTTTGTACACTGATTTTGTATCCTGAGACTTTGCTGAAGTTGCTTACCAGCTTAAGGAGATTTTGGGCTGAGACAATGGGGTTTTCTAGATATACAATCATGTCGTCTACAAACAGGGACAATTTGACTTCCTGTTTTCCTAATTGAATACCCTTTATTTCCTTCTTCTGCCTAATTGCCCTGACCAGAACTTCCAACACTATGTTGAATAGGAGTGCTGAGAGACGGCATCCCTGTCTTGTGCTGGTTTTCAAAGGGAATGCTTCCAGTTTTTGCCCATTCAGTATGATATTGGCTATGGGTTTGTCATAGATAGCTCTTACTATTTTGAGATACATCCCATCAATACCAATTTATTGAGAGTTTTTAGCATGAAGGGTTGTTGAATTTTGTCAAAGGCCCTTTCTGCCGGCATCATGCTACTTGACTTCAAACTATACTGCAAGGCTACCGTAACCAAAACAACGTGGTACTGGTACCAAAACAGAGATATAAATCAATGGAACAGAACAGAGCCCTCAGAAATAATGCCACATATCTACAACTATCTGATCTTTGACAAACCTGAGAAAAACAAGCAATGGGGAAAGGATTCCCTATTTAATAAATGGTGCTGGGAAAACTGGCCAGCCATATGTAGAAAGCTGAAACCGGATCCCTTCCTTATACCTTATGCAAAAATTAATTCAAGATGGATTAAAAACTTAAACGTTAGAACTAAAACCATAAAAACCCTAGAAGAAAACCTAGGCATTACCATTCAGGACATAGGCATGGGCAAGGACTTCATGTCTAAAACACCAAAAGCAATGGCAACAAAAGCCAAAATTGACAAATGGGATCTAATTAAACTAAAGAGCTTCTGCACAGCAAAAGAAACTACCATCAGAGTGAACAGGCAACCTACAAAATGGGAGAAAATTTTCACAACCTACTCATCTGACAAAGGGCTAATATCCAGAATCTACAATGAACTCCAACAAATTTACAAGAAAAAAACAAATAACCCCATCAAAAAGTGGGCGAAGGACATGAACAGACAGTTCTCTAAGAAGACATTTATGCAGCCAAAAAACACGTGAAAAAATGCTCACCATCACTGGCCAACAGAGAAATGCAAATGAAAACCACAATGAGATACCATCTCACACCAGTTAGAATGGCAATCATTAAAAAGTCAGGAAACAACAGGTGCTGGAGAGGATGTGGAGAAATAGGAACACTTTTACACTGTTGGTGGGACTGTCAACTAGTTCAACCATTGTGGAAGTCAGTGTGGCGATTCCTCAGGGATCTAGAACTAGAAATACCATTTGACCCAGCCATCCCATTACTGGGTATATACCCAAAGGACTATAAATCATGCTGCTATAAAGACACATGCACACGTATGTTTATTGTGGCACTATTCACAATAGCAAAGACTTGGAACCAACCCAAATGTCCAACAATGATAGACTGGATTAAGAAAATGTGGCATATATACACCATGGAATACTATGCAGCCACAAAAAAGGATAAGTTCATGTCCTTTCTATGGACATGGATGAAATTGGAAATCATCATTCTCAGTAAACTATCTCCAGGACAAAAAGCCAAACACTGCATGTTCTCACTCATAGGTGGGAATCAAACAATGAGAACACATGGACACAGGAAGGGGAACAGCACACTGGGGACTGTTGTGGGGTGGGGGGAGGGTGGAGGGATAGCATTAGGAGATATACCTAATGCTAAATGACGAGTTAATGGGTGCAACACACCAGCATGGCACATATATACATATGTAACTAATCTGCACATTGTGCACATGTACCCTAAAAGTATAATAATAATAAAATAAAATAAAATTTCTCTTCATCTGTAAATTAGTTTCTACAACTTATTATTTAAAAAAATGACTTAGGGCTGGGCATGGTGACTCATGCTTATAACCCCACCAATTTGGGATGCTCAAGTAGAAAGATCAATTGAGACCAGGAGTTTGAGACCCACCTGGGCAACATAGTGAGACCTTGTCTTTATTGAAAGAAAGAAAGAGGGAAAGAGAGGAAAGCAAGAGAGAGAAAAAGAAAGAAAGAGAAAGAGAGAAAGAAATGAAGAAAGAGAAAGCAAAGAAAAGAAAAAAGAAAAGAAGAAAAAGGGAGGGAGGATGGAAGGAAGTAAAGGAGGGAGGGAGGGATGAAGGAAGGAAGGAGGGAGGGAGGAAAGGAAATAAAGAAGGAAAGAAAAGAAAGAAAAGAGATAGAAACAAGAAGAGAAAAAAGAAGAAAGAAAAGGGAAGGAAGGAAGCAAGGGAAGGAAGGAAGGGAAGGAAGGGAAGGAAGGGAAGGAAGGGAAGGAAAGGAAGGAATGGAAGGAATGGAAGGAAGGGAAGGAAGGGAAGAAAGGAAGGAAAGGAAGGAAGGGAAGGAAGGAAGGGAAGGAAGGGAAGGAAGGGAAGGGAAGGAAGGGAAGGAAGGGAAGGAAAGGAAGGAAAGGAAGGGAGGGAACGAAGGGAAGGAAGGAAGGGAAGGAAGGAAGGGAAGGAAGGAAGGGAAGGAAGGAAGGGAAGGAAGGAAGGGAAGGAAGGAAGGGAAGGAAGGGCGAGCTAATCTGTGTAGTGACATACACTTGTAGTCCTAGCTACTTGGGAGGCTGAGGCAGGATGATAGCTTGACCCCAGGAGTTTGAGGCTGAAGTGAGCCCTCCAGCTAAGCCAAAAAAGTGAGACCATGTCTCTTAAAAAAATGACATGCAAATTATTATTCATCTTCCTATAGGCTAGTGTTCACTAGAAATATTTTAAAATATATCCAGACTACATAAAAGTAATCTCAGTATTTTCAACATTATAAATAGTTGGAAAACATAAATTTTTACTATAAAAGTAAAAATTTTATTTTTTCGTACATACCTTAAGCTCTGCATTATATACAACTTGAGTAAAGTAAGAAAAAAATGTGGAGGACAAATATAGGAATATGCTTTTGAAATAATATTGCTACAAGTAATTATATTCAACATCACAAGAATCATATAACTGTATGATGACATAGAAATTGTTTTTGGAATTCCTTTGGTCTTATAAACCTGCTTTTCAATTCAGTAAGAAAATCAATACATTTCTTGAGACCTAACTACATGTCAGACATTGTAGTAGTCATTTTACTTTATTGTATTTATTATCAATGCACCCAGAATTCTAAAAGATACATACTATTATTATCACATTTTATTGATGAAGATTCTTGGATATAGATATATTAAGTTAATTATTCCAAGATCACACAGTTAATGAGTGCTAGAACACTGGTCAGTATATCTGTATTCACCATTAGAATGAATTCACCTGACAAAAAGGATTACATGAAAAATATCCTTTATTGTTAACACATAAAATCATAGACTCACATACTTAAAAGTGAACTTAATGTTTACCTGAGGAAATGCTACAAAATATATGCTTGAATTTTACCCCATAACATTTACCCTTAAAAGTATGGATGAATATTTCCAAGGACAGATGATCCATCTATAGCACTTTCCACCTCTGAGCATCTTAACTCAAACTGGGAGGGACATTACTATTAGAGCCAGACAAAGTTCCAGCCCAGAGGTTTCAAAGACAAACAGGAGAGGTCAGGTTGCCATTCTCATGGAACTTTCATACTAATGAAAAACATGTAACTAAACAATATACTAAATGTTTCTAATGGCTTTGAAGAATCTAAAAAAAATAATGTAATAAAGACTGAGTGTGGTTCTATTTTAAATTGGCTGGTTAGAGGCCTTTCTAAGAACGTTTATGCTAAATCAGAATTATATGGAAATTCTTAGTATGTGAATATAATAAGAAAAGTATTCCATTCAGTGGGAAAACAGACAAACAAAAGCCCAAAAACCACTCATGCAGATTTCCTAAGGCAGGAAACAAGCATGAGCTATTGTAGGAAAGGAAAATGGGCATGTGTTTCTGAAGAAAGGAGACTGTCAGGGAGCCATATGAGGTGGGTGAGGGCTGGGCCAGGGCACATGGGGCTTTTGACATCTTGTTGAAGAGGTAGGGTTTCTTTCCAAGAGTAGATGGTTTTAAACAAGGTAGTAAGATTAACGGATTTTTATTTTTAAGAAACCACCCTGGATGTAGAGTCATGGGCCATTAACAGGCCAGAACAGAACAGAGAAACTGGTTAAGAGGCTGTTGAAGTTAGATGATGTTATTGGACAAAATTTGCAGCAGTGGCGATGATATGTCAATGATTCAAAACATGTTTTGGAAGTAAAGCTCACAGGGCTTGCTCATAGATTGCATGTAGAAGGAAAAGAAAGACATAAGCAGTTTGCTCTTAGGTTTTTGACTTGAGCAAAAGAATGTTGATTCCATTTACAAAGATAAGGGTTGACATTCTTAGTAAATTACTTAATTGATCAAAAAGAAAATTGAAGTTCAGTTTGGATTTTTAAGATTGAAATATATGTGGAATACAGGAGATAAATATCTGTCATAATGTTTTTTACCCAATTAGTTCTATATCTACTCTTTTAGCACCAGAGTCATAAAGACTAACATCTCTTCAAAGTGGCAACATTTCGTATGGGCAGTTTTTTTCGGCCCATTAACATAGATCTTCCTTCTAGTCTTTGTCTTAAGACATGTTCCTCACACCATTCTATTTTTTCTCCTCTATGTTTTAATTTGCTTGTATCAATCCTAACTGGGGAGCTAAAAACAGAACATAACCGGACAGAATACTGGACACTTTGGAGATACTTCACATAATTTTATTGCTCAAATCATAATGTTCCAAACTCCCTTTTCTAAGAAGTAACAGATGAGCATATTCTAGCATCAAAAAACTTTACCTTGTCTCATTTAAGAAATATGCATTACTTGGCATTATTAGTTTAGAACTGGGATAGGTTGGTAGGTGAATAGAGAGAATACTCACCAAGGATGGTATCTTGTGGTCGTGAACTGAAGAGAAGGTCCTGAGGTGCCAAATTAGTCTGCTAGGGCTACTATTAAAAAATGACCCAAACTGGCTGGCTTCAAAAACAAAAAAAATATTTTCTTACCGCTCTGGAGGCTGGAAGTTCAAGGTCAAGGTGTCAGTGTTCTTCAGCAGCCTCTATACTTGTCTTGCTGATGGTCCCCTTCTTGCTATGCCCTTACATGGCTTTTTGTTTTTCTGCACATCCCAGGTGCTAATGGCAAAGTTTCTAGTCCTGAGGAGACAAATATTTAAAGAATACAATAAAGACAAGTGATACTGTACAGCAGAAAATGCCATGTTTCTTTAGTGTAGAATAAAGTGGAACAATATCTGCAGCTTTAAAACATATTTTAGTAAAACATAGTATATATTATTACCTACTCAGAATTTTAGTCTTCAATTTAAAGTAAAAAGTTAATCTTACTATGAAGAACTGGAAATTTTCAATTTTGGATATTGATCTTTGTCTAGGCAATGGAGAAAGTTAGCGACATAGTGCCAGAAGCAGGGATAGAGCCCTGTTATCCGAATTTTTATGCTCTCTCAGCTGAATTTGTTTGCGTCTAATTCTAGTATCTTTCCCTAAGAAAAGTAATTGGAATTTAAGCACAGTTAAGTTTGACAAAATTATACCATAAAAAAAGACTCTGAAGCAACTGGAAATATTTAGCCTGCAGAAAATATACAGAAGAGAAATGTTTATTTTCCAATGTACAGAATTTGCTCTATGAAAGAGAAATGAGCCTTGTTTTGTGTGCAGAGGGTAGAACTTAGACCATTTGGTGGGAGCCATGGGGAAAATGTAAAGAGGACTATTCTAATAATTACAGTTATCCATCAAGCTAATGCACTGCTTTGTTAAGAACGAGAATTTCAACTCTGCTGGGGTATTAGTAAGTTGGACAGCCACTTGGAGAAAAAAAAGCACATCGGGAAATCAAACACTGAACAGATATTTGAACTGCATAATCTGTAAAGTTCATTCCAGTTCTGAAATACAACATTCTAAAAGAAGTCCTTCATAGTTTAATTTGATAACTAAAAAAGACATTGAAATACAGATTTAGTGAGGCACTAAGTAGAGACAGAGATTATATTATTCAGTCATTTCAGCCCATAATTGAGAACTTAAAGTTGTCCAATCTGCAATCAAAACAATTTTTGTTCCTTTATCAAAAACTCTCCTGAAACTTAATAAAATATTAGAAGAATATCATTATGAAATTTTTCCTTCTTCAGTTTGAAAAGTAAGACTTTTAGCATATGCAGATAGGATTCAGAGACTATTTCAACTCAAAATCTTTCATGAACACAGATACTTTTTTGTAGTTAATAAGTTATAAATATGATTTGAATTATTAAACTTGTTTCTCTAAAACAAAGTAGTTTATCAAAAGTAATTAAAACTGCATTTTATAATAGTTATAGAATAAACTAAGACAATATGAGAAATTACTTTCCTTCTCACCTCAGACACTCAAACCTACACATATGTTAGAGTAATGTGGAAGAAGAAACAAGAGCTGCCAGGAGTTGGGGAAAGAGAAGAGAGAGGAATTTATCAAAATACCACTGATCTTACACCTCCGACTGCCCACTGAATAGATGTTTTGCAGGTATCAATGCTTTTGAATCTTTATCCATGAGGAAATATTACTGTCAAATCCATTCTCACTTGCAAATATTACAGAGAACAAATTCCTTCCCTGCAAGTTATGCTAAAACTCAGGTGTGGAAAAAAAGATAGGTGGAGTCAACTCTACTTTATTCTTTTTTTCACAACTCCTAATATATTGGACCCCTTTTCTTCTTTTAAGTAACTGACAAAAAGTGTCCCATCAAAACATAATGTGAGTGGATTAGTCTATTCTCACATTGCTAATAAAGACATGCCTGAGAATGAGTAATTTATAAAGGAAAGAGATTTAATTAATTCACAGTTCCAAATGACTGGGGAGGCCTCACAATCATGGCAGAAGGCAAAGGAGGAGCAAAGTCACTTCTTATATGGTGGGAGGCAAGAGGGCAAGTGCAGGGGAACTGCCCTTTATAAAACCATCAGGTCTCATAAGACTTATCCACTGTCATGGGTACAGCACTATCAAGAGAACAGCAAAGGAAAAATCTGCCCCCATGATTCAATTATCTCCCACCAGGTGTCTCCCACAACAAGTGGGGATTATTACAATTCAAGATGAGATCTGGGTGGAGACACTGAACCAAATTATATTATTCTGCCCATGGCCTCTCCCAAATCTCATGTCCTCACATTTCAAAACCAACCATGCCTTCCTACAGTCCCCAAAGTCTTAACTCATTCCAGCATTCACCCAAAAGTCCAAGTGCAAAGTCTTATCTGAGACAAGGCAAGTCCTGTCCGCCTATGAACCTGTAAAATCAAAAGCAAGTTAGTTACTTCTTAGATACAATGTGGGTGCAAGCATTGTGTAAATACATCTACTCCAAATGGGAGAAATTGGCTAAATCAAAGGAACTACAGGCTCCATGCAAGTCTAAAGTTCAGCAGGGCAGAAAAATCTTAAAGCTCTGAAATAATCTCCTTTGACTCTGTGTGTCACATAGCATTTGCGACGATGCAAGAGGTGGGCTCCTCCAGATTTGGGCAGCTCTGCCCCTGTGGTTTTGCAGGATACATCCCCTCTTCCAGCTACTTTTGTGGGCTGGTGTTGAGTGTCTTTGGCTTTTCCAGGTGCACAGGGCAAACTGTTGGTGGATCTACCATTGTGGGGTCTGGAAGATGGTGGCCCTCTTCTCACAGCTCCACTAGGTGGTGCCCTAGTGGCGACTCTGTTTGGGCCTCAGACCCCATATTTCCTTCTGCACTGCCCAGATAGAGATTCTCCATGAGGTCTCCACCCCTGCAGCAAACTTCTGCCTGGACATCCAGCTGTTTCCATATATCCTCTGAAATCTAGGCAGAAGTTTCCAAACCTCAGCTTTTACTTCTGTGCAACCACAGATTCAACATCACATGTAAGCTGCCAAGGCTTGGGGCTTGCACCCTCTGGAAAAACATCCTGAGTTCTACGTTGGCCACTTTTAGCTGTGGCCAGAGCTGAAGCAGCTAGGATGCAGGGCACCATCTCTGGAGGCTGCATAAAGAGCGGGGGGCCCTGGGCCCAGCCCACAAAACCATTTTTCCTACATAGGTATCTAGGCCTTTGATGGGAGGGGCTGTTATGAAGGTCTGTGACATGCCCTGAAGACATTTTCCTCATTATCTTGGAGATTAACATTTGGCTCCTCGTTACTCATGTAACTTTATGCAGCTGGCTCAAATTTCTCCCTGGAAAATGGGATTTTCTTTTTGACCTCATGGTCAGATTGCAAATTTTCCAAACTTTTATGGCCTGCTTCCCTTTTAAACATAAGTTTCAATTTCAAACCGTATCTTTGTGAATGCACAAAACTGAATGCTTTAACCCAAGACGTGTCTTGAACGTTTTGATGCTTAGAAATTTCTTCTGCCACATGCCCTAAATCATCTCTCTTAAGTTGAATATTCCATTTATCTCTAGGGCAGGGGCAAAATGCTGCCAGTCTCTTTGCTAAAGTACAAGAGGCACCTTTGCTTCAGTTTCCTTCAAGTACCTTATCTCCATCAGAGACCACCTCAGCCTGGATTTCACTGTCAATATCATTATCAGCATTTTGGTCAAAGGCATTCCACAAGTCTCTAGAAAGTTCCAAACATTTCCACGTCTTGTCTTCTGAGCCCTCCAAGTCTCTAAAAAGTTCCAAACTTTCCCACATCTTTCTGTCTTCTTATGAGCCCTCCAAACTCTTCCAACCTCTGCCTATTACCCAGTTTCAAAGTCACTTCCACATTTCCAAGTATCTGTAGAGCAGCATCCCCCTTCTGGTATCAATTTACTGTATTAGTCTGTTCTCATGCTGCTAATAAACACATACCTGGGATTGAGTGATTTAAAACGGAAAGAGCTTTAATGGCTTACAGTTCCCCATGGCTGGGGAGGCCTCACAATTACGGCAGAAGGCAAAGGGGGAGCAAAGTCATGTCTTACATGGTGGCAGGGAAGAGGGCATGTGTGGGGGAACTTCCCTTTATGAAAACATCAGATGTTGTGAGACTTATTCACAATCATGAGAACAGCATGGAAAAAACCTTCCTCATGATTAAATTACCTCCCACGGAGTCCCTCTCATGACACATGATGATTACTACAGTTCAAGGTGAGATTTGGATGGGAATACTGAGCCAAAACATATCAGTGGGTTAAGGAATAGTGAAATTGACTGTGTTCGATTTACGCATGTTCTTACTGAATCTATTCTAAAACATGACCCAGGGTCCTAGGATAATTCATTAAAGAGAAAACATGAGGAGTTTGGTGATAGCCACCACTATGCCTACCCCATTTACATTTTAAAACTTTCTTTTCAATTATCTTTCATCCCCCAATCATCAAATATTGGGGGATAACTAGCTTACTTACTTGTTGCTTACTTACTTAGTGTTTCAACTTGTCTTTTTTTTTGTCCCCAGAATTCTGAATCAGAAACTAATTGTCTAATACCCAAATAACCTAGTTAAAATTAACTCTGATACTGTTTTATTTTGTTGCTGTCAATATTCTTCTTTATAGAGTTCTATTAAAAAAAATTAGATTCAGAGGGTACATGCACTTGTTTGTTCCACTGGTATATTTCATACTGTTGGGAATTAGGCTTCTTGTTTACTCATTATCCAAATAATGAATATGATACTCAATAGTTACTTTTTCAACTCTCACTTCCCTCCCACCCTACTCACTTTTGCAGTCCCTACAGTCTATTTTAATTTCTATGTCCATGTGTACCCATTGTTTAGCTTCCACTTAAAATAGTATTTTTGTTGTATTGTTTCTGCATTAGTTTATTTACAATAATGACCTCCAGCTCCATCCGTGTTTCTGCAAAGGACATGATTTCATTCTTTTTATGGCTGCATGCTATTTCACAGTGTGTGTATGTATGTTTGTAGATCGATAGAGACACATTTTCCATATTCAGTCAACCATTGATGGACACTTAGGTTGATTCTGTGACTCTGCTATTGTGGATATTGCTTCAGTAAATATGAGTAATGATGTCTTTTGAATATCTAATGATTTATTTTGTGTAGATAGCCAGGAGTGGGATTTATGGGTCAAATGGTAGTTCTATTTTTAGTTTTATGAGCAATTGTCATACTGTTTTTCACAGAGGTTGAACTAATTTATATGCCTACCAACAATGTGAGTGTTTTCTCTGAATCCACACAAACATTTGTTGTTTTTCGACATCTTAGCAATAGCCATTTTGACTGATGTAAGATAGTATCTCATCATATTTCTAATTTTTATTTCTCTGATGATTACTGATATTGAGTATTTTTTTCATTTTTTATGCAACTCACATTTTTCTAGAATACCATTACTTTTATGAGCCTTGAAAACATGCTAAGTAAAAGAGGCCAGACACAACAGACCACAGTTCAAACAAAAATGGATAATTTAGGCATTCCCAAACAGTGAAAGAAATAGACCATAAGAACGATTTTGTCATAAGGGGATAAAGGAGCCAAATTTTCTCCAATATAAGTAGTATACATACTAATTTATACATATTTAAACTTACCAATTTTATATTTGTGTTCAAATTAGTTTAACCATATAAATATGAATCAGGCTATGTAATTTCTTGGCCTTTAAATATTTCAATCTTTATGCAAAATAAGTTTATTTCTTCTTTTCTTATCCCCAGATACTACAACCCAAATAATTTAATGTATACAGTCTGTGATGCAAAACACAATGTTTTGTATAATGGTGGTTCCAACAGATTACAATCCTACATTTTTACTGAACCTTTTCTATGTTAAGGCATTTTAGATACATAAACACTCATACCATTGTGTTACAATTGCCTATTGTCTTTAGGAGCTTAACATGCTGCACAGATTTGTAGCCTAGAAGCAATAGGATACAACATATAGCCTAGTTATATAGTAATCTATACTATCTAGGTTTGTGTAAATGTACTCTGTGATATTCCACAATGACAAAATTGCCTAGCAATGATACAATTCTCAGAATATATCGCTGTTGTTCAGCAACACATGATTGTATTGTAATTCTCAAAAGAAAATATAAAGAAGGCAAAGGCAAGAAAATATTTTTTAAGCCTCTGATGAATATATAAGAAATCTGAATATATACAAATATGAGAAAATATGGGACCAAATATGTCTATATGAATATCAGAATGTTATACACATACTAACATATTTCAATGAAGTGCAATTATTCTGATAGGACAATGAACATGTAAGTGGTTGTGTAATAAATCAGAGTTGCCTCAAAGCAATAAGTAAAAATAACCATTATTTTTCCTGGGAAATTATTGGTGTGGGGAATTTTCTATTGGATGAGCATAGGGAGACAAAAAAATTTTAAAAACCCACAAAGGTAATGAGATGAAGATTATATTGCACATTAGTGTGTTTAATAGCCTGAGTCAGAAACACCATAAATAAAGAAGATATTACTCAAAGCAATGTACTTTAAGTGTCAAAATGTATTTCAAGATGTTTGATGAAATTATATTTTATACATGCTGTTTTAAAACTGCTCATTAAAAAAAAGGAGACTGGGCATGGTGGCTAACAGCTGTAATCCCAGCACTTTGGAAGGCCAAGGAGGATGGGTCACTTGAGCCCAGGAGTTGAGACCAGCCCATGCACTGTGGTGAAACCCTGTCTCAACAACAACAACAAACATTAGCTGGGCTTGGTGGTGCATCCCTGTAGTCCCAGCTACTTGGGATGCTGAGGTTGGAGGATGGCTGAAGCCCAGGAGGTCGAGGCTGCAGTGACTTCAGCCTGGATAAGAGAGTGAGACCCTTTCTCAAAAAAATAAAAATAAAAATAAAAAAGTCTTCTAGTTTTCCAACTACAAATTTTATTACTTCCTCTTACATAAAAAAATTATATGGTATAGTTTTTCTTGTATGTTTATTTCAGTCATTCAATACCTTTTTTATTAGTACATCTAGGAATTGTAGCACTTTACCTATAAGGAAAGAACTGGACTGAATGATTGTATTATCATTTAGGGTTTCACATTTAGGACAGAAAGAACATTTTAATGATTCAGATAATGATAATAGTGGATTCTTCTACAAGATCTAACACTATTATAATGTAATTATTCCCAGCTACTTCACACTAGGAAAACCTAACACATAAATAAGTGAATTTCAGAATACATAATTTTGTTGTAGTTTAAAAGTCCATTTTGTTATGAAAGATGGCAAAGGCAAGATTTCTTGTTCCAATATCCCAATTTATAAAAATAGCAACAATTATCAAACTAATAAGAATATTGAAAATATAATTTATAGAATACTTTTGCATATCTTTACATCAGTTGATTCTCACAACAGCCTTCTGTGATGGAAAGGTAAAGTATTAGTTTCACCATTTTATAGATGAGAAAGCTGAGGCACAAGAGTCTGACCTAACTGTAGTTATATACCTAATAAAGGAATATTATCTACATTATGCTACATGACCATAGATATATGGCATGAAATTTATAATTGTTGGAGTTAAGTTACACATACATTTAGGAGGAAAATCATGTTATGGAATACACTAGGCAAATAGTTACAAATAATTGCCACTATCTCAAAAAACAAATAGGGGTTATTATTACTATTTTATTTTTACCATTCTCTCAAAATAGTTCATAATATTTTAGATGGGATAGCTCTGTGACTGAGTCACTTTCTTCACCTTTCTTCATGCATGTTTTTCTAAAGAAGTCCATGGTGAACTTAAGGAATGTACTGCTTGAATATTTTTTTCTCCTAGAAATCCACTGTCTGAAAGATTATGAATGCTATTTTCATTGCTAGTAACATCAGGCCTTTATATTATTATTATTATTATGAGACCTTACTGCCTTTATTTTTTTTCTGTTTTCATCTCTAATTTTGAATTCTCTTTGCATTTCCATGTTCTCTAATAATTTTTCCTAGGGTTTCTTAGTCTTTATTATGTAATTTATATACTTTCATTATGTTTTCAACACCTACACTGTATCTTCATTCTCCGTGTTATCTCAGCTTTCCCAACTCCCCCGGGCTCGCTCTCATTCATTCTCTCTTTACCACTTCTAATCCACACTGCTCAAAAAGTGTGCCCTCCCACAGTCAGTCATGAACTCAAAGTAATGTTTCTTCCTTTTCTAGTGTTCCATGTCACCAATGACATTCCAATTGCAAAATTCAATGGACGCTACTCACACTTTGTCTCTCTGCAACTCTCAGCTGAATTTAGCACTGTTGACAATCCTGACCTTCTTGAAACTCTGCACTTACTTTGACTTTAAAACACTCTTGATCACCTTATTTATCTTTGGTGGTTGTGTCATTTTTTAGCTCCTTTTTATTTTTCTATTTCTTTGGCTTCTATACTCAGTTAACTGCTTTTTTCATCATACATGTTCTGTGGGGATCCCTCACTCTCTAGACAGTAACCATAGGGATATTGATGAGACCCAAATAGAGATCTCAAGTTTGGACATCTTCTCCAAGCTTCACAGCCATAAATTCATTTTTTTCTCTACACATTTCCATTTGAATGGCACAGAGGCAGGTGTCTTCAACATGTTCAAGATAGAAATAATTATTTTCTTCTTTGAACTGAGTTTACTCTCTTGTTAGCATAGCCACCATTTATCAGGCTTTCAACTTCGTAGACATTGTTGACACTTTACTCTCCTTCAATCAATCAATCAATCAACCAATCAAGATTACTGATTTTACCTGCCAAACTGCCAAAATTTAGACCTTCAGCATCATATCTGAGCTACAGTATTCATATAATGACGCACCACATATTTTAAGCCTTAAAGACTACAATGTTACAACTTAGCTAAAGAATAATTTCTCTGTTGTCCACCTTATTTCCTTTTACTCTTACACTGTGAGTAATGTCAACAGAGATTATGTCTTATTTTTCCCTAGATCAAGTATGTTTCTTGACACAAATAGATACTCCATACATAATTTAAAATACACAGTTTTTAAAACATTTGTATTAATTTTTTATTTTTATTTCAAGTTCTAGATAAATGTACAGGTTTGCTACATAGGTAAATGTGTGCCATGGTGGTTTGCTGCACCTATCAACCCATCACCTAGGTATTAAGCCCAGCATGCATTAGCTATCATTCCTAATGCTCTTTCTCCCCCTACTCTACCCCTTGACAGGTCCTGGTGTGTGTTGTTCCTCTCCCTGTGTCCATGTGTTTTCATTGTTCAGTTCCCACTTATAAGGGAGAACATGCAGTGTTTGGTTTTCTGTTCCTGCATTAGTTTGCTGAGGATAATGGCTCCCAGCTCCATCCATGTTCCTGCAAAGGACATGATCTCATTGCTTTTTATGGCTGCATAGTATTCCAAGGGATATATGTACTGCATTTTCATTATCCAGTCTATCATTGATGGACATTTGGGTTGATTCCATTTCTTCACTATTGTGAATAGTGCTGTAATAAATATACACACATGTATCTTTGTAATAGGATGATTTATATTCATTTGGGTATATACTCAGTAATAGGATTGCTGGGTCAAATGGTATTTCTGGTTCTAGATTTTTGAGGAATCACAACATTGTCTTCCACAATGGTTGAACTAGTTTACATTGCCACCATCCGTGAAAAGCATTCCTATTTCTCTGCAATCTCGCCAGCATCTATCATTTCTTGACTTTTTAATAATCGCCATTCTGACTGGCATGAGATAGTATCTCATTGTGGTTTTGATTTGCATTTCTCTAATTATCAGTGATATTGAGCTTTTTTACATATGTTTGTTGGCTATATACGTGAATGAATAGATACCACTCAAAAAAGACATTCATGCAATCAACAAAAAATTTTTTAGAGAAAAAAATTTTTTATCAAAGCATATAATTCACACAGAGATATATACAAAACTTAAGTGTACTGCAGAATGATTTTTTTTTTTTTTTACAAAGTGAATGTCTATCATTTTATTAACCTGAAGATTAAGAAACAGAATGTTAGTAACCACCAAATATCTCCATTTGGACCCTTTGTCTTAGTGTCTCAAGGTCACCTCCAAATTTAATTCCTTAGCCTCATAGGACTCAGGGCAGTAGTTTTACTTATGGTTATGATTTTTTACAACAAAACAATACAGATTAAAATTGGCAAAGTGAAAAGACTCATGGAGCAAAGTCCAGGAGGAACTAGGCTTAAGCTTCCAGGTGTCTCCTCACAGTGGAGTCACAAATGGATATGCTCGGTTCTCCTAAAAATGATGTGTAAAAACACATGCTCAATGTTGCCAAACAGAAAAGCTCTTGTAAGTCTTGATGTCTGGTTTCTATTGGGGGTCAGTCATGTAGACTTGCAATGCTGCATGACTCAGTCACTCCAACTCCAGCCTTCCTCTGCAACCACTCCCATCCCCGTAAAAACATGTGTTCACCATAGATATCACTGTTCAGATAAACTTATTTGGTCAAACTGGTGCATCATGGCTTAAGGCTTCAGTTATGTAGAACCACAAATTCATTTTAAATACAGCAGATTTTCTTATCAGGCAGGATATTCTAAGCGTTTAGAATTTATATCGCAGAAGCCAGCAGCAGGTCTATCGTCAGCACTGAAGACAACTTTTCCTTGGAATGTGATAGATTTTACAGAAGCTACAAATACTGTACAGTTTGATTTCTTGTAGAATTTTTATTAAGGGAACAATGGGTGATATTCATGAGATCCCTACAGTAATATGAAAGCATATTATTGCACACTAAGTTGCCAAATTCTCTGCTAACAATAGCCAACTTGAGAGACTGCAACAAAAGTCAATGTGAATACAGGGCTCTTAGTTAGTCTTCAAACAAAGTTCACAACTATTTAATAAAATATATCTCAAGACCAATCTTTCCAGCTGTCAAATTGACAGAAAGCACAGTGCTTGATATTGCCTGCTATTAATAAAGGAATGGAAGAACATGTAAAATCATGTATTACTTCAACTTTTTAGATTACAAATAATATCTTTTAAATTTTAAAATGCACATACGCATCTACTTCTTGAAATTTATTTTATGGATAAAAATTGTGAAAGTGCATGAAATCACAGAAAAAAAGTTGTGCAACATAATTTATAACAAATGGCTAGAAACAACTCAATGATTTATCAGTGGATGACCAGTGAAATCAATTACATTAAATCAATACAATGGAATATTATGAAACTGTTAAAAAGAATGATATCAATCTCTGTTCTGGTATGAAAAGGCAATCTGACATGAGGAAGAATGGTATCTATAATGTCAGGAAGCTTTCCAGCTATGTAGTAAACTAAGCTAGACAGTTAAATTAACAATGTGCATTTTCTTTTCCTTCAGACACTGTTGTGGACATATTGTGTTGTATTTGAAAGATCATGACAGGAATAAAATAAAACCTGCTATTCCTGGAAATCACAAATTTAAATGTCACCATTAACATCTAAGCTGTCTTGGATAGCTATGCAGTTCTATTTAACTTGTTAATGTACTATATTGTAATTAATCCAGACAAAAATAGAGAGTAACAGAAGCGTTAAATAGACAAATCCAAGAGTACAAATGATAAAAGGACACTAAATTTTGCCTCAAGCCATACTCTGTGGTAGAAGGTGTCCTGTTCAAAACCAAGAAATGAACAACTTGCTATTCAGTTAATTTGAATAATTCAAAAATAAAAACTTTTATTAAATTATCTTTGGGGCAACTGTGTTAAAACTAGAAGACTGAGCTATTTTTGGTTTTGGAATTATATCTGAGATAAACTAAAAACAGTTTCTGCCATGTCTACCAGCTTTACAATGCTGTATGTATGATTAATCCTTCTTATGTTTCAGTGGAAATCAAAATATAGGTGGCAGATGAGCTTAAATATTTGCAAAAAAAATTCAACAAATGCATTAAAGTAATAAAGTCTGTAATTTCTTAAAGAGTTAGGCTTGCTAAGTCAAGGAAATGGTGTTTTCACTATTGTATATTCCCCACTATGCCTAGCCTAGTGAGCAGTTTTCAAAAATCATTTCCTGATTGCTTATGAGTTTCCTGCTGATTTTACCATTTAATTCTCCATCCTAAGCCTAGTACAATCTCCTATTAGACAAGCCCTAGGGAGTATAAAAACAGTATTATATATTATGGGTACTTACATTTGTAGAGTTTAATTTCAAAAATATTCTAGGGACATCATAGCAACAGTAAAAATAAAAATAAAAAAACAGTAGATATTTTATCTCATTGCAAATAAACTTTTTTTTGCTTTTGTTTCATCCAGTCTTTTTATATATGCATCTACAATTCTGTATAGCCATAATCACAGGTTGTATACCATTTTTAATTCAATACATATGCATCTTAACTTGAAATATTTAAAGTTTACATTGTACACTAAAGGCTGACCCTGAGTATTTGAAGAGTTTAGATTTAAAAATGTAATTAGTAAATTTAAAATTAGATTCAGTTAATAGATTATATTAAAATATTAAAAAGAAATTAGTAAATAGCTTTGAAGTGAACAATATAAAGTTTTTTCAAAGATTGAATAATATACAATAGAAAATTCTGGATTTTCTACAGATAATAAGCCCCTTATAAAGGAGGTTTTAAAAAATACATAAACATATTTCATTTTCCTTACAGTTAAGTTATTCGGAGAAAACGTAGATCACAGATAAGGAGATAGGTTTAAAAAACGGGTTACGATATAAGGCAAAGGTTATTAGAATAAACGAGAAATGAATAAAACAATAGTCCCTTCCAATTCTGGCATACATTAAACAAGGTGGCCTAAAAGATTAAATGGGGCCTGGCACGGTGGCTCATGCTTGTAATCCCAGCACTTTGGGAGACCGAGGCCGGAGTATCACCTGAGGTCAGGAGTTTGGGACCAGCCTGGCCAGCTGGCCAAGATGATGAAACTCCGTCTCTACTAAAAATATAAAAAATTTGCCAGGCTTGGCGGTGGGCGCCTGTAATCCCAGCTACTTAGGAGGCTGAGGCAGGAGAATCTCTTGAACCCGGGAGTAGGAGGTTGCAGTGAGCCGAGATGGCACCACTGCACACCAGCCTGGGCAACAAGAGAAACTCAGTCTCAAAAAAAAAAAAAAAAAAAAAAAGATTAGATCGATTGTGCCAAGTCTTAAGAAACTCAAAATTTTGTCTTCTCCTTTAGCTATAGGTAGAAGGAATTAATATTTTAAAAATCACTAAATAAAGATACTTACTGCAATTTATCTCATAGAGTAGAATAAAATATTCACTATACTAATTCTACAATGCAGCCACTGGAGGTTCCATGCTATTTTCTTGTTTATCGTCTACCTATCTATCGGCCTACCTACCTATCTATCCTACCTGTCCATCTATATCTATAAATCATCTATTTATTTTAATATTTTTTATTTAATTACATGCATGTTTTGAGCATCAAGGAAATGTTACTTGACTTAAACGACAAATTTGAAGAATATATTTTTGAAGTTTTAAGTAAACTGAATATATGTATTTCCAATTTAAGAAATAGTTATCAGGCTTCAGGAAACAAAGGGTTAGCTGGTTGCAAGTTTTACATAATAAGTTCCTATAATAATTGCTGCTGAGATGGGATTTGCATTATGTAAGTGGAAAATTCAAATTCACAACTGTACAACTGTTAAAGGTTAAAATTTATTGAGCATATACTATTTAATGCTGAGCCCTCTTATAAATGAAGAGAAATTTATCTGTAAGATAAAAGTTATTTTTGTTTCATAGATTAGAGAGATTTATTGCTGTAAAATAACTTAGCAAAAATATCAACCTTATAAACGTTGGAACTTTGTTGTAAACATCAGTCTGTTAAAATTCAAAACCATGCTTTTTAATTTTCATTTCTAGACCTAGTTGAGAACTGCATTTCTTTTTCTTCTGTCAACAAAGGAGCCCATATTAAAGGGAGCAGCACATGAATTTTACTAATTAGTTAGCAGGAATTATTAAACCAGTACATACAACACTTATTAAGATTAATCTTCATCTTTTTTAAAAGTACTTTTAGTACTTTTTTAGAGGTACTAAAAGTAGGCTTACAATATGGATAAGGTGAGTACAGAAAAGACCAAATAAATTGACTTGACTGGATTTTGCTCTACTGAAAAATGTTACCGATGGAAAGTACAGCATTAAAAACAAGTTGCTTTAAAAAAATTGAAAATGATGTTAAAATATAGCTGGATAATTGGAACAAGTTTATGTGGTTTTATTAAAAAGATCAGGTAGGCAAAATCTAGGCAGGATTATGTGTCTTTCATTACAAGGTTTAATTTCCTTTAGGTATTAAGTAGAGCCAATAAATTATACACATGCCCTTTTATGACCCCAAGTTGCAAAATATTTGAGAGATAAACAAAGTCAAGTATTTGGGAATCAAAATAGTATATTTCCTCAAATATAAAGTGTCATAAATTATAAGATACAGCATTATATTTTGTATTAAAAAAGCAATGGCAAATTATGATACAATGTAGCAGTTAGATTTTATGGTATTTTTTCTCTTATTGAAAAAACTTTTAGATAAACTTTGACAGAATTTCTTAACATACATTTAATATATATTTTAGTATCAATCAGAATTCTGACAGAACACTTATTTTATCTCAAATTATTCCAATGAAGAGATTTGGTAATAACCTATGGAGATAGTTAAAGGTACAAACAAGAAATGAAGTGATACCAAAGACAGTAGAAGCTAGAAAGTATTTCCACCCACAGGGATGAAAAAAAAAAAAAAAAGAAATAATGATGAAAGAGGCCAAAGAAAGCTATAGCCCTGGAGGGAGGGATGTCCATGATGAAGTAGGAGTGATTTACTGATGGCATCTGAAAACTTTGGACAAATACAATCAAAAGGTACTGATATGGTCTGGCTGTGTGCCTACCCAAATCTAATCTTGAATTGTAGTTCCCATAATTCCCACATGTCGTGGGAGGTAATTTAATCATGGAGGCAGTTACCCTCATGCTGTTCTCGTGATAGTGAGTGAGTTCTTACAAGATCTGCTGGTTTTATAAGGGACTTTTCCCCCTTTTGCTGGGCACTTCTCTCTTGCATGTGGCCATATAAGACATGCTCCAGCTTTGCCTTCTACCATGATTGTGTGGCCTCCACAGCCATGTGGAACTGTGAGTCCATTAAACCCCTTTTTCTTTATAAATTACCCACTTGCGGGTATGTCTTTATTAGCAGCTTGAGAACAGGCTGATACAGATACCAAGCAAGAGAGCTCAGGTGATGCGATCGCAGAAGTCAGCATTCCTGGGCATCAAGAAGGGTAGAAAAGAGCAGATAGTAAATCCAATTTGGTAGGAAAGCAGGACAGTAAAGGATGGCACATTTGCTCATGTGTGTATGAAATAAAATTGTTTAATATTCTAAAATTTCTTCATATTCAGAGTTCAACTTTTCTAGTTTTTCTCTGACTCAGTGCTATTGATGTCCACCCTTTCACATAATATCATCCTTTGTGTGGTCAAGAATATTGATATACCCTGCTTCCTTGAAATAGTATTCCACTGTCATCTCCAGGATTACTTTCCAAGCTCTGGCAAGTTTTGATGCTGCTACTTTATTTATTTTACCAGAAGACGCCAATGGAAATTTTTCAGACCAATTTCACACATGTGCAGGCAATAACAACTACTTAACAGCCGCCACCTGTGTGAGAATAATTATAAGATTCTTGGGTGGTAAAATGCAATCCCCTAAGAGTTGTTAAAATGTGAAAATATATAAATGTATTAAGGTCAGTAAAATGTGATATCAGTTGTCTTACAGATTTATTTTAGGTTAGAGGATATGGTTTAGAGTGTGATAACAACAGACTTCATATTACTAAATTACAAAATTAAACTCACCATTCGGGCATAAGTGAGATGGAGCAACCACTGCCTACAAGGCTCTGCTCCTCATAACTTATATCTGGAAGGATTTAATAAGATGTAGGTTTCTGAACAATAATATTTCTAATTCACCATTGAATTCTAGCTTTACATTTCCAGTTTAAAAATATCTTAGTAAATATGCTAATTCAATTTTTTTGTTGGAGTGTATTAAACTTAATTGCATAAGTGTTTAAAAAAGAATTCAAGGATATACCATAGAAATATTTGCTAAAAGATGGAAGTGATTTATAATATTTATAATATAATATTTAATTTACAATATTCTAATCAGAGTAGCATGTAATGTGGAAACCATTAAGTAATGATAAGAGGGTCACTTATTTTTGACAAAGGGGAAAACTCTACATTGAATATTGACATGCCAAGAGAAATGTGTGCAACAAACAGCATAGCATCAAAACAAGAAAAACTATTAGAAATCTAAGAAGTTATAATGGAAACAATAGTAGTGCAAGAGTATCTGAATAATAAAATACAAGCTAAAACGTTTGAGTGAGCATCTATCTTGTCCAGAATCTTCTACACTACTTTGGAAAAGGTAGTGTTGGCTGTATCTCAGAAAAAAACTACTGGGGTACTCCCCATTTGGTCATAATATATTATATATATTATTTATATATTGCTCAATTCTATTTTCTAATAACTTGTAAATAATTTTTGTATTTACTTTCAGGGTGAATATTACTTTAATTTTATTGTAGTTTTTTTTTGGTTTGGGTTTGGTATTAGAATAATGTTGTCCTCAGATAAATTTGAAATTATTTACTTTTCTTCAAATTATGGGAATAATTTGTGTTGAATTGCTATTATTCTTGCACAAATGTTTGGTGGCACTTCCTAGTAAAATCACCTGGTCCTGAAATTTTCTTTTCAGGGAGATTTTTAAATTATACTTTCATATTATTTAGATAGCTAGATGATAGATTTATAGATACAGGATTGTTCAGGTTATCAATTTCTTCTTGAGTGAGTATTCACAGTTTGTGTCTTCATGGTAGAACTAGGATTTGAAACCTATGATTTGAGGGAGGTTGCCTCTAATCATAGATATGAATTACTGTCTCAGTTTATACCAGTATAAAAGTTGCTAACATGTATTAGGATCGTCATTGTAGAGAAGTATAGAGGAATAAACAAGAAGGTATTTAGTGTTCAAGTTTAGAGTATTCCTAATGCTCTCCCCATCATGTGCATATTTAAAAGCCAAATGTGAAAAGCTAAAACATATGAAATATAAGAAAACACAGATGACCCAGGTTGAAAGAACATAGCATTAATCTACAGTTCTGAATACAAGACGTCTCCTAGAATCTTTAAGTTGTGAAAATTTGCCACATTTTATAATTTGACATGACATTATTTCTGCTAAATATCCATTTAATTTGTGAAACTGGCACTGGTTACATTTACATTCGTCTATTTTCTGCAAGTTAGTATATCCATCCATTTTACGAATGATAAAAGTGAAGTTCAGAGGAACACAAGCTGGTTTGTGGAGTATGGGAATATCCAAAAGTATCCTCAAATTTGATGAATTACAAGTATAATGCCCAATCCTTAATGCAAGGAACACTTAAAAGATGGATAAATATTTTATCATAGTTTTTTTTTTTTGAAGATCTTCAGGAGGAATTAAGTGGTTACTTTTTGGGGAGTTTAAAATTATTTTTCTCCTAGATGATGTAAGTGTACAAACATTATTAGAAACAGCATGTGAGTGTAAATAAACCACAGAACCTTAATGAGGTAGGGAGAATACCATTTACTTTAAAATAAAATCCCACATTATAATCAATTCCCATAGCACTTTTTAACTTACAAAATGTTGTCAAAGCCAGTTTCTCATGTGATTCTCAGAATAACCATGTGAAATTGCTATTATTAATCTTTGTCTATTAGAGATGAGATCATCCCAACTTAATGAGGGAAAGTGATTTAAGGTCTCACATACAATACATGGCAGAATTAGCTTCAAGCTGTATCTCTTGACAATTTAACCAGTGTTATTTCCAGCGAATCTTTTTTGTTTGACCCCAAGGTGTATATGGAGATGAATGGGAATAGGGTAGAAGTCAGAGGATGACAACAATACCCATGACAGCATTGGGATCTTACAGGATGATTTACACCTCCTCCTAAATGAAAATATCACTGGGAGAAAATTAGCACTTTTTGAATGTAATGGTGCGCTGCCTCAAAACTCTCTGCTTAATTTTTGGAACTCCTACTGTCAAAAAAGACATAATTGATCTGTAACCTGGCTGGATATTCTTATACTATAATGAAAAGGATTAGTCCTGCTGGTTTAAACCAGTTTATCATGCTTATGATGAAAAAGAGAGAGGCAAACAAACAGAATACAGAAAAAACACAAAACAAAGACAATTAATAAAGAGCAAACAAATCAAAATGTATATTGCTCCTCTACAAGATTTTTTACGAATGGTCCCCCTCAGGTCAGTAGAGTGAAACCCAGTGATTAAAACAATATCTAGTATTGTCAAAAAAAAAAAATATATAGCATTGTATCAGCAGTAGAGCATGAACTCTGAGGTTGGATGGAACTAGTCTCAAGCTCCTACATACTCAAATTGCTAGATTTTTGACCTCAGCTAAATATTTTTTTTCCTTCTTTTCTCTATGGTAGTAGTCCCCTGAAGTACATAGAAAAAAACTGAAAAATAACACAAGGACTTTTCCAAATGGAAAGAGTATCTGCTTTGGCTATTTTTTGTAACGTGTACATTGTTCTAATGTTAACATGATGAAAATATATGCAGCTACATTATAGTATTGGTTATATGGTGTTATACTCACAATAAATCTTTGTTTTAGGTAATTAATAATAGTTTTCTGCAAAACCACTCTGAGGTGAATCAGTAATAAAAGTCTGAATCTATTTTTGATGTCTGAGAAGTAACAGTTTTAAGACCCATTCCTCACCTTTCTCTCTTTGCTCACATTTGGCAAGCCAATAAAAACGGCCAAGTGAAAGAATAATACCTAGTATTTGATATCCCAACAGGGTGACCATAGTCAAGATAATTTAGTTGTACATTTTAAAATAACTAAAAGAGCACAATTGGATGGTTTATAACACAAAGGATAAATGCTTAAGCAGATGGATGCCCCATTGTCCATGATGTGATTATTATGCAATGCATGCCTGTATAAAAATATCTCATGTACCTCAAAAATATGTACACCTACTATGTACCCACAAAAATTAAAAATTAATAAATTATTTTTTAGAAAAAAAATTTAAAAGCCAGGTACTTCCTTTCTTGACACAGGTGGAGAAGTTATCCATATTAAAATTTGTGCAAAAATAATTGGGAACATAAAAACACATACTAGGCTCAGAAGTAAATAATGCAACGTGTCTTGGAATTCTTCGAAAGTAAAATGGCTGACGGCACACTATATGAACAAGAAAATGAGAAAGATTGTTATTCTTGACAGATTAAGGCCTCTAACCCTTAGCAGGGCTATCTTTGGAATATGATTTCTTGAAATCTGTGCCGAAGGGGAAGATCTTGCAAATAAAGAATAAACTGGTTGGAGATCCAAGACTCTTTGCTTTAGGTCAGGACCTACTTCCTTTGACCAGCTCTTATGAAATCCATATTCCTTTAGTAAAGTACACTGGAAATCACAGTGCAGCACCATCACCTCTTTAATCTTTCGTGTTCTTAGAATAAAATATAAAGCCTCGGGCTGGGCGTGGTGGTGCATGCCTGTAATCCCGGAGCTTTGGGAGGCTGAGGTGGGTGGATCACCTGAAGTCAGGAGTTGGAGATCAGCCTGACTAACATGGTGAAACCCCATCTCTACTAAATACAAAAAATATATATAAAAAATAAAAAAATAGCCGAGCATGGTGGTACATGCCTGTAATCCCAGCTACTTGGGAGGCTGAGGCACAAGAATTGTTTGAACTTGGGAGGTGGAGGTTGCAGCAGTGAGCCAAGATCACACTACTACACTCCAGCCTGGGCAACAGAGTGAGACTATCTCAGAAAAAGAAAAAATTGTATAGTTTGAATGCTTTCATTTCTGTGTATCTTTATAAACATAATGTATTTATAAGTAAATATATGTTGTCTAATGTATTATATATATATACTCTTACAACTAATATTACTTTAGTAAAAATTATGCTTAAATATATCATGAAAAAGGGGGCCCTAAATTGCTAGAGTTTAGCACTTTATGAAAAGACAGTGAAAATGTATGAACTAGGTGAGAAGAAACAACCTATATTTTTGAAAGTGAAACTAGAGAGAGGCCTCTACATTTCAGCCACATTACTAAATGAACCAAGATGAAATTTCTATCCTCATTTCAAATTGCTACAGATGATAAAATTTATATTTTTAACCGCATAAGACTACTCACTGCTCAGGAACAAATCATGCACTCTCTAGCTTCTGAGCTTTGTTGAGGCTACTCCCTTGGTATGATATGTTCTTTTCACTACCCCACTCTCTTTTTTGGTGCTTCATGCATAATGGTAACCACTCTAGTTATAGAAAAGTTATATCCCCTCTGTGGATTTCCCAGATACCTCCTGCAAACATTAATACTTCTGTCCATTGTGCTTCACATAGCTTTTCTAATTAAACATCTATAATCTGATTACAGGTTTTAAGATTTTGGAGATGTGTGTGTATATGACTGTGTTTTACGGATGTTTCTTCCTTTACTTGTCTATGACATCCTTGATCAAGTTCAATCCCTATTCGTCTGTGTAGCTCTAGAATATGACAAAATGCAGAGAAAATAGGAACCATTTAATAAATTTTGATAAGAATGCACTCTATAAGATGTTCTAAATTTGATTAAATACATCTATTTTAGCTTGCGTTCAAGAGTAAGTTTAGAGCTATCATTTTCCCCAGCCATCTCACTACTGCTTATCTACACAAAGTAAAAGAAATCAATACATTAAAAAGATACCTGAACTCATATGTTTATCTCGGGTACCATTCACACTAGCAAAGATTTGGAATCAACCTAAACATCCATCAACAGGTGAATGAATAAAGAAAATGTGGTATATATACACAATAGAATACTGTTCAGTCAATAAAAGAATGAAATCATGTCTTTTGCAGGAACATGGATGGAACTGAAGGTCATCATCTTAAATGAAGCAAGCCAAGCACAGATAGACAAATATCTCGTGTTCTCACTCATAAATGGATGCTCAAATAACGTGTTCAGATGGATGTAGAGAGTAGAGTGACAGATAACGAAGACTTGGAAAAGTGAGGGTAGGGGCTTGGAGGAGGGGAGGATGACAAGAAAATGGTTAATCAGTGCAATGAATGTTATTTGGGAGATGGATGCCCTAAAAACCCTTACTTGACCACTATGCAATCATTGCATGTAAAACAATAGCACGTACACCCCATAAAAAGTAAAACAAAAATAGTAAGTTATCCAAAAATGCTTTTCAATTTTACATCCACACAGAACTGTAATATAGTGGATAGCCTAAAAAATGCAGTAAATTAAAGCTGAATAAAGAAAACAACCACTTTATAGGCCCTTGAAATTCTACAAATAAAGGACTGAAGTCTGGATACATAAGTGTATATCACTAAAATAATCTATTAACTGCTTTATACTATGCATCTTATGCTAATAGAAATTATAAATTAATTGGCAATAGTGTGATGATGGTTGCTGCTACCCAGTATGTACACTGTTTAATGGATATCTAAAAGTTTTAAGTAATAACCAACTCTCACATTTTTGGAGAGATAAAATGAGAGAAGTTCAAAATGAATTCTACTATAACCCAAATATTTAAATTAAATTTCCAATTTGAGTACAATGTGTTTTATATTTTTCTTACTGCCTAGTTAATTCACATAATCATTGAAAATAAGTCTTAGTAATAAAGGCCCGCTATTGTCCCATCATTGGGAAGTATTGGCTTTAATGTTGGCCACCCCATGATCAACCAGATTTTCTTTCTTTTACTTCCTGCTTCCAGAAACAATTTTTAAAATAGCAAAAATAATAGGATAATCTAACATGTGCTATTAATGATATGTTTTGTAGTGCTAGGCACATTATATACCATAACATATACAATCTGAAACTTGGAAAAATTTAAAATTTTCACCTGAAATCTTCCAGCCAGTAAATAGTAAGGAAGAACTTAAGCATATTTGTCTAATTTTATACCCCATTCTCTTATGTACTCTACCTCCGTGCCAAAAATAGGCCAATTAGTTCATTTTGAACACATCTGTTCTGTCATAGGTTTCTCCAGAAAGATGATGTTATTTATGCTAATAGCCACTAGCTACATGTGACTATTAAGCACTTGAAATGTGGCTAATCAGAATTGAGATGACATATAAATGTGAAATACACATTGGATTTCAAAGACTTATGAAAATATCTCATTACTATCTATATTACCATAATTTTATATTAATTATATGTCAAAATAGTTATATTGTGAATATTCAAGGCTATATTAAATATATAATTAAAACTAATAGGATTTTTTAAACTTTTTAAAATATGAGGCTATGAGCAAATGTAAATTTGCATGTCTGGCTTGCATTTAGGGCTTACATTTTAACTCACTGAATAGCAGCACTGTTCTAGAACTTTCTGTTCAATAAAATACTTTTGGGACACCAGTTAGACAATGTGACCTGTCCTGTAAGATGATATTTGTTAAAAATGAAAACTAGGATGACCATCTCTTCATCTGCCCAAGACTAAGGAGTTTCCTGAGATGCTGAACTTTCAGTGCTACAATGGGACAGTCTCTGGAAAATTAAGAGTTGTTTATCCTAAAAATAAAACGTATTTTTTATCCTGATAAGTGACGTTTGGTATCTTTATCTGGATGCTACACAGATATGTAAGAATTAACAATTCCACAAACTCCTTTATCATTCCCAACTCCAATTTCATGATTTCCAGCCTCAATTAATGGTGTCACTATCCACTATCTTACAAATTAAAAGTAAAGCTGCTGCTTCCCTTCTGCCTTCACAGTCTGGTTAATATTTACCGTGTGGCCAAATTTAACCTGGAAACATACAGGGAAGGTAATTGTGGGAAATGTAATTTGTACAGTACAAAATTCCCACACTTTGTGCACTCTAATATTTATTTTACTATTATGAATAATATTAAAAACAGGAAAAACAAGCAAGCACATAAAAAGCTATAGGGTTATTCTTGACCTGTCAACATTAATATCTTAGCAGTCATAAAACTTGCGAATGAAGACCCTCCCCTCTATTTTTACCACATACCTGATTTCAAGTACTCATCACTAATTAGCTATTTGTGGGAAAAGACAGATTGTTTAGTTTGTGGTATTTGTGAGGAAATCAGTGGGGATGTGTGGTTATGACAGAAGGTAGGAGGTAGGCAGAGGTGCGCATTCACAGAAGGGTTTTGTAACAATTACAGTGTTTGTACAGAGTAATGGTGATTAGTAAACAAGTAAAAACAGATGATAAAGAGAAAGTAGAATAACTATTAGTGTAAAGTCCTTAAATAGTCAAGAGGACCAGATTAATTATAGCAGAATTTATGGGCTCCTCTCATGGCTTATATGGTCATAAGCTTAAATTCAACTCAGTTGGTAGGACTGTGTATTTTTCTAAGTCCACGGGGAAAAAAAGAGAGAGTACCACTACCGAACTGAGATTGGAGGTTTGTTAGGTGAATTTTCAGACAGAGTGAGACAATGAAGTTAGGAAGATAGGTGAATATAATTCATTTTATTAAAGGATCATTGAATGTAAACCACAATAGAAATAAAATAAAATTATGAGGAAGATAATAGGCAGTAGAAAAATCAGTAACTATAAAGTGCCAATGAAGAAACTTTTTTAGAGTTGGGTTATTAAAGTGAGTGCAATGAACTGAATGTTTCTGTATCCCCAAAATTAATACGTGGAAGACTAGCCCCGCCCCCAATGTTATAATTAATGTTAGTAGATGGGGCCTTTGAGAGGTGAGGGTAGAGGCCTCATGAATGGAATTCATGCCTTTATAAAAGAAGCTCCAGTGAGCTTTCTTCCCATTCTGCTACGTGAGGTTACAATGAAAGGACATCTGCCTGTGAACTAGAAAACAGACCCTTACTGGGATTGTGCTACCGCTCCATGAAAAACCACACTTTTCCCATGGATCCTTGCAGCCAGTTGGTCAGGAAGTCCCCTCGTAAGCCCATGCCACCTGGGCCTTGGGTCTCGAGCACAGAGCTGGGAAGGTTCTTAGCGGCTGTGCAGGTGGGTGGCTGTTTGGGCAGGCTCTGAGACCCAGGAGTACTTGCATCCTCTGGCTCTGGGAACTTCTGTGAAGCAGGAGATTCGTCCACTCCCATGGGAAGGGGACTGAAGCCAGGGAGCCAAGTGGTCTCGCTCCCACAGAACTCCACAAGCTAAAACCGACTGGCTTGGAATCCCCACTGGCCAGTGCAGCAGGCTAGCGACTGCCTAAGAAGACAGAGTTCTCATGGGTGGTAGGGGCAGCCACCATCACTGCAGCACCAGTCAGCATTTTCCCTTGCTGCTGGTGCCAGTGAGACTGGGTGGTCTGAACCAGGAGCAATTCCTCTAAGCGCAGCACAGAAGCTGGGCCCATTTGTGGCCAGACTGCTTCTTTAAATGGGACCCCACCCATCCCTCCTCACCAAGCAGGCCCCACTTGTGGGAATTTCAGCATCCCCAGCCAGGGGTCTGTGGGCAGAACTCTGATATCACTGAGGGGAGCCTCCTAGGAGGGGCAGCTGCAGTACTGTATCCCAGGCAAGGATGCAGCACACCTGCTCACCAAGGGACAGCCAGATTACTTATTGAAACAGGTCTCTGGCCTTGCTTCTCCTGACTGGGTGAAACCTCCCAACAGGAGTTTCCAGATACCTCATACAGAAGCAGTCCAGTGAGCATCAGATCAGTGCCCCTCTGGGACAGAGCTCCCAAAGGAAGGAGTAGGCTACCATCTTACTGGTCTGCAACCTCCACTGGTGATAGGCTCCAGGGAAGGGAGGGACCCAGGTGAATACACCATGGAGTTGACCCCAAGCAAATTGCAGCACCTAGGCTTAATACCTAGGTGATGGGTTGATAGGTGCAGAAAACCACCATGGCACACATTTACCTATGTAGCCAACTTGCACATCCTGCACATGTACTCCAGAATTTATAAAAACCTACAGAAGAAGGTTCTGACTGCTAAAAGAACAACAGAAAACAAAATAACAACAGCATCAATGCAAAATACCCCACATAAACTTCATTTGAAATTTGGCGGCCTCAATAATCAAAGGTAGATAAACCCATGAAGATGAGAAACAATCAATGCAAAAATGCTGAAAACTCAAAAAGCCAGAGTGCCTCTTCTCCTCCAAATGATCACAACACGTCTCCCAGCAAGGGCAGAGAACTGGACTGAGGATGAGATGGATGAATTAACAAAAGTAGCCTCCAGAAGATGGGTAATAATGAACTTTGCTGAGCTAAAGGATTATGTTCTACTTTATTGCAAAGAAGCTAAGAAGCATGATAAAAAATTACAAGATCTGTTAACCAGAATAACAAGTTTAGAGAGGAACATAAATATCCTGATGAAGCTGAAAAGTACAACATGAGAACTTTACAATGCAACCACAAGCATCAGTAGACAAATAGACCAAGTGGAAGAAAGGAAATCAGAACTTGAAGACTACCTTGCTGAAATAAGGCAGGCAGACAAGATTAGAGATAAAAGGATAAAAACAAACAACAAAACCTCTGAGAACTATGGGATTATGTTAAAAGACCGAACCTATGACTGATAGGAGTACCTGAAAGAGATGGGGAGAATGGAACCAAGTGTGAAAACACACTTCAAGATATCATCCAGGAGAACTTCCCCAACCTAGCAAGGCCAACATTCAGATTCAGGAAATCCAGAAAACCCCAGTAAGATACTCCATGAGTAGATCAACCCCAAGACATATAATCTTCAGATTATCTAAGGTCAAAATGAAGGAAAAAATTTTAAGGGCAGCCAGAGAGAAAGGCCAGGTCACCTATAAAGGAAAGCCCATGAGACAAACAATGGACCTCTCAGTGGAAACCCTACAAGCCAGAAGAGATCAGGAGCCAATATTTATCATTCTTAAAATAATTTCCAACTGAGAATTTTGTATCTGGCTAAACTAACCTTCATAAGCATCAACAAGTCTGTAAAATAACCAGCTAGCATCATGAGAGGATCAAATTAACATATAACAATATTAACCTTAAATGTAAATGTGCTAAATACCCCATTAAAAGACACAGAATGGCAAGCTGGATAAACAGTCATGATCCACCAGTGTTCTGTATTCAAGAGAGTCATCTAACATGCAACAACACACATAGAATCAAAATAAAAGGACAGAAGAAAATTTACCAAACAATTGGAAAACAGAAAGAAGCAGGGATTCCAATCCTAGTTTCGGACAAAACAGACTTTGGACCAACAAAGATAAAAAAGACAAGGGCATTACATAATGGTTAAGGGGCCAATTCAATAATGAAAACTAACGTGTGTGTGTGTGTGTGTGTGTGTGTATTTATGTATATGTTATATATATGGATAGTTGGGTGTGTGTATGTATATATAGAAATTAACAAAGATATTCAGGAAATTGAAAAAGATGTTCAAGAAAATTAACAAAGATACTCAGGAAAATTAACAAAGATATTCAAGACAATTAACAAAGATATTTAGGACTTGACCTCAGCTTTAAGTCAAGTGAATGTGATTGATATCTACAGAACTCTCCACTCCAAAACAGAACATATATTCTTCTCAGTGTCACATGGCACTTACTCTAAAATTGACCACATAATTGGAAATAAATCAACTCTCAGAAAATGCAAAACAACTAAAATCAGAAACAGTCTCTCAGACCATAGTACAATGAAATTAGAACTCAAGATTTAAAATCTCACACAAAACCACACAACTACATGAAAACTGAACAATCTACCCCTGAATGACTCCTGGGTAAATAATAAAATTAAGGCAGAAATCAAGCAGTTTTTTGAAACAAATGTGCACAAAGAGACAACATACCAGAATCTCTGGGACATAGATAAAGCAGTGTTAAGACAGAAAATTACAGCACTAAATGCCCACATCAAAAAGCTAGACAGATCTCAAATTGACACCCTACCATCACAACTAAAAGAACTAGAGAATCAAGAGCAAACCCCAAAGCTATGAGAAGACAAATAACCAAGAACAGAGCAGAACTGAGGAGATACAGGCATGAAAAATCCTTTAAAAAAAAAAAAAAAGACAACAACAACAACAGCAACAACAACAAAAAAACACAAACCAAAGAATCCAGAAGCTGATTTTGTGAGGGGGAAACAAAAGATAGACAGCTAGCTAGACTAATAAAGAAGAAAAGAGAAAAGAATCAAATAGACAATAGGAAATGGTAAAGGAGATGTCACCACTGACCCCACAGAAATACAAACCACCATTAGAAAATACTATAAACACCTCTATGCAATTAAACTAAAAAATCTAGAAAAAATGGATAAATTCCTGGACACATACATTAATTTCCAAGACTGAACCAGGAATAAGTTGAATCTGTGAATAGACTAATAACAAGTTCTGAAACTGAGGCAGTAATAAATAACCTGTGAACCAAAAAAAGCCCAGGACTGGATGGATATACAGTTGAATTCTACCAGAAATATAAAGAGGAAATGTTACCTTTTCTTCTGAAACTACTCCAAACAATTGAAAAGGAGGGACTCCTCCATAACTCAACCTATGAAGTCAGAATTATCCTGATACCAAAACCTGGCAGAGATACGACGACAACAACAACAACAACAACAAAAACTTCAGGCTAATATCCATGATGAAGACTGTGGCAAAAATTCTCAATAAAATACCGGCAAATCAAATATGGCAGCACATCAAAAAACTTATCCACCACAATCAAGTTGGCTTTAATAGCCAGAATGCAAGACAGGTTCAATATATGCAAATAAAAAAATGAAATTTATCACATAAACAGATCTAAAGACAAAAACCACGATTATCTCAATAGACACAGAAAAGGCCTTTGATAAAATTTAACATCCCTTCACATTAAAAACTATCAATAAACTAAATATTGGAAGAACATAAATCAATATAATAGGAGACGTTTATGACAAACCCACAGAAAGCATCATACTGAATGGGCAGCTGGAAGCATTCCCCTTGAAAACCGGCACAAGACAAGGATGTCCTCTGTCAGCACTCCTATTCAACATAGTAGTGGAAGTTTTGGCCAAGGCAATCAGGCAAGAGAATGAAATAAAGGGTATTCAAACAGGAAGAGAGGAAGCCAAATTGTCTTTGTTTGCAGATGACATGATCTTATATCTAGAAATCCCCATTGTCTCAGCCCAAAAGCTTCTTAAGCTGATAAGCAACGTCAGCAAATTCTGAGGATACAAAATTAATGTGCAAAAGTCAAAAGCATTCCTATACACAAACAACAGGCAAGCAGAGAGCCAAATAATGAATGAGTTCCCATTTACAACTGCTACAAAGAGAATAAAACACATAGGACTTCAGCTAACAAGGGAATTGAAGGACCTTTTCAAGGAGAAATTCAAACCACTGCTTAAGGAAATAAGAGAGGACACTAACAAATGAAAAAACATTCCATGCTCATGGATAGAAAGAATCAATGTGAAAATGGCCATACTGCCCAAAGTAATTTACAGATTCAGCACTATTCCCATCAAACTACCATTGACATTTTTCAGAGTTAAAAGAACTACTTTAAAATTCATATGGAACCAAAAAAAAAAAAAAAAAAGAGTTCATATAGTCAAGACAAGCAAAAAGAACTAAGCTAGTGGCAGTTCCAAGATGGCTGAATAGGAACAGCTCCAGTCTACAGCTCCCAGCTTGAGCAACGCAGAAGACAGGTGATTTCTGCATTTCCAACTGAGGTACCGGGTTCATCTCACTGGGGCTTGTCAAACAGTGGGTGCAGGACAGTGGGTGCAGCCCACTGAGCATGAGCCAAAGCAGGGTGAGGCACCGCCTCACCTGGGAAGTGCAAGGGGTCAGGGAATTCCCTTTCCTAGCCAAGGGAAGCTCTGACAGATGGCACCTGGAAAATCGGGTCAGTCCCACCCTAATACTGTGCTTTTCCAATGGTCTTAGCAAACGACACACCAGGAGACTACATCCCGTGCCTGGCTCAGAGCATCCCATGCCCACGGAGCCTCGCTCATTGCTAACACAGCAGTCTGAAATTGAACTGCAAGGTGGCAGCGAGGCTGGGGGTGGGGGGACGGCGCCTGCCATTGCTGAGGCTTGAGTAGGTAAACAAAGTGGCCAGGAAGCTTGAACTGGGTGAAGCCCACCGCAGCTCAAGGAGGCCTGCCTGCCTCTATAGACTCCACCTCTGGGCGCAGGGCATAGCTGAACAAAAGGCAGCAGAAACCGCTGCAGACTTAAATGTCCCTATCTGACAGCTTTGAAGAGAGTAGTGGTTCTCCCAGCAGGGAGTTTGAGATTTGAGAATGGACAGATTGCCTCCTCAAGTGGGTCCCTGACACCTGAGTACCCTAACTGGGAGGCACCCCCCAGTAGGGGCAGACTGACACCTCACATGGCCAGGTACCCCTCTGAGACGAAGTTTCTGGAGGAATGATCGGGCAGCAACATTTGCTGTTCAGCAATATTTGCTATTCTGCAGCCTCCGCTGCTGATGATACTCAGGCAAATAGGGTCTGGAGTACATCTCCAGCAAACTCTAACAGACCTGCAGCTGAGGGTCCTGACTGTTAGAAGGAAAACTAACAAACAGAAAGGACATCCACCACAAAACCCCATCTGTACGTCACCATCATCAAAGACCAAAGGTAGATAAAACCACAAAGATGGAGAAAAAACAGAGAAGAAATGCTGAAAATTTTAAAAATCAGAGTGCCTCTCCCCCTCCAAAGGAACACACCTCCTTGCCAGCAACAGAACAAAGCTGAACAGAGAACGACTTTGAGGAGTTGATAAAAGGCTTCAGATGATCAAACTTCTCCGAGCTAAAGGAGGAAGTTTGAACCCATTGCAAAGAAGTTAAAAACCTTGAAAAAAGATTAGACGAATGGCTAACTACAATAACCAGTGTAGAGAAATCCTTAAATGACCTGATGGAGCTGAAAACCATGGGACAAGAACTATGTGATGCATGCACAAGCCTCAGTAGTGGATTCAATCAACTGGAAGAAAGCATATCAGTGATAGAAGATCAAATGAATGAAATGAAGTGAGAAGTTTAGATAAAAAAGAGTAGAAAGAAACAAACAAAGCCTCCAAGAAACATAGGACTACATAAAAAGACCAAATCTACATCTGATTGGTGTACCTGAAAGTGATGGGGAGAATGGAACCAAGTTGGAAAACACTCTGCAGGATATTATCCAGGAGAACTTCCCCAACCTAGCAAGGCAGGCTAACATTCAAATTCAGGAAATACAGAGAATGCCACAAAGATAATCCTTGAGAAGAGAAACTCCAAGACATATAATTGTCAGATTCACCAAACTTGAAATGAAGGAAAAAATGTTAAGGGCAGCCAGAGAGAAAGGTCGGGTTACCCACAAAGGGAAGCCCATCAGACTAACAACGGATCTCTCAGCAGAAACTCTACAAGCCAGAAGACAGTGGGAGCCAATATTCAACATTCTTAAAGAAAAGAATTTCCAACCCAGAATTTCAAATCCAGCCAAACTAAGCTTCATAAGTGAAGGAGAAATAAAATCCTTTACAGACAAGCAAATGCTGAGAGATTTTGTCACCACCAGGACTGCCCTAAAAGAGCTCCTGAAGGAAGCACTAAACATGGAAAGGAACAACCTGTACCAGCCACTGCAAAAACATGCCAAATTGTAAAGACCATCAAGGCTAGGAAGAAAATGCCTCAACTAATGAGCAAAATAACCAGGTGACATCATAATGACAGGAGCAAATTCACACATAACAACATTAAACTTAAATGTAAATGGGCTAAATGCTCTAATTAAAAGACACAGACTGGCAAATTGGATAAAGAGTCAAGACCCATCAGTGTGCTGTAATCAGGAGACCCATCTCATGTGCAGACACACACATAGTCTCAAAATAAAGGGATGGAGGAAGATCTACCAAGCAAATGGAAAACAAATAAAGGTAGGGGTTGCAATCCTAGTCTCTGATAAAACAGAATTTAAACCAACAAATATCAAAAGAGACAAAGAAGGCCATTACATAATCGTAAAGGGATCAATTCAACAGGAAGAGTTAACTATCCTAAATATATATGCACCCAATACAGGAGCGCCCAGCTTCATAAAACAAGCCCTTAGAGACCTACAAAGAGACTTAGACTCTCACACAATAATAATGAGAGACTTTAACACCATACTCTCAACATTAGACAGATCAACAAGACAGAAAATTAACAAGGATGTCCAGGAATTGAACTCAGCTCTGCACCAAGCGGACCTAATAGACATCTGCAGAATTTTCCACCCCAAATCAACAGAATATACATTCTTCTCAGCACTAGACCTATTCCAAAACTGACGACATAGTTGGAAGTAAAGCACTCCTCAGCAAATGTAAAAGAACAGAAATTATAACAAACTGTCTCTCAGACCACAGTGCAATCAAACTAGAACTCAGGATTAAGAAACTCACTCAAAACTGCTCAACTACATGGAAATTGAACAACCTGCTCCTGAATGATTACTGGGTACATAATGAAATGAAGGCAGAAATAAAGATGTTCTTTGAAACCACTGAGAACAAAGACACAATATAAAAGAATCTCTTGGACACATTTAAAGCAGTGTGTAGAGGGAAATTTATAGCACTAAATGCCCACAAGAGAAAGCAGGAAAGATCTAAAATTGACACCCTAACATCACAATTGAAAGAACTAGAGACGCAAGAGCAAACACATTCAACAGCTAGCAGAAGGCAAGAAGTAACTAAGATCAGAGCAGAACTGAAGGAGAGAGAGACATAAAAAACCGTTCAAAAAAATCAGTGAATCCAGGAGCTGGTTTTCTGAAAAGATCAACAAAATTGATAGACCGCTGGCAAGACTAATAAAGAAGAAAAGAGAAGAATCAAAAAGAAAAAATAAAAATGATAAAAGGGATATCACCACCAATCCCTCAGAAATACAAACTACCATCAGAGATTACCATAAATACCTCTACACAAATAAATTAGAAAATCTAGAAGAAATGGATAAATTCCTGGACACATACACCCTCCCAAGACTAAACCAGGAAGAAGTTCAATCTCTGAATAGACCAATAACAGGCTCTGAAATTGAGGCAATAATTAATAGCTTACGAACCAAAAAAAGTCCAGGACCAGACGGATTCACAGGCAAATTCCACCAGAGGTACAAAGAGGAGGTGATACCATTCCTTCTGAAATTATTCCAATCAATAGAAAAAGAGGGAAACCTCCCTAACTCATTTTATGAGGCCAGCATCATCCTGATACCAAAGCCTGGCAGAGACACAACAAAAAAAGAGAATTTTAGACCAATATCCCTGATGAACATCAATGCAAAAATCCTCAATAAAATACTGGCAAACCGAATCCAGCAGCAAATCAAAAAGCTTATCCACCATGATCAAGTGGGCTTCATCCCTGGGATGCAAGGCTGGTTCAACGTATACAAATCAATAAACATAATCCAGCATATAAACAGAACCAATGACAAAAACCACATGATTATCTCAATAGATGCAGAAAAGGCCTTTGACAAAATTCAACAACCCTTCATGCTAAAAACTCTCAATAAATTAGATATTGATGGGACGTATCTCAAAATAATAAGAGGTATTTATGAAAAACCCACAGCCAATATCACACTGAATGGGCAAAAACTGCAAGTATTCCCTTTGAAAACTGGCACAAGACAGGGATGCCCTCTCTCACCACTCCTATTCAACATAGTGTTGAAAGTTCTGGCCAAGGCAATCAGGCAGGAGAAAGAAATAAATGGTATTCAATAAGGAAAAGAGGAAGTCAAATTGTTCCCGTTTGCAGATGATATGACTGTATATCTAGAAAACCCCATTGTCTCAGCCCAAAATCTCCTTAAGCTGATAAGCAACTCAGCAAAGTCTCAGGATACAAAAATCAATGTGCAAAACCACAAGCATTCTTCTTATACACAAATAACAGACAAACAGAGAGCCACATCATGAGTGAACTCCCATTCACAATTGCTTCAAAGAGAATAAAATACCTAGGAATCCAACCTACAAGGGATGTGAAGGACCTCTTCAAGGAGAACTACAAACCACTGCTCAATGAAATAAAAGGATACAAAGAAATGGAAGAACATTCCATGCTTATGGATAGGAAGAATCAATATCATGAAAATGGCCATACTGCCCAAGGTAATTTATAGATTCAATGCCATCTCCATCAAGCTACCAATGCCTTTCTTCATAGAATTGGAAAAAACTACTTTAAAGTTTATATGGAACCAAAAAAGAGCCCGCATTGCCAAGTCAATCCTAAGCCAAAAGAACAAAGCTGGAGGCATCACACTACCTGACTTCAAACTATACTACAAGGCTGCAGTAACCAAAACAGCATAGTACTGGTATCAAAACAGAGATGTAGACCAATGGAACAGAACAGAGCATCAGAAATTATACCACACATTTGCAACCATCTGATCTTTGACAAACCTGACAAAAACAAGAAATGGGGAAAGGATTCCCTATTTAATAAATTCTGTTGGGAAACCTGGCTAGCCAGATGTAGAAAGCTGAAACTGGATCCCTTCCTTACACCTTATACAAAAATTACTTCAAGATGGATTAAAGACCTACATGTTAGACCTAAAACCATAAAAACTCTAGAAGAAAACCTAGGCAATGCCATTCAGGACATAGGCATGAGCAAGGACTTCATATCTAAAACACCAAAAGCAATGGCAACAAAAGCCAAAATTGACAAATAGGATCTAATTAAACTAAAGAGCTTCTGCACAGCAAAAGAAACTACCATCAGAGTGAACAGGCAACCTACAGAATGGGAGAAGATGTTTGCAATCTACTCATCTGACAAAGGGCTAATATCCAGAATCTACAATGAACTCAAACAAATTTACATGAAAAAAAAAAAAAAAACATCAACAACCCCATCAAAGAGTGGGTGAAGGATATGAACAGACACTTCTCAAAAGAAGACATTTATTCAGCCAACAGACTCATGAAAAAATGCTCATCATCACTGGCCATCGGAGAAATGCAAATCAAAACCACAATGAGATAGCATCTCACATTAGTTAGAATGGTGATCATTACAAAGTCAGGAAACAACAGGTGCTGGAGAGGATGTGGAGAAATAGGAACACTTTTACACTGTTGGTGGGACTGTAAACTGGTTCAACAATTGTGGAAGACAGTGTGGCGATTCCTCAAGGATCTAGAACTAGAAATATCACTTGACCCAGCCATCCCATTACTGGGTATATACCCATAGGATTATAAATCATGCTGCTACAAGAACACATACACACACGTTTATTGCGGCACTATTCACAATAGCAAAGACTTGGAACCAACCCAAATGTGCAACAATGATAGACTGGATTAAGAAAATGTGGCACATATACACCATGGAATACTATGCAGCCATAAAAAATGATGAGTTTATGTCCTTTGTAGGGACATGGATGAAGCTGGAAACCATCATTCTCAGCAAACTATCACAGGGACAAAAAAATCAAACACTGCATGTTCTCACTCATAGTTGGGAATTGAACAGTGAGAACACTTGGACACAGGAAGGGGAACATCACACACCGGGGCCAGTCATGGGGTGGGGGGAGGGGAGAGGGAAAGTGTTGGGAGATATACCTAAAGTAAATGATGAGTTAATGGGTACAGCACACCAACATGGCACATGTATACATATGTAACAAAACTGCACATTGTGCATATGTACCCTAGAACTTTGAGTATAATAAAATAAAAAAGAAAAACAAGTAATATGGACTAATGATGAAAATTCAATTGTGCAGAAATGTGGAAAGTAAAAAATGTATTTTCTATCATCAAAAAAAAGTAAAGAACAAATCTGTTGGCATCACACTATCTAACTTCAAACTATACTACAAGGCTACAATAACCAATACCACACAGCACTGGTTCAAAAACAGACACACAGAACAATATAACAGAATAGAGAACTCAGGAATAAGACTGCATAGCTACAAACATCTGAGCTTTGACAAACCTGACAAATACAAGCAATGGGGAAAGTATTCCCTATTTAATAATGCTTGGAGAACTGGCTAGTCATATGTAGAAAATTGAAACTGGACCCCTTTCTTATGCCTTATAGAAAAGTTAACTCAAAATGGATTAAAGAGTTAAGTGTAAAATTCAAAACGATTGAAACTCTAGAAGAAAATCTATGTAATACCATTCAGGACATAGGTACAGGCAAAAATTTCATGACAAAATCACCGGAAGAAATTTCAACAAAAGCAAAAATTGACAAACAGGGTCTAATTAAGCTAAAGAGCTTCTGCACAGCAAAATAACCTATTATCAGAACAAAAAGGCAACCTACAGATTCGGAGAAAATTTTTGTAATGTGGTTATCTGACAAAGGCCTAATATCCAGAATCTATGAGGAACGTAAACAAATTTATAGTTAATAAAACAAACAACTCCATTAAAAACTGGGCAAAGAATGTGAACAGACACTTCTCAAAAGAAGACATTCATGCAGCCAACAAACATGAAAAAAATCTCAATATCCCTGATCATTAGAAAAATGCAAATCAAAACCACAGTGAGATACCATCTCATGCCAGTCTAATGGTGATTACTAATAAGTCAAGAAACAACAGAAGCTGAACAAGTTGCAGAGACATAGGAACACTTTTGCACTTTTGGTGGCAATGTAAACTAGTTCCACCACGGTGGATGATGGTGTGGTGATTCCTCAAAGATCTAGAACCAGAAATACCCATTTGACTCAGAAATCTCATTATGAGTATATACCCAAAGGAATATAAATCATTCTATTACAAAGATACATGCACGCATATGCTCATTGCAGCACTATTCACAATAGCAAAGACATGCAGTCAACCCAAATGCCCATCAATGATAGGCTGGATAAAGAAAATGGGGTACATATATACCATGGAATACTATGCAGACGTTTAAAGCAACAATATCATGTCTCTTGCATGGATATGGAGGGAGGTGAAAGCCATTACCTCAGCAAACCAATGCATGAAAGTAAAAACAAACACTGTATATTCTCCTTTCTAAGTGGGAGCTGAACAATGAGAACACATGGACACAGGGAGGGGAACAGCACACACTGGGGCCTGTTGGGTGGTGGGGTTGGGGGAGGGAGAGCATTAGGAAAAATAGCTAATGCATGCTGGAATTGATACCTAGGTGACAAACGACCAAGGCACACCTTTACCTATGTAGCAAATCTGCACATCCTGTATATGTACCCCAGAACTTAGAATAAAAATTACAATAAAAAATAGATTGGATAAAGCAAACAAACAGTGAAAACAGACCCTCACCAACACTGAGTCTGCTGATATCTTGTTCTTACACTTCTTGGTCTCCAGAACTATGAGAAATAAATTTCTATTGTTTATAAGCCATCCCGTCTGTGGTATTTTTTTTTTTTAACAATCTGAATGGATTAAGGCAGTGAGTAAAATAAAAAGATGATAAGCAGTTGTTGGAAAACAAGATAACTTAATATTTTGGAAGTAATAACTAGAAATAAAAAAGCTATGGTAGTTTGAAGAGAGGCGAGTAAAGTATATAAGAGGTGGAAAGCCTAAAGACCTAAAAGACCAGAAAATTGGAAATAGAAGGAGAGAAATAATCAGAAATTAAAGAGAATCCAAAGTGGTAGCTATCCATCAACAAGGTGGGATAGCAGGAGATATTCCCTGACAGAATGAGCTTGAAAGGAAGATGTTAGGGAGGAGAAATAACAGTATTATGCAAATGTAAATAAGGACATATATGGCAGTTTCCTTGCAGTGAAAGATTATCAAGTTGTACCATTATGCAATGCAGTATTTTCATAGGACAGCTAGACTCCTGTTAGAGTGAGAAAGTTAAGGAAAGATTCAGAAAAGACATTAGGACACAGATAACTTTGATGAAGCCCTATTATGAATTCCAGGGGTAACATAGGAAAAGTTTGGGTCATCAGGAGATGGGACAGGAAAACAAAGTTTTTAAAGATGAATGAGGCATGAACTATAAGCAAGGAATTTTCTGTGGCTACTATGATTAGCACGGATATAAGGCAGAATACATTCACCCTTAAAGTCTCTTAGAGAGGGGCAATGATCCATTTTAATTATAGCCTCCTTCCAGGAACTGGTCTCCTACAGACTGTAATGGTTATTTGTATAGTATGAGGAGGGATAAAAGGAAGTCTGCCAAAATTTGCAGAGCTTTATGGGTTCTCTTTTTAAACTTGCCAATAATATTGTCAATGCCAAGAGATTAAAATATTTCTGAAATGCAGAAAGTTATAGTGCATTTGCTGTATTTATGTTTGTGTGCATATTTTGAAATATCTGGCTAAAGAGTTTCAAATATTCTCCTGTTAGACACCAGGTTTCCTCTTAAATATTGTTGCATGTAAGTATTTTAAAATAACACTGTGAAACACTTAAAAATGATGTTTGCATTTGTTTGTCTGTTGAGATAATTCATGCCAGTGTTTGTTCGCAAGAAAAATATGACAGTTTCTTTCCTATTTTCATTTCTTCTACCTTATCATTTGAATTAGGTTGAAATAAAAAAGATGGTATCTCATGCAAGACCATAAACTTCAAACATTTACTGTATTAGACATAATAAATATTAAAAGGCCTACAGAGAACATAAGCTGTGTATACTAGATCAGATATTCTCAAAATGTAACACCTGAATCATCTTCATCAGAACCATCTAATTTGTTTAACATTCAGGTGGTTCTACACCTGAAAGCACTTCCTGAATTATATTCTTAATATAAGGGATGTTAAAAACCTAAATGTGTGTGTATGTGTGTGTATATATATGTGTGTGTGTATATATAGATGTGTGTATATATATACACACACATGTACACACACACACACATATATATATATATATATATATATAAATACATTCATTAAAATTTTTGTATGTGTCCTAAACTACATCCATTGCAGTTTCAGAAAGATTAGTTTTTGGAAGATAAAGGACCACATATTTATTTTCACAATCATCAAGAAAGATTGCTCTATGAGTATTAATTTTCATTTTTACTACACACTAAGTACTGTTATTTAAGAAGCAGGCCCTACACTCAAAAACAAAGATTTAAGCACAAATAACTTATTTTGACAGTAAAAGAAATACTAGCCAGGGTAAACAAAGTGTGGTGATTTTGTACCATGTCAACAACACTTGCCGTAATTATCTTCTCTGTGTGTTTCCAGGTTAAAGTTGGCCACAAGGTAAATATTTACAAGATGGTGAAGGCAGAAGTGAAATAGCAGCTTTAATGCTTAGGGGTCAGGTTAGAATGCCAGAGATTTATGTTGCTCAAGCACATTTCATTGATCTTTTGACTCACTTCAAGAGTGTGTGAAAGCAGCCAGGTCTTTCCTGGATGAGCACATATACACTTCTGTGGCAAATAGTTCCAATCTTTCTAAAGATAATCTGTGGCATTGGGGACAGAGACAATGAGAGACAAATGTGGGTTTCTGTCTATGTTCATGGGTTCCAATCAGCCTCTTTTCTGTCACTTTCTATCAGGTTTCTTTTCCTGATTTCCAGAACTGCTGAAGTAGGACAACTTCAGGCCCATCCCACAATGCAAAAGCAATAGTGTTCCATAGACGTTTCGACCAGTTCTCACAAGGTTGTAAATTTTAAAATAATAAATCTCTTATTTCATATGAGAAGATAAGACTCAGAGTGGTCTTACCTTCTTAATGACTCCCTAATTCATGAGACAGAAGGAAAGAAAGGCAGTGTGTTAGTTCATTCTCACACTGCTATGAAGAAATGCTTGAGACTGGGTAATTTATGAAGAAAAAAGATTTAATTGACTCACAGTTCTGCACGGCTGGAAGGCCTCAGGAAGCTTACAATCATGGTGGAAGGCACTCCACTATGCCACTCCACCGTGGCAAGAGAGAGAATTAGCGCCCAGTGAAGGCGGAAGCCCCTTATAAAACCATCAGATCTCATGAGAATTCAATCACTTCACAAGAACAGCTGGGGGAAACCACTCCATGATTCAATTACCTCCACCTGGTCCCACCATTGACACATGGGGATTATTACAATTCAAGGTGAGATTTAGGTGAGGGCACAGAACCAAACAATAGCATTTCAAACCTGGCCCCTCCTAAATCTCATGTCCTCACATTTCAAACCACAATCATGCCCTTCCAACAGTCCCCCAAATCTTAACTCATTCCAGTATTAACCCACAAATGGAACTCCAAAGTCTCATCTGAGACAAGGCAAGTCCCTTCTGCCTATACGCCTGTAAAATCAAAAGCTAGCTTGATACAATGGAGGTACAAGCATTGGGTACATACACCTGTTCCAAATGGGATAAATTGGCCAAAACAAAAGAGCTACAGGCCTCATGCAAGTCTGAAACTCAATAGTGCAGTCATTAAACCTCAAAGTTCCAAAAAATCTCCTTTGACTCCATGTCTCACATCTGGGTCACAGTGATGCAAGAGGTGGGCTCCCATGGCCCTGGGCAGCTTCACCCCTGCGGCTTTCAAGCAGGGTTCAGCTCCCCTCTCAGCTGCTTTCATGGCTGGTATTGAGTGTCTGCAGCTTTTTAAGGTGCACAATGCAAGCTATCAGTGGATCTACCATTCTGGGGTCTGGAGGATGGTGGCCCTCTTCTCACTGCTCCATTAGGCAATAAGTAGAGCTAGAGCTATGTCAGTAAGTAGAGTAGAGCTAAGTAAGTAGAGCTAGAGATAAACAGGTAGGAAAAGACAGGAACATATAGGGATAGATGAAGACTAGCAATATAAGGTCAGTGCCCTAAAGAGGTACAAAAGTAGGGACTAGCAAAGACTAGCAGAGATTTGCAGGGACAGACAAGAACATTCTGAATTATGGAAATTAGCTATGGCTCAAAGGGCAAATATAAAAGGAATAGAGGGGAGGGAGGTAAGGATAAAAATGCTCTTTCTTTTCTCTCCAACAGGACCTTTCGGTCCTTTAAACTTAATCGAAGGACGGATGCACTGGTGTCTGCAGCTTTTGCTGATGCACAAGCATTCCATTCTTTAACTCATCGTAATGCCACAGGCCTTAGAAAAAGATGGTCACATACAAAGAGCTGGGAAAAAGGAAGGATAATTATATGGGGACAAGGATTTGCTTGTGTCTTTCCAGGTGATGATCAGATGTTTGTGTGGGTGCCCACCAAACATCTGAAGATCTATCATGAGCCACGGCATCTAGTGGGCCCACCTGTACAGTGCAAATTGAAGGTTTGAAAATCCTCAATTTGCTTTCTCTGTGCCTTCTGTTAGAAGGGGCCTGTTTCTCATCAGTGGCCTCCCGGTCACAGCCACAAACGTTTTTGCTTCTGTTTCAGTAGATTTACTAACGTGGGGGTGAGGGTATGCTTGTGTTTCTGCAGGAGATGAACTAACCGTGTGGATGCCCTCAAGATGTGTATGACCATGGAATGGCAGACTGGAGGGACCCATGGATCCCAACCATGGACCGGGTTCCCCCAGTACGAGGCATGAGCCAGTTGAATCTGAATGCAAAGATGGAATGAAGACCGACCAGAGTCACGATGCTTAATGGACCAGTGCTTTCCGACTCAGCTCCTCTCTACCCTGAATACAAGAGACCCTAATAGGCAGGAATATCACTGCCCCTATTCAGCATGAAGAAGTTACAGAAGACGGACCTTTATCCTTCTGCAGCCCCTGGGATTAAGGGTCCTCTTGTAAAAGGGAAAGGGGAAATATGTGAGAAGTACTCAAATCAGAGTGACTCCAGTTTGAATAAGGGCTAAGGAAAATGAAGCTGGATCACCAACTGGTAATGAAGGGCTGCACAGCCTGCAATCACCTTGCTTAGTTAAAAGGCCACCTTTTATGCTAGTAATAATATTAGCTAGTAATAATGATACCTTCTCTTTTACAAAAAAGAGAAGAGGGGGCATGTTGGGAAAAAGCTGAGTGTTGGGAGAAGCTGAGGCAGGGCTTGCATGTCTGACATAATGTAAAAAAGTGTTGGAACATGTCCGGGGTCCAGGATCTAAAACCCCTTGTGGCCTTTGGAACACCAAGCTTTGTGCTAAAGGGTGGAAGGCTCCCCTGATGCATCATCATCTAAGCCCAGGGCATAAAATCCCTCGTGGCTTGGATAAAATCCAGGGCTCGTGGCTCTGGAATAGTTCTAGACTTGCTGGCTCCTTGCTCCTTGCTCTCCCAGGATCCATTATATCTGGATTTAAAAGAACCTGCCCTCCATGATCTCAAGTAGCAGAGCAAATGCTAAACCATCACAGCTGTAAATCATGTGCTTAATGCAACATGCCCTTTCGACCTCCACATTCTCACCACCTGTTTCTCCGTTGGATTACCAATAAATAGCGTGGGCTCCCAGAGCTCGGGGCCTTTGCAGCCTCCATACTCTAGCGATGGCCCCCTGATCCCACTTTACCTCTCAAACTGTCTTTTTCTCAATCCTTTGACTCCGCCGGACTTCGTCACCCCCATGACCTGGTGTTGGGTCTGATCACCCCAATAACTCCCAAGAATAATTCTCCAGGTCTTTTAACCTTCCACATCTATAGGCAAAGCAGGCTCTAGTGGCAAGATAAACACCTCCAGCAAAGAGATAAAGCTGCTGGCAGATAGAAGTTGAGTGACCTGAATAGAAAGGGTGCGGCCACAAAGATATATAGGTTGTTGGCAGAATCATTTATGATAATAAGCACTATCTCATTTGTCCTCCCAGCAGCTCTACAGGTATTCTATATTATTTATACTTGTCTTGGTAAAGAAAACAGATTTAGAAATCCTAAGCATATTTTCCAAAGTCACAGAGTTGATAAGTGGAAAAGTTGCGTTATTAAACTCAGGTGTGAATGATTTTAAAGTCTATGCATTTAATGCACTATAGGAGCTGTCAAATAATATATTCGGATTCTTCAATTCAGTGTGGCAGCAGCTGTAGTTCTACCCAGTTGTGACAGAACGGTTTTCACATTGGGACTCATTGCAGATTATTTGGAGTTGATTAATTACTCTGACCCTGTCTACACTATAGAATCACACTGCAAACTATGTGGGCCTACCATTGAAGATTTTGCCTAACAGGAGTCCAGAAAAAGGTGTGCCTAGAAAACCAGCCAAAGCATAAAATACAGGATATAGAATATGTTTGAAGCAAATTACTTCTCCTTTTTATTAATACTTCTTTTGTTTCACCATAGGCTATATCTGCATCATGGGGACAAATGGAAGATAAGACTCTGATCAGAAGTTAAAAACAGCTGTGTGGTTGAGCCAAACTTACAAGGTAGGACTAAGATATACAAAAAAGATCACAGGTGAAGACAAGGTTCATCAACAAAGGGAGAATTTGTAGGAACTAGTGAACCAGAAGTAAGTTCAGTAATTGAAGCAAGTTATGTTCAGCAATGAAGGCAGGGACTAACAATAGAGACAATTTAAGTAAGTGAATAGAGAGACTGGATGGGGAACAGATGCTGAAGCAGTCCCCTGATGTCTGGAAATATTGTTTGACCTCACATCTCTCCAATCCCTGCTTTACACTCTCTGCTCTGACTTTATTAAACCTTTTGAAGATTCGCCAGCATAGTGTATTCTCTCTTACCTCTGAACCTCTGAATATATTAGTTACTTTACCTGGAAAACACTTCTTTCTACAACTAATAACAAAACCAATGATAAAATGTTGGATGCTTTTCTCCTGATATTAGGAACAAGGTAAGATGTCCACTGTTATCTCTTCCATTTAATCATATATGGAAGTTCTAGTCAGTGAATAAAGCAAATAAATAAATATATAGCATAAAGTTTAGAAAAAAATAAAGGAATACTAGCTTTATTTGAAGATATGATTGTTTATAACATAAACACATACTAAAATAATTACTACAACTAATAAGTAAATTTAGCAAGTTTGAATTTTCAATATTAAAAAGTCAATTACATCATTTGCATGCCTGGAATACAGCCCACTTGATCATAGTGTATTAACTGTTTAATGTGCTGCTGTATTCAATTTGCTAGTATTCTGTTGAGGATTTTTGCATCTATGTTCATGAGGGATATTGGTCTGAAGTTTTCTTTTTTTGTTATGTCTGTTAGATTTTGAAATCACACTGATGCTGGCTTCATTAAATGAATTAAGGAGGAGCCCCTCCTCCTCAGTTTCTTTTTGGAATTGTAAAATAAGATGGGTATCAATTCTTGTAGAATTTGACTGTGAATCTACCTGATCCTGAGCTTTTTGCGGTTGGTTCTTTATTACTGATTTAATTGTGGAAGTTGATGTTGATCTAGTCAGTGTTTCAATCTCTTCCCGATTCAATCTTGGGAGATGATGCGCTTCCAGTAATTTATCTATTTAATGCAAATGTTTTGATTTGGGGGCATAGAGTTGTTCATAGTAGTCTCTAAGGATCTTTTACATTTCTGTGGAATTAGCTGTAATATCACCTTTGTTGTTTCTGCTTATTTGAATTTTCTCTTTGTTAATCTCACTAGGGGTCTATCAATCTTATTTATTTTTTGAAGAACAAAGTCTTTCATTGGTCCATTTAATGTATTTTTGTATCTCAATTTCATTAAGTTATTGTCTAATTTTAGTTTTTTTTCTTCTACTTGCTTTGGGATTGGTTTGTTCTTTTATCCAAATTTCTTTAGATGCAAAGTTAGATTGTTAATTCGACATCTTTCTAGCTTCAAGATGAAGTCATTTAGGGCCATAAACTTTCCTCCTAACACTTACTTTAGCTGCATCCCAGAGATTTTGATGGTTGTGTTGCTATTTTCATTACTTTCAAATAATTTTTTATTTGTGCCTTTATTTTGATATTCGCCAAGGAATTATTCAGTAGTAAGTTGTTTAATTTCCATATATTTGTGTAGTTCTGAGAGATCTTCTTGGTATTGATTTCTATTTTTATTACACTGTGGTCTAAGAATGTGCTTGGTATAATTTTGATTCTTTTGAATTTATTGAATCTTGCTTTATGACCAAGCACATGGTCAATCTTAGAATATGTTCCATGTGCTTATGAGAAGAATGTATATACTGTAGGTGTTTGGCGGAATGTTATGTAGATGACTATTAGGTTCAATTTATTATGTGTTGAGTTTAAGTCCAGAGTCTCTTTGTTAGTTTTTACCTCAATGATGTGCCTAACATTGTCAGTGGAATGTTAAAGTCTCTCACCATTATTGTGTAGTTGTCTGAGTCTTTTTGTAGGCCAAGAAGAAGTTGTTTTAGTAATGTGGCTGCTCTAATGTTGGGTGCATATATATTTAGTATAGTTAAGGCTTCTTGTTGGGCTTGCAACAAGAATCCTTTATCATTATGTACTAATCTTCATTGTGTTTTTAAAATTTTCATTAGCTTTTAGCCTGTTTTATCTGATATAAGAATAGTTACCCTGCACATTTTTGTTTTCCATTTGCGTAATAGATTTTACTCCACCCATTTACTTGGAGCTTGTTCATGTCATTCCATATGAGATGGGTCTCTTGAAGGTAACAGATGGTTTGGTCATGTCTTTTTATCTAGCCTGCCACTCTATGGCTTTTAAGTGGGGAATTTAGCCCATTTATTTTAAAAGTTATTGTTGATACGTGCAGTTTCATTCCACTCATCATGTTGTTAGCTGGTTGTTACATAGACATGATTGTGTAACTGCTTTATAGTGCCTGTGGGGTATGTGCTTAAGTGTGCCTTTGTGGTCACAGGTGTCATTCTTTCAAATCCACATTTAGCACTCCATTAAGGACCTCATGTAAGGCTGGTCTAGTTGAAATGTATTGCCTCAGCATTTCCTTGTCTGAGAAGGATTTTATTTCTCCTTCACTTATGAAGCTTAGTTTGGCAGGTTATAAAATTTTTGGTTGGAATTTCTTTTTTAAGAACACTAAAAATAGGCCCCAGATCACTTCTGCCTTGTAAGGTATCTGCTGGGAGGTCTTCTGCTAGCCTGATGGGGTTCTCTCTGTATGTGACCTGCCCCCTTCTCTCTAGCTGCCTTTAAGATTCTTTTTTTGCGTTGACTTTGATGGAACTGATGACTATGTGCCTTGGAGTCATTTTGTATAGCATTTGGCTGGGATTCTCTGTATTTCTTTAATTTGCATGTTTACCTCTCTAGCAAGATTGGGGTAATTTTCATGAACTATATTCTCAAGTATATTTTTCAAGTTGCTTATTCTTTTTTCATTACTGTCAGGAATGGTGATGAGTCATAAATTTGGTTTCTTTATGTAATCCCATATTTCTTGGAGGTTTTGCTAATGTTTCTTAATTCTTTTTTTTGTCTGACTATGTTGCATTGAAAAATTGGTCTTTGAGCTCTGCGATTCTTTTCTCAGCTTGTTCTATTCTGTTGTTAATATTTCTGATTGTATTATGAAATTTTTGTAGTGAATATTTTACCTCAAAAGTTCAATTTGAGTCTTTCTTAAAATGAGTGTTTTGTCTTTCAGCTTTCAATAACTGTACAGAATTGCTTGGCTTACTTAGATTGAGTTTCAACTTTCTCCTTCATCTCAATGGGCTTTTTGCCATCCAGATTCTGAATTACATGTCTGTCATTTTCAGACAATTCAGACTAGTTAAAAAAGCATTGTTTGGGGAGCTACTGAGCTCCGTCAGAGGTAAAGGGACGTTCTGGCTTTTTGAGTTGCCAGAGTTTTTGTGCTGATTCTTTCTTATCTGGGATGGCTTGTGTACCTTAGATTGTGGTATAAATTGAGTATAGTCAGTTGGCTTCATTTCTAGAAGTTTTCAGAGACCAAAGGCTCTGTTCAGAGTCTTTGTTGTTGAATTCTTGCTCCTGGTTTCTCAGAGGGGCAAATTAGCCCTGCTTTTTGTGTAATTTGGGCTACGATCCAGTGGATGGTGGTTGAGAGCAATGGGCTATAGCTAGACTGGTAGCCAAGAGGTTCTTTTGTTTATCTTCCTCTTTGCAGCTGTGTTCTGTGGTACAAAGGGGAGATAGGTGACCTGTTAAGTAGGTTTGTTCATGGACCTTGTGGAACCCACCTGAAATCACTGGCACTGTTCCCATGATTTATTGTCCTTGTTAGGTCTTTTGGGCCATGGGTCCCATGGGAAGAGGTCTGGTAGGGAGATAGGCCACAATCTTACTATACTAACCCCATGAAGGGAGGCATGCCAGGATCCCACACCAGCCTGTGAAGCTGTGCAATTCAGCCTTTTCAGTTTTCTGAGTGTGAGATCCTCATCCATTTCAGTGAGGAGCCAGATCCTAGCTCAGCACTCCTGAGCCACAGGCCACAGCCCTGGGGTTCCTCCTTCAGCTGCAAAGAGTTGGGTTCCCCGTGCAGTGGGAGATGCAAATGCATTGAGGTGTAGCAAAGCACCCAGGCTGGGAAGCAGAGGCTGTAGTGTGTAAATGCTCCTAAGGGGTGGATGTACTGTGTACATGCTCGTAAGGCAGGATCCCTAAGAGGGGCTGCAATGAGAGAGCCAATGATGTACTGTGTACATGCTCCTAAGGGGAGGCCAGGCAGGATCCCTAAGAGGGGCTGGTGGGCAGGCAGTCCTGCAGGACAGATGCCCAGTCCCATGGGGAAACAGGCTAGCTTTTTCCCTATGGTTAGCTGGGCCCAGAGACTCTCAGAATGAGAGGAGAAGTACTGGGGTGTGGACACTTACGGCTGTGTTTCACTAGAGCTGACCTGCACTCAAAGGTCCCTGGCTCTGTGCCTGCTGCAGCTCCACCTCTGTCTAATCTCTTGGGAATTCCCTCTGCCAGCTCATACATCCATGGGACTATGAGGCCCCCTGCAGCTAGGATCCCAGAGGCCCTACAGTGAGAGTGAGCAGTCCCCCAAACCCTTCACTCACCCCTTCTCCAAGTGCTTTCTGGAGCCAAGAACTGGCTGTAGGATTCAGGCACCGATTCTAAATTTTATATGTGCATACAGATTTTCCAGAAGACCTGAAACAGTGAAAAAGAGCAAAATTGAAGAACTGGCACCTGATTTCAAGATTTAATAAAAACATAAAAAAATCAAGGCTCTGTTAATGGTATAAAGATAGACCTATCAATCTATAGAGAAAAAAATAGACTCCAAACCTAGACTCACATATACATGGTCAAATAATTTCCAACAAAGGTACCTAGGTAACTTAATGGGAAACAGAACATCTTTTTCACAAATTATGTTGAAATAATAATCTTAATGGCAAAAATTAGAACTGTAAAATGTCTAGAGGAAAAAAATAGAAAATTTTTATGGCATTGGCGAAAGCAAAGACTTCTTAGATGGGGCCACTGACACAGAGATCATAAACTGAAAGCAAAAAAAATGCATAAATCCTGCCTTATTAAAATAAAAAACTCTTACAGAAACACTGTGAGGAAACAAAAATGACAATTCAGTTTAGAAGAAAATATTTACAAAATATATATCCGACATGGATTTTCTATACAGAATATCTGTATGTGTATATATATATATATACACACACACATATATATTAAACATATATACACACATATATATTAAACATATATGTGTATGTGTATGTATATATATATATATATGTTTTACCACTCAGTAAGGCATGCCAAACATATGAAAAACAAACATAGACAAACAACCAAATTAAAAATGTGCAAAATATGTGAACAGACCCTCTGCAAATTAGGATATATGAATGAACAGTTAGCATATAAGCACATATTCTAAATCAGTAGTTATCAGAAAAATGCAAATTCAAACTGACTGGAAATTTCTAGTGTTTATCAAAACTTGGAGCAACTGCAATTATCATACATCATTGGTGAGAATATAAGATAATATCATTAGCTTCTTAAAATTTTAAGATATATCTACACCACAATCTAGGCTTTCCAGCTATTCTTAGCTATTTACCAAGAGAAATGAGAACATATCTATCTATCTATATATCTATATAAATATATAAATAAAGACATGTATTAATGTTCTTTACAGTTTTATTTACAATAGCCCAAAGCTAGAAATTACTCAGATGTCCATCAAAAGGTGAATGGTAAATTCAACTTGGTTTGTTCATACAATTGTCTACTACTCAACAATAGAACGGAAAGACAATACTGATACAAAAACACAGATGAACCTCAAAATAATGATGCAATATGAAAGAAGTCACACCTAAAAGAATATATACTATATATTTTCACTTACATAAATTTTAAAAAATGAAAAATATTATAATTTATGGTGACAAAATGCAGATTAGTGGTTTCTTGAGGCTGTAATGGGGAAACAACTGGATTTCAAAGTGGAATGAGGAATCTTTTGTAGATGATGCAATTGTAGTGTATCTTGATTGTAGTGGTAGTTTCATGAGTATATACAAATGTCAAAATTCATCATGTCATGTACCTTAAGTGGATGTAATTCCTTATATGTAATTTTTATAAAAAAACTTGTTTAACTCTCAATGAAATTTTTTATTTTCAATTCAGCCAAATTATTTTTGTAATAACAAAGATATTTTGGAAGTGTCTACTTTGAAATGATAAGATATGTCATTACTTGGCATTATCAAGGTCTAATCTATTTAGAATTAAACTTCATGTTATTAGTAGAAAGACTAATACTCTGCTCAAATGGTTTACTGTATCACACATAAACACAAAACAAAAATCTCTCAAGCACCTTCCTAAATAATAGTCTAACAACAAAAAATTGTATTATATAAATATAGTGTGTTACACTGAAATAACACTATTAAATTTGCTGTACTCTTAATATCTATGCAATTATAATTATCATACTAGGGTTGCTAAAGTTAATAAATACTTGTTAACTGCTAAAGGCAATTTTTCAACATTCTGCCTGACAGTACCCTGTAGCTATGGCAGTACAGATTTTGCAGCATTAAAACCTCTGCTATAAAGAGCAGCTGAGCATGTCATTTCACTAATAATTAATTTTTTTCCTTCATTTTCAGAATCTTTTAGGTTGAAGAAACATTTGCTAATAAATTCATGACACCATAGGTAGAAATATTTTTGGATGTTTAGTTATCATACTGACATCCTTTTACACTTTATCTAAATAACTCCATGTATAATGTCTTATGTCTCTAGGAGATCTACGTTTTAAAAACATAATTTTTCTCAGAGTAAGAAAGTCAATTCTTGATTTTTATAATTTTTTTAAGTAGTACTGATTACCTTCTAAACTATTCACTACTTTTAAAGAAATAATTTCTGAATTTTCTCCTAACTTCTTCCAATAGTTTAAATGTGAGAACTGTCAATATTTAATTAATTCATTCACCTTATAACTTTTTCGTTTACTGTTCTCCTGTGTCATCTCACAATTTATAATGATAATAGAAATAATTACACACGTTACAATAATTACACATATTTTAACTTTATATCCATGTTTTTGTTTGAGTTAATTTATTAAATTTTGTACATAATATTCAGTTCAATTTAAAGAGATTTAAGACACAGTTTATGCTGCAAAGTATTCTGCTAAGGAGAAACCAAGACAAAATTATATATGCAAAAGATATATTGGGGGAAATATTTTTGAAGATAAGGGAGGAAAGCTCAAAAACACAAGAGGAGCCTTCAGACCATCGTATATATCTGACAATTTTGAAGAAGAAAGAAAAGGAAGAAAAACTGAATAGAAAGGATCACAGTCTGCTCCACAGTTCTAAGAAAGTTTGGCCAGGCAAATGGATAGTGCTTGAGTCAGAGTTACATGTCAAAAGTATCCTACATTTGCAGGAATGTCCAGAATTGGTATCGCTAATACGCTCAGTCCTTGAAGGATGATCCTGGCACAAATGCCATTCTTAATTTACATGGGAATCTTTTGGAGCTCTCAGTCAATGAAACTACTCAAGTAGATCTAAAGAGTGCATTTTCATGACCACTGTTTTTATCCCTTGAACTACATAGATTATCTCCATATATTCTAGAGCAAAGTTCCCAGATGATTTCTGTTGGCCTCTTAGGGGGAAACTTGGAAAAGGGAGAGGAGAAAGTAATGGGGCAAATAGCTTTCATCACTGCTATTGCTCTTAAGGTACAAATTATTCTCATTTTCTCAAATCAATGGATTCTAGATCTAAAAATTGGAAAAAGCCCATAATTGTGCACTGGAGCTATCATCCTCAAAGTCTCCTGTTTTATCATTCTTCTCTTTTTCTCGTTGTAGATATTAAGTATGACCTTAGCTGGCTGCTCATTTATTTTGCCCCTAGGGAGGACATGCTCTATTAATCATTTCCACAATTTCTTGCAGATCAAGGCCCCTGAGCTTCTTCTTAACATTGCTGATAATTGAGGCCTCCAGGCTTCTGGCCTTTAAGCACTTCCATGTGACCTCTATTACATGGGGTCCCACAATTTCACTGGATATAAATGAGCCCAACTATGAGCCACCTCTCCTGCTGTGAGCACTGGTCTACACTTGAGAGTTACCACTAAACATTCTTTTTTTTTTTTTTTTTTTTGATGCTGATCCTCCTTCAACAGAGCACTCCTGATGGCTTCAGTGAAGCGTGTGTTCTTTGAACTCTTTAATGGAATATACTACTCTGGTGCATCTTCTCTTCTTGCATAATGTACTCATTCCAGCATGATCACTCAGCCTCTTCATTTCTCCTTTTAGAGTATGCCCGGGTGATTCAGGCACTACTTCACTCATTGTTGGCCAGTTCTCCAGGCTTTTAAGATGCACTCAAGGAAAAATATTTCTCTATTCCTTGAGGTTTTGCCAGGATGTTTAAATCCTGTATGCTGAGACATGCACAAAAGTCAATGGATTCTGGCTATTTCTGGCCCACTTAATTAAACACCCACAAAATCCAAACCTGGGATACTTTCCTGGTTCTGCCAAAGCATGCAAACTAATTTCTTCAGTTCCTTTGTCGTATATTGTATTTCTTCTCTAATTACAGCCAGCCTGCTCCTGGCCAGGGTATGCTGGGACTTTGCCCAGATCATCCTGGTTGCAGGGGGTGGGGAGACCTGGGCAGCTTCTGAGGGAGACATCTGTTACTTTTCAGTGGAGAGATTTCTGCAGAGGGGTCTCTCAGCAGAGAGTGGCACTAGTGATTATTAGGGAAGGGTTGCCAGCCTCTCCAAGCTGAGATGTCAAGGAGATCTGCTGAGATAACATCATCGGGGTTCCAACCAGATATTTGTAAGTTTCAGGGTCCCTGGTTTTCCCAAACAGAGTCCTGAACTTATAATAAAAGATATACCCTGGCTGAACATTTATACAAATCTCTAGAGCTCTGTGACTGTATTAGATCCTTGATCTGCTGCTCACCTGTTCTGGCTTTTCTACTTCGGGAAATAAACAGTTATTTTAAGCTGTTAAGGAGCTCCTCTGGCTCTCGCATTTAGGTCTTGACTTCTTTTTAAAGACTTCAGTCTCCTATCAAAACAATTTAGCAGTAACCAGATAATTCTTTTGCCTTTGTCTGTATTGCTGTCTTCATATATTTTAACTGTAGGATTCATCAAGTGTATGTCATTCTTCTCCACATCACCAGCAGTGACTGCAATTGCTCTGTCACCTTGTTTCAGGAGCTATATGACTCAGGATGGTGCCCTCCTTGTATGGGGGTTGGTATGTGAGCAAGTCACCAAAACCCATCTTGTTGCCTATCTTCCTGTGTCACTCTTGGCTCCCCTCATTTTACTTCAGGTCCTCTGAAAAGCCAATGATAAGATGAAATTGTACAGGCAAGAACTATATTGAGAAAAAGGCTCATGAAGAATAAAGGGGAGCAAGCATGAGAAGGAGGGGAAAACTTTTACACCTTACTGCAGTGCTGATAGCTTTGAAGACAAGGTGAGGTGAAGGAGGATTGTGTAGGAAGAATCTCAGTCTGCAGCACAGTTCTGAGAAAGTTTCAGAGGAGGGCAGAATGTAGTTCTCCAGCTTGTTTCCTATCAGAAGAGTTCCCCATCTTTCAGGAACAAACGTCTTTTAGTAGCTCTGCCCAGTCAATGGTTGGGAGCAGAAGGTGGGAAGCATAGTCATTGCATGGGCACATTGATAAATCTAGGAGGGCAGCAGGTGGAGCCTTCAAATATTCTCCCTGCAGTAGAAGATCTGAGTGACACATTTTCATGGCCATCACATAGAGGAAGTAATTTATGCAAATAAAGTTTCAACTACACAGTGAAGAACCCTAAGGGAGGTACAGATGAAATGAAATGTCAATTTAGAGAAGTAGGAATTATTTGATGATAGATCTGTGGGGAAGCAATAGTTTGGAAGGAAGTGAAGTCTACAGAATATTTCATGCACTGGAAATGGGACTTAATGTAAAAAGGGATGGGATTCAATGTGGAAGAAAAGAGTGAACAGGCATTCCAATGGGAGGGAACAGTCAAAGCAAAACCTTAGTTTCTTTGGGAAATGGCCAGAAATAGGGCTTGAACTGTATGAAGTGGCATCCCAGAGGATATGCATGAAAGAGAAGTTGTGAGTAAAATTTTTCATCTATTATTCATTCTGGGCTCTGAGAACACTTCCTATAGCACTCAATCACTTTAATTTTTGAGGCTGTTCTTTCAACCAATCTTCTACTGTCAACAGTTTAAGATAAAAAATCTGATTAAGGTATTTAAACTCTTGCACCTAAGGCAATACCTAACAATAAATAACATTGAATAAATATGCGCTGACTGAATAAATGATTACATATTAATGAGGATAAATGGTGTAGGAAGACAGACTCAGTTTGTCCTTTTTTTGGTTGTTGCTACAATTTTTTTATTTTTTTCTCTGTATCAGTCAGTTCAATACTGAATTAAAGTTATTTAGATAAAAATATTCCAAGTAAATCTTCATCATAACTAATATTCCTAACTTTGAACTCAAAAAGTAATGACTCATTTTAATTTTAATTCACTTCCTCTCATTATTGTACTGATGTCTATTAAATTAAAATCTTAGCTACTTCTTGTTTATATTTAACATGTAATATTCTTTACTTAAAATGTAATATTCTTTTACTGATTATAAATGTAACACACTGAATTAAATGAAATCACCATAATATCACTATGGAAAAATAATCATTAATATTTTAATGACATTTCTTTTAATATTTTATTGAAAAAATTCTTAATCTCTAATGACTTAATTAGTTCAAATGTACTTTTCATTATATTAAAAATATAGCACAAGCAGGCAGACACTATATTAAATATGTAAGATACTTTTTCTAAAATTAATAAAAGGTAAATTGTTGCATTTCCTTAAGTAACCTGTACAGTTCCTCCATTATTATAAACAGATGTAGTCAGCTTTAATATTTCATTATTCATATTGCCTTTTAAGGAACCTCAGAAACAAATATGATGCCCGAATTATAGCATCTTCTGTTCCTCATTATTGAATTTTTACCTAATTAGCCTTATTATAAAAGCCTATTCCTTTCTGAAGGTTAAATAATAGAATAAAGGATCTTTAATGTGTTCAGTTTCCATTTGCCCAGGACTCATCCTGGAATAGCACTATGCTAGTATCTATACAATTTCAAATGGAAAAGCAAAACAGAGACTCTTAGCAGGTCTTCAGTGTTAAGAAATATTTAGCTATTCTAAAGTTTACACATAATACATTTTATTAAATTATCTGGTTTTAGTATTTTCAGGTTAGTGTTAGTCACAAAAGCACATAGCTTTAACTGTTACAGTTAACTCTTTAACTCTTTTTATAAAAAGTATTGAATTATCTCTGCCTCTGTATTGACTTTAATGAATTGTTAACATTTATTGAGTCTCCAGATCCACCATTAAAGCAATATCATTTAAATCAAGGACGTGGAAGATACTCTTGACTTTTGTGGTTAATCCATTGAGAGGAAACATAATTAACACAACTGTGGAATACAGTTTCCTAAGTATCATTAAAAAAGAACATGGCATTTGAGCTTATAAAGTGACTTCTGTTCACATCAGTCAGAAAGCTCAAAGTTTAGTTGAAAGAATGCAAACAATTGTTTTAGATGTTTTCTCAAAACTATACAATCTGAACAATAGAGAACATTAAATTTTAGAATTAAGAAAGATCTTGGAGATATTTCAGTATTTGATGCCAAATACATTTTATCTCAAGTGACAAATCTACTTCACTGTTAGAGACCAGGTGAAATTCTATGTTAAAAATGATTTTAAAGTTGATACTGACTTCAATGGAGGAAAAACTATAGTATAGTTGTATAGCAAAACCGTGTATATATAGTAAATAGAAATAACTAGATACGGGCTGGGTATTTGACAATTTTAATTTAATTCCCTTTAAACTTTGAAGTAGAGAAAATTTGAACTTTCCAATGTCATGCAAATGGACCAAAGATAAAATTTAGGCCTCTCAATTCCCAGATTACTGTTTTTTCTTTCCTGTATTTCCTTCTGATGACTTTCTGTCAAACTAATTTGATAAACTGCTTGCTTAAAACACCTATGTGTAAGGGAAGTGACGTTTTAACTATTAATTTACGTGATTAGGAATCCAAGGCTAAGGTTTCCATAAATGCATTATGAAACTTAAGTGTTGGATAAATTAATGATGACATAATTAAATTAAATATTATAGCGTTGAATTTTTTGTGACTTATCTAAACTTAATATTTTTGAGTATTAAAACTAGGAAAAGTTTAAAATAATTTGTTGCTTAAAGGCCTTAAAATATTTTATAATTATTGATGACTAATTGGTGAGTTCAACTAAATCTATATATCAGTGAATAATGAATAAGTTGTTAAAAACTTTACTTTAAAAATGTATTTCAAACTAATCAAGATATTTTAGCTATATTGATGTCTATAGAGGCTAGTAAGACATTTGCTATACTATTGTATTAGTCCATTTTTATACTGCTATGAAGAAATACCCAAGGCTGGGTATTTATAAGGAAAAAGAGGTTTAATGGACTCAGTTATACATGGCTGGGGAGGCCTCACAATCATGGTGGAAGGTGAAGGAAGAGCAAAGGCACATCTTACATGGTGGCAGACAAGAGAGTGTGTGCAGGGGAACTGACCTTTTATAAAGTCATCAGATCTTGTGTGACTTATTCACTATCCAGAGAACAGCATGGGAAAAACCCTCCTTCATGATTCAATTAGCTCTGACCAGATCCCTCCCACGACACATGGGGATTATGGAAACTACAATTTGAGATGAGATTTGGGTGGGGACACAGTCAAACCATATCAACCATGTTTATAATGACTCACTGTAACATTCAAATTTTGGCACATCAATTTTTATTGACCTTGTTATGTCAAAGCACTGCTTGTATTACTGAGCATTTTGAAATGAACTGAAAATTTAAAACTGCTATTGTTGTACTTTTCAATTGTTCTGTTTATAAATGAAGAGATATTATTAGGAAAGCCAATGTTTTTTGGTATACCTTGAAGTCAGTTTTTCAGAGGAATCGGCAAATGCACTCCTTTTTGTTACTATGTATTTTCTATAATATGAACACATTATCTGGGAATTATTTTCACTCCAAATCAACACTCATCTACTTGAGGACAGAAGTCACATCTTTTTGAAAGTTCATGGCCCATAATAAGGTTAATTAATGACTAGTAATTGAACAAGAGAGAGACAAATTTTTAAAATTACATCTTTCTTTCTTTCTCTCTCTTTTTCCCCTTCCCTCCCTTCCCCTCCCCTTATCTCTCTCTCTCTTTCTTTTCTTTCTTTTTCTTTTTCTTTCCCTTTCTTTCCCTTTCTTTCTTCTTTCTTTTATTCTTTCTCTTTCTTTCTTTTTCTTTCTCTCTTTCTTTGTTTCTTTCTCTCTCTTTCTTCCTCTCTTCCTTTCTCTATCTTTTTTCTCCTTCCTTCCTTCCTTCCATCCTCCCTCCCTCCCTCCCTTCCTTCCACCTTGCAGTGTAAACCTATGTGCTTTTATTTTACCCAACAGGTTAGTAGGTTTATTAATTCTTAAGGTCATATTGTCTCAGATTTGGCCACTGAAAATTCTGGGTCATCATGTCTATGCCTTTTTTTTTAGTACTTCTTTAATTTTTAGTACTCTTTTAATAATTTTTAGAACTCCTTTAATTTCTAACATGACAATATATTCATCTTGTATTTTCCTTGTGTTTGCCTTGAAATTAATCATTTTTCAAAATAATTAATGACCCTTAAGAATGGTATTTAGAAATTAACATCTGGGCTACTTATTTTTAACCTAAAATAAATTAAATTATATCCACAATTCTGGGTGGAAACTGAGAATTTTATAGCAGAAAAAAATAAAAAGTATAGATTAATTGTCTGAAGTCTTAAAAATAGTCAATGGCATATGAATGATGTGAATCTTCATCTGATTTCAGGTGATTGTTACATTAAATCACAACTGTTTCCATTGCCATATTTCACAGTAAAGTTTGTTCATTCATTTAATTATGTTTCATTGAACAACTTCAGACTTTCTTCTAAACAGAAGAAATAAATCAAATAGAAATTCCTGCATTTATAAAACCTATTTTCCAATAAAGGAACACAGTTCATAAAAAAATGGTGAAAATTGCAAAAAAAGAAACCCCAAAAAACAAAAACAGAATGAGGAGTAGAATATATTATGTAGGATGTGAAGTATACCAGATGTAATTTTAAAGAGACTGGTCCAGGAAGGTATCACTAAGAGGTTTTCATTTATGTGAAGTCTGAAGCTGCTAAGGGAAATGCCAGGTGGATATTTGGGGCTACAGCATTCCAGATAGGGAAATAGCATGTGCTAGGCACTGATGTTGAACATGCCTGGTGTGATTAAGGAAACCACTGTGGCTAGAATGATGTGGTAATGGAAGAAAATAGTACAATAGGAGGTTGGAAATGTTCTTGTGTTCCTCTTGAGAAAAATATAATAAAAGGTCTTTTACACAGATACAAAAAAACAAATTATACTTAAGACAGCAAATTAATACTATGTTTTATGAGAAGGTTACAAAATTTTTGTTCTAAAGTTAGAAACCAAAATCAAATTTAAAATAAATACATTTTAAAGTTGTGAAAGGCTAAATAAATAAGCACAGGGCCTTGTACATGGTGGTCACTTGGCCTGAATTTTGGCCACTGAATGTTTGAGAATAAAAGGGGCACAGGAAACATAAGCCACTTAAAAGAACAAAAGTTAGCATTAAGAAATAAATGAACACCTAATAGAAGACTAAAAGAATACAGTAGTAATTTGTAGAGTTTTGATTTATTTTCTTACTCTCTTTTTCTATGTAGTTTTATTTAAGTAAATGTGCACTGATATCTTCTTAGAGCCCATGAAAAACAAAACATAGAATTTAAGAGAAAGTCAGAAGCCATCTCTGATGAGACATTTGTTGGCTAGCTGTTCTGACAATAAGACAAAAAGGCTATGCTTGGTGCTGCACTTATTCTATTTCCCAGAAACACTTGCAAGAGTCCCTTACTCATCACTTCAAATAGGCTAGCCAGGAAAATTACATTCTTACACTAATTTGGATGATGAATTTAAATCACTTATATTTTATTATTCATTTGTTACTGTGGCATGGCTTAGTATCATTTAGCACTATTTTCCTGACTTTTCTCCCTGAGCATATGTAGGTGTTTCATTTTCATTTTTACCTTTTCTTTTTTTTCTGCTATCACTTATTGGAAAACACAGAGAATGAACATTATAATAAATATATGTAGAGTTACAAATAATCCATACCCTTTAAATATTCTTTTAACTTAAATCTCATTGTATCATTTTTTATTTCTCTTTGGAAATAAATGAAAGCTCTGAAGGGCTCTGCCTTCTCAATTTATTTTTTTGAAAAAACATAGCTGTGTTTTCATAAACGATTACAAAAGATAATCTATTTGTTATAAAAACATGATATTTTAAAGAATTGGGGCAAATAAAACTAAATTTCTACTATGTGCTAATACTATCTCATATATTTTTATATTACCTCTTTCTCCCTTGGTCTCTTTCTCCTTGATAGTGTAATCAAGATAACCTGGATAATTTTTCATGATTAAAAAAAGCCTATTCTATTTTATGATAATTAAAATACATTTTTAACAGTAAATATAAAATTTCCTCTTTCAAAAGAAGAAAAAAATATAAGCTTTATATCTGTGTAGCTCATTTTAGACGAGGTAGTGTGCCTTTAAGGCACCTAATCCAGAGATGTAAATACAGACATATGGTAACCTTTTCTGAATAAGAAATATTAAAATGTAGTGGTTTTCAGCCAGAGAGAAAAGGTTCCCAACAATATTTAAGAGGCTAGAGTCTCTGGAGAAAGATGACTTCTGTGAACTCCCTGCTTCCTGGTACAGTTCTAACTAGTTTGGGATTTATGTGACATTAAATGCATTTTAATCATGGTTTTAGGTTCTGAGCAAATAGAGCAGACTTCCTTGCTCTCACAAAGCTTACATTATTGTGTATGTTTTTGGGTGTGTTCGAAGGGTGGAGGAGCAGACAGAAGGTGAGAGTAAAATAGGTGATAAATAATATTCATATAAAACAATAACAAATGAAATAAATAATTGGCAGATACAAAATTATAGCTCATTGCATTGATTGTCATTTTATTTTTGAGCATAATTTTTCAGAACCTGCCACTTCTTTGCAACTGTAATTGAATAAATGCTCTATTCTTGCTGATCTCAGTCCCAGCCCTGAAAATGCAACCCAGGAAGAACACTACCTGACCTGTCTTTTTATCAAGCCAGCATTCTAATCTCTGAGTTCCTTCATAACTCAGTGAAGCTCAGCTCTGTTCCATCATAAATGATCTCTCTGGGAATTTTCTAACATATTGAGTAGATTGTAATACAAAACTACATTCAATAAGCAAAAGTGCATTTGTTCTTTCCTTTATAAACTGAAATTCCTTTTTTACAATTAGTACAATTTGTTGCCCCTAATCTTTGCAATGATAATTTATTGCCTATTGAACATGAACTTCCTTTTATGCAAGCTTACTTATAAACTCCGAATTTTATGATTGAGATATTTTATCAATTATATTAAATCACAAATGTTAACTACAAATGGAACTACATCTAAAGAGCACATTCTTTCCATACTAGAGAGTAGATAAAGCTAATACAATAATTAAAAACCTATTTATTATTACTTCATCTGTGCTTGTTTATCAATTTTTCTCATCACTGACTAGCATTGCCTATGAACTTACATTGTTATACTAAATAATTCTTAGTGGAGTCTGTCTTTAAAAGTTTGATTCCTGGTTTTACATATCTCACTTGTTATGAAACTGTTTTGTATACCAAATTATAACTTCCGATTAGAAAACTAAACAAAACAAAATTATGATTCATAAATGCTATTAGCATTTTAGATAAAAGAACACATTAACATTTGGTAAATATTCACTATGGTCAGTATATTGTTAAACAGTATAGAGTCAATTTCATGTTGTCTTTGTGTTGTTACGGTTTCTTTTATATAGTGAGCTTGAGGTGACAGCCGTTACTGTACATCTGTTGATTGGTTATATTTCAATTTTTAGTATAAACACACTTTAAATAACACTACCTCTAAAAATGACCCAAAAGCTAATAATTCAGATTTTTGCAAAAATATATATGACAGAAGAAAGAAGAACATCTCACTAAAAAAATCAGCTGAGTGAACTATGATACTTATAATTTTTATATTAAACATGTTATTACTATCTGTCATGCATAAGATTTCTGACACAAATTTGATTTTATTGCCCTTTTTATTTTTCAACATGCTATTTTTCTTTGACTTATTTTATAATATAAATTTTTTTACCAACATATCAAACACATAAAAGGAAAAATAACTCTCCTTCCAAATGTACTCTTAACATAACAACACGTGTTTCTTTTCAACATATTATCTTCCAGGCTTTTGTCAAAAAAGAGAAACATATTTTCACAAGACATAATGTTGGCAATGGTTTAACTTTCTATTTGTTTTATTTATTTATACATATTATTTCATATGTTGTTGACATTATGTATATTAGTCAGAGTTATTTTAAAAAACAGAAACAATAGATGTGTAAGAGGAGATTTATTATGGGAATTGGGTCATGCAAGTTGATCAAAAAATCTCACAACATGCCCTTTGCAACTCGGATAACCACATAAGCCACTGATGCAATTCAATCTGAGTCCAAAGGCTTGATTGCCATTGGGGCCCATGATATAACTCCCAGGCCCAAGAAGGCAGTGGGATGAGGGGAAACTGGGGTAAATCCCAGAGTCTCAAGTCTAAAAGCCCAAGAACCAGGAGCTCAAATATTTGAAGGTTTAGAAGAGTGAGAACTCACCGTTACTTCATCTTTTTGCTCTATTCAATAGCTCTCAATGGATTGTATGGTGCCTGCCTGCAATGATGAGGGTAGACCTTTTTTACTTAGTATACTGATTCAAAGGCTTTCAGAAACACTCTTACAGACACTCCCAGAAATGTTTTATTATTATTATCTGGGCATCCCTTAGCCCAGTCAAGTTGATTCATAAGGTTAACTATTACCTTAGGTTATAAATATAATGGCTGAATGATCTTTCAACATAGTGTTAGAATAATTTATTTCACCATTATCTAAATGTAACCTCTAATTATTTATTAGTTAAATAACACTAAAGTATCAAGTAGGCTATGATTTTTGTCTTTTCTCTTATGATTTCCTTAGGATAGATTCGTAGAGATGGAATTACAGTTATCCAGTAATTCAACTGGATTGAAGGATTCAACTAGGTGAAGGATTACAATTTATCCAATTTGGTGCATCCATGATCCATAAAATATTATTTGACAGATGAATAAATATATAGACGCTCTCAATCTAAATAAGTAAGCACTATGATATCTTTTAAAATTTATTTTTTACTCTAAAAATGATATGTGTTATCTTAACATCTAATTTTATCACATTAAGGGGATTTTACTAATATGTTCAGAATAATCCTTAACAGCTACACAACAAAATTATATCTTTTGTTTTTGAATAGGCAATAAGATTTCTATTGCCTTAACATGATCATTCTATTTTCTCAATGACACTTTTAAGTAAAGTAAAATATATTTAAGAATTGGAGAAGTTGTAATTTCTAGTTTGTCTACTCCAGCACTTACCTAATAAATATTTTTCAGCATTTAATATTTTTCATACTCTACAGTAAATATTGGAGATACGAAAGGAAATGACATAAAGCTCATGATGTAGGGGTGAGGTAATAAAAAAGAAAAGTTCAAATTTAATTAGTGTAAATAGTCGAGTGGGAGTGGAAAGCATTGAAACCTAAAGAAAAAGTTTGTGGTTATGCTGTTTAATATGGTGGCCACCAACCACAGTGGGTATATAAATTTAAATTCAAATAAATTAAACTAAAGTAACATTTAAAATTCAATTGTTTTTTTATGTTAGACAACTTTCAAGTGCCATTAGACACATGTTACTAGGGTTTGTTGCATTGAAAAGTACAGATTATAGAAGATTTTCATCAACATAAAAATGTCTATCCTACATGTGGTCTAGTGTGTAGCAGGTGCAGGGATAAGGCAGGAAGTAGGATTGAAGCATACACAGCTGGACCGACACAGGCTCCTGCCTCCTCCTTTCACTTTCCTAGTTAGTTGCTGGAGCCTTTTCAAATGTAAGTATAAATGTATGTTTTTCCTTTTTATTTACTTTGACTTTCTCTGTTCCTCTCTGTTTTATTTTTCTATTAAAAAAACTTTGATGAATTAAGCAAGTAAAATGTTATTTTCAAGTTGTAATCGTCTGCTTTACTAGAGGTGGAGACTTCTCCTCCTCTTTGATGAAGGAATCAAAATTTCTTTGATTTAGGTAACCTTTTGTATGAAACCTTGAGGTATTTTATATGTAAAACAAACAAGTGTCCAGGCATTGCTCTATGGAAAATGAGGAAAATTAAATTATTTCTGGTGAAGTAAATCTGTTTGTTCCATTGTACTGCACTTTTTCTTCCTCAGAGACTCTTTGGCTTGGTTTCTTCAAACACACGTCAGGCCTTCACTAGCATTTGCTCATATGTGACAGTGTGAAGTTAAAGGCCTGTTCTCAAAGGAGAAAAGACACTGGTATGAATAGGTATCTGATCTCTTAAACCACCCTGCTTTGAATGGCTTCAATTGACACCAAGACAAATATGGTAGATTTAAAGATTTTATTCTAGATTCATTTCAAATTCTATTTGTAAAATTATCTTCAGTATAAGATTATTATTGTATTATTAGTGTATGTTGTATCACAACATAGTAATTGAATTGTTCCACTGTGTAGCAATGGGAGATAGATTATGAAATGGAGAAAATGAAATTAAGAAGTAGGCATAGAAAGAGTTGAAAAGGAAACAGATCAGGTTTTTGGTTTGAAGGAAGAACAAACCATTGAAGCTTGGTTATTATATCGTTCACCTGTTTGAACAATCAACCACCCTGATGATCATAGACATTAGGGTATAAGAAGACTAGGACTCAATTATAGAAATCTTCAGTGAGTGGAAACGGGTAACAGAGTCTTTGTAAATAACCACAACACAGAAGGTTTGGGTCAACAGTAGCAAAATGAGAGATTAAAACCTTCAGTGAAGTAGGTTTTTTTGTGTTAATTTTGCTTATTTGTCTTAAGCAAGTGAAAAAGTAATTTCTTGAAATTAATGATAAGGACCCTGAAGACTGCAGATAATGCCTCTGGACTGTTAAATCTCTGAGATATGGGAGAGGAAATTGCTATAATTTAAGAGGGACATATGATAGTTGCCATTGAGGCAAACAGGTAGAGATTACACTGGGAAAAGAAGAGAACATGGAAACAGGATTAATGCAAAAGTTAAAATGTGCTGAGGGCTACAGCAGTTGCTTGAGGAAGGTGGGAGTGTTACAAAGAAGGAACCAAATTATGGCAGCTGTAAGAACACATAGGATTTGGCCAGACAGAAGTGCATTTTCTGGGTGAACAGGGATAACAGAGTTAAGATGAGGTGGGACTGAGTTCCCTAAAATCTGAATTATGTTGACGGCCCATGTGGAAATAGTGACCTGGAGAATTAAGTAGACAGAAGTCTTTGCTCTATATTCAACATTAATGATGTTGAATTGTTTGAGCATCTTCTAAAACAACAACAACAATCCCTTTTCATAATTTGTTAGCAGGAAGAATAATTTAGTTTCTTGCATTTTCAATCTTCATTGTTATGGCCATCACAGGGGCTGCAGGGCTCAAGGCTTTCCATAGTGGATTGTCAAATTTTACCCCAGATGTTATGGAACTCAAATCAGTCAAACATTTTTCGGACACTGACATCTTTGGACTTATATTTAAGAAAAGCTCATGCTCATTTAGTAACTTAATAAGAATTTAATGAGTCCCCTCTATGTCAATATTTTTATTCTAGTTGCCGATATGAGTGATAAAATATTTTCAAGGGTGGAACTAACAGTCCAGTGATAAAATAATTAAGACCATAAACAGCAAATTAAAAATTAATTGATTTATTTAATTACAGTAATGGCGAATGTCCCATGAAGACTTATGAAATGCTACAAATGTGTGTTACAGAAGAAGCTGGCCTGATGAGTGTGATGGCAGTGATTGGAGTAAAGGGGGAGAAGTAAAAGAGGGAAGTTTTTCATAAATAAAATTTCAGCTGAGAACTGAAAGTAAATCAGTTGAATTGCAGAGAAGGGAGAGAAGCAATGTATACTCCAGGTCAAAAAAAAAAAATTGCATGCCAAAGGCCCTCAAGTAAGTAAAACAAAACTTGGTTTATTTGAGTATCTGAAAAAAGAAAAATTTTCCTGGGGTATGCTGAACTGGAGAAAGCATGGCACTAATTAATGTATCCTGTTATTATGCAATTCCCTTCTCTCCCTCTGTATGCAAATCCACACAATCGCTGAAGCTGAGTTTAAATTATTTCACTTTCAATCAGCTGTCTCTGTCCTCTTTGGCCCAACATGATCAGTCTATCTTTAAATTTTTCTAACAATGTTTCTGTGTTCTTCTCGTTCTGAAGTGTTTGCATAAAAAGCCTCATATTTTTACTTACCTGTTTGTCTTAATTATATCTAGTTCCCCACTCATGCTGTCACCAGAGGATTTTGATCATTTCCTGCATTTTAATGTACTATCTTTGGCTTATGGCACATGTAGTTCTTTGCAAACACTGGGTTTTCAACTAATACTGGCCAAATTTGTGAATTGCCATTAATAACACATCTTAGATATATACAATACACATTGGATTATTCTATCAACAAATGTTTGTGAGCACCATCTCTGTTAGGCACTATGGTAGGCATTTGGGATGCAATGAGCTTCTTGTCTTGGCAAGTAGATGTTCAACATCACAATTATAAGTGTCCAGTTAGAGGAATTGCAAATGTGTTTGCCTATCTAAGAACAAAATAGATAGGGAGGGACAATAACGTACAGTAAGGAACTGTAAGACATGAAGCATGAAGTAGAAACAAGCTCACTGCCTTATCATTGTGAGTTAAGGTCCTGTGAGTACACAAGGGTCTACCTATTTCCTTTCTTCAACAGATACTTCTTGATGTATAGTATGCGTCATTGTTTTAAAAATAAGGGCTACATGAGTGAATGAACAAGTTTCACCCATAGGGAACTTGCATTATAGTTGAAGAAATCCTTAGCTGTGCCAAAATTGTAAGAATCCACATTCTATTTCTTATTCATTGGGCCTATACTGGACTCAGCCAGCATCCACTGCAGAGGACTAAGAAATATTCCAAAGAATGGAATAATGATTGCTAAAGATTTCATAGTATTATGACTTGGCATACTGTTTCCTTCTCAATAGCTGCAAACACTGAGATAGTTTAACACTGACCTACAGAGAAGCAGAGTGCAGAATAGAAGGAAGAAGCAATCACTGAGTTGCTTTCTCTTTAGGGAAAGCTCTCAAATGTCATTCCCCACATGTCACAGTGGCTGGAGTGTTTTTTTCAAGCTTGCCCTTTGGGGCTGTTCTTTGTGACCTGAGAATAACTACTGTTCTGTGTTCCTGGAGCTATTTCCCCCCTTAAGAGAACTATGACTCAAAGGCTTCTGTAATCTTTCTGTACCAGAAACAAAGGTTTTATCTCAGAAAGGTTAAGATGGCAGGTAGTTAGTACTGTATTTGCTTAACCTACTCAACTCCAGAAATGCCACGGAAGATGTGTGAGCCTTTAAGTAAACCTGAGCTTTTTCCAGTGTATGTGAGATGCCTCAAATGTAACATTTCATTAGGTTAAAAAAACAGTGAATGGTTTTGATTTCCCTGGAGCTATAAATGGAAATAGTCAATCTGGGTCATTATACTTAGTCTTTGAAAGCAAATATTTTCTCACTATGTCTACTCTTCCCTCCATATGATCTATACCCACAGAACTATTTTAGGAGTTACAGGTAAACTAAAATTTTTCTTGAATTAGGTACAACTGAACTTGAATGTTCATGAGATAAAGTAACTAAAATCATCTGATAATGATATTCAGAGTCCACAGAGCTGCTCCTCTTTCATGGCCTAGTTTTGTTCAGTTCACTTTAGATATCTTGGAATCATTGTTACCTCGGTTCACCTTTGTCTCCTATTTTTGTATTTCCTTGGTTCTTTCTAGTTTTATCTTCTGGCTTATATCAGGCAGGCTCAGCAGCTATTCATTATCTATTTATTTACTTATTCATTCAATAAATATTTTGTGTTCTATGTTCTGAGTACATGGGATATGACAATGAAGAAACTAGACAGAAATCTTTACCGTAATAAACCTTGTTATGTTACCTGTATTGGTCATCACCTTCATGGAATTTTATGTCCTTCTCCTTGTATCCAGAATGAGGCTTTCTCTTACTTTTTTTTTTTAATTTTCTTTTGATTTCTGCTATCTGCCAATACAACCTAAAAACTTATAGACATTTAGACACTTGCTTTTTTTGTCTTTATTTTCGCATTACACAATCTATTGCTTTATCAAGTTCTCTGAATAATTGGCCATCTGTGTATAGCACAAAATAACTGACAAAATACTTCTGGAAAAAAAAAGTATTGCCATTGAAAAACACAACCTTATGTTGGGATTTTCAAACTTCCTTTTTTGGAAAACTGTTAGAAAAATTCCCCTTTTTGTTTATTTTTGAAATGCTGCAGCAAAATCTATTTGCTAGAATGTCAGGATAACATAACGACCCCTCTTAAATAAAAATTAGAAAGTATTGCCCATCCTCAGAAACATTCTTCCATTTAGAATCTTTACTAAAAGCCTTTTTCTGGATAAGTTAAAGCTCAAAACTTGAGAAAAAACACAAGAAATAAAGGTATCAACGTCCATATAAGTACTATCTTCCTTTTTGATTTTGTTTTCTACTTCTAGATTTTGGTTTTGTGTTCCTTCAATTTCTTTCACTAGTAAACATAAACATACTATTGTATTTCAACACAACCTGTGAAATGTTTTATGATGCATATAAGTCCTCTTTTAAAAATATGGGACTTATGAATTTGCAACTTCTGAATTTTTTGATTTTACTACTGGAAGACTGTATTTAAACTATGGTTAGAAAGCAGTAGGATAATAAGCAACACAAAAAGAAATGGAGGTATAAATGATTATATAACTTGATAAGTTAAAAAAGAATAATAAAAATGATAATAGTAGTTGCAACTGTGATAATCATTTTGAAAATAAGAACTGTAATATCAAATATTTTTAAATTAGAGATATATTTTTATTAAAAGTCAATAAAAAAGACCTCATGATCTGCTCACCTCAGCCTCCCTAAGTGCTGGGATTACAGGCATGAGCCACCGTGCACAAATTTAGCAAAGAAATACAACATTTATTGTTGAAACAAACTCTTATAACATGGAGCACCAACATGGCCAAATTATATAAAGACAACACAAATCCAGATGATTTTGAGATTTAAAAAGCTTACATTGCATGTTGGTGAATCTGCAGCTCTTAGTTCCTAAGCACAGTTAATACTACTAGCTAGAATCCCAGAAAAGAAATATTTAAAATCGATGTGTTTGTTCTACAGAAATATGTCAAAAAATTTAAAGCAGTAAATAAATCCTTTAAAAATGAGTTGTTATGAAAATCTGGGTGTGTGTGTGTAATGACAGTCTAGCTGCAATGAGAGGAGGGCGATATGTCTTTATAATTTTATTCAGAAAACATGGAGTTGCAAATAAAACATGATTTTAGTCACAGAGAAGCTCTCATATGTAAATATAATGTTGTAGATGTGAATAATTAAATAAATATAGCAAACTGATTAATCTATAAAACCCAGAGTGCTAGACTTGCCTCTTTTCAGCTTTGATGTCAGAAAATAAGCTCAAAATGGGCACTCTACTGCTTCATGCAAAGTGCTGGTTTCCAGAAGAAAGATATTCAAGAGTTATGTGCTCTATCTATTCATTTATAAATGGACATTTAGGCTACTTTCACATCTTAACTCTTCTGAATAATGTCACAGTAAACATGGTGTTGTACAGCTATCTCTACAAGATTCTGATTCAAATAGTCAGATGGAGTAGTGGTTATGAGAAGCTGGAGAAAGGGGAAAATGAGTTGTTTTCAATGGTATAAAATTTTATTATGCAAAGTGAATAAATTCTAGAGTTCTGCTATACAACATAATGCCTATAGGTAACAGTACTGTATTGAAAACTTAAAAATTTGTTAAAAGGGTAGATTTTTATGTTAATTGTTTTTACCGTAAACAAACAAAAACAAAAGGGCATGAAGAAACTTTTGGAGATGATGAATATGTTTATTAACTTTATTGTGGTGTTAGCTTTAGGAATATATGCACATGCCCAATCTCATAAAATTATATACATTAAATATATGTAGTTATTGTATATTAACTATACATCAATAAGGCTATTTTTGGCCTGGTACAGTGGCTCACACCTGTAATCCCAGCACTTTGGGAGGTCAAGGCGGTTGAATCACCTGAGGTCAGGAGTTCAAGACCAGCCTGACCAACATGGTGAAACCCTGTCTCTACCAAAAATACAAAAATTAGCCAGGAGTGGTGGTGTGTGCCTGTACTCCCAGCTACTCAGGAGGCTGAGGCAAGAGAATGGCTTGAACCAGGGAGTGGAGCTTGCAGTGAGCCAAGATAGCTCTATCGCACTCCAATCTGGGTGACAGAGCGAGACTCTGTCTCAAAAACAAAAACAAAAAAACAAAAACGAACAAACAAACAAAAAAAATAGTTTACGAAAGTGACATATTTGAATGCATGCATGAATTTAATAGAAATGAACAAGACCATGAGAACAGACTAACATATGCCAGTGAAATTTATGAATTCAGATGCGGGGGAAATCTAACTTTGAAGAAGGGACTTTGAAATGCTCTTAAAAAAAAAAAACAGACTAGTAGAACAACTGTATATGCTTTAGAGAAACCATAATTACTTTCAAATTATTGATGTGAAGAAGTTCAATTGATTTTGAATTCCATCTTCATAAAAAATTTTAACATAACATTTTTAATGAAATATTACATATAAAGAAAAATTATAACCTGACACATAATTTAAAGAAATAAACTTAACCACATTTAGATTAATGGTAAGAAGGATATCCCCGACGATAAATAATTTGTTTTTCTTTTTGCTATTTTTGCTACATACTAGTGTCAAATTTATCACTGATGACAACTGGAAATAAAGTGAAAAGGTTATTTAAACAACCTTGATCAGAACTACATTTAACCATTACAAAAATAAAATCTGCATAAAATTATGTTCATATTAACAAGCCCCAGTTTTTCTTTTCAAAAATAAAAAAATTTTTGGAAATTTTATATAATTCAATATTTAATGTCTTCTTTAGTATTTATTTTTCTTATAATGGTATAAATTTTAAGAAAATGTGATAAGTTGTGTTATCGGCTTTCTTATTAATGCCTCCAAATTCCTTTTATTTCAGTTAAGTCTTCTAAGCAAATATTACTTTTCATAGGGATAATGATGTGAAAACTTTGAGTAATGCTGAAACAGTGTATACTGTTTCTCAGTTGTCCAGAAATAATAATTATATATAGGATACTAAATTGATTAGCAATGAAGAAATTATGTCAAAATACTTTTGTAAAGCCTTATAAAATAAGAATCTGAATCTTTTGGCAAAACCAAATGGAAACAAACAAACATTCACTTGCCCCAAGCCAAGTGAATATCTTTGTAGAAAATTGCCTTGTAATAGGCCATGCAGACTTGGAGTCTGAATCTAAATATATTGAGATTTAAATAAAAGTAAAATACTCTATATTAAAGTTCTAAACAAATGGGCTAGCAAATTTCTTTCAAACAGGCTTGAATAAATGGATTCAGAGAATGAAAGAGGTTGTTAACAATTTTATGAGGAAGATAGAAATAAACCAAGACTGTCCTGACCAAACCAAGAAATAAGGTCACCCAGCACAAATCAAAATAATAATAACAGTTAATTTACATCATGTTATACAAGACTGTTTTGTAGCAGAATGTCAAGACACCAGTCTCTTAATATGCTGTGTTCCAACAGGCACAAATCCCAAAGAATTCAACCCAAATGGTTCCCTATTGTGCAAAGTGATAGACCTGTTCTTACTCTAAGGCAGGCACACTTCTGAGGGCTGTACATTAAATACTTTATTCTCAAAGCAGTCCGAAGGTAGGTGCTATTCTTAACCCATTCTTCAGATGCAGGAACAAAGAGAGCTTGAATATCCTGCCAGAGACACACAGATAGTAGTGGTGCTGTGATTTGAATACAGGCAATGTAACATTCTATGAATGAGCTATATTGACTATTAATATTTTTCTTCAGTCTATTTTTTAGCAACAACCTGAGTATATGAAACTATGAGCTGCCAGTGCCTCCCTAGAATTTATTCCTTTCAAATACTTTCCATGGCATTACTAGGAAATATGCATGCAAAATATACTCAACTGATTTGAGAACATTTTACAAAGACTAGTTTGAAGCAACAGGTTTCTCGCCTATGAAAATTTTAGTTTGAAAGGTGATTCGAAATAAACAAATCACATGGTATATATTTTCTTAGAATTATTCTCTTCTATTTAGTATTCATGCTTTCTATTTCCAGACTCAATGAAGATGAAAGGAACACTCATGATAAAAGATTCATACACTCCCTCCTCCAGTCAGTTCAACAGACCATCCTTTTGAACTAATAGCACTCTCCACATGCTAAATGTGCTTACAATAAAATAAGTCCCTGAAGGAAGATTTTAAGTCAATCTTAGTTTAAAACTCAGGCCAAATATGAAGTAAACGGGCTTGCTTATAACTCTTGAGCCTGTGTGTTTAATACTCATATTCCCCATAATTTGTTTACCAGACTATTCTCATCCACAGATTAAATATGCAGATCACCCCAAGGGAAGAGTAGATGCACAATTGAAAGAAAGAATAACTGGTGAGAGAAGATGATCCTATGCAGAAAACAGCAAATACCTGAAGTAAGAGTGAGCATGTTTACAATTTGGGATGTTTTTATGAAAGCTGTTCACTTCCCAAACCATTGTCATATTATTAAGACTTCAAGCTTATAAAGAAAGTATAATTTTATCTACAAGACATACTTCCTTTGAGTAAGGTACTTTCATTATTTAGAAGATTTTCTGTGATTCCTAACCTAAATAAAAGCATATCATTTCTGTCTGTATATAAATCCTTTTTTATATAAATCAAGTCAGATAACAAACAAGTATTTCTGTTTGTCCATTATTACATCACATAAAAAGGACAAGATGGATTTTTATTAACTCTGAGTGTATTTAGAATGGTTTGGCTTAGAATATAGATTAGATGGAATACCAGAAAATTACTTTGGATCTCTAAAGAAGTATCTTCAGGGCCTTGAGAGGGATTAGCAGTCACACTAATGAGTGCCTGGAGAAATCCAGGGGCCTTAGGTGCTTGTCAAAGGAACAGGCCATAATCAATCTAGGCAACCTTGAAAGAGAGAGACAAATAAGAAAGATCCATGAAATTGCTTACTCCAGGAGACCTGACCTAGCATTAATATGTCATAAATAAAACAAAAATGGTTCCAAATAAGAATGTCAAATAATTATCACAGGAACTAATTATTTGGATTTTCAGGGATCAATTTTGAAGTCATGTTGCTTCTTATTCAGCAGCTCTGTGTAGTGGGCACCAAAGTGACTACCATAAAGATGCTTAATGTCACCACAGGAAAGGCCAGGAATCATCCAGCCTGCCCATAAAGTTCTATTGGAAGCCAGTGCTGTTTATTGTGTAGCACAAGCACACAATCTCTTCTAGAAACTCTTTAGAAAGCACTTACCCCACTGACATTGACAGGACAGTCTAGCAGACTCTGTGCTGTTACTGAGAGCTGTATTTCTTCAAAGGGCATTACTGTTTTTGGATTGTGAAATGCCTATTTTTAAAACATGGAAAATTCAGACAAAATATAGAAATAAGAAAGAATGCTGAAAGCACCTTGTACTAATAAAGAACAAATTCAATATTAGTACTTTTTCTCCAAGAGAAATAGAGCAATAGGACCTAACTTACATTTTATCCATTTTATTTAAATCTTTTTTTTTTTTTGCAAAGACTCTGTGGGATTTTAACAAATTTTTAGTTGTAACCATAACAAGTAAATCTAGTAATAAATGTTATAACGAGGTTTAAGTTTTTCTACATGTATTAAATGTGCTAAATATGCCACATGATCTAATAATCTTAATACTTTTAAAATGTAGCTAGCCATATACTTAAACCTGAGAGAATCCCTATTGCACATTGGCATACAATTAAAGGAAAAAACTATCATAAGAAAAACAATTAATAATATACTTGATAAAGAAAATGTTTTTTAAAAAGTCAAAGAAAGTCAAAGTACTAGCAGTTCTAGTATGACAAAGATGTACACAAGTGTGGGATTTCATATCTCGCTCTAGATAACTATGACTTTATAAGGAATAACAATAATGTTATTTTTAAAAACATACTTTTATAAATGCAAGTTAAATTTTATCAAATCCTAATGTTTTGAGAGCATAGAATGAATAGTTTTAGGGCAACGTTTCTCAAGTAAAATTTCAAAGTTTGGTAGCTTGACATACATTTTGAATAATTTTATATGGCTACCGAACAAACACGTAAAACTTTTGTAAATATCCCTCTATTCCCAGGTGCTTCTTTTAGGAAAATTACTTCATTGAATATTTGAATATTCTGTTGTGTCTCAGAATAGTTATATAGTCATCCCTGTGAATTTTCAGCTCTGAAGATAAATATCACATATGACAAGCTAACTGATGTGGTCCTACTTCAGGATCAATCATTTCACCCAGACTCTCAACAGCCTATATTGTGACAGAGAATCAAAGGTGCATCTAAAGCCTACTATAGCATCTTTGAAACAAGAAAGAAAAGACAAAAAAACATATTTTTCAGCAGTGTTTTTCTTCAGGGACATGAAAGAGAGCCATAAGCATGCCTATTGTAACAACAGTATATGTGAGCTGTGGTTCAACCTGGGCTCACAATTCAGAATTATTAAATACTTTCATAACCTAGAGGAAGGGGGGCAAGGGTAGCTATAGTTTGCATTAAAGGAATAAAATTAACAAAAATAAAGCTGTCTACAGAAAACATGCGTGTATGAGAGTGCCAGTCTCTATATAAATATTATTAGATATGTTTAATTTTATATAATGTAGATAAAAATAAATATAAATAAAATATTCATCAAGCATCTTAAGGGATCATCATGCACACGCTCAGTTTGGAAACCACTATATTACATAAGAGAAACGTATTCTTTAAGCACTAGCAGATTTTTATATCTAGCTATTGAATATATGTGTATATAATTTATATATGTTATTCCAATTTGGCAGTATAAATCAGATTGACAACAAGATAACATTAGTGAGCATCTTTAATTTGTAGTAAAGGGTTAATAATTCTAAGTGTCTGGATATTTCCATGGGTTTCAGAGAGTTTTGTTTTGTCTTCTAAACAGTCATTGAATTCTTTATTCATATCGGTTATACCTTAATCTGCAAGGCAAGCACAAGGCAGTTGGAAGTGTAATAGACTGGGTCTGGGCCTAGGTTCTAACTCTAGCTTTGCAGTTATTTTACCTTTTATTTATTTATTCAACAAAAGCTCCAGCCTAGACACTGAGATACAGTACTAAATAAAACATACCACTGTTCTGACATCACAAGACAATGAGCAATTCACTTCACAGCATTTGGTCTTATTTCCTTCATGGTTTTTTTCTACTAAATTCTGTATAGTTTTAGTGGCATATTCTTGGCATTTCAATTCCTGACATCTTGTGAATAAATAGTTTTTTCAATGACTAAAATAATACAATGAAGTGGAGAACTTAAAGTATGATTAGAACCACTGTCTTAGTCTATTCAAACTACCTTAACAAAATACTTGACACTGAGTAATTAATAAACAACAGAAATTTACTGCTCACAAATTCACAAATCTGGAAATTCCAAGATCAAGTCTCCAGTAGATTCAGTGTTTAGTGAGGGATCATTTTGTAAAGATGCTCCCTTCAATGTGCGTTTTCACATGGCAAAAGGTGGCAACAAACTCCCCCAGTCCTCTTTTATAAGGGCATCAATCCCATTCACAAGGGCTCCACCTTTATGACCTAATAACCTTCCAAAGACCCCACCTCTTAATACCAACACATTAGGAGATTAGTTTTCAACATATAAATTTTGGAGAAACACAAACATTCAGACAGTAGCAATACACTTTCAGCACAAATGTTCTATAAAACTAGTTTTCATAAGTAGAAACAAGCTCAAAGATTATCAGTAAATATGCTTTTCTGATTCTAGGGGAGTTACGTGATGCATATGTATATATATACGACACATATTAAAAGACAAGAGAGTTTCAAGGGGTGTATATCTGCTCACTAAAAGCATTCATAATAATTAAAATGTATTGAAAACCCAAACTGTATAAAGCCTTGTAGTTAGTAGAGAATTTATAAAAAATATACCTCATCTTAAGATATTATCAACAAATCCATAGAGTTAAAGGAGAATAATTCCAGATGTTATGTTTTGAAAATAATTTTTTATTCACTTCCCTGAAAGGATTTTTATCTGGTTCAAGTAAACCTCTTTGCGGAAATCTGAATTACTTTGCCAAATTAAATTTTTCAAGTTTAGTTCTAGAGGAATGCAATCAAGTAACAGCTCTAGTTTCAAAATAAACACTTTGACTCAGTTCTTTAAAAAAAAATTTCATTTGGATAGTTCTGAGTTAAAAGAAAAGATACACAAATTCACAGAAGACTATATTTCTGAATTCTACAGCTAAACATGTGAAAAGCATATAGGCCACTTATAATTAGGTTAACATCAATTTGCTTACTTATTGTTTTAAGGGGAGCTATGAGGCATGCAATAACCTTTGATGGTAGACTGTGATATGAATAGTAAAATTTTATCTAACAGCATGCTCAAATTTTATGTCAACAGGGAAGTCATGTATATTTATATTTGTGTGTGTGTGTTTCTGTCTATAGTAAGTACTGTCTTTCTCCATTTAGTCATACCTATATATTTTACCATTCGTATTTATAAATACAAGTAGAACTCCATTTGCCTATAAGTACATATACATAAGGCTCTTCTATCCAGCACGCTTGTTGAGATTTCAAAGGAAATGCTACTGAGAATAGAATTTCAAACTGAAATGCATCATAACACCAGTGTACCCATTTGGAAGCAAAAGTTGAAATAGTTCAACACTGAGCAGAATCTCGATATTATATACGTCTTACATCTAACTTCTAATTTGTTCACCACCAGTTATTGACATCTCCATAATTCTCATTCCATTCTATAAAACCCAAGTGATTTTTTTTTAGTAAAAAAATTATGCCTAATTTAACTTGATATTAACTACAACGACTCACAAACCTTTTGAGACAGAAGAAGCAACTTGTAACTAGTATGTATGTGTGTGTGGATGGATGGATGGATAGATTGATAGATGATAGATAGATACCTTGACTACACCTCAGATATTCTACTGATTCCATTGTTATTGAGAGAGCTTAAGCATCTATTTGAAACAAGTACTCAGAAAAACATTAGGAGGTAATTTCCTTACCTGAGGGAAGATGTAAGATTTTTAAAAGTTTAACAAGCGTAATAAGCTTAAAAATCTTATCAAGTTATAGTCCATCTTACTTAAAAAATACTTTTATGCATATTTGAATGTATTCTGATTGAAATAATTAGAATTGAAATAGGATTAAAAGAAAATGTGGCAAGCATCTATATTTTAGAACCAAGTATTTCGTAAGGTAAATTAAACTTTCTCCCATTACATATCTAATCTAAGATGATTATAAAAATAAATAAGAACTAGATTTAGATATATCTGAAAGGTAAATATTTTCAACAACAGATTTCTTTCAATATATGATGACATAAAAATATACTTTATTTCACAAATTTAAGCAAGTTTGACATGTCTAATATGTACCAGTTATTGGGCTTGTCATATTTAACACTATTGTGATCACAACAAAGATTCTGTCTTATAGATTCTTGCCATTTCTAGTTGAATAAAAATACACAACTACTCAAGGAATCACTCTAGTCAAAATAACAAGGAGAGGAGATGTACAGCTTTATATGAAAAAAGAATTGTGTAGTGCAGATAAAACATCAAATTATGGTAAAATATTTTCAATTACTACATCATAAATACTCATTGAATTTTCAAGAAAAGATTTTGAAAAGGAAGCTGTTTTTAAAAATTCAAATCTGGAATAAAAACTCTAGATTTCAACAGATTTGGAATTTCAGCAAGGGAGGCTGTGTAGGTAAAATGTGTTAAATAGAGAAGTAATCAAAGAAAGACTAATTTAAAAGGATTTGTTAAAAATATAAAGTTGATCATCCCCAAAATGAAAATACAAATGGAAATAGAAATTTGAAAGAACAACCATAATTAAACTAGAAATGGCAGAGAATAAAACAAAAATGCAGAAACAGTCATAATAACCAGAAAACATGAATTAAGAAGGCAGATGTCATGTCAAATATATTTTTGTGTGTACATAATAAATTCCTTATTTAAGATGTCAAAGATTCTTAACCCAGAGACTTAAAAGGCATCATTTATAACTCCTTCTTTCTTATCCTCCACCAAGTGTATCATTAATCCTTACAGATGTTCTTCACTTATATATTTAACACATGTGCATTTCTCCACACCTACCTCTTCTAACTTGTTTCGAGATTTTTTTTTTCCTGCAAAACTGCAATAGACTTGCTAACTGTTTTGTATCAATCAAAGGTGACCAGGCATTTATGGGTTCAGCTTCTGATGCACAAATGACTGTCTATTCTTTCCTCATTATATCACTAAAACCATATAATATGCTTAATCTGTGAAACTAAAGTTGAACGGTTAAACCATGAAATGTTGCATCATCTTGCTTGTAATTTAAAACTCAGGGACTTTAACAAATTTAGGTAACAGTCTGGTGATCAAGTAAAGTCCTATTAATGGATGGGATTCATTTGGATCATTCAGGTTGCAAACACAAGTTTGCTGAGTTTTTTGTTTCTGGAGATTTGAATTAATATACATAGGAAAGATAACCAAACAGTAAATGCAATGTTATTAAACCATAGTTTTCAGACACAATTTCTTCTGTGCTTTGTTATACCTCTTTATTTCCGTTGAGTGTTCTATACCTCTCTTAATGGTTAGGAAATAAAAAAGATTTCCAGCTCTTGGAATAATTTATTTTCTGATAATATGTATTGTCAACAACAACAGTACTAAGCCTCAGAGCATAACTAACACTTTGATACAGCCCAGCTTTGTTCCTTTACTGTATAAAGTTCAAGATTTATATTAAGAGGGACATCACGTACTTTTCTGTCTAAAATAAATTTATTCATGTGTATATGACTATGTTTGTGTGTTATGTTTCAAAGCAGTTTTGAAAGAAAATTGCTACTTTTCTAATTTTAATTCATGACAACCCTATATTCAGAGAGTTCTCTGAAATAACATATTGAACAAAGTAAGCTACCTGCTTACTGTGAATAAAAATAAAATAGTTCTAAGAGGGCAGAGCATGCTCCATAACAGTGTTAGTAAATGATATTAATTTAAAATATAGTATAATTTACTATATTTTAAGGAAATCATGATTACCATATTTATCATGGACCCTCTTTGGAGAGTTTAATTAAGAAAGTGATGGATGATGTATTCAGAAAGGAAAGCTGGTGTTGTTAGGGTAGTCATTCCATATTCCTTCCACTTGCCTTAGTTATGTAAACAGGTTCAGTGAATAGATCTCATCTACCAATGAAAAAAAAAGTATAAAAAAGAAAACTTAAGAATTTTTTTCTAATTAAATAATTAGTTTGGTATTTTCCCCATGACAAATGTCCCTACTAAGTGCCCATATTACCTTTCCATTACAAATATTAATAAATAACCTAGATTTTAAGGCTACTTTTAAATATGTACATAATAAAAATGATACAGAAGTTTAACAGCATATGAAAATACGTATGAGCACAAGAAAAAATATACATGCTATATAAATAGACAAAATTGTGTCTGTCTGTTATCTAAACACATCATTCTGAGGAAAGCCCTAGAAGAATCACATATGTACCATTGTTTGACCTTTACTGCTACTCGTAAATAGTAGTAATTTTTAGTATTACTAGTAAATCATTTACTATTACTAGTAAAAAGTGAATGTTTCTTCATCACCTCCTTGGATTCAAGGAAAACACACAGACACACACAAATGTAGAGAATTGTTCTAGTAGTGCAGACCACATTTTAAAAAGCTGTTTTATATTTCCTAGCAAATCAACTCTCTCTTGTGTTGAGATGACACCAGAAGAGGAAGAAATGCACAATGGTTAAAAAAAAAAAAATAAAATCGTGTCCATGTGTTCCTAGATGAATATCTCCTATTTTATGAGATGATTTCCTCTAATTGAGAATAAAAGTTTACTACCTCCACGATGAACCAAATCTAATAGCAAATGTTTAGATTTCCTCTCTCCCCTATGACTAGATCATAATCAATATTTACCTAATAGAAATAGTGACAAAATTGAATTATTGAATGCTACAACAGCCCTGTAATATTTCTTAATATTCACAATGGCCTTTGAATGCACAACACAACAATTATGAATTATAAACAGCTATAAACAATTATGAAGATGTGGTTTAGAATAGTCAGTGAGTGAAACCCAAAAATAGGAGAAATAAATGTGTTATTCTCTTGACTTGGCTCATATTTTAAGACCTTAATAGAACACTAATCTGATATTTAAAAACTGCCAAAGGAAGTTTTTAAAGATACCACCTAAAGCCTGAGAATAAGACATTAATATTGAGTTGAAAAAAAAAAAAATCACGATAATCCTTTTTAAATACCTTCAGTATTCATTCAAATCTCTGTTTTTTTGAGGCCTAAGGAGAAGAGTTAGAAGTAGTATAATGCCTTAGATTCTCCCCAAACAAGACTCTTATAGGTAAGAGGCCCAGCAATGCTGCTGTTTCGTGAGGTTGCCTAGCAACCTACTCCCCTGCTCCACAGTGGAGCCTTCTGAATGCATTAGTGTCAAGATCAACTAGCCTGCAGATCAATTACAAAGACAAAAAATGAAGACAAAAAATGAAAATGTAGGTGAAGTACACCATGGAGTAAAAGAGCATTTGGATATTACAGGGTAAAATTGTAAAATACCTCTCTTTGTATCTTTTCTTTTTTTGGAAGGTATTTTTATTTTTATTTTATTTTATTTTTATTTATTTTTTTTATTATACTTTAAGTTTTAGGGTACATGTGCACAACGTGCAGGTTTGTTACATATGTATACATGTGCCATGTTGGTGTGCTGCACCCATTTAACATTAGGTATATCTCCTAATGCTATCCCTCCCCCCTCCCCCCACCCCACAACAGGCCCCAGTGTGTGATGTTCCCCTTCCTGTGTCCATGTGTTCTCATTGTTCAATTCCCACCTATGAGTGAGAACATGCGGTGTTTGGTTTTTTGTCCTTATGATAGTTTGCTGAGAACAATGGTTTCCACCTTCATCCATGTCCCTACAAAGGACATGAACTCATCCTTTTTTATGGCTGCGTAGTATTCCATGGTGTATATGTGCCACATTTTCTTAATCCAGTCTATCATTGTTGGACTTTTAGGTTGGTTCCAAGTCTTTGCTATTGTGAATAGTGCCACAATAAACATACGTGTGCATGTGTGTTTATAGCAGCACTATTTATAATCCTTTGGGTATATACCCAGTAATGGGATGGCCGGGTCAAATGGTATTTCTAGTCCCAGATCCCTGAGGAATTGCCACACTGACTTCCACAATGGTTGAACTAGTTGACAGTCCCACCAACAGTGTAAAAGTGTTCCTATTTCTCCACATCCTCTCCAGCACCTGTTGTTTCCTGACTTTGTAATGATCACCATTCTAACTGGTGTGAGATGGTATCTCGTTGTGGTTTTGATTTGCATTTCTCTGATGGCCAGTGATGATGAGCATTTTTTCATGTGTCTTTTGGCTGCATAAATGACTTCTTTTGAGAAGTGTCTGTTCATATCCTTCGTCTGTTCATATCCTTGTTTGTTTTTTTCTTGTAAATTTGTTTGAGTTCATTGTAGATTCTGTATATTAGCCCTTTGTCAGATGAATAGACTGCAAAAATTTTTTCCCATTCTGTAGGTTGCCTGTTCACTCTGATGGTAGTTTCTTTTGCTGTGCAGAAGCTCTTTAGTTTAATTAGATCCTATTTGTCAATTTTGGCTTTTGTTGCCATTGCTTTGGTGTTTTAGACGTGAAGTCCTTGCCCATGCCTATGTCCTGAATGGTATTGCCTAGGATTTCTTCTAGGGTTTTTATGGTTTTAGGTCTAACATGTAAGTCTTTAATCCATCTTGAATTAATTTTTGTATAAGGTGTAAGGAAGGGATCCAGTTTCAGCTTTCTACATATGGCTAGCCAGTTTTCCCAGCACCATTTATTACATAGGGAATCATTTCCCCATTTCTTGTTTTTGTCAGGTTTGTCAAAGATCAGATAGTTATAGATATGTGGCATTATTTCTGAGGGCTCTGTTCTGTTCCATTGGTCTATATCTCTGTTTTGGTACCAGTACCATGCTATTTTGTTTACTGCAGCCTTGTAGTATAGTTTGAAGTAAAGATCTCAATAAAGAAAACTTTATCAATTACAAAAGTCACAAGCATTGTTGGGCTATAAGGAAAATCGGTGATCTTTTTGTATTGCATCTGGCAACCTCTGGTGTGACAAAGAAGATGTTTGGTTTTTTGTTTTGCTTCTTTTAAAATGCAGTTTTGTATGTTATAGAAACTTTGTGGAAATGATTTCTGTGATCATTAAGATGGTTTAAAATGACATATTAAGGAAGAAACTAGTCTATGGATTAAACAGCCACTCTATTCCTTTGCTTCTTAAGTTTTTTAACCTCTCTTTGATGCTATTAAGCAGGGGACCATGCAAATCAAGTGACAGTTAAGTTAAAACCAATCATATCCCAAGTCTGAATCATATCCCAAGTCTTGTTTTATCTATAAAACAAGAAGTTTGGAAGAGATGTTCTCCAGGTTCCTTCCAGCCATTTTCCACTTTTCTAGCCTACTATAATTTCTCAGTTTACATTTTCCAGAAATACTTTTTTTCTCATACCAGTAGTTCTCAAACTAAAAGATGGTCTCCATTTAAAGATCATAAAGCAAATTATCAAAATGTTCAGTGTTAATTTGTATTATTATAACCACAAAAGTAAAAAAATATTAATACATATTAGATATATGTAATAGCTCACTAGGGTTGCCACAATAAATTATTATATTCTTGGTGGCTTAAAAATAACATATATTTATTTTTTCACAGTTTTGAGTTTGGAAGTCTAAAATCAAGGTATTGACCTTGTTAGTTTCTTCTAAAGGCGTTAACAGAGAATGCATTTTACCCCTTTCTAATTGCTAATGGCTTTTACTATTCCTGGTTCCTCGTCTCGTAAATACATCACTCCAATCTTTACCTGCATCTTCACATAGCTTTCTAATTTGTGTCCTGATGTGTCTCAAATATCTTTATTCTTTCTTTTATTAGGATTCTGTTCTTTAGATTTACAGTACACCCTAAATCCAAGATGATCACATATCAAGATCCTTAATTATATCTGCAATGACTCTATTTCAAAATAAGGTTACATTCACAGGTATTGAGAGTTAAGGCTTGTAAGTATGTTTCTGGGAGTAGAAAATTTACTACAGTATGATTTCCTTAATATTTTACTTTATTATACAATTTGTAGAAAAAATCAATATAAGAGGGAAGTACTAGCAAAACTAGCAGGCAATAAGCTTCATACTGATATTTTAATATGGTAAACAATTTATCTTTGCTTTAATATATAAACAATAAAGTCTCTGATGTTATATAGATAACATATTTTTCTATTATGACTTCAACATGATGCAGAGAATAAGGTTTCTAATAATTATATTTTAGGAAGGGATAGCTCATACTTTAAAATCTCCCAGAGAGCAGTTGCGAATGCTTGTATAAATTAGACAAATCTTGGTAACACTCTAAAACTGTCTTTTTCTATGAAGAGAAGGTTAGCATTGCAACATATGTAATTGTCCATTGAGAACCAATAATAAATAAATGTCTGCATTGTTATCACAATTACTACAATTGATGGCATAAAGCAAATTGTTAAATATGAAGAAAAAATCTGCATCTTTATGTACATTTAACATACCAACTTGTTCTCTTTGCTTTACAAATTAATGTGGTAGATATTATTATCCTTATTTTGGATGAAACTGAGGCATATAAAAATTATATAACTTGTACAAGATCTCAAAGCCTGTATTTGGCTTGATTGCTATAGAACCAGATAGTTTTGTTTTGTTTAATTGGGTATACATACACCTCTGTGGTATCTAGCTCAACTGTTGTAAAGTCATTGCCAATTGTATTGGTTAGGGATCTCCAAAGAGACAGAACCAATAGACTATATAGAGGATAGAGAGAGAAACATATGATAGATAGATAGATAAGAAGGGATTTATTGAGAGAATTCTCTCACAAAATTATGAAAATTGAGAAATCCATTGATAGGTCGTCTGCAAGCTGGAGAACCAGGAAAGCCAGTAGCGTGGCTAAGTCTAAGTCTGAATGCTTCAGAACCAGGAAGGTGATGATCGAACTTTCAGTTTGAGGCCGAAGGCCTGAGAACTCTGCAGGCCACTGGTACAGCTGTGGATACCAAAGGCCAGAGAACCTGGAGTTCTAATTCTCAACGGCAGGGAAGAAGAGAGTCTCAGCTCCAGAGACAGATGGAGAATTAGCCTTTCTGCTGCCTTTTTTGTTTTATTCAGTCTTTTTGTTCTATCACAGCTCCCAGCTGATTGGATGGTGCCCACCACGTAGGTTGAAGGTCGGTCTTCTACTCAGTTTGCTGGTTCAAATGACAATCTCTTTTGGAAAGACCCTCATAGACATATCCAGATATAATGCTTTGCCAACTACTTGGGGGTACCTTAATATAGTCATTGACACCTAAAATTAACCATCACTTAAATCATGATATATCTTAATATGAATGTAATCATGAATGTAAATTGCCCACATTCTCTATTATTGGATATATTTACAAAATTCTAGCATATAATTATTCTCTCTATAGATTATTATAAAAATAAAAATACAGAATTAACAGTACATTCTATGGTGAATAAAAATTAAATAAAATTCATCTGTGGACATCATCAGGGGTCCATTGTTCTATTTCGGTGGCTTCCAAAGGCCAATGGGTCAATGGAGGATCACAGATATTTTCACTGACCTTTTGCAAAACAAAATATTTTAAAAATGTTACACACATTTGGTTATTTTATAGAAGAAAAATTATTCACTGTGTTTAACAACTCACATTAATAAGTAGATTATTGCAAGTTGGAATCTTAACATGTAATATAAAAATCTAACATTTATTGACACTTATTTAAATGTAATATATACTTTAAGTGCTATTACTCATGAAGTCTTCACAACTAGTTATAAGATGTGGGGGCCACTATTTTGGACTATGAGAATTGGAGTCACACACCAGGAATCATAGAGCAGAGCTGCTATAATGTCTGATGACGTACCTCTAGAAATTTGTAAATGAGAAAAATAAATTTCTGCATGCATGATCTCTGTTAATTTGGTTATTGTTTTACTGCAGTCTAAACTTATCTTCCCTGACAAAAGTAGTTATCATTCATTTGACAAATAAAAAGCCTATGCAAAGAGTTAAAATGACCAAGATCACACAGCTGATAAATACACATCTGGGATGGAAATGCAGCTGTCTGTAATGTTGAGACAACAGCACATACAGTCTTCTAATGGTTTCCCATTCTACGCAAATAAAAATAGAAAGGTAGATAATAAAAAGGCATGTTTCTAATGAGTGGAGTAATTTTTATAGGTTAATATTTCCTTTTCTCTGCATTTTCCAGTTAAAGCATCACTTAATTGGTTTACTATACAAGACCTATCATTGTTTAGAAAAAAATATATTTCATATGCATTATTTTTTATTTTTACATATCAATCTGAACAAATTTTAGTCCTACAATTTAAAACAAAAATGGATTTTTTGTATTAGTAAAAATAACGTGGCTTCATATAAGCAAAATATTTCAAATTTTTAGACAATGTCAACAGCAAATTCAATCTTAAATATGTTTTATTTATTACTCAAGCTTTCAAGTAATTTAATGCTTTAGAAATGGTATTTTAACATTAATATTTTTAACACAAAAATAAACATTCAAAAAATTTTAGCAAATTATAAAAAATGTATTCTGTCCATTTTTTGCTGTCAAAATTGCTATTAAATTAGCAACTTCTCATTTTTTTCATATTCTTATAAGTATTCTGCAATAGATCTAGAAAAGAACTGAAGCTATATTCATGATATGTTTGAGTCTAGTTCATTACTTCTTTGTACCTGAACTATTTTTTGGCATAGTTCACTAAGTTGCCATGACAATATGAATTTTAAAAATTAGACAAATATCTTTCTAGACTGTGTTTTTATTGTTGTTGATACCGTTATAGTGACTAAGAGTATTACATTGAAGTGAAATGGATGTGTATTTAATTCCAAGTGTACCAGCTGTTTGGCTTTGGGCAAAGTATTAAGGTTCCATAAGCCTTATTTTCTTCATCTGTAAAATTGTGATAATAGGACAGTTTACTACATAGGATTGCACTGTGTGAGTTAAATGAGAAAAATACACAAAAAGTTTTTGTCCAGGAACTTAATAAGCTCCTAGGATGTGCAGAGGCCCAAGAAACAGGGAATTCAAGACAGGGAGACATGAAGGATAAATTCCAGGGTGATGTAGGAAAGAAAATCCAAGAACATCAGCTCTGAGGAGGATATTGTCAGCCACCCTTCCAGTTGGGAGTAGGCCAGAAGCCTGGGTGAGGTCTTCATGAGAACGTCATTGGTAGAATAACTGATAGTTATGAAAATATTTCTTTGTTGTTTACAGTTCTGAGGGAGAGTCTGGGGAGGCTGAATAATGCACATATAAAAACCTAGGGGAATGGGAAGTGAGGGTGATAGTCATATTCTGATCTTGGGTAGGGATGAGGGAGAAAGGAAAGCAGAACAATCTTTCAGATGTACATCTTGAAGGAAGGTTGTGTGACGCCAGTGGGCTTACTTGGGGGAAGCTATATAAAAATTAACCCAGAACTTTTGCTTCTACTGTGTCCAGAGTTGGTAGGTTCTTTGTCTCATTGACTTCAAGAATTAAGCCGCGGACCCTCGCAGTGAGTGTTACAGTTCTTAAAGGCAGCGTGTCCAGAGTTTGTTCCTTCTGATGTTCAGATGTGTTCAGAGTTTCTTCCTTCTGGTGGGTTCGTGGTCTCACTGGCTCAGGAGTGAAGCTGCAGACCTTTGCAGTGAGTGTTACAGCTCATAAAGGCAGTGCAGACTCAAAGAGTGAGCAGTAGCAAGATTTAGTGCAAAGAGCTAAAGAACAAAGCTTCCACACCGTGGAAGGGGACCCCAGTGGGTTGCCACTGCTGGCTCGGCAGCCTGCTTTTATTCTCTTATCTGGCCCCACCCACAGCCTGCTGATTGGTCCATTTTACAGAGAGCCGATTGGACTGTTTTACAGAGAGCTGACTGGTCCATTTTGACAGGGTGCTGATTGGTGCATTTACAATCCCTGAGCTAGACACAAAAGTTCTCCATGTTCCCACTAGATTAGCTAGATACTGAGTGTCAATTGGTGCATTCACAATCGCTTAGCTAAACATAAAGATTCTCTAAGTCCCCACCAGACTAACTAGATACAGAGTGCCGATTGGTGCATTCACAAACCCTGAGTTAGGCACAGGGTGCTGATTGGTGTGTTTACAAACCTTGAGCCAGATACAGAGTGCTGATTTGTGTAGTTATAATCCCTTAGCTAGACATACAGATTCTCCAATCCCCACCAGACTCAGGAGCCCAGGTGGCTTCACCCAGTGGATCCCACCCCAGGCCGCAGGTGGAGCTGCCTGCCAGTCCCCTGCCCTGCACCCGCACTCCTCAGCCCTTGGGTGGTCTGGTGGGACCAGGAGCCCTGCAGCAGGGGGTGGCACTCGTGGGGGAGGCTCCAGCCACGCAGGAGCCCACGGTGGGTGCGGGAGGCTCAGGCTTGGCGGGCTGCAGGTCCCGAGCCCGGCCCCACGGGGTGGCAGCTAAGGCCCAGCTAGAAGTCGAGCACAGCAGCTGCTGGCCCAGGTGCTAAGCCCCTCACTGCCCAGGGCTTGTGGGCCGGCCGGTTGCTCTGAGTGCGGGGCTGCTGAGCCCACGCACACCCGGAACTTGCGCTGGCCCGCAAGTGTGTTGTGCAGCCCGGGTTCCCACTGGCGCCTCTCCCTCCACACCTCCCTGCAAGCTGAGGGAGCCAGCTCTGGCCTTGGCCAGCCCAGACAGGGGCTCCCACAGTGCAGCGGCAGGCTGAAGGGCTCCTCAAGCACAGCCAGAGTGGGCGCCGAGGCCGAGGAGGCCCCAAGAGTGAGCAAGGGCTGCGAGGGCTGCCAGCATGCTGTCACCTCTCACTACTAGCATAGCTAGTAAATTGAAACTTCATATGATTTTTAAGAAGCAGAGAGAGAGTGTGTATTTAGTTAAATAACAAAGCCTGCTAGGTTGCTTTAATCTCAGCAGATACCATGGTCTGGCACAAATAAAGGATAAAGAAGCCTGCTTTGCTACATAAAGAATTAAAATGAAATATAGCAGCTGCTGAAATAACATGCGTAAATCACAACAGAAATAGCAAAGAGATTAAAACCAATTGCAGGTGATAGAGAAACTTTCATGGTATAGATGCTTTGAAGCTGGGCCTTGGTATAGAAAAGTAGGATGGGTAGCAGGGCAGATAATCAGCATGTGCACAGGTAGCAATGAGGAAAGAGAGAGAGCAGGTGAGTGAAAGACATAGATTTAGTGAGAAGTAAGTAAATGATAGAATGAGAATAATGCAGTAGATTGATTCCTGATTTTAAAAGACTTTGCTCCAGAACAATGAACTTTGCTTTAAGAAATGAAATGCTTTTAGGCTAGATAAAGTTATTCTCAAAACAGGTGTTTTAGAAAGACACTAACTTTTCTGACAGTGTTTAAATTGTATTGGGATATAAAGCATCATCAGTAGTAAAGGCAACAAAAATTAAAAACAGAGTTAAAAAATATGTATTACTTATTAGGATTACCCTAGCAAATTGCCACAGATAGTGGCTAAAAACAACAGAAATCTATTCTCTCACAGTGTTGGAAGCTAGCTGCCTGAAATAAAGGTGTCCACGGACCATGCTCCCAGTGAAGATTCTAGGGATGAATTCTTCCCTGTTTCTTTCTCACTTATGCTGGTTCACAGCAATACCTGGCACCCATTGGCATTACTCCAATCTCTGTGTCAATCTTCACATGGTCTTCTCCCCTGTGTTTATGTCTGTGTCTCTTCTCTTTTTTTTAAGAATACTTAACATATTGGATGTAGGGCCTAATTTAGTCCAGTACAACTCAATCTTAACTTGATTACATCTGTAAAAACCTTATTTCTACATATGGTTATAGTCTAAGGTTCTGGGTGGACATAACATTGGGAGGAGTTTGCTATTCAACCTACTGTAGTTGTCCCTATGTCTCTCCCAAAATTTATATCTGCTTATGTGCCAAATTTATTCTAATCCTAACATCCCCAATTTTTTAGCTAATTCCAAAATCTCATCTAAATATCATCAACTCAAAATGTTCCAAATCTCATTATCTAAACAAATCTAAGTCATGTATGCTTGCCCAATTTCGTCTGCACTTAATGGTATAACTATTTTTGTTACTGGTCATTGTTATTATAACTATATAAGTTAAATTGTCAATAATTAATAAAAAGAGTGCAAAAATAGATTTTTGGTGATTTATGTCCGGTGGGATAATACACTAAACACAAAGAGTATATGCCATATAATTCCATTTATATAAAGTTCAAAGTTAAAAATACTAACCTGTACTGATAGAAGTCAGAAGAGTGGTTACTTCTTTGGGACAAGGCATAAAATGGAAATGATAAGAAATATAAGGGAGACTTCAGGAGTGAAGGAAATGTTTTTTTTTTTTATTTTGAGTTGGGTAATAGTTACAGAAGTGTATACATTTGTGAAAATATACCAAGCTACACAATTAAGCTTTGTGCATTTTCAGAAGTTATTTAAAAATAAGTCAGCCAGGCACAGGGGTTCACGTCTGCAATCCCAGCACTTTAGGAGGCCATGACAGGCAGATACCTTGTGCCCAGGAGTTCAAGACCAGCCTGAGCAATATGGAAAAACTGTGTCTCCACCGAAAAAAAAAAAAAAAAAAAAAAAGCCAGGTATGGTGGCACGTGCCTGTAGTCCCAGATACTCAGGAGACTGAAGTGGGAGGATGACTTATCCCTGATGGCGGAGTTTTACAGTGAGCTGAAATCATGCCGCTGAACTTCATCCTGGGTGGCAGAGCCCGACTCTGTCAAAAAAAAGAAAAGAAAAGAAAAAAGAAAAGGAAAATAAAGAAAGAAATAAAGAAAGAAAATTAAAGTAATAAATAAATTTTTAAAAGTATAAATTTTCAATATGAAAACTTTTCTCAATGCATTCAACAGACTCAATAAATAAGAGATGCATAAAAATTTGTCAAGCAAACAGAAGAGAAGCAAGTGTAAATGATTGGTAGAAAGTCATACTCTAGAAAAATTATTCTTCATATTGCATCACAAAGCCTTTATTTCCAGCAGAGAAAACATTATGTCTATGGTTTATTAAATGATAACCTCAGAACATCATTTATTAGAACCTAGTTCAAGTGCCATTTACTGATATTGGAACACATATTTATCTGTTTTAAGTTAATATATTTTATTTCCGACATGTATGTCACTTTAAAAAATTATTTCTCACTTAGATGATTTTTCATTAACCCACAAACTTTCTGCAATGATAGTATTAAAATGAGAAAGTTTTCAGTATATATACTAACATTATTCCATTAATATGTATGAGAAAAATTCACTTAAAAAATCTGACAGCATTTGCGATAAGTGACAGTGAGGATGTAAATATAAAGTTAGATCCTTAACTCTTAGTTCCTATGCTTTATTCCTTTTTAAAATTGATCTGATAACTTTATCTAATCGAGGGAGGTCAGGATTGAGATACAGGATGAAACTGGCCAATTCTATTAAATATATTTTGAAAACCTAACATTTATACAAATATGTTTAATAAAGTAAACCCGGCTTTATAAAAAAAAGTTACTTCTTAAGTGAGTTATTCAGTAAAATTTTTAAATAAGAAATTAATTTAAAATTTTAAAAAGTGTAAATATAAAGCTGTGAAACAAGACAAAAATGTTAAGGGTTAAATTAACTAAGATGATGCAATAAATTCTATGTGGAAAAAAATGAATTTTTTTATTCCAAGATGATGAATAAGAGGGCTTTAGCATGCATCAGCCACTTGGAAATAGCAAGATAGTGCATAAAGATCATTTCTGTGAAAAGAAAAAAGGGAATCCACCAGAATTGCTGCAGGGAAGCACAAAGAGATCCAACAAAAGGTTAAAAATCAACACAAAGAGATTTCTAAAGCAATTAAGAAAATGGCAGAAGAAATAAACATCTTAATGGAAAAGAAGAGCTTCTGGAATTAAAAAATCAGAGTTTCCTAAACTCACTTAAGAAATTTCAAAATACAAATTAAAGCTTTATCAATAGACTAGAACAGGCAGAGGAAAGAATTGCAGAGCTTAAAGATTAGTCTTTCAAACTCATCTAGTTAGGCAAATATAAAAAAATGAACTTTAAAAAATTAACAAAGTCATTGGGAAATATGGGATTATGTAAAATGAGCAAATCTATGAATTATTGGCATTTCTGACAGAAGAAGGAAAAAGTAAACAATTTAGAAAACATATTTGAGGGAATAATTCAAGAAAATTTCCCTGATCTTGTTAGAAAAGTATACATCCATATAGAAAAGAAATCCAGAGAACACCTTTGAGATATTATATATCATGAACATCAGCAAGGAATATGGTGACCAGACTGTCCAAGATCAACATTGAAGAAAAAAGTTTAAAGGCATATATCAGATGATGCAAACTTTAAACCAACAATAGTAAAAAGGGACAGAGAAAGGTATTACATAATAATAAAATATTCAATTAAACAGGAAGACTTAACTATCTTAAATATATACTTAACAAAAACTGGAGCACCTAGATTCATAAAACAAGTACTTCTAGACCCCCAAAAAACTTAGAAAGCCACACAATAATAGTGAGAGATTTCAACACACTGATAGTGTTAAACATAATATTGAGGAGGAAAACTAACAAAGAAATTCTAGACTTAAACTCGACACATGGCCAATTGCACCTAATAAGCATCTACAGAATACTTAACCCGTCAAATGCAGAATATACATCTTCTCGTCTGCACATGGAACATACTCCAAGGTCGACCACATGGACCATAAAGTGAGTCTCAATAAATTCAAAAAAATTGAAATTATACCATTTTACTCAAAGACCATAATGGAATTTAACTAGAAATCAATGCCAAGAAGATCTCTCAAAATCACACAATTACATGGAAATTAAACAACTTGCTCCAGAGTGACTTTTGGGTAAACAACACAATTAAGGAAGAAATGAAAAAGATTTTGAAATTAATGAAAACAGAGAAACAACCTCTCTGGGTAGTAATCATAGCAGTGTTAAGAAGAAAGTTTATAGTAATAAACATCTGTTGCAAAAAAATAGATCTCAAATTAATTATCTAACATTTTTTTGTTTGTTATATTATACTTTAAGTTCTAGGGTACATGTGCACAACGTGAAGGTTCGTTACATAGGTATACATGTGCCATGTTGGTGTACTGTACCCATTAACTTGTCATTTACATTAGGTATATCTCCTAATGCTAACTCTCCCCCCCTTCCCCCACCCCACAACAGGCCTTGGTGTGTGATGTTCCCCTTCCTGTGTCCATGTGTTCTCATTGCTCAATTCCCACCTATGAGTGAGAACATGCAGTGTTTTGTTGTTTGTCCTTGCGATAGTTTGCTGAGAATGATGGTTTCCAGCTTCATCCATGTCCCTACAAAGACATAAACTCACCCTTTTTTATGGCTGCATAGTATTCCATGGTGTATATGTGCCACATTTTCTTAATCCAGTCTATCATTGATGGACATTTGGCTTGGTTCCAAGTCTTTGCTATTGTGAATAATGCTGCAATAAACATACGTGTGCATGTGTCTTTATAGCAGCATGATTTATAGTCCTTTGGGTATATACCCAGTAATGGGATGGCTGGGTCAAATGGTATTTCTAGTTCTAAATCCTTGAGGAATCGCCACACTGACTTCCACAATGGTTGAATTAGTTTACAGTCCCACCGACAGTGTAAAAGTGTTCCTATTTCTCCACATCCTCTCCAGCACCTGTTGTTTCCTGACTTCTTAATGATCACCATTCTAACTGGTGTGACATGGTATCTCACTGTGGTTGTGATTTGCATAACTCTGACGGCCAGTGATGATGAGCATTTTTTCATGTGTCTGTTGGCTGCATAAATGTCTTAAGAACTGTCTTTTCATATCCTTTGCCCACTTTTTGATGGGGTTGTTTGTTTTTTTTTCTTGTAAATTTGTTTAAGCTCTTTATAGATTCTGTATATTAGCCCTTTGTCAGATGAGTAGATTGCGAAAATTTTCTCCCATTCTGTAGGTTGCCTGTTCACTCTGATGGTAGTTTCTTTTGCTGTGCAGAAGCCCTTTAGTTTAATTAGATCCCATTTGTCGATTTTGGCTTTTGTTGCCATTGCTTTTGGTGTTTAAGACACGAAGTCCTTGCCCATGCCTATGTCCTGAATGGTATTGCCTAGGATTTCTTCTAGGGTTTTTATGGTTTTAGGTCTAACATTTAAGTCTTTAATCCATCTTGGATTAATTTTTCTATAAGGTGTAAGGAAGGGATCCAGTTTCAGCTTTCTACATATGGCTAGCCAGTTTTCCCAGCACCATTTATTAAATAGGGAATCATTTCCCCATTTCTTGTTTTTGTCAGGTTTGTCAAAGATCAGATGGTTGTAGATGTGTGGTATTATTTCTGAGGGCTCTGTTCTATTCCATTGGTCTATATCTCTGTTTTGGTACCAGTACCATGCTGTTTTGGTTACTGTAGCCTTGTAGTATAGTTTGAAGTCAGGTAGAAATGATGCCTCCAGCCTTGTTCTTTGGGCTTAGGATTGTCTTGGCAATGCAGGCTCTTTTTTGGTTCCATATAAACTTTAAAGTAGTTTTTTTCCAATTCTATGAAGAAAGTAATTGGTAGCTTGATGGGGATGGCATTGAATCTATAAATTACCTTGGGCAGTATGGACATTTTCATGATATTGATTCTTCCTATCCATAAGCATGGAATGTTCTTCCATTTTTTTGTGTCCTCTTTTATTTCGTTGAGCGGTGGTTTGTAGTTCTCCTTGAAGAGGTCCTTCACATCCCTTGTAAGTTGGATTCCTAGGTATTTTATTCTCTTTGAAGCAATTGTGAATGTTTGCTCACTCATGATTTGGCTCTCTGTCTGTTACTGGTATATAAGAATGCTTGTGATTTTTGCACTTTGATTTTGTATCCTGAGACTTTGCTGAAATTGCTTATCAGCTTAAGGAGATTTGGGGCTGAGACAGTGGTGTTTTCTAAATATACAATCATGTCATCTGCAAACAGGACAATTTTACTTCCTCTTTTCCTAATTGAATACCCTTTATTTCTTTTTCCTGCCTGATTGTCCTGGCCAGAACTTCCAACACTATGTTGAATAGGAGTGGTGAGAGAGGTCATCCCTGTCTGGGCCAGTTTTCAAAGGGAATGCTTCCAGTTTTTGCCCATTCAGTATGATATTGGCTGCGGGTTTGTCATAAATAGCTCTTATTATTTTAAGATACATCACATCGATACCTAATTTATTGAGAGTTTTTAGCATGAAGGGCTGATAAATTTTGTCAAAGGCCTTTTCTGCATCTATTGATATAATCATGTGGTTTTTGTCTTTGGTTCTGTTTATATGCTGGATTATGTTTATTGATTTGTGTATGTTGAACCAGCCTTGCATCCCAGGGATGAAGCCCACTTGATCATGGTGGATAAGCTTTTTGATTTGCTGCTGGATTCGGTTTGCCAGTATTTTACTGAGGATTTTTGCACTGATGTTCATCAGGGATATTGGTCTAAAATTCTCTTTTTTTGTTGTGTCTCTGCCAGGCTTTGGTATCAGGATGATGCTGGCCTCATAAAATGAGTTAGGGAGGTTTCTCTCTTTTTTTTATTGATTGGAATAGTTTCAGTAGGAATGGTACCAGCTCCTCCTTGTACCTCTGGCAGAATTCAGCTTTGAATCCGTCTGGTCCTGGACTTTTTTTCGTTGGTAAGCTATTAATTATTGCCTCAATTTCAGAGCCTGTTATTGGTCTATTCAGGGATTCAACTTCTTCCTGGTTTAGTCTTGGGAGGGTGTATATGTCGAGGAATTTATCCATTTCTTCTAGATTTTCTAGTTTATTTGTGTAGAGGTGTTCATAGTATTCTCTGATGTTAGTTTGTATTTCTGTGGGATCGGTGGTGATATCCCCTTTATCATTTTTATTGCATCTATTTGATTCTTCTCTCTTTTCTTCTTTATTAGTCTTGCTAGCAGTCTATCAATTTTGTTGATCTTTTCAAAAAACAAGCTCCTGGATTCATTGATTTTTTGAGGGTTTTTTTGTGTCTCTATTTCCTTCAGTTCTGCTCTGATCTTAGTTATTTCTTGCCTTCTGCTAGCTTTTGAATGTGTTTGCTCTTGCTTCTCTAGTTCTTTTAATTGTGATGTTAGGTTGTCCATTTTAGATCTTTCCTGCTTTCTCTTGTGGGCATTTAGTGCTGTAAATTTCTCTCTACACGCTGCTTTAAATGTGTCCCAGAGATTCTGGTATGTTTTGTCTTTGTTCTCATAAAGATGGGGAAAAAAAAGAGCAGAAAACCTGAAAAGTCTAAAAGTCAGAGCACCTCTCCTCCTGCAAATGAACACAGCTCCTCACCAGCAATGGAACAAAGCTGGACAGAGAATGACTTTGAAGAGTTGAGAGAAGAAGGCTTCAGACAATCGAACTTCTCCGAGCTAAAGGAGGAAGGTCGAACCCATTGCAAAGAAGCTGAAAACCTTGAAAAAAGATTAGATGAATGGCTAACTAGAATAACTATTGTAGTTATTCTAGTTAATATGACCTTAAATGACCTGATGGAGCTGAAAACCATGGCATGAGAATTATGTAACGAATGCAGAAGCTTCAGTAGCTGATTCGATCAATTGGAAGAAAGCGTATCAGTGATGAAAGATCAAATGAATGAAATGAAGTGAAAAGAGAAGTTTTGAGAAAAAAGAGTAAAAAGAAACCAACAAAGCCTCCAAGAAACACAGGACTATGTGAAAAGACCAAATCTGTATCTGATTGGTGTACCTGAAAGTGATGGGGAGAATGGAATCAAGTTGGAAAACACTCTGCAGCATATTATCCAGGAGAACTTCCCCAACCTAGCAAGGCAGGCCAACATTCAAATTCAGGAAATACGGAGAATGCCACAAGGATGCTCCTCGAGAGAAGAAACTCCAAGATACACAATTGTCAGACTCCCGAAAGTTGAAATGAAGGAAAAATTGTTAAGGACAGCCAGAGAGAAAGGTCAGGTTACCCACAAAGGGAAGCCCATCAGACTAACAGTGGATCTCTCTGCAGAAACTCTACAAGCCAGAAGAGAGTGGGGGCCAATATTCCACATTCTTAAAGAGAAGAATTTTCAACCCAGAATTTCATATCCAGCCAAACTAAGCTTCATAAGTGAAGGAGAAATAAAATCCTTTACAGACAAGCAAATGCTGAGAGATTTTGTCACCACCAGGCCTGCCCTACAAGAGCTCCTGAAGGAAGCACTAAATATGGAAAGGAACAACCAGTACCAGCCACTGCAAAAACATGCCAAATTGTAAAGACCATAGATGCTAGGAAAAATCTGCATCAACTAACGGGCAAAATAACCAGCCAACATCATAATGACAGGATCAAATTCACACATAACAATATTAACCTTAAATGTAAATGGGCTAAATGCTCCAGTTAAAAGACACGGACTGGCAAATTGGATAAAGTGTCAAGACCCATCAGTGTGCTGTAATCAGGAGACCCATCTCATGTGCAGAGACACACATAGGTTCAAAATAAAAGGATGGAGGAAGATCTACCAAGCAAATGGAAAACAAACAAACAAACAAAAAAGCAGGGGTTGCAATCCTAGTCTCTGATAAAACAGACTTTAAACCAACAAAGATCAAAAGAGATAAAGAAGGCCATTACATAATGGTAAAGGGATCAGTTCAACAAGAAAAGTTAACTATCCTAAATATATATGCACCCAATATAGGAGCACCCAGATTCATAAAGCAAGTCTTTAGAGACCTACAAAGAGACTTAGACTCCCTCACAATAATAATGGGAGACTTTAACACTCCACTGTCAACATTAGACAGATCAACAAGACAGAAAGTTAACAGGGATATTGAGGATTTGAACTCAGCTCTGCATCAAGCAGACCTAATAAACATCTACAGAACTCTCCACCTCAAATCAACAGAATATACATTCTTCTCAGCACCATATCGCACTTATTCCAAAATTGACCACATAGTTGGAAGTAAAGCACTCCTCAGCAACTGTACAAGAAGAGAAATTATAACAAACTGTCTCTCAGACCACAGTGCAATCAAACTAGAACTCAGGATTAAGAAACTCACTCAAAACCGCTCAACTACATGGAAACTGAACAACCTGCTCCTGAATGGCCACTGGGTACATAATGAAATGAAGGCAGAAATAAAGATGTTCTTATCTAAGATTGTTATGTAGAGAAACTAAAAATCAAAAACAAACCAACCCCAATGTTAGCAAAGGAAATAAAAAACTAAAATTAGAGAATAAGATAATGTAATTGAGACCAAAAAATCCATAAAAAGTATCAATGAAATCAAAAGTTTCTTTTTTAAAGAGGATAAATTGATAGATCATTAACTACATTAACAAATAAAATAAAGAATATCCAAACAAGCACAATCAGGAACAACAAAGTTGGCATTACAACCAATCTCACAGAAGTATAAAAGATTTTCAGATGCTATTAACAACACCTCTATTCACACAAACTAGAAAATCTGGAGAAAAGTAAATAAATTTCTAAGATGGATTCACATCCAAATTTTACAAGATATACAAAAAAAGAGCTGGTACCAATTCTAGTGAAACTATTTCAAAAAATTAAGGAGGAAGGATTCCTACCAAACTCGTTCTATGAAGCCAGCATCACTCTGATATGAAAACCTGGAAAAGAAATGACAAAAAAAGAAAAAAACTACAGGTCAATATCTCTGATGAACATGGACATGAAAGTCCTCAACAAAATACTAGCAAATCAAATCCAGTAGCACATCAAAAATTATTTCATAACAAATAGACTTTATTCCTGGGATGTAAGCTTAGTTCAACATACACAAATCAATAAATATGACTCACCACATAAACAGAATTAAAAACACAAACCATATTATTATCTCAATAGATGTTGAAAAAGCTTTTGATTGAATCCAACACTTCTTCATGTTAAAAACCCTCAACAAACTAGGCATTGAAGGAACATACCCCAAATTAATAAAAGCCATTTATGACAAACCCATAGCCAATATCATACTGAATGGGCAAAAGCTGGAAGCATTCCCCTCATTCACTGGAACAAGACAAGTATGCTCACTTTCACCACTTGTATTTAACATACTACTAGAAGTCCTTGCCACAGCAATCAGTCAAGAGAAAGAAATAAAAGGCAACCAAATACAAAAAGAATTCAAATTATGTTCTTCACTGATGATATGATTTTATACATGGAAAACCTTACAATCTCCACCAAAGGCTCCTGGAACTGATAAAAGACTTCAGTAAAGTTTCTGGATACAAAAATTAATGTAAAAAAAATCAGTTCTCTACAGCAATAACTTTCAAGCTAGCAGCCAAATAAAGCCACACACACGCACACACACACACACACACACACACACACACACACACAACCTAGAAATACATCTAACCAAGGATCTACAAGAGGAGCTACAAAACACTGCTGAAAGAGATCATAAATTACACAAATAAATGGAAAAATATTTCATGCTCATGGATTGGGAGAATTAATATCATCAAAGTGGTCACACCTCCCAAAGCAATCTACAGATTCAACGCTATTCATATCAAATTACCAATGTCATTTTCATAGAATTAGAAAAAAACTATTCTAAACTGCATGCGGAATCAAAAAGAGCTTGAATAATCAAAGCCTAAGCAAAACGAGCAAAACTGGAGGCATCACATTACTGGAACCCAAACTAGTACTATAAGGCTGTAATATCCAAAACAGCATGGTACCGGTCCAAAAACACATCAACCAATGAAACAAAATAGAGAATCTAGAAAGAAAGTTGCACACCTACAGCCACCTGATCTTCCAGAAAGTCAACAAAAATAATCTATAGGGAAAGAATTTTCTATTCAATAAATGACACTGGGAGAGCTGGCCCAGCTGTATGAAGAAAAATGAAGCTGGATCCTTACATTTTACCACATACAAAAAAAAAACCCAAGATAGAGTAATGATTTAAATGTAAGACCTTAAACTATAAGAATCCTAGAAGAAAACCTAGGAAACACCATTCTGGGTATTGGTCTTGGGAAATAATTTACAGCTAAGTCTTCAAAAGCAACTGCTACAAAACATGAATTGACCAGTGAAACCTAGTTAAACTAAAGAGCTTCTGCACATCAGAAGAAATAGAGCAAATAGACAATTTATACAATGGGAGAAAATATTCACAAACTATGCACATGACATATGTCGAATACCCAGAATTTATAAGGAACTTAAACAATTAAACAAGAAAAAAATTAATCTCATTAATTTGTGGGCAAAAGACATCAGCAGACACTTTTCAAAAGAAGACATACAAGTGACTAACAAACATGAAGAAATTCTCCACATCACTAATCACTAGAGAAATGCAAATCAAAACCACAAAGAGATAGCATCTCATACCCATCAGAACGGCTAAGAAGTCAAAAAACACCAGATTCTGGCAAGGCTACAGAAGAAATGAAATGCTGATAAATTTCTGATGAGAACATAAATTAGCCACTGTGGAAAGCAATTTGGAGATTTCTTATAGAGCTACCATTGAAACGAGCAATCCCATTATTGAGTATATATATAAAAGAAAATAAATTATTCCACCAAAAGGACACCTGCACCCATATGTCTCTTACAGCTCTATTCACAATAGCAAAGATATGTAAACAACCTTGGTATGCGTCAGTGGTGGATTCACTGAAGAAAATGTGTTTCATAACACCATGGAACACTATGCAGCCATAAAGAGAACGAAATCATGTTCATTGCAGAAACATGGATGCAGCTGGAGGCCACTATCCTGTGTATTAACACAGGAGCAGAAAACCAAATACCACATATGCTCACTATAAGTGGGAGCTGAACATTTGGGTTCTCATGGACATAAAGATGTTAACAGTAGCCACGAGGGAGCACTAGAGTAGGGAGAGAGGGAGAGGACAAGGGCTTAAAAACTTCCTATCTGGTACTGTGCTCACTCCTCAGCATCACACAATCTACCCATTCCAAGTGTACACTTTTAGTCAATGATCAATCATTCCGGGGCTTGTCAATAGAATGTGTTCACACTTAGAATGTTGCATAATTATGGTGGTTGCCTTATTGTGGATGCAATAACTTGAGTAATATACTAAATAGAGATCCAGAATAATAAAATTTTGGAGGATCATATGAAAGTATGGTTAAAGTAGTTCAACTAAAGAAATAAAACAAGAATACACTGGTTTTCATCATTCCACAGAATTCATTTTTTCTCAAGGAGATATTTTCTATCTTCATTTATTCTCTTTGCCACCTACAAGTTTCTGCAGCAACATGTGTCTTTTTGCTAGATAATAGTTTCAGTTTTCTCTGTTCTTAAGTTTAATTAGAAATTTCATAGAGATAGTTAGATGTCGTTTTTGCCAATTTTCCCCTGAATTCAGCTAGCGTCTAAGACGTGATACACGGAAGGATAAAGTACTTGATAATTTCCTCAATATAAGAACAGTGATCTGCTCAATACTGATAGCTATAGTGAAAATGGAAAAGACCTGTAGCACTGGTTTTCAGACTTTAATGTGCATCAGAAGGCCTGAGAAGATTGAATGTTAATTTTAGTTCCCCAAAATATCCATCCATACCTCCTGTTTTCTTGCACCATTCCTGGCATTACTTGGGTTAGTTAGGGTCTTCTAGTGAACTTATGTTAAAATGAAATTATAGGTAGACAAAGATACCTATACAAAGATAGACATTGAAGGGAATGGCTGTACAGATTAAGAACAGAGAGTCAAAGAGGGGCAGGAAGCATTCAGACTAAGATGTAAGAGTGACCCCAGTGAGGGGGAGAGGTGAGGAAGTATTTGATATAAAGAGTCTCAGACTGCAGCACAGTTCTAAAAATGCTTTGGCAAAAGTATTACAGTGGGCCAAAATTGCCTGTTAAAGGTCTTGCATCTTGCAGAAATCTGCCTCCTTTAGTACACCTGCTCTACTCAGTCATTGGGTAGGAGTAGTCTTTATGCAAAAGTGAGTCCAGATGCAAAAGCAGAACAGTTGAGGCTATCAGTTAACCTTGCTCCTGCAGCAGGAGATCTGAGTGGAACATTTCCTTGGCCAACACAGCTTGTCAAAGCACACATTTCTGGGCTCCACTCTGAAGAGTTCCTGATTTAGCAAGTCTGGAGGTGGGCCTTGGGATTTGCATTTTTAACAAATTGCATATACTGCAGATCCAGCGACCATATTATGAGAAATGATTATAAAAAAAAATTCATTTGGTAACTTCTTACGATATCTTGAGGTCGAGACTTAAATATATATGCTAAAATAAACTCTTTTTGTACAAAAAGTTTCTGTGGAGCTTGACCTCAGTAAAATATTGAATAGTTCAATGAGTGTGAATGTTAGTTTAGAAAAATGCATAAATTCTGCTGAGATGAGACTGCTTTAACAGCATTTGTCTGGTGCAAAAGAAAAAAGCTGGGACTCCTTTCTGGCTTTGTCTTACTTCTCAGCAAAGAAAACCCAAGTTTTCTTTGTTACATTTTAATAGTTAACATCCTGTATATTGAAACAATACATTGAAAATTCAAAATGCATACAGGAACCATGGATTGGAGTGAGATTATGCTTGGGGAAAGAAAAGTTATTTAATTCATAAAATCTGCTAATGATGCAGACCAAAATTCCAACGTATTGTATTCACAGCAGGTTAAAAAAAAAACTGTCTCAAGGATTCTCTTGCATAAGAAAGTATTATAGGGAATAATTCAGATAATCAGTTATTATATTTAGGACTTTGGCAGCAGGCAATGTAATTTTACTCAGCAATATTGGGGTTGGAAAAAAAAGACCTAGCATCTGAGACAAGAATGAGAACAAACAGGTTGAAAAACAATGAATCTTATCACCTATGAGGCAACACAGGTACTCAGTGCTCCTCAACAGAAGATCGAGTCTCTTCTCACTGTTTAAACAAAAGGAATATTAAAGCAAGTGTGCAGTCCATCCCCAGAATCAGTGGGGCACCCAATTGCTAGGTCCAGTAGAAGGACTTATGCTAAGAGTATTATCTCAGAACTAGAATTGAGGGAAAGAGGGAAGGAAATGTGCTAGTAATATTAATTCAACCTTATTAAGCAAATCAGACAGTAAACAACCAGCAGAGGAGAAAAGTCACCTGTAGAAAGGGACTGGGCTCTTAAAAGCTTTCACTAGAAGCAAATCCATAAGCAATAACTGAGAATATCCTACAGTTAAGAAGAAGGGTCCTAAGACTAGAAGAAAATATAATAACAAAAAGATAACCAAAAAAGTGCAAATTTTATTCAAGGAAGAGATGAAGCATCGACCAGATATTATTCTTTTAATCACACAGTTTAAGGCTTATCAGTTTGTTCATTGTTCTGTTTTTAGTGAATGTGTTTCAAAACTGTCTTCAAAACAAATTGCATATTTCCTGTGAATCATAACACAAAAACATGGGTAGTAAATGGTAAAGTTTTCACTATGGAATGTGGGAACCCTATTCTTAGTTTTGATTTATTTCAGAAAGTCTAAGTGAAGAAACTTCTGCATTACAGCTTCATTTTTGTAAGTTTATATCCAAGTTCATTCATGTAAATAAGATGATATTTTAATACAGAAATATAAACAAAGTAAATTCAACTGAACTCTCACCATGAAGTTTTTAAATCTTGAAATTATGAAAAGCCAAAGATTGCTAAGAGCCATGAGTAGCTGAAGAGGAAACAGAGGATTCTTCCATAGGACTTACAGAAGGAGCCTGGCCATGCTGACACCTTGACTTAAGACTTCTAGTCTACCCTAATGTGACAGAATACACTTGTATTGTCTTAAACCACCTACTTTGTGGTACTTTGTTATGGAAGCCCCAAGAAACAAATACAGATTTTGGTACCAGTCATGGGTACTATTGTAACAAATACCTAAAGATGGTTAATTGGTTCTGGAATTTGGTAATGGCAAAGACTGAAAGAATTTTGAGATGCATGCTGGAAAAAGTATATATTGCCTTGAAGAAATTATTGTCAGAAATATAACCATTAATTTATATGAATAATATATGTATGAATAATATAATTTATATGAATAATATAACCAGCAATTTTGGTGAGGCCTCAGTTGGAACTGAAGATAGTAGGGAAAGCTCCTATTTTCTTAGGGACTACATACATCATCATGAACACTATGTTTGTAGAAATACAAACATTAAGGGTGCTTCTGGTGAGTTCTCAGGAAGAAATGAGTAGCATGTTATTGGACATTGGAGAAGAGGCAATCCTTGTTAAAAAAAACTTTCAGAAAACTTGGCGGAATTAATATCCAGCATTGGGTAAAAATTAAAGTTGGATATTTAGTTGACAAGATTTCCAACCAATCATTGAAAAATATGTTCTGTTATCTCTTTGCTGCTATTAGTAAAATTTGAGCAGAAAGAGTTAAATTGAGGACTACACTATTAAATAAGAAGAAACAAGAATTTGATGATTTGAAAAATCTCCAGCCTATCCATATTACAAAAGATGTTAAAGCATACTCTACAGAGAATGCCTAGAACCTTCAGGGAGAGCATAATCCTGCTACAACTTTCTTTCAGACTTAGTTCCTAACATTTAAGTCTTCAATCCATCTTGAATTAATTTTTGTTTAAGGTGTAAGGAAAGGATCCAGTTTCAGCTTTCTCCATATGGCTAGCCAGTTTTCCCAGCACCATTTATTAAATAGGGAATCCTTTCCCCATTTCTTGTTTTTGTCAGGTTTGTCAAAGATCAGATGCTTGTAGATGTGTGGTATTATTTCCGAGGGCTCTGTTCTGTTCCATTGGTCTATATCTCTGTTTTGGTACCAGTACCATGCTGTTTTGGTTACTGTAGCCTTGTAGTATAGTTTGAAGTCGGGTAGCATGATGCCTCCAGCTTTGTTCTTTGGGCTTAGGATTGTCTTGGCAATGCAGGCTCTTTTTTGGTTCCACATGAACTTTGAAGTAGTTTTTTCCAATTCTGTGAAGAAAGTCATTGGTAGCTTGATAGGGATGGCATTGAATCTATAAATTACCTCAGGCAGTATGGCCATTTTCACGATATTGAATCTTCCTATCCATGAGCATGGAATGTTCTTCCATTTGTTTGTGTCCTCTTTTATTTCGTTGAGTAGTGGTTTGTAGTTCTCCCTGAAGAGGTCCTTCACATCCCTTGTAAGTTGGATTACTAGGTATTTTATTCTCTTTGAAGCAATTGTGAATGTGTGTTCACTCATGATTTGCCTCTCTGTTTGTCTTTTATTGGTGTCTAGGAATGCTTGTGATTTTTGCACATTAATGCCAGAAAGTAGAACAAATTAAGCAACAAAATTTTCACTGTAGAAAACGTTAAGCAATCTCCAAAAATCGGATTAACTAAAGGAGCATACACATACTTTTACTCTTGAAAACAAATGTCACTAACATTCTCACTAATGGTCAGCATTAACTCTGGAGATTATTTAATTATTCCTTGCCAAGACACTAACAATGAGGACTACGGACTTAGAAAAAATTATGCGTTGACTAATAGGACTAAAGAGAGTTTAGAAAGCATTTAGTACACAATCGTTTCTCCCCTTATATTGTATATGAAAAACAGAAGTTCAGAAACAGTAAGTGATATATCCAAGATGCAACAGTGAATTAGGGGCATGGCAAAAAAGAAACTGAAATCCATGACTTCAAGTGAGGCCGTTCCTTTTGAATAATATGCTACATTTGGAAGAACAAAAGCTTTGGAGAAAGTTGCTGTCATGGGAATAGCCGTCTAACATTCATAAAACAAAATGAGTATAATATTGGAGTTGAATATGACTGTTTAAAAATTAATAACGTTTGGCTGATAATAACACTACTGCCTTTATATACAACTTTATTTCAAAGGTGCCTCACATATATTCAAACAGTTATATTTAACATAGTAAAAACATATTTATAGAAACTTTTAGGTACATAATTGTCAACGGTGTTTTAATCTTGTAGAATATTTCTCTATGCCAATTTACGCGATCAAGAAAACTAATAACATTTGTTTGCATGTGGTATGCAAACAAACTTGAAATCTTACTTCGTATTTGCATATGGTATGCAAAAGACATAAATTGAGCAAATTCCTAACCAATCAAATTAAAAGTAGCCTTTAATTATGTGATGCACACTACTTCCTTTTACTTGTACATGCATGAAAAACTAAAATTTACAATAGCATTGTAAATGTCTCATTCAATGAAGAAAAATAACAGTTGAATCATAGAAATTGGAATCATTTCTGGAATAGAAACACATTATCATTGAAAGTTTGGGTAGAGCTAGATAATTTATGAATGAATTTCTCATCTGCATTGTGGGTCAAAATGATTTGGGAATTTAGAATTTCATTCACTTTTGTCTCCTCTGGCACAATATTGAGATTCATTTTTTTAACCCAAAATTTCATCCATTAAACATTTAAATATACTCAAATCTCTACTAAATTAAATGTACCCTGTATATAGGCAAATGCAGGCACACAAAGCTTTCTCTTGAATCTGGTTTCTGCTCGATCTCTCTCTTTTTCACAGGTGGAAAGAGTGTTCATTTTATTTCCTAACTCAGTGGTAATCTCAACCTTTTTTGTGGCTTTGATTGTCATCTATATACTGATTGCTCATAAATTTGATTTCCAGAATTTACCTCTGAGTTCCAAAACCAACCATCCAACCATTCAATTGATATTTCCACTCCAGCATCAAATATTTCCACTTCAAAGGCATATAAATGAAATGTTGTTTAACTAAACCACCTCCCTGAAAACCTGGTTCTCTTTCACTGTTTTCTGTATCACTCAATGCCACTGTACAAATTAAAAAGCCAGGAGTCAACTTTGAAATCTCCATATCTAATGCACCATAAAGTATTAGATACTTTAATTATTAAACATCTATGTGATTTTTTTCTCCACTACTTCATTATTTTTTTCATTTTTTTCATCAGCCTTACTGACTTTACAAAATACTCCACTACTTTAATCCAAGAACTTGTCACCTCTCACCTGGATCATGGTACAATCATATTAAATAGTCTCACTCTTTTACTCTACAGCCTAATCAGCGCAGTTTCCACAGCATTGCCAGCAATTTTTTTCTTTTCACTTAATAAATACTGTTTTAAAAAAAATGTGTAAACATATATGCAATTTTATTTAAATGTGTAATTATACCATATGATTTGTTTGACAGTCTATTTTTCTTTCTTTTTTGCTTTTCTCCATACTCCCTTTTTTATTCCATCTAAACCCACATCATTCTACTCTACTCATGTAGCCTATGTTAAAAAACTAGTACATATTGTACCCTTCCATATCATTCTCTAAATATCTATACACATAAACATTCATGCATACTTTATAAGTATTTATATTTAATTTTAGTGTTCTTTTAAAATTTACCATATTTAATTATTTTTTACATTTTTGCAGTTTCCTAAATAACATGTAAGTATTGCTACAAATTAATTCATACATCTCTAACTCATTCTCCATGACTACAAAACATTGCCTGGGTTAAGTGAGCAGAAATTTATTCAGGTTTTTTTTTATTGACACAGACTCATGTTTTTCTACTTATTTTCTACATTGTGATTTTTTCAAACCTGAACTCGATTATATCTACCTGAACTCAACCTCTGACCCCCAAAAATCTTACACAGAGAAACACAAGGCCTGTGTGTTTTGCCTCTACCTACCTCTGAAGCCTCATTGACTCCTATACACCTTTGTACACTTTGAGTTACACACACACACAGACATACACATGCCTACACACACTTCACTTGGTATCACTTTCTCTTCTTAAGGAATTGAGCTTTTTGTTACATATCAAGGGATCTTTTGTTTCATTTTTCTAAATAAGATATTATCTAGTTAAATGTCCCACAGAGCACCAGCCATCAGAGTATTGCAATTATTATTACTTATTATTAACGTAATGTTACATTAACTTGTGGTTTTTGTCATTGTCAGCCTCCTAGATTAAACTGTAATTTTCACAAATCCAGGAATTTTTTTCTTTTAGTTTTATATTTATTTTAATTTCTTTTTTTGCTTTTTATTTTATTTATTTATTTATTTTATTATTATTATTATTATTTGAGACAAAGTCTCACTCTGTCATCCAGGCTGGAGTGCAGTGGTGTGATCTCAGCTCACTGCAACCTCCCCTTCTTGGGTTCAAGCAATTCTCATGCTACAACCTCCTGAGTAGCTGGGACTACAGGCGCGTGCCACCACACCCAGCCAATTTTTGTATTTTTGGTACAGACAGGTTTTCACCATGTTGGCCAGGCTGGTCTCAAACTCCTGACCTCAGGTGTTCTGCCCGACTCAGCCTCCCAAAGTCCTGGGATTACAGGAGTGAGCCACTGCGCAGGGCCATTTTAATTTCTTTACATCTCTAGTACTTAGCACAAAACACTGAATATACTAGCAATCAGTATATTTGATGAATAAATTATAATAAATACTTAAAATAAACACTAAATAAGAATTAAAATATTACGACTACTGAAAATACAAATTACTATTTGAAGAAAAGCTAGAATAGATGAGTCTTAATATTATATTGAATATTATAAACATTTGCAATTACTAAACATAAATTTAATTTTAAGTTTCTTAATAAAAAAATAAGCTTGAAAAAAAAGAGTTAGTTCTTTAGACTAACCAAAGTGAACTTTATATTATAGTACTTAGATGTAAAATAAATGTTTCTATTTGGTACTTAACGAGTTACAATTTTCTTGAAATTTTCCTTTTCGTATTACTCTTTTGGAGTTAATATCCCTTGGAAATCAGGACAATAATCATAATTGCAACACTTATGAATCCTATTTGATGGCTAATATTCTACGCACTTCACATATATTATAAACTCTTTACATACCTCAAGGGACAAGTCTATTATTTTCATTTTAATGATAATGATATGAAGGTACATAGAAATTAATGTGACCAACTTCCTACAGCTAACAAGTAGAGAAGGCAGTATGTTTAATCTTCCAGTTAATAAAATTGAAAATAATAATAATAATAAACAGCATAGAAAAATCTAAAAAAGATTCTCAAATGGTTTATGTTCTATTTCTAATCTCCTCATTGCATATTTATTTTTCTGCTAAGCAGTTTAAGACACTGTTTCAGTATCTACTGCTGAATAACAGACCTTCCAAAACTTAATGGCATAAAACAAAACTATTTCTCATGATTTTGTGCAATGACTGTGGATAGCTGAGGGGTTCTCAGTTCCTTGCTTCATCAGATGGGATTATTAATTCAGTTGCCTTAAGGTGATAGCTGGACTAGACTGAAAGGTCCAAGAAGACTTCACTTACAGAGCTATTCCACCAGGCCTTTCTACATGGGTGCTTGCTTCTTTACAGCCTGTTGGTCTCAGGAAAGTTGAAGTTCTTATGTGGCAGCTGGTTTCAAAAAAAGACTGAAAGTGAAAGCTGCCAGTCCTTGTAAGAGCTGAGCATGGACCTGAAGTGTCTCTTGGATGAACCGTGTCACAAGGTCAGTCTGCACTGCAAGCAAAGCCAGTCCAGATCCCAGGGAAGGGAAAATGAACTTTTCCACTCGATGAAAGGGGCAGTGATTACATATAGAGAGGAAGATAACTGTGTATGGCTATCTTCAGGGACTATAGTTCAGGAACACACCTATACTTTATAATTCTTTTTCACATATTTATTTTCCTATTCTTTTGTGATAGTATTGGAAATAGAATGTGAAAAAGAAAGTATTATTAAAGAACAGAAGTACAAGTAAAATACTAATGTAACCCAAACATTAGTATTTTAATGTGGAATTTGAAATGACCCTGAAAATCCTGAATTTTCTTTAGGATTATAAAAGGGCAAGGGAGATTGAACAACTTATGCCATGGACTAGGGGCAAGAAAGAGGAATCTGTGATTTTGGAGGACTGCTTGTAAGTCAATAAGCCTAAAAATAAAACAAATCAAAACAAAACAAAAGCCAAGGTGCTTGATGAATATATGCAGGACAAGAATGGAAAGAAAAGGGAGGAACAAAATGTAAAGGACTTTGAGTGACAGACTGAGGATCTAAACTTGACATTTTTGCCCAGAGCAAGCACTGGGCTTATTATATTAAACTCAGTAGAGACAATATAACTAAGGGAGAATCATCAAGGGTTACTTTGACTCACTCACTGATGCCCAAATTTTGTCAAAAGTTTAATTGTTTTTTAAACACATATTTTCCTGGCCTTCAAATATTACGACAAATGTTTTGGGCAAGGATGTTATTTATAGTGCCAAACAAATTATTTTAGTTTAAGTGTTTAGAAAAGTATCATGCTCAGGGAAAGGAATTAAATTATTTTTCTAAGACTTCTAAAAATACATATCTTACAATTAAAATAATATATTTAAAAAGCTCTACAGAATAAATGTTATTAGTACCATTAACTAATATAACTAATTTAGAGCCTAATATCTATTACATGAAATCAGGATGAAACAATATTTTCTCATCCCCTATAAATACACTCAGTCAAACCAATCCTGAATAATAGCAGCAGTACCTATATCACTAAAACCAGAGAATTTGAAAGGTGAGGAATTGCCTAACTTATTTGGCCCAATTTTAAGCTTGTTTTTCATTGCTACCTTCAAACATCTGCAGCTTCCTTGCCTCTTTCAGTCTTCGTAGAATGGAAGAGAGTTAGGGCCTTACTCTGGATTAGGCTTTGGCATGAGGGAAAGTCATTTATTAAAATTCTTATTTTTTAATTTTCATTTTTACCCTTTGAAACTTTATTTCTCTTTTGGTTGCTTATGGTCTTTTGGTATGAATATGTGGTTATTATTATTCCCTTTTAATGAAGTCTTGTTTATTAAAATTTATTAACAATACATTGCAGTTAACTGTAATGTATGGATTGATATTAGCTGTTTAATGTGTGATGTGGCATTTTAAAAATATGTTAGATTCCATATTTATATACATATGCTATAGCACATATATTTTATGTTTTCTATGTTTATAATATGGTGTTTGTTATGCTTTATTTTATGATAAAATTTGTTTTCTATTCCATCCTCCCCAATTACTTTGGAGAGTAGTACATTGGCTTTTTTATTCAACCAGTGCTTACTTTTACTTTAAAGAAAGAAGAAAAAATAGAGAAATAATACAATAAAGAGAGAAAGGCAGGTAGATAAAGAAGGAGAGAAACAGGGAAAATGGAAAAGGAAGATGTTATGTTCGATACATAACCTTCTAATATACAATTTATAAAATTAAGAACTATAACGAAATATTTTACTCCCCTCTGTAAAATTCTAGATACTTCTTAATATGTTAAAATTCAAAATATTTTATCAGAACTAGAATAATTCCCTTCTTTTAGAAACATTTGCTTCTTAAGATATTCTCATTTTTTCAGTCCTACATATTTGGCACAAATTATTTCCGCGACATATATCAACCTTCTTTTTACTGTCAAATGATTATTTTCTTGCTAATATTGTTTTGTGTAATAGAAAATTGAAAAGGCAGCCTGTGTTTTCCTGGATCCCCACAGCTCACAGCTGGTATCCATCATGCTCTGGATCCCCAAGTGGAATAATTGATGACATGTGGCCTATTTGATTTTGAAGAAATTATATTCTACATGTGGCCTATTTGCTTTTGCTTTAATAAAGCAAAGGGGAAATGTATTAAATTTTATTTGAGTTATTTGAAATATATAACTTGAATTTCTACTTATCATAATTTCTTAAAATGTAAGTGTAGCCAGGCAATTTAAGCATTGCCATCAATGGAGAACAGGCCTTGAATTTTAAATAACTCTAAAGGCACTATACTAAAGTTTTGTTATTATTTTGGGGTTCAGAAATCATACACCTGACAAAGAGTATCTTTAGATTTCGGAGGTGTGAAATGTAGATACTGATAAATAGATGCAATTCTGGAAAGCCTAGCAATCGCCACCCACTGTGCTGAGCTAAATTTAAACAAAAGACGAATAAATCCTACTGGTCATTGGCTAGAACAGTAACATAAATTGATCATTTCAACGATGCGTGCTTTTATATAAGCATAAGAGTGACATAAGCATTTTTAAACAGCTCAAATTATTTGTCAACTGTTGAGAAATTTCAGCTAGGATTTAAAGGAGCACAACATAATCAAATCACTCTACAGTCATACATTGGTGACAAACTGAAAATTAAATTAGCCTGGCAAAGAATTGCTCAACATTGTTAAGTCATCAAATCATCAAATCTCTTCCCAGCAGGGATTTGCTCTGAATAGCCCCATGCTTGCTATTCATTCTTCCCATTCATTATTCTATCATTTCCTCTTTATCCTGCTCCCCTATCAAAAATAATTTCTACCTAGAGCACATTATATGGGAAATCCATAACAAAGCAAGCAAGACACAGGGAAAAAACACAAGGCATGTTAAATTTATTCTGATTGCTCTTCTGTGTACAAAGCCCATGTATCTAGTCACATTTTCATAACTACACTTAAAAGCTTTTACAAGCTTGTGTTGATATCTGAGAGTTACTTATAAATGAATCATATGTAAAAAGTGAAATTAAAATGGCATTCTATGTTTATAGAAGGCAAGGAGACCATTTTCTCTTCTCTCCTCTCACAAGGGTTTTCTTGGAGATATAATGAATCCGAGCCATATTTTAACATTTGGAATAGAGATACACCTCTCTAGGGATTGGGTCCATCATCGGTTTTTACAATGTAGAGATATCACCAAGGTCCAGGCCAGATGACTTCTAAAAGTGTAAAAATGAACCTCTGGAATTAACTCATGAGATATACAGGTGACTGTCAACAAGGTGCAGTTCTTTGTCTCAAGAAGATAAGAAAAGTTGTTCTTTCTTGTGCTTTGCTTTATAAAATATGTTCAGTTTTGGCTGAATTTCATAATCAGTTTCTCATGCTAACTTACATGCATATAAATCTGTTAATGCTTACTTGATAACAGTTTTTGTTCTTTCTCTCTTCTATCTTGGTACAGAGAGGTTGTGTGTGTGTGTGTGTGTGTGTGTGTGTGTGTGTGTGTGTGTGTGTGTCTTTTGACAAGACTTTTATTTCCTCTGCATAGCCAAAGGTGACATGACTCACAGAATTCCACATCAGTTAATTTTAAAAGTTCAACTTGGCCAGGCGCGGTGGCTCACACCTGTAATCCCAGCACTTTGGGAGGCCAAAGAGGGCTGATCACCTGAGGTCAGGAGTTCGAGACCAGCCTGACCAACATGGAGAAACCCCGTCTCTACTAAAAATACCAAAAAAATTAGCTGGGCATGGTGGCACATGCCTGTAATCTCAGCTACTCGGGAGGCTGAGGCAGGAGAATTGCCTGAACCCAGGAGGTGGAGGTTGCAGTGAGTCAAGATGGCACCATTGCACTCCAGCCTGGGCAACAAGAACAAAATTCCATCTCAAAAAAAAAAAAAAAAAAGTTGAACTTAAAGTTGGGGTAGTACAGCAAGTCCTCAGAAATTCTTAAGAAACAAATAATTCTGATAGATATATTGGTAGGACCCTTAGCTATAAATACATTCTAAAATAAGTCAGTTAGAAGACTACACAATCAGTTGAAACTTCAGATGGAGATTCAATATATTACATTGTTAAAGGCATTTTACCTAGATGATCTATAATCTACATTCTTACCTTCCATAATCTACCTTCTGGGAAGTTTTCTCCTGAACTATGCAGCACTGTCCACTATTATTTATTAGAATTATTTATTCCTGTAACTGTCTCTTCTACATGATTCTAAAGTAGTGAAAGCCAAAATCTATCTACCTCTACACTCTGGATACTGAGAACCAAAACCATGCCATACTGTACATTAACATGATTTTGCTATTCCACCATCTCCACTGACATGTCTTTGCTCTTTCTGGACTGTCCTGGTAAAGCAAGTAGTTTGGTTGTTTATTATGGGAACTTCATGAAACGGCTGCCATCTCTTCAATGGAAAACGTTAATAGACAGTTTGTTTTCCACAGTTCTTTGAATTGCCTCAAGATCCTTACTTTGTGGTTTCCATTAATCCTGGACTGTTGTATCACAATTCTGAATCAATCCCAATCAAGCCTTTACGTTGAAAGATCCACATTAAATGAAATTTTTTTACTTCCAATTTGCAGCTAACTTTTGACCTTACGGTTTTCTTTTCTCTCCCCATGAGAAGTATTGCCAAAGCTTTGCGAGATACTGTTCTCAATGTATTTATCTGTATCTATATTTAGATACTATCTTCCTTTTCATCTGTTAAAATACATATCTGAATGACTAGCATATCACATTATCAAAAATGTGCATTAAACAATTTTATGCTTCATAAGTGTACAATGATGACACTTAATAGAAAGATCTCAGAATGATAATTATGGTGGGACAGCTGAGAAAACCACTAAAGGAAAGCTTTTTTGTAATTTTGTAGTAACATAGTAAACTTCACTATCATAGAAAAGTGAAGAGTTTCTTCAAGGAAGAGCAATGTGAGTACTAAACTCAAAACAGTATTCCTTTCACTCATATTTACATGAATTATAAATATTTTTCCAATGTAAAGGAGGAGGGGCAGATCTAACTCTGACCTGAGGGGCAGGCTTGATTCAGGAACAAATTACTTTTCTAATATAGATTTTATCAATTTTACTTCATACATTTTCTAATCTGTATAATGGGGGAATCTTACAGTAGTCTTGAGAAGCTTACATGAATAAAAATATGTGAGTCATTTAGAATAGATCCTCATATACAATGTAAATGTTTTATTAGTGTTACCTATTATTGTGTGCCTTTTGTAATTTTATCTGTTTAATTTTGACCATTAAAGGTGCATTACTAATGTCTTTGTCTCCATTAAGAGGTGTGCAATGTCAAAAAATATACATCAAATTGTGTTAACACAGACTATCTGAGATGACTTTTATTTTCTTCTACTACATTTCTAAGTCAAGTGTTTCTCCCTAAAATGCCTTTTTCCTTTCTTGTGAACTCTTGCCAACTCCATCATGATTACTTTAGCAATGTTAACAATTAAACGCATTTGTGTATTACTTGGAAATAGGTTAACTACTATCTAATTATTGGCATTTTATATTTATATATTTTTCCTGGGTGCTTTTATTCTTTTTGAAGACTGTAAGAAAAATTTTAAGTCTTTGGAATAAGTAAAAGATATTTTGAATATCTTTACACTGGAATACTAGAGCGAGGTTTGGAGATTGAATATATAACCTTCAAAATTAACAAATAACATGAAATGCATGTGTATTGTTGTCTTAGGTTATTTTACAATGCTCTAGAAATTATAACTGAATAAAACTGAAAGTAAACAAATTCTCTTCTATAGATAGACATTTAAATTCTGCCCGTTAGAAGTTTTTTGATACCCCAACCCAAGAAAAAGCCAGTTACATGCCCATTTGCAAATTCATTTTAATATTAAAATAAATTTAATATTTAAAGATAAATATATTTATCTATAAATATGTCTGTTGTTTGGATTTTACTTTGAATTATTTCTAACATTTGCAAGTTGTCTCAATTTATGACTTAAATACATTTTTAATACAAGTTTATTTTATATCTGCATTAGTCATGATTTTCTGTGTGTGTGAAAATTATCCTTTAACAAAATTATTTTTAAAGTTAGTGTGTCTAAGGAATCATTTGATTTTTTTCTTTTTTTACCAGATCATTTTAAGAAAAAAATAAAAATTCTTAAATTATACAGTCATTTAAAAATTGCACTTAAAAAATTATATTTTTAAGGCATAAGTATCAACAATGATCAGACTGCTTCTACCAGGACAGATAACTGTTCAAAGAAGTTTCATTCTTAAATTAATGTAATCCAACATTGTTTGTCGTTGACAGCATTAAGCAGTCAACTTAAATGATTATGTTCTCCAATATTTTTGCTGAAGAAAAAAACCAATTCCAAAACAAAATTAACAAAGACTGTGATATAGTTTAGATCTGTATCCCCACTCAAGTCTCATGTTCAATTGTAATCCTCAATGTTGGAGGTGGAGCATGGTGGGAGATGATTGGATCATGCGGATGGTTTCTAATGGTTTAACACCAACCATCTGGGTGCTCTTCTCATGATAGTGAGTGAGTGAGTTATTAAGAGATCTGGTTGTTTGAAAGAGCGTGGTGCCTCCCTGTCTTCCTTCCTCCTGCTCTGACCTCATAAGATGAGCTTGCTTTCCCTTCGTCTTCCGCTGTGATTGCAGGTTTCCCGAGGCCTCCTCAGAGGTCAAGCAGATGGCCAGCATCATGCTTCCTGTAGGGCAGGGGTACCAAAGCCCCAGGCTACAGACGGGTTCTAGTCCATGGCCTATTAGTAATTGAGCAGCACAGCAGGAGGTGAGCTGCCTGTGAGTGAGCATTGCCACCTGAGCTCCGCCTCTGGTAATTTGAGTAGTAGCATTAGAATCTCATAGGAGCAGGAACCCTATTGTGAACTGTGCATGAGAGGGATCTAGGTTGCACACTCCCTATGAGAATCTAATTAATGCTTAATGATCTGAGGTGGAACAGTTTCATCCTGAAACCATGTGCCCCTGCATCTCTGCCTTACCCGCAGGCCCCGTGTTTGTGGAAAACTTGTCTTCCATGAAACTGGTCCCTGGTGCCAAAAAGGTTGGGAACCACTGCTGTACAGTTTATGGAACCATGAGCCAATCAAAACTCTTTTCCTGGCTGGGCGCGGTGGCTCACGCCTGTAATCCCAGCACTTTCGGAGGCCGAGGGGGAGAATCACCTGAGGTGGGGAGTTCGAGACCAGCCTGACCAACATGGGGAAACTCCATCTCTACTAAAAATACAAAATTAGCCGGCCGTGGTGGCAAGTGCCTGTAATCCCAGCTACTTGGGGGGCTGAGGCAGGAGAATCGCTTGAACCTGGGAGGCGGAGGTTACAGTAAGCCAAGATCATGCCATTGCACTCCAGCCTGGGCAACAAGAGCGAAACTCCATCTCAAAAAGAATAAATAAATAAATATAAAAATAATCTCTTTTCTTTATAAATTACCTAATCTCAGATACTTCTTTATAGCAGTGTGAGAACTAATACAGACTGTTTATGCGTAAATCATGGCAAAGGGTTCCATCTGCCATCACCTTTATTTTAGTAGGGTTTCAAAAGTGATATAGAAAAGAAGTTTTTCAGAGTAAAAAAAAGACTGAGAGTCTCTGATTAATAAGCACTTCTATTAAGGGGGAATTTTGGAAGTGGGAGACTTTCCACTTGGTGTTCAGTTACATTGGAAGTCCTTGGTTGGCATCAATAGGGGAAGTGACAAGTTTGGAAACATTTTCAAAGAGAAAGTCATGTTCACTGGTAAAGGGAGAAACTTTTCTCTGGCTGACCGTATCTAGGAACGATATCCTGAAGTGGGGTTTATGGGGAGCTTCTGGTGGTCAAATTGTCATAATAGCCCTGGGCAGCTGGGGAGGGAGTTGCCTGGTAAGTGGCTCTTGGTCTCTGTAAGTTTTTACCTTAAAGCCCTGTTTTTTTCTTTCTTATTATGCATTTTGGTTAACTGTTCAATATGCTATTTTTGATGTTGTTTCTTGGCTTTATACATTACTATTTAAATTTTAATAAATATGTATTCTGTGTTTTCCAAGATATATACTTTTATTGCAATAACAGCATCCTCTATGTTTTATATTATTAAGAGTAGAGATTGAAATCTCAATGGCTAATGAAGCTAAAAAGTTAATTGAGAGGCATGTGTGTGTGTGTATAGCTCAATACATTAGTTATTTTTAAAATAAACCACACATAGTTTAATTGCCTTATTACATTACTTTTGTATCATTTATTTCAATATTTCAAGTGTAACCTCTATTCCACCCATATTGTTGCTGCCATTTAAAGCAAACAATTGCATTTGTTTAGTTGTAAGTAGGGATTAATTAATTTACCAAGAAAGATTTTATGTTAATCCCTAGGACTGATTTTTCCAATAATACCTGTGTCTCTCTGCACAAAGGCATTAGTTCCACAACATAATCTTAAAACCCCTTAAAGTTCTGATAAAAAGTTACATGAGAAGACAAAATCATATGCACAATATGTAGTGATTAAATGTCCAAGTTTACAGTGCCTGTTATGTTTTTGTTTCTTTTAATTTTTATCATGGGTAGAAAGAATAAAGAAAAATGACTTAATAAATAAGCAGAGACTACAATTTTTGAAGAATTCTATACACATAAAGATGAAAACAAACCTGCCGGAAGCAATCCTTGGAGAAAAGATCTGCATGAAAACATATCATACACATTGAAAATATACATTTAAAATTTACACATACAAGGTGAAAGAGGAAGTGGAGTTAAGTAAGTGGAGATAAGGCATATGCAATGGCAGATGACCTCCATTAAGCCACAGACGTACAAAGGTATTGACAAAAGAGATTGCAAAACTCAAACTCTTATTGCCTCTTCAGAAACACATATTGTGATTCTTCACCAGGAATCATGCACCCATTTATTGCATGTCTCAGAAAAGCCACAAGTATCAGCAGGAGAAAATGATCCAGAGAAATGTGGCCTGCTCTTTACAAGAGCTGAACTGAAAATAACAGTGGACTGTAAATATTGATTTAATGCCTACTCATTATTAAACAATATGCCTGTGGACATGCGATTATTGGTTTAGAGGAGTAGGCAGTGATAAATATGAATCTTTCATACTGGAAATCTAAGCGTTTGCATTAACATTTGACTCAGGGACCATAGTATCTGTAGATCATCAATATAAAAATATACACTCTGAATTTGTTCACAAGTGCACTCTCAAAAAGAAGCCAGACTGTGGGCATAGCAGCCTAGAAATTTAATTTTTTAAAAAGGCACACATGAAGAGGAAAACATGTACTCTTACCCAAACAACACGGAGAGGATTGATGTTCTGAGAAGTTACATGGGTTAGTTATTTGCTTGAAAACACGTGCTTGCCAAAACACTAGGAATAGCAGTGGATTTTTTTTTTTTTTATATATGGGAAAGCATTTCAGCCTAAGAAATACAATAGATGAATAGAAGCTTTTTCTGATTATGTAATACTAATAAGACTATTGTATATTAAATGCAATTATACATCAAAATTCCCTCTCCCCAGAATATAGCCACTACACACACAGACACACACACACACACACACACACACACACACACACACACACACAGAAAGAGAGAGAATGTGATGGGAGGACTGGACTTTGTAGAGATAAATCCTTTAAAATGTTATTTTGTGTTGGCTGCTGGTGGGAGGGATTCTTACAGTCAAGGGAGACATGGTTTTAAATTATATATGTCAAATAATGTGGATTATGGAAAGTATTAGAACTTGCCTATACTAGCAGGTAAATAACAAAAAGTTTGCCAATAATACATACATAGATAAAATTATATATAAAATATAATATATAACTAAAATATAATATATAATTTATATGTAATTATATAAATTATATTATACAAATATATAAATTATATATAATGTATCTTTATCTAATATTTATATGGATATTAAATACCTATATATTTGTATATCTAATATATATAATTTTTATATAATTATAAATATAATTGTATCTATATATTTATCTAATTATATCAATGTATAAATTTTATATCAAATATAAATGTATACATAGCATATATAAAATATAAGCATATGTATAATATATAATTTGTTTATATGTTATATAAACATATACCATGTTTATGTGTTATATATGTTTATATATTATATATAAAATTAGGTATTTGATAGTAGATAAAATTAGCTTGTAATTCTCAGTTTCTGCATAAAACTCTAAGAAGTTAGTTTGTCGAGATTCATTAATTAGGCTAAAAATGGAAATATCTAGGACTTACAAATGTTTTTCTATATTGCCTTATTATATATATTATATTTAGCAGTATATCTGAACAAATTGCAGCATTACCAAAAATATTTACAATAAAATATTTTCATGTTATATATCTATTAAACGTCTTCCTAATTAATTAAAAATCTCATCAAGAAACCTATGAATGTCTTATTTTTCTGCCTTAGTTGTTTTGTATTCTTCATATATTTCAAAAGTTCTACAGTTATGCAGATAGATCATCTTGTTATGCAAGTATTTATACCATATACTAGATCTATCCAAGATGTAAATTATCAATAAATATCTCTCTTTCAATCTACAATCCAAGCATTTTATGATTATTGATTCATTACCTAAAACTAAAAATATAATTATTTGAGGATATAAATTATATTTGATAAATAACTGTTTCATTTAGTATTTCCAAGTCAAAATTATGATAAATACACTTGATTTATTAAAAGAACATTCCTAGTTGAAAACTTCAGGAAAAAAATTAGGAAAGACTTTTCTTCTTCTAGAACCTTGATGTACTATCTGAAGCTCGTAATTCTGATTTTCTTCATTATTTAGTAACACAAATATTACCATAATTTTGACTAATGCCTGATACTGAGTGTTGATATTAAGTTCTATGACTATTTTTCTGTGATAGATGAATTGTCTGTGTTGCGTAGAACAATATGCATACCAGGAAGCATGTATATTGGCCCCATGGAGCCCCGTTTGTTGGAGAAAATTCATGTGTTTTCCCCATTGACCCATCATTTGGGAGCAGTGTGTAGTGATTGGTAGAGACAGAATCCAGAGAGGGGCCCTGACTCTCTATTTGTAGAACGTAATTGGGGAAGCACCAGCACGTGCCATGATGTGATAATAGCTATGATAAGACAGCAATGTAGCATGACAGAACATTGGCTACAACCTTAGCTGTTACCTCAGCTTTTACAATTGAAAACAGAGTCAGATTCTCTCTGGAATAATTAGGAGACAGAAAACGAAGCCTTGTGTTTGATCAAAATTGACTGCCTTAGTCATGGAGCCTGTTTTAATTAACCTTTTTAATAAGCCAGATTTTTGTTTTCTGGGAAGCCAATCTTTAGGGGACTACTCTTGGATAATTTAAATGTACCACGCCACTCAGAAATATACGTAACATGTAATGTTCATCCATTTAGAATATTTTAGAGTATCCTTTGCATAGAGTCAAATGTTTCACTTGGTATAAAAACATATTTCATTACATTAATTTAGTGATTACTAGATTAAGCTGGGAAACTACTTCCGTTTATGGCCAAATAGTCATCTTTCACAGTGATTACCATGCTTAAAAATTTGATGATGAGGAGAATCTTTCCACATTTGTTTTATTCTTCTTGCAATAGCCCATTCTTGTTATAAATACCCCAAGTATTTTAAAGACTGCAACCAGAGGTTCTATGTTCTATTCCTCTGGAATATACAATTGACTTAGTACTTGCTGGTTCTCTTTAGCTACTGCAAATATACCTATTTATTCTTTAGTCCCTAATAACACAGAGAACAAACCTGGCAATAAGAAAGTTGAAGACTACGTTTATTTTATCTTATTGTATTTTTTTTTAGTTCCCAGATATCTGTTCTTATATTGCTGGTACACAGAAAGAAACTGTGAGCCTCTCTAAGCAGCATGCTCCCCCTTTTGTTACCTCTTGAAGTGCCTCCAATTCATCATGTATATTCTGGGCCAAGTCTGTGTATTAAAAAAAAAAGATAGGAGGTGGTACCAGGAAGAACAAATCACAGTCTGTAATTTATTGGTTGTGTGACATTAAATATGTCCCTTCACCATTTTGAACCATGGTTTTCTTACCTATAAAGTAAAAATAAGATCTACCTCTTGGGGTTTATGTGACAATTACATAAAGTGTGTGTGTCCGTGCATTTCTGAGCAGAATGACTGACAGTGCTACAGTACCTTAGTGGTACCAAGAAGAGTGCTTATTGTTTTTTGTTTTGTTGTTGTTGTTGTTTTTCATGTATCACAAGTGCTTTTTTCATGATTTTTTTTCAAAATACCTCATCTAAAGGTATAGAATTAGGGATTTTTCAGGTAAAGTAAGAAATGCAACAGCCATTATGGGAAAAAATCCATATACCCACTTTTGATTTTTAGCCCAGGCACATCAGAACTGACTACATTTCTAATTAAACTTCAAGAAATAATGTTCACATTAAATAAGTCTGTAAAACCAAAGCACTGGAAGATAATGTAAAATATTATTCATAATATTATATTCAAAATGAAAATTTATAAGGCCAATATTTATCTATTGTCTTTTCTAAATAATGTTTTCAGAGACAGGATTTGTGCTCTTTCCATTTTGCTTTCTGGGCAAATATATTTGGAAAAATAAAATGGTTTCCTATATCTAATATTTAAAAACTAATAGAAATGAAATTCAAATGATTTCCCAACTAGTTGTCAATAGTCTTACAAAGTCCCTTTAAATGTATTTTTCTTGTAAAATACATTTTACAAGATGTAAAAATATATTGTAAAATATATTTTTAATCTTCTGAGTGTTCATAATACTGATAAGCTAAATAGTATATAATTTTCAAAAACATTCAAGGACGTAAATTTGATTTTTTTTTACTTTTCCTGCTCCATTGTCGTTAGTCAAGAACTATTGAATCAAGACATATAGACACAGTACTCTAGTTTCCTGTGATTCCTATAATATCTTCTTCAGTAATTATTTTGAAGGCTCTTTCTATTCTGTCTCCAACTTTTTCTAGCCAGAATCCCCATACAGTCACCAAAACACTCTATACTCTCATCTATGTTATTATTCTATAAACTTGTTAAAATCCATGCTATTGTTTAATCATCCAAAAGGATGATAATTGCTGAGCGCAATGGCTCACATCTATAATCCCAGCACTTTGGAAGGCTGAGGCAGGAGGATCACATTGAGACCATGAGTTCCATCTGGACCAGCTTGGGCAACATGGCAAGACATTGACTTTACAAAAAAATAATTAAAATATTAACCAGGCATAGTGGTGTACACCTGTAGCCCCAGCTTCTTGGAAGGCTGATGTGGAGGATCACATGAGCTCAGAAGGTTGAAGCTGCAGTGAGCTATGATCTTGCCACTGCACTCCACTCTTTAATTCTAATCCCCACATGTCAAGCGAAGGACCTGGAGGCAGGTGATTGCATCATGGGGGTGGTTTCCCCCATGCTGTTCTTGTGGTAGTGAGGGAATTCTCACAAGATCTGAAGGTTTTAAAAGTGGCAATTTATCCTGTGCGCTCTTCCTCCTGGCACCTTATGAAGAAGTTGCTTGCTCCTCCTTCACCTTTTGCGATGATTGTAAGTTTCCTTCTCTCCAGCCATGTAGTTCTGTGAGTCAATTAAACCACCTTTGTTATAAATTATCCAGTCCCAGGTAGTATCTTTAGAGCAGTGTAAAAATGAACTAATACAGAGAATTGGTACCTGGAGTAAGGTACTGCTATGAAGACAAACCAAAAATATGGAATCAATTTTGGAACTGTGTAACAGGCAGAGGTTGGAACAGTTTGGAGGGCTTGTAAGAGCATAGAAAGATGTGGGAAAGTTTGGAACTTCCTAGAGTTTTGCTAAATGGTTTTCAACAAAATGCTGATGGTGATATGGACAATGAAGTCTAGGCTGAGGTGGCCTCAGATGGAAATGAGGGACCTTATTGGGCACTGGAGCGAAGGTCACTCTTGCTATGCTTTGGCAAAGAGACTGATGGCATTTTGCCACTGGCCTAGAGATCTGTGGAACTTTTAACTTGAGAGGGATGATTTAGGATATCTGGCAGAAAAAAATTTCCAAGCAACCCAGCATTCAAGAGTAAGTTGATTTTTCTGAAGGCATTCAGATATATGCATACACAAATATATGGTTTAAAATCAAAACTTAAGTTTGAAAGGGAAGCAGAGCACAGAAGTTTGGAAAATTTGCAGCCTGGTCATGTGTTAGAAAAGAAAACCCTATTTTCTGGGGAGGAATTTGAGCAGCCTGCAGAAATTTGCGTAAGTAATGAGGAGCTGGATGTTAATAGCCAAGACAAAGGGGAAATTTGTGATATTTGCAAATACCACAGATATTTGCAGCAGCTCCTCCCATCACAGGCCCAGAAGTCTAGGAGAAAAAATGGCTTTGTGAGGAGGGCCCAGGACCTCACTGCTCTGTGCACCCCTAGGACATGGTGTCCTGCATACTAGCTGCTCCAGCTGCAGCTAAAAGGGGTCAAGGTACAGCTTGGGCCATTGCTTTAGAGGATGCAGGCCCCAAGCTTTGGTGGTTTCTATGTGGTATGGGTTCTGTGGGTGCACAGAAGATGAGAGTTGGGCTTTTGGAACCTCCACCTAGATTTCAGAGGACGTATGGAAACACCTGGATGTCCAGGCAGAAGTCAGTTGCAGGGGTGGGGCCCTCATGGACAACCTCTGCTAGTGCAGTGCAGAGAGGAAATGTGCAGTTGGAACCTACACACAGAGTCCCCACTGGGGCACTGCCTGGTGGAGCTGTGAGAAGAGGGCCACCACCCTCCAGACTGCAGAAAGGTAGACCCACTGACAGCTTGCAACATATACCTGGAAAAGCCACAGGCACTCAACACCAGCCCTTGAAAGCAGCCTCAGGGGCTGTACCCTGCAGAGCCACAGAAGCAAAGCTGCCCAAGGCCATGGGAGTCCACCACTTGCAACAGCATGACCTGTAAAACAGGGAGTCAAAGCAAATTTGGGAGCTTGAAATTTTAATGACTGCCCAGCCAGATTTCAGACTTGCATGGGGCCTGTAGCCCCTTTGCTTTGGCCAGTTTATCCCATTTGGAATGGGAACATTTACCTAATACCTATACCCCCATTGTATATTGGAAGTAACTCATTTGTTTTTGATTCTTCAGACTCATAGGCAGAAGAAACTTGCCTTGTCTCAGATGATGCTTGGGACTTGGACTTTTGGGTTAATACTGGAATGAGTAAAGACACTGGGGGACTGTTGAGAAGGCATGATTGGTTTTGAAATGGAAAAAGGACATGAGATTTTGGAGGGGCAAGGGACAGAATGATATGGTTTTTTCTGTGTTCCCACCCAAATCTCATCTTAAATTTTATTCCCCATGTGTCAAGGGAAGGACCAGGAGGGAGGTCGTTGGATCATGGGGGCAGATTCCCCCATGCTGTTCTGGTGATAGTGAGGGAGAGCTCAGGAGATCTGATGGTTTTAAAAGTCGCAGTTTCCCCTGCACTGTCTGTCTCTCCTGGCCCCTTGTGAAGAAGTTGTTTGCCTCCCCTTCATCTTCTGCCATGATTGTAAGTTTCCTGAGGCCTCTGCAGCCATGTGGAACTGTGATTCATTTATAATTCAATAATAGAATTCAATAATAGAACTGAGTTCTATTATTACTTCCTGGCATGTGTGCAAATTTCTCCACAGTCAGACTGTTACTAAGGAAAGAAACCTAGATTTAATCAGCTGTATTTAATCATAAATCAGGAACATAAATTATGATATTATGTTCTTAATTTACTGTTCAAAACTTGCATTTCTTCACAACTGAGATTCTTGCTAAAGAAAAATAACACTAAATTTATAAAATAAATTAATGCAATCAATTTTTCATATAGCAAGATGCTTCTTAAGTCTCTACACCTTGGTTAAGAGAGTAGAAACTAATCTATCTTTTAACTCAAATTTTAAATTAAAGTGGCTTGGAGTCTATTTTCTTCCTCTGCCATTTTTTTTCATCAATTGATTACTATTTAAGCCTTGTCCTAGCTCTGTTGCCACTTTCCTTTAATTAGTTGGCATATACTATGTGACAGGTATTATAAAGATATGTTCTTATTTTATTTTTATTTAATGTTCATGCAATTTTGAAAGTGTGTTATAAATCCCCATTTTTAGATGTAGGAGAAAACTGAAGCTCAGAAAATGCTAAGTGCACTTTATGCAAATTAATAAGTAATGGATCTATAATTCAAATTTGTATTTCTAAAGGTCCTAGATTCCCCCACGGGATTGTGCCACAGTTGAAAATATCATGTTATTAATAACCATTTGCTATTCAAACTCTGCCATACTAAAATCTTCTTCATATCACAGCCAATAATTTGCATACTCAGCAGAGAACAGTGGCTATTAATTAATCACATGTTATTCTGCCATGTATTGTACAGTACGTTGTATGTGCTCACTCCAGAATAAATGCTCTTTTTAAAGAAATTCTGGAGAAGAGATAATTGTCACAAAGGTGCATAAGAATTTATGTCCTTAATGACAACTAAGGAAAATAAACTCTGTCAGATTATCTATACTCAGAATCAATTCCATCCCCTTTAGTTTTCTCCATTCTATCACAGGGTCTGGAAGTCTAAGAACTATATTTTTCAAAATCTCTCTGCAGCGGAGTTTCAAGTTAGAGTGCACCAATGATAGGCGGTTTCACAAGGAAATGTGGGAGGCAGAAGTATTTCCTTTAGCAACAGCAGGCAGCCATGGGCTCTATCAGGGATGTGATTGTGTACCAGCTGCTGGGCCTTCCATGTGAATTTCACTTTCTGAGTGTTTCAGATCACTGTGAACATTGTGGACAGCCTCCTGACCTATAACAGAAGCAACTTCCTGATTATATTACCAAGTCTGAGCTAGTAGTGAGATAACTTGATCACTCCTCCAGCATTTTCAGTTGTTTTGCAAGTAGCTCATTTCCTGTGTGAAATCTCTCATAGTTTAAACATTCTAGAGAGGCTTTTGTTTTCCTGATTGTACTCTGACTGATATAGGAGGACAAGAATAGTGGCAAAATATAATGTGTTAGTTTCCACTTATAAGAAGCTTCAAGTCTAGAGAAAGAAAGGTTTAACAATATTTTTATTTATTCAGTGGGCATTATCAACTGAGAAATACTTCCCTCATGCATTCTGAGGTGGGACTTAACCTCTCTCCACACTAGACAAAATTATATAAATGTAACACCACCCCCCATGACTTCATACCAGGACCACAAAACCTAACTACTTTCTAGACTCTCCATCAACTCCTCAATAGTTCTGTCCTCCAAGAGGTGGCAATTGTACTTTTCTTTGAATTTATGTCACTTCTATAACGGTTACATTGAAAAAAAGAAGAAAAAAATCATGTTTTAACATCACTATCTCCTGCCATTTTCCTTCTCATACTTGCTTCCTTATTTTCAATTATTTACCAACACTTGCCCAGCTCATATGGTAAAACATACATTCGAGGAGTAGGATACAATTAACTAAGGCCTTATCAAATTATTTATATAACGTCTCAATAAAAGACATTTGTGCCAGGATAGACAAAGTGAAGAACTGTCGCATTTCCCACCAAATCTTCAAAAAGTCATTTTCAAATAATAGAACATGATATATTAATTTCATTGAAGTAAATATTTTTCTTCTAGCTATTTCTTAAGTGAGACAGGACTTTTGATGGTACTAATAGGCAGTTCCCGGGTTTCAATATTTACTTAAAGCACTTGTTATCTGCTATTATATTCTTAGTTGTTACTATTATTATCTTTATTCTAAGGGATGTGTTTTCAACCCATTTCTAACAAAGGTTATTCTGATTCATTTTTAACTTTGAAAGAGCTTTTATAAAATAATATGCTTTGTGTAGGAAGATCCAATTCAGTAGATCCTTTTCTCTCTTTAATATGATGCACTTAATGTTGTGAAGCTTTCTATGATTTTCTCCTTACCTTTTGGGGGTAAAAACCAGGTCTGGAACTGGAAAAAATGTAGACATCTAATTACTTCTATATACTTCAAAGGAACAAGTAAGTTTACTTCTAAAAGAGCTGATAAAAGTTGTTCTGGCAAATAAGTTCTGACAGTTAATGGAACTAATTTACAAGTAAAGAGATGTGAGAAATAAATTGTTCCATGGGTATAGGAACTTTAAAATATTGGAGTCATGGAGGTGAACATCTAAAATTGCTCTATCTTCATATTAGAAAATAGCAATTTAGAAAATATCATTTATTTAAAGCTTAAGAAAAACATGTTCTATTCACAGCATAAGGCCGATGGGGATGGGGAAACACCATAATCTATTAGACTCTCCTTTATATGTCCAAGTACCTAGATAACTAGAATTCATTTAATCATATAAGCCCAAAATATAAATACCATCCTAGACATAAGGAAATCAGTGAATATGTCTGACTTGGGAATTTATTCATTGATCACATCTATTATCTTCTTGAAATACTTTTTTTAGTGGGGTTATGGGGTTATGAAAATGATAAGTAGTATTAAATAACCAAAAATGTATATTAAGGCAAGAGCCACACTTCGAGATGTAAGCCTATCTAGAAATTATGAATTGAACCAAAATATATTTTGTTTCCTTCTATTTCTCTATATCCATTAAGACTGAGATTTCCAATGATTAGAACAGAGATGTTGATGATTCTAAAAAATATACTGTGAAATTATTTTTGAAAACAATTAAGTTACTATTGGGAAATAAAATCTCATTTAAGAAATATAGAGAAGTTCCATGTTCTGTTCCCAGGATAACACAATATTAAAGGACTTCTGAAAATGGGCTAAGACTGTGTAGCAATTTTGAAAGGTAATTTACTTCTTAGATTCCTTAGGGTTTTTGTTTTGTTTTGTTTTTTTGTTTTTTTTTGTTTGTTTTTTTTGAGACAAAGTCTTGCTCTGTTGCCTAGGCTAGAGTGCAGTGGCACGATCTTGGCTCACTGCAATCTCCACCTCCTGTGTTCAAGTGATTATCCTGACCTACCGAGTAGCTACCTACTGGAGTAGCTGGGATTACTTGAGTAGCTTGGAGTCACCTACCGAGTAGCTGGCACTACAGGCGCCCACCACTATGCCTGGATAATTTTTGTAATTTTAGTAGAGATGGGATTGGGCCACGTTGACCAGGCTGGTCTTGGACTGCTGACCTCAGGTGATCCACCCCCTTCATCCTCCCATTGTGCTGGGATTACAGGGTGAGCCACAGCACTCAGCCAAGTATTTGTTAATAGGATACTTTTATCCAGTGTACGCAAAAAATTTCCAAAGGAAACCTGTCTATCCACAATTGGACATACTTATCTGAAATTAATTTGATCTGATCCTCCCAAAATGATAGTATATAATATGAGAACAAAGAGCATAAACTTGAATTTCAAAAAATATTAATGTTTTTGAAAAATGAAATATTTTTAATTTTAAACACATTTTAAAGTATTCATTATTGTTATTATTGTATTTAAGTAAGTATAGATTAGTTGATCAATCTGTATTTTCTAAATTGTGCAAATTTATATTTAACACCCTCCCAAAACACTTTGTTTCAATGCATTTTATTTTTAATAGCATTTATGACACTGCTTAACATACAGATATTCTTATTCTCTGTAAGTTTATATTGAAAACAATTTTCTAGAACTATTAAAGTATTTTGTAAAAATATCTGTTGAACCAATAGTGAGCTCCTATCGTAAGAAATCAAAAACACAGTAGCAAATGACTTCTCTGAGATACTGTAATGATGAATGGGTTGGCAAATTGTGTTCCTGAGATGGTTTCCAATGCTGGCAATACATTAGAGTTATCTGGTAAGCATCTAACAAATAAATATGTCTTTCAACTCAGATCTGATGAATAGAAATATATAGGGTGCAGGTTCCACGCATATGTATTGGTAATAAACTTTTTAAGCGATATGATCTACCTGGTTTAAAAACAATAACTGAGTATCACAGGATTCAATTTTTTAAAAGACATATATGCATCAAATAGCTTTTACTCAGGTAAACAATCTACATGGAATAAGTCAAGTTTCAGGTGCATCACTGAGTTGCAGAATCCTGAATTGTTAAGATTAATACGAAATATAGTCTTTCCATTTCAGCCTAGTTATGAAGTGATTTGAATTCTAGCCCTTGGGGAAAATGAGCTCTATAGTTTCATTCTCACAGTCCAGTATTCATATCTACATTCAGTAAAAGTTTACTGAACACCTTCTGGGGTCAAGGCAATAGTCTCTTGAACTCCTTGACATGTTAGAGTTGTTGCTCTTTAAATTCTATCCCCTTCTCCTAGAATCCCCTCTACTCATCTCTTTTCTTGGCACTAAGTCTTTCAAAGAACTGATTACTTCAAGTGACCCATCTAATCTCAAAATTCCATGTTCAATGATAAAAGTTGCGGAGCAGGATAAATACACACAGGTAGCAGCTCTGCCTCTTTGAGACATTTTTAGCATGACCTGTGTCCTGGGACCTGTCCAATCACTGCACAACAGAACAAAAAACAGTAGCTATTCTCAGGCTTTTAAAAAATAATATTTAATTTTTATTGGACATAGTAGGTGTATATATTTATCAGACATTTTCATACAAGCATAAATGCATAATAATCACATAAAAGGAAATGAGGTATCCAGCACCTCAAGCATTTACCTTTTCTTTGTGTTATAAACAGTTCAATTATGCTCCTTTAGTTATTTTTAAATCCACAATTAAAGTATTGCTCACTGTAGTCACCTTGTTGTGCTATCAAATACTAGATTTTATTTATTCTATCTAATGATATTTTCATACCCATTAACCATCCCCCGCTTATACCTACTCTCACCCCCAGTACTCTTCACAGCCTCTGGCAGCCATCATTCTACTCTCTAACTCCATGAGTTCAATCGTTTTAATTTTTAGCTCCCACAAATAAGTGAGAAAATGTGAAATTTGTGTTTCAGTACCTGGCTTGTTTCACTTAACATAATGGTCTCCAGTTACATCCATGTTGTTGCAATTGACAGAATTGCATTCTGTTTTATCGCTGAATAGTAATCCATTGTGTATGTGTACCACATTTTCTTTATCCATTCATCTGTTTATGGACACTTAGGTTGCTTCCAAATCTTATAATGAATTCTTGCTATTATGAATAGTGCTGCAGTAAACACAGAAGTGCAGCAATCTCTTCAGTATACTGATTTACTTTATTTTGCGTACACACCTAACAGTGGAATTGCTGGATCATATGGGAACTCTATTTTTAGCTTTCTGGGGAACCTGCAAACCGCTCTCCATAGTGGTTATACTAATTTGTATTTTTCGATTTGATGTTACCATGAAGCTTACAAATATCTTATAACCCATTATTTTAAACTGATGATAACATGGCATTGATTGTATACACAAAGAAATAAACCAACAAACAAGCAAAACTAAAACTAACACAAACTCTGCACTTTAATTCCATCCAAATCCCTGCTTTTTATCTTATTTTGGTTCTACTTAATATCTTATTATACTATGTCTTGAAAACTTGTAGTTATGTTTGATTAGTTTATCTTTTAGCCTTTCCACCCAAGATATGAGTAGTTCATGTACCACTATTATAGTGCTGTAATATTCTGTATTTTTCCATAGATTTACTATTAGCAATGAGATTTGTACCTTCACATTATTTTTTATTGCTCATTAATACCCATTTCTTTTAGACTGAAGAACTCCTTTTAGTACTTATTGTGAGACAGGTCTGGGGTTGATGAAATCCTTCAGCTTTTGTTTGTCTGGGAAAGTTTTTATTTCTCTTTTGTGTTTGAAGAATATTTCGGCTGAATATGCTGCTCTAGAATTAAAGTTTCTTTTTTTTTCCTCTCTCTCTCTTTGGTCCTTTAAATATGTCATGCCACTCTCTTCTGGCCTGTAAGGTGTCACAGAGATTTCTGCTGCCAGACATGTTAGACCTCCATTGTATGTTATTTTTTTTTCTATTGCTGCTTTTAGGATCCTTTCTTCTTCCTTGACCTTTGAGTGTCTGATTATTAAATGCTTTGAGGTAGCCTTCTTTGGATTAAATCTGCTTGGTGTTCTATTATATTCTTATAATTGAATATTGACATATTTATCTAGGTTTAGAAAGCTCTCTGTTGTTATCCCTTTGAATGAGTCCCTATCCTTCTCTACCTCCTCTTTTAGGCCAATAATGCTTAGATTTGCCCTTTTGAGGCTATTTCTAGATTTTATAGGCATGTTTTATTATATTTTATTCTCTTTTCTTTTGTCTCCTCTTACTGTTTATTTTCAAATAGACTGTCTTCAAGCTTACTAATTCTTTCATCTGTTTGATCAGTTCTGCTAGTAAGGGACTCTAATGCATTCTTTAGTATGTTGATTGCATTTTTCAGCTCCAGAATTTCTGCTTGATTCTAATTATTTTACTCTCTTTGGTAAATTTATCTGATAGAATTCTGAGTCCCTTCTCTGTGTTATCTTAAATTTTATTTTGTTTCCTCAAAACAGCTATTTTAAATTATCTTTCTGAAAGGTCACATATCTCTGTTTCCCTATGATTAGTCCCTGGTGGCTTATGGAGTTCATCTGGTGAGATCACGTTTTTCCAGATGGTCTTCATGCTTGTGGATGTTTGTCAATATTTAGGCATTGAAAAGTTAGGTATTCATTGCAGTCTTCACAGTCTAGGCTTATTTGTACCTATCCTTCTTGGGATGGCTTTCCAGGTATTTGAAGGGACTTAGGTGTTGTGATCTAAGATTTTGGTCACTGCAGCTATATCTTCCTAGGGGGTCCCCCCAAGCCTAGTAATGCTGTAGTTCTTACAGACTCATATAGATCATCCTGGTAAGTCTTGGATAAAATTCAGCAGAATTCTCTGGATTATCAGGAAGAGACTTTTGTTCTCTTCCCTTATTTTCTCCCAAACAAATGGACCCTCTTTCTCTTTTTGTTAAGATGCCTGGAGCTGGGGGAGGGCTGACCAAAACACTCCCTTGGCTGCCCTGGTTGGTGTCTAACTGGGTTACATGCACCCCAAGTCCACTGGCTTTAAGACCAGTGTAGCACCAGGACTTTCCCAGGAATTGAAGTCCTTGTGACCTAGACTGTCTTTCAGGATTATGTAGGACCCCAGTGCACTTTGTAGTGCAGTAGTAAGGCTTGCCAGAACTCAGTTTCCAACTGCTGACATGGGCAATTCCCCTCTAGCTAGGGCTTGTCTAAATGCTGCCTCTGTGGGCGCTGGCTGAATTCTGCCCGGTATTACTTTCCACTGCGACAGAGTAGCACTAAGTTCCAATGCAAAATCCCACAATCCTTGCACTCTCTCTTCCTCAAGTGCACAGATTCTCTCTCTGTGCCATGCAGCCACTCCTAGGGGGATGAAGGAGGGTGATGTCAGCAGTTCAATACTCAAATGAGTTTTTCAGTAACATAAAATTAAAACTAAGTACTGTAATTACTCATCTAATTTTTGGTCTTATGAAAGTGTTTGTGTGTGTGTGTGTGTGTGTGGGTGTGTGTGTGTGAATAGTTCAATTTGGCATTCCTGTGGGGAGGACAATCAGTGAAGGCTTCTATTTGGCCATCTTGCTCCACCTCCTTGTGTTCTCAGTCTCAATTCAGTGCTGCATCTACCTCACTTTAATGAATCTATGAAAACCATTTCCAGGTTCTTTACAGTTAGGAATATTTATGAAAAAAAATTCAGAAGCATGACAAACTATAGAGATGCTAAATCAACTAGAGAGCATTCACAATGGTTTGTGAGAGAAAAAAAAAACAAAACAAAACTGAGGATATGCAAAACTTAATATAAATGATTCCTTTGTATAAATATGGTAAGCCACTTCTCATTTAACCATCTTTGCCCCAACATGTTTATTATAAAACCTGCATTTTAAACAGGATTTGCTCAATTTACTAAGGGCTTGAGTTTATGGTAATGAAAAAGAGTTCTCATAACTAACTCAGCCCAGGAGAGGGAAAGTTAGAAAAATCTTCGTGGAGGAGAACTGGCCTTATGTTTAGAGTTTGTGGGAGCTGCTATGTTCATATTTAATATGTGGTGCCTTTGGAACATCCAGATGTAGGTGGCAATTAATGATTTTCTGACAGGGGTAGATCTACATTTTTGAGAAGCCCCCTTAAAGGGAAAAATATATAACTCTGATTACAAAATTAGATACACAGTGAATACTTATAAAGAACTATAAAAAAGGAATAATACATTATCAACTTTAAAGATCTGGCAAGTGTCAAATTATTTTAAAATCCCCCAAAGTAACTTAATTGAAGCATTTAATTAGAGGAATGACTCACCTCTGTAACACTGTTTGGCTTACCTTTTTAGTGGTATGCTGTTAGGCCACCTCACTCACAACAACAATTCTGTAGTAAGATTCTCTATAGAGAGGAAAGAAAGATGATCCAGTCTTTCCTTTAAGTAGTTGATTGAAATTTAGTTTCTATTATTATAGTTTAGAAAAGATTTTTCCAAGTTCACAACCTTTATTGAAAACCTGTCCTTAGTTTTCTTTGTAGTTTCTTATGCAGGTTATGCTTCTTGCCCAGGGAAAAGTCTTATGGAAGCATTAGCCTTTTCTTTTACTTCTTTTCTTTTCTTTTTTTTTTTTTTTTTTTTTTTGAGAAGGAATCTCACTCTGTGGCCCAGGCTGGAGTGCAGTCGTGTGATCTCGGCTCACTTCAACCTCCGCCTCCTGAGTTTAAGTGATTCTCCTGCCTCAGCCTCCTGAGTAGCTAGGACTACAGGCGCATGCCACCACGCCCAGCCAATTTTTGTATTTTTAGTAGAGATGGGGTTTCACCATGTTGGCCAGGATGATCTCGATCTCCTGACCTCGTGATCCACCTGTCTCAGCCTCCCAAAGTGCTGGGATTACAGGTGTGAGCCACCATGCCCAGCCCATTCTAGCCTTTTCAATGCACTTGGAATGATTCTCATTCTCATTTGGCTAAGCCAGAACTCCCCTGCTTTTCTTCTATTTCCTGAGCTCCTAGAGCATGGGGAGGGTAGAAAAGGGGGTCATGATGCTGGGTTTAGTGGCTTTCAAACAGAGAGTAGAACAGTGTCTAACATAAGCCTTTTCTGTGAGTTCAAATGTAGGATCCAGAAGTTTGATAAGATGGAACAAGGCAGGTTTTTACTGGAGCAAGGAGGGGACTGGATGAGGAAGGTAATAACAAAGATAATGCTGCCAGCTCATTAACCTTACCACAGCTGCAAAATCAGGGTAAAGAGAGAGAAGGTCTCTAGCCCTCTATGTCTGTAGCATGGGGTTAGTCTATTTTTTTTTTCACATAAAGAACCAAATAGTAAATGTAATTTGTTTTGGTGGGTGTATGGTCTTTGTTGTAACTTCTGAACTCTGCCAGGGAGAAAGCAGCCATAGAATCGGTAAACAGATAGATGTGGCTGTGTTCCAATAAAACTTTATTTATGAAAAAAAGAAGCATTCAACAAGATTTGGCCCATGAAATGTGATTTGCCAGCCCCTGTTTTAGCCTGTGATTGGAGCTTGAAGACTTGGCAGAGGCCCAAGCAAGAACAAGGTCTTCTAGTGGACTCTGGATCTAAGAATAGGGATGAGTGCTTTCCATGTATAAGATATGATTCTGTTTTAGAAGAGTTGACAAGCTCATTGGGAGTATTACATACAATAGCCAAATGCACATTTGCTGAGGCAGGAAGTTATACATTTTAAAAGAAAGTCACAGAAAGCATATGCTATAGAAAGGAGCAAGATATCATTTTATATCTAGCGGTCAAGGAAGACTTTATGGAGTAGATGAGGTTTTACTAACATCTTAAATCACAAATAGAATTTGTGTAAATGTAGGGAGTGAAAAATCACTTCAAGTGTGCAAAAATGTGAGCAAAGATGTGAAATTTTGAATCTAGTATCGTTATTCCAAGGGACTATTAAAAAATTGGCTATTGGATGTAGTCAGTGTTTATGAGCAGATTGTCTTCTAGACTGCAGTTGTACAGGAAGTAGAATCTGTTAAACTTTTATCTCCAAGACAAGTAGAAACGAAGAGAAGGATTCCTTTTCCCTGGTGATCTATTCTGCAGACACTATAATTTACAGAATCAGAAGAAATAAGTACAAAGTCAAGCTTCCCTCTAATAAATCTGCCTGGACTATGTTGGCAGTGAAAGTTAGCACTTTTTCATAGTGGACAGGATTTGTAACCTTCATCCCCTAGGACATTCTGCAAAATAGAGACAATTCTGCACATCTCTTGTGGGACTTTGCAATGATAATGAAGTAGAAAAAAAAATAATGTTTTGCCTCCTGGATGCCTAGCTAGATTATAAAATAAAATCCGGAGCTGCATTCAGTCCCTTATCTGTATTTTCAAGCTGTTCACAAATGGTAGGTTGAATTATGGTAGGTTTGCACATTCAATGCAATTGTATTGAAACAGGAATAATAGTTAGCTATTCAAATATACAGTGACTATGTTATCTCAAAACAATTCTCCAGTAGTAAGCAAAACAAAACAAAATCAAAAGCTTTTTTTGGAAAATAAATAGCAGAGTAAGTTCCAGCATGAGATTTATTCTATAAACACTTTATCATATCATTCACAACTTTACTAGCAAGTTTTATATTCCTTCCCCATTCATTTTAAGTGTATGTTTAAGTGAGAAGTGTAATCTATCTCAAAGGGAAAGAATCTGTGCAGGCTCTTTTAATAGTCCAACATCTTCTCCCTGAGGACTGAAAATTTAAATATGGAATTGCTACTCAACTCAAATTAACCTAAGTCAATCAACCTACAGTTTCTCTCTCCTATACTCTTCTTACTCTGACTGCATTGTCTAGAGAAAGAAGAACTGATCAACAGGACTGATATGGCTGCACTTCAATTTTATCTTGATGTGTTAAAAAAAATTCTTCTGTGTTCTTTACAATAATTCAAAGGATAAACCATAAAGCAATACATTTCTGTCAAATAACCCATTTAAAGTGTTTACTTCAGCTACAACAGTAAATTTTAGCCCCTCATATGATATAAACTTTCTTAACAGTTGCTTTTTATTAAGTGTATATCTGGAAAGAGCTTTTCTTGCATAATAAACTTTTTTCTTATAATAATTACAACCAAGTACTAGCTGCACTTGCTATGTCAGATATTTTGCTACATTTTATATGCTTAAATTTGTTTAATTGAAATAACAACCATATGTACCACATGTTAATTTGTTCTATGTTTTATTAAACTGAAGTACAAGGAGTCTTAACAATTCAAACCCAGTCCATCTGACATGAGAGCTTATGCTCTTAAACATTATTATTTTTATATACTATTATGTACATGAACATGTTTGTTGACATCATGTATATATGAAGATATTTGTTGCACAGCATATGTTCATTAAATTGAATTATTTAAGTAAATTGAACATTTGTACTGGAAAATCAGTTCCTTGTAGAAAAATAATTTTTCAAGTTTTTAGGAAATATTTAACCATCAATTCCATTTTATCTCCAAAAAAGCAAAAACACTAGTATGTAATCAATCAGTACTTACTAAATGCCAACTAAATGCAGATAATTTTGTATTAGGAAACCTTGGATCCCATGATTTCTGGAGGAATAGACCCAGAACACTTAAGAGGCCCCATGTGTAGGCCCAAAGTGGGTTAGGAACTCCCTGAAATTGCATGAAAAGTTTTGAGTGGCTACATGTGCTTTTCTAAGTTGTGAGTTCAGGCTTTTATCACATTTTCAAAGAGCCAGTGACAATCAAAATTAATCACCCCTGTTCTGAAGGAAATGGACTAAGGGGTTCTACTTTTGAACTAGGCCACTTATGATGCCCAATATAGTCAAGAGAAATCCTCCAAACATACCCAAAGAACTCACTAAGACCTATGGTTCACACAGGAATGGGACTTTCAATATCTATTGTGTTGCAAATAACAAGTTTTCCCATAGTCTCTGTAATATGAATCAGTATTCTAGAACCTGGGTATTACCACCTCTTTAACTCTTTCCACCTTAAAGTGTCAACTAACCCAACAACTACTTGACCAGGAATCATGGAGTGACAGGAAAACCACTGGCATCAACACAATTAGCACTGATGGTAGCTATCCTCCCTGAACCTTGTGATAAAGACTCTTCCTTCTATACTAAAAAAAAAAAAAAAAAAAAAAAAAAAAAAAAAAAATTAACTGGGCATGATGGCATGAGTCTGTAGTCCCAGCTACTTGGGAGGCTGAGGCAGGACAATTGCTTGAACCCGGGAGGCAGAGGTTGCAGTAAGCCAAGATCATGGCACTGCACTCCAGCCTGGTGACAGAGTAAGACACCATCTCAAACAAAAAAAAAAAAAAAAAGGATTCTTCTTGTGGTCAAAATAATTCCTATTGGATGAAAAGTTAATGAAAAATTGGAGTTTTGGGCCTCTCATTTTTAATTCATTAAATGAGTTTCTCTTCCCTCCCCCTGACAACCTTAGGTACAGAAGTTTTAAGACAAAACAATGTTAATGTGTTTGGCATTCTCTTTAAGATATTCCTTCATTTGTCACCATTCTCATGTTTATTTAGTCTGTGATTCACAGTGTGGATGAACAAGTGTTCAAAAAAAAAAAAAATTCTGGAGTTTCAGCCTGCATTCTTCATGGGTAGATGAAAAACAAAAGGATAATGCTATTTGAAAACCTGGCTTTCTACATTCCACTTCCAGGTCCATGTTCAAATGCTCTTCCCATTTCCTTCCTCCTGTTCTTTTTATGTCGTGGTGATCAAAGGATTTCCAGAGCAGTGGTGGTGTAAGCTTTAGCTTAAAGATATGCAAATCTTATTTAAAGGAAGTCTATTACTCCTATTGTTTGAAATGTCTCATTAGCAGCATTAAATTCACAGTTTAGCAGAATTATTTCAGGTACGTGAAGTACATGGAGTATTACACATGGTAAATTGTTGTGCGCACTTTATTTAGTTGTTTGACAATTCTATTATACAGTACTTTAATGAATGAAGTCTTTTGAAGAAGGTTGAGAATATAACTATTATGTTGCTTTTCCTTATAAGAAAAATTATTCCTATTCATGTTTTGCCCTAATTTATAGCGATATGAAAAGTAAAACTGCATATATAATATTCACTTCTTCAATAACTCATTTTAGTTTGCAAGATAATGTTCAAATTATTATAATTAGAATATAAGGCCATGGGTCCAGTGCTTTGGAGGGCATCATTCCAGCTCTCCTCTGGTTACATCCTTACCCTAGTGATGAGAAATCTATGTGGTAAAGGGGCTACAGTTTAGGAATATTTATGGGGCACCTGCTTTAGGGAGGTATGGTTTGGCTTGTGGGCCAGGGTGGCCACAGACATCAGTGACAGGTTTTTTTATTGTGCAAGGCTGAGCTAGGTGTGGCAAAAGAGGAGAGGCAGACCAAGGGGCCAGCTTTCTTCTTAGCTTCTTGCTTTCATTCTGCTAAAGAAGTTTAAGAAGTTTTCTAAATTTGAGTCTGTGCTTCCAGACAATTATAAAGGTATATGTCATGTCATTAACAGTTTAATTTCTAACCTCTAAAACTTTAGATGAAAAGCATATAGGCATTCATTTGTACTGTGCATGAGTAACATTTAAGGGTAGGCCAACTTCCTGATCTAACCTTTGACTTTATCTAGCTCCATTTGCTTCCATTTTGATGGTAATTGAAAACATAAATTACTACACATAGCTTTCTGTTTCAACTTTTCATCTATCACCTGTCTTTCTGCTTAGGCATTTCCTTTTGTACATGGTTTTCTCTATTTACCTGTGCCCCTGCACTTCACTCTGCCTTGTCTAAAAAGCAAATCGTCTTTCAAGATACAGCTCAGACATTATCTCTTTGGTGAGTTCTTTGCTATAATGTCCCTGTCCTCCCGCTCTCACTCTCCCAGGTGATCCTTCCTTTATGATTCCACTTGCACTATATCTTCACCTATGAGACTCTATTCCTGTTGTTAATTAATAATAATAGCTACCTTTTCTTTTTTTCTGAGATATCTTTTATAACATTTCAATCTCACTCTTGCTCGACAGTTCCTAGGTTGATAAGTATTTCAGCTTTATGTACTAAACACGTATGTATTAGTAACTGTTAGGACACAGAGAATTAAAATAACAACACCCATTGAGGGGGAAAGGATAGCAGTGAGTCAAGGAAAGGTTTAGTGTTACAGCCTGTGAACCAAGTCCAGTGCCAAATAAGTTCTTACTATGCTTATTTGAGTCTTATATTGATGCATTTAAAAAACATGTTTTATATTCTTTATCATAATGCAAGGGATAAACCACAAAAGGAAACCAATACATGGGGGTTGACAAATATATATATGTATGTATATACGTGTGTGTATATATATATATATATACACACACACACACACACACACATATGTGTATATATACGTATATATACACATATATATGTATATATATACGTATATATACACATATATATGTATATATACGTATATACACATATATATGTATATATATACGTATATACACATATATATGTATATATATATACATATATATGTATGTATATATATATTTAATATATGATCTAAATTAAACAAAGTAATATTTATTTTATGGCTACTAAAGGTAATGTTTAAAAATACATTAATGTAGAAGGTTTTGTCTATATTCTTTCTAGAAAGTTGTATGTTCTCTTTAGATAACCTACAAGCTTATTCCTTCATACTCAGCCATTACAGCATAAGCATGCTGAGACAGATCAATACAGATAAACTACACATTTAACTAGATATGACATTACTGAAACAAATAATGCTGCAAATAAAAAAGGTATTATTGTAGGTGAATGGAGAAGTAAACAGTATTACATCCGGATAATGGAATATTACTCAGTGCTAGAAAGAAATGAGCTACCCTACCATGTCATGGAAAGACATGGAGAGACCTTAAATACATACTACTAAATGAAAAAAAAATCTGAAAAGCTGACATACTGTATGATTCCAACTATATGGCACTCTGGAGAAGGCAAAACTGTGGAGACAATACAAAAAAAATTAGAGGTTGCCAGTGGATGAGAGAGAAAAGGAGGGATATATAGGCCGAACCAGAGGATTTTTAGTGTAGTGAAAATACACTGTATGATACTATAATAATGGGTACTTGTCATTATATACTTGTCCAAGACAATAGAATCTACAACACCAACAGTGAACTCAAATATTAAACTATAGACTTTGAGTAATTATGGTGTGTCAATGTAGGTTTATCATTTCTTTATAGCAAATGTGCCATTCTCTTGGGGGTGTGTTGAAATTAGGGAGTATATGGAAAATCTCTGTACCTTCCTCTGAATTTTGGTGTGAAACAAAACTGCTCTAAAAAATTACCCTAACACAAATATCAGTTTGTCCCTTATATAAAGATATAAGCATCTAATACCTAATTTTAATTGACATAACAATGCCTACAAAATTTAATCCTCTCTAAATGGTGTATTGCATAAATTTATTCTCAAGTTTATAGAAAGAAAGGAATGCAGTTTCAATCCAGAAGCTCACTAAATATATGGTGTTACCTATATGTTTTTATTCATTTTACTGAAGTAAGAGTGAGGAAATAGACAATCATATGTTACACAAGTATACTCTAAAAGTTGGGAAAATGAAGAGACTTAAAAGGAAGATAAGCTGGATACATTTTATTTATTTTAAGTAAGTAATTTTACTATTTTTAAGTAGTAAAATAGTGACACCTGTAGGTTATGACATCTATATATTTTATGATGTACACACACACATAGAGAGTAATCACTAAGAAATCTATGCAAGGAATATATGCATAAATTAAAATGGAACTCTAAAAAATGTTCAAGTAATCCACAAAAAGGCAAAGAAAAATAAACAGTGCAATAAGCAATAGAGAATGAAAGATAAAATAGATAATAAAATGCCATTCTTAATCTGTAATTTATGATTACATTATATATATTTATATACAATTATATATAAATATATAATTACATTAAATAGTCTAAAAACACCAACTACAAGGTAGAGATTTCATAGAGTGGATAAAAACAGAACCCGAGGGGAGGAGCCAAGATGGCCGAATAGGAACAGCTCCGGTCTACAGCTCCCAGCGTGAGCGACGCAGAAGACGGTGATTTCTGCATTTCCATCTGAGGTACCGGGTTCATCTCACTAGGGAGTGCCAGACAGTGGGCGCAGGCCAGTGTGTGTGCGCACCGTGCGCGAGCCGAAGCAGGGCGAGGCATTGCCTCACCTGGGAAGCGCAAGGGGTCAGGGAGTTCCCTTTCCGAGTCAAAGAAAGGGGTGACGGACGCACCTGGAAAATCGGGTCACTCCCACCCGAATATTGCGCTTTTCAGACCGGCTTAAGAAACGGCGCACCACGAGACTATATCCCACACCTGGCTCGGAGGGTCCTACGCCCACGGAATCTCGCTGATTGCTAGCACAGCAGTCTAAGATCAAACTGCAAGGCGGCAGCGAGGCTGGGGGAGGGGCGCCCGCCATTGCCCAGGCTTGCTTAGGTAAACAAAGCAGCCGGGAAGCTCGAACTGGGTGGAGCCCACCACAGCTCAAGGAGGCCTGCCTGCCTCTGTAGGCTCCACCTCTGGGGGCAGGGCACAGACAAACAAAAAGACAGCAGTAACCTCTGCAGACTTAAGTGTCCCTGTCTGACAGCTTTGAAGAGAGTAGTGGTTCTCCCAGGACGCAGCTGGAGATCTGAGAACGGGCAGACTGCCTCCTCAAGTGGGTCCCTGACTCCTGACCCCCGAGCAGCCTAACTGGGAGGCACCCCCCAGCAGGGGCACACTGACACCTCACACGGCAGGGTATTCCAACAGACGTGCAGCTGAGGGTCCTGTCTGTTAGAAGGAAAACTAACAACAAGAAAGGACATCTACACCGAAAACCCATCTGTACATCACCATCATCAAAGACCAAAAGTAGATAAAACCACAAAGATGGGGAAAAAACAGAACAGAAAAACTGGAAACTCTAAAACGCAGAGCGCCTCTCCTCCTCCAAAGGAACGCAGTTCCTCACCAGCAACAGAACAAAGCTGGATGGAGAATGATTTTGACGAGCTGAGAGAAGAAGGCTTCAGACGATCAAATTACTCTGAGCTACGGGAGGACATTCAAACCAAAGGCAAAGAAGTTGAAAACTTTGAAAAAAATTTAGAAGAATGTATAACTAGAATAACCAATACAGAGAAGTGCTTAAAGGAGCTGATGGAGCTGAAAACCAAGGCTCGAGAACTACGTGAAGAATGCAGAAGCCTCAGGAGCCGATGCGATCAACTGGAAGAAAGGGTATCAGCAATGGAAGATGAAATGAATGAAATGAAGCGAGAAGGGAAGTTTAGAGAAAAAAGAATAAAAAGAAATGAGCAAAACCTCCAAGAAATATGGGACTATGTGAAAAGACCAAATCTACGTCTGATTGGTGTACCTGAAAGTGATGTGGAGAATGGAACCAAGTTGGAAAACACTCTGCAGGATATTATCCAGGAGAACTTCCCCAATCTAGCAAGGCAGGCCAACGTTCAGATTCAGGAAATACAGAGAACGCCACAAAGATACTCCTCGAGAAGAGCAACTCCAAGACACATAATTGTCAGATTCACCAAAGTTGAAATGAAGGAAAAAATGTTAAGGGCAGCCAGAGAGAAAGGTCGGGTTACCCTCAAAGGAAAGCCCATCAGACTAACAGCGGATCTCTCGGCAGAAACCCTACAAGCCAGAAGAGAGTGGGGGCCAATATTCAACATTGTTAAAGAAAAGAATTTTCAACCCAGAATTTCATATCCAGCCAAACTAAGCTTCATAAGTGAAGGAGAAATAAAATACTTTATAGACAAGCAAATGTTGAGAGATTTTGTCACCACCAGGCCTGCCCTAAAAGAGCTCCTGAAGGAAGCGCTAAACATGGAAAGGAACAACCGGTACCAGCCGCTGCAAAATCATGCCAAAATGTAAAGACCATCGAGACTAGGAAGAAACTGCATCAACTAATGAGCAAAATCACCAGCTAACATCATAATGACAGGATCAAATTCACACATAACAATATTAACTTTAAATATAAATGGACTAAATTCTGCAATTAAAAGACACAGACTGGCAAGTTGGATAAAGAGTCAAGACCCATCAGTGTGCTGTATTCAGGAAACCCATCTCACGTGCAGAGACACACATAGGCTCAAAATAAAAGGATGGAGGAAGATCTACCAAGCCAATGGAAAACAAAAAAAGGCAGGGGTTGCAATCCTAGTCTCTGATAAAACAGACTTTAAACCAACAAAGATCAAAAGAGACAAAGAAGGCCATTACATAATGGTAAAGGGATCAATTCAACAAGAGGAGCTAACTATCCTAAATATTTATGCACCCAATACAGGAGCACCCAGATTCATAAAGCAAGTCCTCAGTGACCTACAAAGAGACTTAGACTCCCACACATTAATAATGGGAGACTTTAACACCCCACTGTCAACATTAGACAGATCAACGAGACAGAAAGTCAACAAGGATACCCAGGAATTGAACTCAGCTCTGCACCAAGCAGACCTAATAGACATCTACAGAACTCTCCACCCCAAATCAACAGAATATACATTTTTTTCAGCACCACACCACACCTATTCCAAAATTGACCACATAGTTGGAAGTAAAGCTCTCCTCAGCAAATGTAAAAGAACAGAAATTATAACAAACTATCTCTCAGACCACAGTGCAATCAAACTAGAACTCAGGATTAAGAATCTCACTCAAAGCTGCTCAACTACATGGAAACTGAACAACCTGCTCCTGAATGACTACTGGGTACATAACGAAATGAAGGCAGAAATAAAGATGTTCTTTGAAACCAACGAGAACAAAGACACCACATACCAGAATCTCTGGGACGCATTCAAAGCAGTGTGTAGAGGGAAATTTATAGCACTAAATGCCTACAAGAGAAAGCAGGAAAGATCCAAAATTGACACCCTAACATCACAATTAAAAGAACTAGAAAAGCAAGAGCAAACACATTCAAAAGCTAGCAGAAGGCAAGAAATAACTAAAATCAGAGCAGAACTGAAGGAAATAGAGACACAAAAAACCCTTCAAAAAATCAATGAATCCAGGAGCTGGTTTTTTGAAAGGATCAACAAAATTGATAGACCGCTAGCAAGACTAATAAAGAAAAAGAGAGAGAAGAATCAAATAGACACAATAAAAAATGATAAAGGGGATATCACCACCGATCCCACAGAAATACAAACTACCATCAGAGAATACTACAAACACCTCTACGCAAATAAACTAGAAAATCTAGAAGAAATGGATACATTCCTCGACACATACACTCTCCCAAGACTAAACCAGGAAGAAGTTGAATCTCTGAATAGACCAATAACAGGCTCTGAAATTGTGGCAATAATCAATAGTTTACCAACCAAAAAGAGTCCAGGACCAGATGGATTCACAGCCGAATTCTACCAGAGGTACATGGAGGAACTGGTACCATTCCTTCTGAAACTATTCCAATCAATAGAAAAAGAGGGAATCCTCCCTAACTCATTTTATGAGGCCAGCATCATTCTGATACCAAAGCCGGGCAGAGACACAACCAAAAAAGAGAATTTTAGACCAATATCCTTGATGAACATTGATGCAAAAATCCTCAATAAAATACTGGCAAACCGAATCCAGCAGCACATCAAAAAGCTTATCCACCATGATCAAGTGGGCTTCATCCCTGGGATGCAAGGCTGGTTCAATATACGCAAATCAATAAATGTAATCCAGCATATAAACAGAGCCAAAGACAAAAACCACATGATTATCTCAATAGATGCAGAAAAAGCCTTTGACAAAATTCAACAACCCTTCATGCTAAAAACTCTCAATAAATTAGGTATTGATGGGACGTATTTCAAAATAATAAGAGCTATCTATGACAAACCCACAGCCAATATCATACTGAATGGGCAAAAACTGGAAGCATTCCCTTTGAAAACCGGCACAAGACAGGGATGCCCTCTCTCACCGCTCCTATTCAACATAGTGTTGGAAGTTCTGGCCAGGGCAATCAGGCAGGAGAAGGAAATAAAGGGTATTCAATTAGGAAAAGAGGAAGTCAAATTGTCCCTGTTTGCAGACGACATGATTGTTTATCTAGAAAACCCCATCGTCTCAGCCCAAAATCTCCTTAAGCTGATAAGCAACTTCAGCAAAGTCTCAGGATACAAAATCAATGTACAAAAATCACAAGCATTCTTATACATCAACAACAGACAAACAGAGAGCCAGATCATGGGTGAACTCCCATTCACAATTGCTTCAAAGAGAATAAAATACCTAGGAATCCAACTTACAAGGGATGTGAAGGACCTCTTCAAGGAGAACTACAAACCACTGCTCAAGGAAATAAAAGAGGAGACAAACAAATGGAAGAACATTCCATGCTCATGGGTAGGAAGAATCAATATCGTGAAAATGGCCATACTGCCCAAGGTAATTTACAGATTCAATGCCATCCCCATCAAGCTACCAATGACTTTCTTCACAGAATTGGAAAAAACTACTTTAAAGTTCATATGGAACCAAAAAAGAGCCCGCATTGCCAAGTCAATCCTAAGCCAAAAGAACAAAGCTGGAGGCATCACACTACCTGACTTCAAACTATACTACAAGGCTACAGTAACCAAAACAGCATGGTACTGGTACCAAAACAGAGATGTAGATCAATGGAACAGAACAGAGCCCTCAGAAATAATGCCGCATATCTACAACTATCTGATCTTTGACAAACCTGAGAAAAACAAGCAATGGGGAAAGGATTCCCTATTTAATAAATGGTGCTGGGAAAACTGGCTAGCCATATGTAGAAAGCTGAAACTGGATCCCTTCCTTACACCTTATACAAAAATCAATTCAAGATGGATTAAAGATTTAAACGTTAAACCTAAAACCATAAAAACCCTAGAAGAAAACCTAGGCATTACCATTCAGGACATAGGCGTGGGCAAGGACTTCATGTCCAAAACACCAAAAGCAATGGCAACAAAAGACAAAATTGACAAATGGGATCTAATTAAACTAAAGAGCTTCTGCACAGCAAAAGAAACTACCATCAGAGTGAACAGGCAACCTACAACATGGGAGAAAATTTTTGCAACCTACTCATCTGACAAAGGGCTAATATCCAGAATCTACAATGAACTCAAACAAATTTACAAGAAAAAAACAAACAACCCCATCAAAAAGTGGGCGAAGGACATGAACAGACACTTCTCAAAAGAAGACATTTATGCAGCCAAAAAACACATGAAGAAATGCTCATCATCACTGGCCATCAGAGAAATGCAAATCAAAACCACTATGAGATATCATCTCACACCAGTTAGAATGGCAATCATTAAAAAGTCAGGAAACAACAGGTGCTGGAGAGGATGCGGAGAAATAGGAACACTTTTACACTGTTGGTGGGACTGTAAACTAGTTCAACCATTGTGGAAGTCAGTGTGGCGATTCCTCAGGGATCTAGAACTAGAAATACCATTTGACCCAGCCATCCCATTACTGGGTATATACCCAAATGAGTATAAATCATGCTGCTATAAAGACACATGCACACGTATGTTTATTGCGGCACTATTCACAATAGCAAAGACTTGGAACCAACCCAAATGTCCAACAATGATAGACTGGATTAAGAAAATGTGGCACATATACACCATGGAATACTATGCAGCCATAAAAAATGATGAGTTCATATCCTTTGTAGGGACATGGATGAAATTGGAAACCATCATTCTCAGTAAACTATCGCAAGAACAAAAAACCAAACACCGCATATTCTCACTCATAGGTGGGAATTGAACAATGAGATCACATGGACACAGGAAGGGGAATATCACACTCTGGGGACTGTGGTGGGGTCGGGGGAGGGGGGAGGGATAGCATTGGGAGATATACCTAATGCTAGATGACACATTAGTGGGTGCAGCGCACCAGCATGGCACATGTATACATATGTAACTAACCTGCACAATGTGCACATGTACCCTAAAACTTAGAGTATAATAAAAAAAAAAAAAAAAAAAAAAAAAAAAAAAAAAAAAAACAGAACCCAATTCTATCATGTCTACATAAACTAAATTCAAACATAAAAATATAGGTGGGTTGAAAGGAAAAGAAAACTGAAAAATGACAAACATTATCAAAACAATCATGAGAAGCTGTATTTATGTTATATAATGTAGGCTTCAGGCAAAGAAAATTTCAAGAGACAAAAAGGTAATTACATAATGATAAAAGGATCAATACACCAAAAATCTCATTAGTTTTAAATGTCTATACAGCAAACAACAGCTTCAAAATAAAGCAAAAAATGTATAGAAATCAAAGGAGAAATAGATCCACATTTATATTTGGCTACTTCAAAACTACTTTTAGCAATTGACAGAACTACTGGACAGAAATGCCACAATGTTATAAAAAATTAAATAACAAACAGGTACCAACTGTCACTTATAGAACACTCCAACTAACAACAATGGAATACATGTCCATTTGAAGCACTCACAGAACATTCACCAAAATAGAGCAGAAAACCTTAAAAAACTGAAAAGAATAAAAATCATACAGAGCATGTTCTCTGAACATGATAGTATATGTCGGAAACAGTTACTCAGTAGGACTGTGTTCAATTTTCAAGAAGGGCTTGTTTTCATGACTGGCCTTTGGCTGGAACTTGGAACTAAGCTCTTGGAATATTGTAATAATAGTGGTTTGCATACTGAAGATCTTGAACACTCTACTAGTTTGTCTGAATAGTTCATATGTTCTACAGCCATATCACACTGAATGCAACCAATCTTGTCTGAATAGTTCATATGTTGCAATTTATGGTGAAAATCTTCTTTCCTTATTAGAGTCTGGATCTTGAGTAACTGTTTTAGTGCTATGTACCTAAAAGCCTAAAAACAACTACCATGAAATTTCCTAGTAGAAAACATTTATCAAGTGTTGTCGTGATTTGTTGCTGGAAGAAGTAAGTTTTTCCAAATGACTGAACTGGGGAAGACTTGGGAGTTTATGCTGGTTCCTACAGAATCTGAGGCTGCGTTTCTCATCACTACAAATGATTGTTTAGGGAATTTTATTTTATTTTATTTTATTTTACACTTGTTTTACCTATCTCTAGCCTCATTATCATCATGTTTATGGGAACTCTGCTGGTATTGGAACAGAGGTTGGGGTCCATAGTGGGTTTAGGAGAGATATGTAGGTTGTCATGGAACCTAATTTTTGGAGTCACATAGAATGTGTTCTAAAGAGATTAAAAATTCATCTTTGAAGCAACCACCACCACCACCAAATTCTGGTTTATAGTACTCACAAATGCCTGCAGTGTAAATGCAGCAACCAGGACTAATTTCAACTACCAATGTGACATGAGTGAATGTGGGTTTGGGAAGAAACATGCAGTAGCACATCATTTTAAGCTGTTTTCAGATACAGATACAAAAGACATAAACAATCTTGAGAGCATATATGGTGGAATCATAGATTAAAATAATTAGAAAGGAATAACTCAAGTAGTTATCTTTCCTTTTATTATATTTTATTGTAGATTTTTGTAAAAGAATAATAACAGCTGTTTTTAAAAATTGTCTCACAAAATCCCTAAAAATTGAACAATTTCCTCCTGTGGCCCAGTATGAGCCAGTTCTACTGTGCACCATTGTAGAATCTCATTTCATTTCTAGAGTTGTAATTTCCAAACATTTCACTAAAGTAACATTAAGGGAATGAGAGGAGAGTAAATTAGTACTCAGTGGGTCTATAAATAAAGCCCAAAGAGGTATGATGCAATGAGGAGCATGGGGAAGGGGTCCCTTCCCTTCCCTCCCCTCCCCTCCTTTCTTTCTTTCCTTTCTTTCTCTTTCTTTCCTCCCTCCCTCTCTCCCTCCCTCTTTCCTTCCTTCCTTCCTTCTTTCTTTCTTTTCTTTCTCTTTCTCTTCTCTCCTTCCTTCCTTCTTTCCTTCTTCCTTCCTTCCTTCCTTCCTTCTTTCTTTTATCTCTCTTTCTCTTCTCTCCTTCCTTCCTTCCTTCCTTCCTCCCTCACCCCCTCCCTCCTTCCCTCCCTCCCTCCTTCCTTCCTTTCTCCTGCCTCAGCTTCTCAAGTAGCTGGGATAACAGGAGTGTGCCACCACCCGCAGCTAACTTCTGTATTTTTAGTAGGGATTCACCATGTTGGCCAGACTGGTCTCGAACTTCTGATCTCAAGTGATCTGCCTGCCTCAGCCTCGCAAATTGCTGAGAATTACAGGGAGGAGCCACCGTGCCTGGCCAGTATCTTAATTAATTTTGATTTTCATTCTCCCTCCCTGTCTTCCTCTATCCTGTCATTCTCACTGTCTCCCTCCTTTCTTTCTCTCTCTCTAACACTCTTACAATTTTACACTTTAATTTTAACACTCTTATAATTGCATAATATCAATATTGATGTTTATTTTAATGAAGAATTGATATTTTAAAAGACAATATTTCAAATTTGCATGTCATTTTCTTGAGTGTCTTTTGTAACCAACATTGAGAAGCACACTTTTCATTGGTCTAAAGTTTATCTATGAAATATTCAAACCATCTGACAGTTATACATTAAAACATGCATTGTTTTGCTCTTTTATATAATAAAATTGACTTAGCTGAACCACCTGAATTGTTTTCTCTTAAGAAAAAACTAGGAGATTTACTAATGTCTTTAATGTATTTATTAAGGATAGATTCCAAAACAACTCAGGATGTCCACTTTCATTTTAATAACAACTAAGATTCCTCAGGTTTCAATATCAAGAATATTTGTCATCCTCTTTATCTAACACTAAAGTTATTGGTAATAAATCCCTTTTGCTCTGGCATGAAAAAATACAAAAGCAAAAGCAAAAACAAAACAAAGCAACAACCCTGCATTTCTTTTGCTTTAGAAAAATACAAAAACAAAAAACACCTGCATTTCTTGCCTTCTTCAAGACTCATACAAGCTCTTATAGAAGAATTACACAATAGCATGTATATCACATATATATTTTGGGAGTTCATCCTTTTTTGCATTAATTTTTTAAAATTTCACTTTTACTGCTTTTGTATCAGATACAAACAAACAAATCATTTCATTATTTTTTAATTGAGGTGGAATTCCACAAATTGCTTTTCCTAAAGTCATGCGACTAAGTATGTGCTTCATCAACAGTTTTTAAAGGGTATACCTGGTCAGAGATAAAAATAAAAACAAGTCTCCATAAAAAGTTGGAATCTCTAACATAAATATCACCATGATATAAAAACAAAATTCTGATTTTTAGAAAGCAGTGTTTCTGTTGCCAATAATGTAGGTCTGTATATTCTCTTCTTCAGATGACAGTAGAAGTTACAGAATGTTCAAAAGATAGTATGGCAATGTAAAATTAGTAACATACAGATTTCTCCAAATTGCGTGTCTGTTTTTCCTTGTTTTTTTTTTTTTTTTTTTCATTTTTCACATTATTTCTTAGGAAACAAAACACTGAAGTCATCACAGAATGATTTGTTTTCAAGAAAATTGAAATAACATAACATAAAATGGTAGTGTTTTGTAAAAGTTTATATTATGTGCAAAATACCTACTCTAAAATTTAGTAAAATGGAAAGCAGATGACAATGAACTAGTATGAATACAGGAATTTTGTTTGTAATATGGGGGTTAGTGGTTAAGTACAAGGTTAGCAGTGCCAAGGCAAAGGCATTTTCCTTCTAGATTTTACTTGCAAAGTGAAGCCACCTCTGTGGAATCCCTCACCTCAGAGCCAGTCACAGCACTAACCAAATTAGCTTCTGTATGAATTAGTGGATAATAGACATAAGAACGGTTGACACTGGATAGAACCAATAACCAAAATGAAAGATATTTGCTAAAGATGATTTTCATCTAGAAATAGTTACTATTGAAATATCTTCTCACTATAATTAGGAATGTGCCTATGGTGGTCACTCATACGTCATAAAAACATAATCTGTGGAGGATTCATGCTTTCTTCCTCACCTCCCTTGCCCTTTTATTTTTGGTTGACAGTAGTATTTACACATGTTTATGGGATAGAGAGTGGTATTTCAATACGTGTATACAATGTATAATTATCAAATTAGCATAATTGGTATAACCATCACCTCATTTATCATTTCTTTGTGTTGTGAACACCCAAAATCCTGTCTTCTAGCTCTTTGAAAGTATAAAATAAATTATAGTTAACCATATTCATCCTACAGTTCTGCAAAACACCAGACTTCATTCTTCTTATCTAGTCCTTTTTTTTTTTTTTTTTTTTTGTGAGACAGAGTCTAGCTGTCACCCAGGCTGGGGTGCAGTAGCGCGATCTCAGCTCACTGCAACCTCCTCCTCCCGGGTCCAAGCAATTCACGCACCTCAGCCTCCCAAGTAGCTGGGACCACAGGCATGCACCACCACAACCAGCTAATTTTTGTATTTTTTGGGGGGGAGAGTTGGGGTTTCATCATATTGACAAGGCTGGTCTCAAACTCCAGACCTGAAGTGATCTACCTGCCTTGGCCTCCCAAAGTACTAGGATTACAGGCTTGAGCCACCATGCCCGATCCTAGTGAGAGACAGGAGTAGCTTGATTGCCTAGGCCGACTAAGAATTCCTAAGCCTAGCTGGGGAAGGTGACCACACCCACCTTTAAACACTGGGCTTGTAACTCAGCTCACACCTGACCAATCAGGTAGTAAGGAGGGCTCACTAAAATACCAAATAGGCTAAAAGCAGGAGGTAAAAAATAGTCAAATCATCTATTACCTGAAAGCGCAGGGGGAGGGACAGTGATTGGGATATAAACCCAGGAATTTGAGCCGGCAGTGGAAACCCCCTTTGGGTCCCCTCCCATTGCATGGTATGAGAGCTCTGTTTTCACTCTATTAAATCTTGCAACTGCACACTCTTCTGGTCTCTGTTTGTTCCCGTTCAACCTGAGCTATGGCTGGCTGTCCACCACTGCTGATCGCCGCCATTGCAGACCTGCCGCTGACTTCCACACCTCTGGATTCTGCAGGGTGTCTGCTGCGCTCCTGATCCAATGAGGCACCCATTGCCGCTCCTGATCAGGCTAGAGGCTCGCCATTGTTCCTTCCTGGCTAAGTGCCTGGGTTCATCCTAATTGAGCTGAACACTAGTCGCTGGGTTCCACAGTTCTCTTCTGTGACCCACTGCTTCTAATAGAGCTGTAACAATCACTGCACGGCCCAAGGTTCCATTCCTTGGAATATGTGAGGCCAAGAACCCCAGGTCAGAGAACAAAAGGCTTGCTGCCATCTTGGGAGAGGCCCACCCCATCTTTGGAGCTCTAAGAACAAAGACGCACCTGTAACACTAGCCTATAAAAATAAATAAAGACAAAGAATAACAACTGCTGGTGAAGATGTGGAGATGTGTGTAACTGTTGGTGGAAATGTCAATTAGTACTGTCATTATGGAAGGCAGTATGGAGGTTTTAGAAAAAGCTAAATGTAGAACTACCATACAAGCCAGCAACTCCACTAATAGGTGTTTAACCAAAGGAAAGAAAATCTGTATATCAAAAGGATACCTGCACCCCCATGTTTAGTGCAGCACTATTCACAATAGTGAAGATATGAAATCAACCTAAATATCCATCAGTCAATGAGTGGATTAAAAAATATGGCATAAACACACACTGAAATTCTATTCATCCATAAAAAAGAATGATATCCTGCCATTCATGGCAACATGAAGAAGCCTAAGGACATTACGTTCAGCAAAATAAGTCAGGCACAGAAAGATAAATATTACATATTGTCACCCATATGTGGGAACTCAAAAAAAGTTTGGAGTTCATGGAAGTAGAGAGCAGAACTGTGGGTATTAGAGACTGGGAAGGGTAGCAGAGAGGGCAGGATAGACAGATTAGTTAGCATATCTGTTTTTCTAATCAGTTTTCATCTGCCTATATTATACTTAAATCTTGAAAACAATTTATTTCATTTTGGCTCTATATATTTTTTATGTATTATTAATAGTAATTGTGGAATATCTGTTCTACTTACTTCAAATGACTGCTGCATCTGAGAACACTGTGTATCAATTAGGAACCTTGGAAAAGTTATAAACATTTATCAAGCATCGTTTCTGTTCTCAGATCATTAAGCTTGATTAGCTTCCCCACCACTTCATAAAACAGCCATTATTGATTCCTGGCAATTTGTAAATTATCTTTCTAGTTCATGCCTGATCATCACCATGAAACTCAACCTTCTCAAAGCCAGATTCCTGACTGCAGATACTCAAGTTCTTTTGTTCTTCAGGCATCCATCAAATTATTTGCTCTCAAAATCCCCTCATGAAGTTCATTTTTTTCCTACACTTAGAAAGAGGAAGTAGCATTACTATGTATTAAATTGGATTTGGGAATTTTTTTAATAATAGATTTGTGGAAAATTGGAAAATTTCCTATTCTGATTCTTGACTCTGCACATTTTGGAACCAGCACCCTACAGTAAAATAGGGACTATGGAGAGAGATTCAGATATCAGGGAGGAAGAATTTAACAAATTCCTAAGAGAATAGAACTATTAAATTCATTTGTATCTGTCCCATATTTATCATCACCTGTTCATTTGTTCATTCTTTATTTTTAAAATTTATTTGAGTAAAAGTTAGACTCAATATAATGTACACATTTAAAGTATAGAATTCACCAAGTTTTGAGAGGTGAATACACTCAAGCAATCATCATCCTAATCAAGATATAACACATTCTCATCACTCTAAAATGTTCTGTCATAGCCCTTTGCTGCTTTTCCTCACCCACTAAATAAAAAAAGGCTGCTTTTATTTCTATTATTAATATCTCCTATTGTAGAATATCATGTGAAAATATCATACAATATATACTTTTTGAATTCATCTTCCTTGGCGCAGAACATTATTTTTATTAAACAAAATATTTTGAGATGCAAACATTCTGTTGCATTAAAATATCTTATTCTTTTATTTGCCATGCCATATTCCATTGTCTGAATGTACCCATATTAGTCAGAGTTCTCTAAAGGGACAGAACTAATAGGATAGATGTATATATGAAGGGGAGTTTATTAAAGAGTATTGACTCACATGATCACAAGGCGAAGTCCCAAAATGGGCCATCTGCAAGCTGAGGAGCAGGAAAGCCAGCTCGAGTTCCGAAACCTCAAAAGTAGGGATCCCCACAGTGCTGCCTTCAGTCTGTGGCCAAATACCCAAGCGTCCCTGGAAAACCACTGGTTTAGGTCCAAGAGTCCAAAAGCTTAAGAACTTGGAGTCTGATGTTTGAGGGCAGAAAGCATCCAGCATGGGAGAAAGATGAAGGCTGGAAGATTCAGCTAGTCCAGTCCTTCCACGTTCTTCTGCCTGCTTTATTCCAGCTGTGCTGGCAGCTGATTAGATGGTGCCCACCGAGATTGAGGGTGAGTCTGCCTCTCCCAGTCCACTGACTCAAATGTTAATCTCCTTCTGTAACAGCCTCACAGACACACCCGGGAACAAAACTTTGCATCCTTTTATCCAATCAAGTTGACACTCAATAATAACCATCATAGTACCTAAACTTGTGTATTTATTCAGTTGATGATGATAATGTAGTTTGTTTCTAATATTAGATTTTTACAAATTAAACTGCCATAAATATTTTTGTGAAAATATTTTGAGGCAAATATGTTTTTTTTTTTGTCTTATGGTTTTTATGACCATAGACTTACTAAGTCATATGGTCAGTTTATGTTTAAATCCAAAAGAAACAAATTTTATCCACAATATTCGTACGATTTTAACTCTGATAAAAAATTTATTAGACATTCCTGTTGCTTCTTAATTGTGGTTTTATTCTGTATTTCCTTAATAACTGTCTTATTATCCATTTTTATATATTCTTTTTAAAAATACCCGTTCAAGTTTTTAAAATTATTTTTAGTTTTTGATTGGTATGTTTATCTTCTTAGATTATTTGAGTTGTAACTTTCAAATGTATTCTGGATACAAATAGCTTTTAAAATATATATGCTGCAAGTATTTTTATCACTTTGTGATTTTCATTTTATTTGCAATTACTTTGAAGATGAAGTTTTTAAAAATAAAGTTCTCGGCCAGGCGCAGTGGCTCACACCTGTAATCCCAGCACTTTGGGGGGCCAAGGCAGGTGGATCACGGAGGTCAGGAGTCAAAACCAGCCTGGCCAATATGGTGAAACCCCATCTCTACTAAAAATACAAAAATTAGCCAGGCCCACACCTGGTGGTGTGCGCCTGTAATCCCAGCTACTCGAGAGGCTGAGGCAGAAGAGGTGGCAGTGAGCCGAGACTGCGCCACTGCACTCCAGCCTGGGCGACAGAGTGAGACTCTGTCTCAAAATAAATAAATAAATAAATAAATAAATAAATAAATAAATAAATAAATAGATAAATAAAAAGTTCTCAATCATTTTAATTATATGCTTATTGGTTTTTGTTTGCCTACCCCAAAGTCATAATTTTTTTTTGTTTTTTTCTAGAAATTCTAAAATGTTACCTTTATATTGTGTTTACAGTAGATTTAGAATTTTTTTATGGTATGAGTCAAGATTTATTCCATTCACATGGATATTTAATAATCCTAGTAGTATTTGTTAAACAGAATTTTCTTTTTCCACTTAATTACTTTGGCATTGTACAGTAGCGAATTAAGTATATCAGAGAAAAGGTTTGGTCTTGCCCAAAGACTCAAGGGTAACCACTAAGCCCTTGGTATATACTACCAATGACAGTATCTTTGTTTACCTAGGGATACTACCTTTGTTTACCTGGAGAACTTAGACCATGCCAGATAGTCCATACAACGCGATTTATGGTGGAAGCCTTGGGACATATGGTATCATGTAGACCTTTAAAGTAATTAAAGACTAAAATTAGTCCTGCAGGTGGTCAGTCATGTATGCATAAAATGACCTCTAATAAAATTTGTGGACATGAAGTCTTGGCTGCGCTTTTCTGTTTGACAAAACTTCATTCTGATAGAAGTAAGCACAGTCTCTGTGTCTCCACTGGAAGAAGACCACTGAAAGCTTGCACTTGGAACTCTCTTGGACCCTGCCCTATGTACCTTTTCCCATTGCTGATTTAAATCTGTGTCCTTTCATTGTCATAAACCATAACCCAGTGTATTACAGTTTTCCTAGGTTCTATGGGTCCATGTAGCAAATTATTACATCTGAAGGCAGACTTGGGATCTACCCAAACTGTAAGACACTTATTATAACTTTGAAAATTAATTGACCATAAATGCTGTCAATTGGCTTCATTGTTTATTGATTTTTTTCTGTCTTCAGCTCACACTGTCTTAATTATTATAGGATAATCTACTTTTATACCAGTAATTATAAGCCCTACATGTTTGCCTTATAAAATAGTCTTAGGTAGGCAAGCTATTTTGCATTTCCATACATATCATTATCTAGTAAAAATCCTGCTGATATATTGAATGGGATTATGTTAAACCTAAAACCAATTTGGAGAAAATTGATATCTTGAAAATACTGAAATTTCTTATTCATGAACATGGATATCCTTCTATTTATCTAGGTCTTTTTCACTTTTTCTCACCGCTATATTCTCACTTCTGACTCTTTCTAAATACATGTCTTTCTGTGGCATCTCTTTTTAATAAAGAAGCCACCATGAGTGCTCAAGAACTGTATGAATACCAGGCTTCTGTTGCCAGGACAACAGAGCTCAGACCTCAGGCTAAAGGCCTGATTGATCCACTGACCAGACAAATGGGGGCCTCTGTCCAAATCCAAAGTAATTTCTCAATATAAACATTTTTTAACCCTCTAGTAATCATTAAACTTTAGGAAGAAGAAGAAATGGAAACAGGGATGGAAGAAAGGAAAGAAATGAAGAAAGAAAATGTATTTTCTCTGCCACTTCACTATAACCTTTTAGAGAACAGAGTCTGTGTGTTTTGCTATTCTGTGTCAAATACAATCACACACACACACACACACACACACACTATAAACACTCCAGAGCTATTAAATATAATCTGAAGTGAAATCACTAGTATATTTATAATTTTATTTGTGCCCTTTATTTGTTGTTTGCCTGGTTTTAATTATATTTAATATTTTTTTAAAGTGCTACAATCATAGCTTTAATTCATGTAACAATTTAATGTAAGTTATAGCAACTGTTACAACTTCGAGACAATGTAAAAAACATATAGAAAACAGCCTGTAACATAATGTTCCAGGACTTTTCCTTAGTTCAGCTAAAGACAGAGTTCTATATCCCACCGCCACAAAAATTCGGGCTCGCAGACAATTTGAATGGCAAGATAGGGTTTTATCGGGTGAAAAGGACAAAAAGGGGGAAACAGGGACTCTCACTAGGCCGAGATCCCCTGCTAGAGCGCTTCCCTCTTGCAGCTTGAATCCCAGGTTTCAACCAGGAGGAGGAGGAGCCCTGCTCCTGCCCAGTGCAAAAGGGCACGCACTTCTGTGGCTCCAACCCAGTGTGCAGGTTGCTCAGAGTTTCTCCAGGGACCCCCTCCCACCTGGTTGTCTCAATAATTTAATTGACAAATTTTTTTAAACAGTAAGTGGCTATTCAGATTTTCCTTGAATGCTATAAAAAAATAAGATTTGACTGCCAAAACACATCTATCAGAAAATGACAGCTTATATTAGCAATACTTACAGAAAAGTTTATCGCACGTACATATTATATTTTCAATTGATTTTTACAAGTGAAAATGACATACTTCAAAATATTTGTAGATTGTTTAGCATTTAACCTTCATAACACCTTTTTTCTTCATACTGTAGCAACAATTATTATTTACCTTTCTAACTTTCAGCTTTTTAAAAATGGAGGAAGTTAAATCCTATTAGCTTTAAATAATCGGTCTCTTGACATCCTCAGATCCTTTTCAAAGCTATAAAACCTCATTAATTTAAGACTGTTAGAAAAAACTCAAACTCTACCTAGTAAATGCCAAATCAATTAAAATTAATGCTCATTGCTAAGCTTTTGACTTGTACATACATGAAAATATAAATGGATAAATCTTTGAAAAAAATTAGCACACAGCAAACTGTAGCATATAATCTCGTAGAAGATAGTCTCATTCTTCCTACAGTTGTCTATTCTTTTGAATAATGGCATTATTGTATTATGTAGTTTTATGTGAACATGTTATTTTTATACATTTTTGGTAACCTTTCTATAAATGTTCATATTAATTGTGTAGATCTTTATATCATATAGTAATGTCTAATTGGAAGCAACCACTATAGAAAGGGCACACAAAAATCAAGTAGACTATATGACTTGGTCAGTTGAAGTCAATCACCTTCTCTTGTCAAACACTCAGGGTTTGGTACAATTAGCACATTAATAAAGTGGCTCTGGTGTCAAGTGTCGGGGATCGGCATAGGCCAAATTGCATGGAATTCTACATAGGAAGGTGGATCTAGCTACCGCATGCTGGCTTACTGTCATCAACAGTATCAAATCTGAGTCCCTAAAATTGTGCCATCCCTCAAGAAAATCAACTGGTCACTTGGTGGAAAGTTGACCTCCCTTGCACCCAAGAAGAGGCAACAATTCATTCCTACAGAAATAGATACACAATCTTGTTGCCCATTTGGTATCAATCAGGACCACTAGTTGAGGGATTAGAGAGTATTTGATCCATTGGCATGAGAGCCCATAAAGCACCATATAAAACCAAAGTTACATTTCATACCAAACAATATGTAAGAGTGGGCATATGATTAGAGAACTACTGGTCATATCACAAATCCCACAACCTAGAGCCAGCCAACTTCATAAATCTATGGAACTGCCTTTTGAAGCTAAAGTTAAAGCACCTGTTTGGATTAATAGTTGGCTAGAATACTTTGCTCTACTCAAGAACTTAGAAAAAAAATGTTAAATCAATAATTTTTATATAGTGCTATGTACAGGAACAAAACTGGAAGCAGGCGTGGCTCCACTTACCTTAATCATAGTGGCTCAGGGAATTTGTGCTTTCTGTTTCTGCAACTCTGAATTCTGCAGGTTTCAAGGTCCTATTTACCAAGCCATCATCAATTCTAAGACATTTTAATTTATAATTAAACTTAGTTCTAGTTAAGTATCAATGAGGAAGAAACTATGCTAAATTAACTTGACATGCTATTGATTGTAAAATTTACCCAGATATTGATGTAAAAATATATATCTTAATATTGTTGAAACACAGAATATTCTATAAGTTTTGTGAGTTTTATGATGTTTTATGAGTAATATCATGATATCTCTGCTTTTTCTCAGTTGCATATGTTTTCCTTAACTTTATGCTTTTGAGATATAGACAAATATATGTATGTCGATGCAATTTCTGCATTTTAATGTACACATTTTGTTGCATAAATAAACCAGTTTATTAATTCATTCTCCTATATAGGGAGAATTAGAAAGTTTTCAGTTTTTTTAATTATGAACTGTTCTGTAGTGAACATATTGTCCATGTCTTCCTTCACATATTAGTAAGAGTTGCGATTAAAAATAGTACTAGATTTAAGTTACATTTTCTATCTGTCTATTGTTTCATAGTATCCAGAGAATATCCAGAAAGTAGGTACAACTTGGCTTTCCTTCGTATTTTGCCATTGTTTGCCAAAAGTGGTTGTACCAGCTTTATTTCTCCCTAGATATATCTAAGATTTTCATTTTTCACATTCACATAAACACATAGTGTTACCAATCTTATTGATATTTTTCAATCTGTTTTGTGTAAAATCATATCTCAGTGTGACTGTAATGTACATTTCTATTGTTACAGGTTGAATATTCTTTTATTTGCCTGTTGACCAATTGAGTCTCTTTATCGTCATATTCTTTGCCCCTTCCCCTTTTGTACAAACAGCTCTAGATTTAAAGAGACTGTTATAGTTACCCAGCATTTCTAGAAGTTTGCACATATTTCTAGAATGTAATCTCTGCTGTCCTTTCTTACTCTTTTCCTACACAGCATTGTTACATATGCTAGTTTTATGAATATGTGAAAAGTAAAATTCTACAATGTGTAAAACAATATTGGTAATACATGGGAATTATGTAATATATTTTGGTCATGCTTTCTTTCAGCAAAGTGTAGATTTTAAATCTCAGAAAGGAGGAAGCATATAGTTTTATGGATCAGTAAATACCAATAGGTACTTTTACAATGAGTAAGATTTTCAACGAGTATATCTACTACGCAGTTATATTATGATTGCTGATTTTGATCCCAGATAATCAAGTTTGAACACAAAGTATGATCTAGAAACAGCATGTAAAAGCAAAGAAAATGAACTCATCTAGGTCTCATTTCAGAACTGAGTATAGAACTCCTATACTTTGGTCCACCAGAATTTATCAAGAAAAAACCTTCAACCTTTACATTTTGTGATATGTGAAGAGAAAGCTGGAAACTAAGAACCTAATTCTCTCCCTCTCTCTCTCTACACACACACATACACACACACACACACACACACACACACACATACATAGAGGGCACAAAGTGATATTATGATATATGCATACAGTGTGGAATTATTAAGTCAAGTTAATTAACATATTCATCTTGTCAAATACTTGTCTTTTTGTGGTAAGAACATTTGAAATTTACTTTTTTGGCAATTTTGCCATATATAATAACTATATATATATAAATATATAGATGACATATGTTATTCACTACAGAATTTTGGGAATCCAAATGATAATTTAAATGGGAATTTTATCTACAATGAATTTGTCGCAAATACGAAAGAAACTGTTTTTTAAAGTCCGAAGACACTGGTACCTAAAGGTTAATATGGAAATCATTTCACAAAAATTTATTTTATGTTTACCTTTATTGTATCTATTAGGAAAGCTTTCACATATATATATATATATGTATATATGTGTATATATACAATTTCCACTATAGAAATCGCTATCAAACACAGAAACCTGTTTTATCTATGTTTTATCAGTAAATTATTTTTCTTTTTAAAAAGACAATGTTGAAATACTCATTCTTCAGTTTATATGTCTCAATGGTTGAAGGAAACTTTAAAAAATACTTTTCTTTAGGTTTTATTGAAAGTTTTGTAAATTGAACATTTTCACTTAATATTCCCACATTTGAATTCATTTTCTTAAAATTAACCTTTCTGTAGAATAAAGAGAAATATTTCCCACTGGCTCCATTTATAGCAGCTAGATGAATGTGCTGCTCAACATATTCTACCAGATTTTGCTCCAGAAATTTTCAGTTGCCACATGGAAAGGATATTGTTTTGTGTCAAAATAAAAAAATAACAGGAGCTCAATACTCACAGAAAACATAGAGGCTATAGTAATTGGCCACTGATAGGCAATCAATTTGCAATGACCGCTGTTACACAATTAATTAGCTCAACTGGAAAACATGAAGTCAAATGTTTATTTTCCTCTCTAAAAGGTAAAAAATATCCTGGCACAAAAGCACATTTTTAATAAATCCACCCTTATGAGCAAAGTAGGTAAAAAACATCACGTCAATATCAAAACTTACTCTAAAAGTTATCGGAGTTCTATTATATAGAAATTCATAATTTTCTTTGTACTTGATAATTTTCTGGCAACTGCCTGTAATGATTATCTTTTCAGAAATGAGCTTTTATATAAAGTATTTCATAAGATTGATAATTACATGTTAATTCAAGACATGGACTACAAATATTTTCTAAAGCCAAAATGTTTAGTCTTAATTCTTCCCCAGAGCACCCTTCTGTTTATTATTGTATTATCATATTTACTGTAATTATTAAAATGAAAAATTTGAAAATAAGATTAGTTTTAGTATTAAAACTTGAGGTTTTAACCATAAATGTTTAAAACACCAGTTTATTTCTACAGACTCTTTGGATAGGGTTGGAGACCTTGAAAAGTTAGAGAAATGTTTTTCAATTTCTTCATCTCTTCCTCTACAATAACCTTCTGTTCCCTGAGTAAAGTACCACAGTAGGTCAGATAGGCAGATAAAAATTATTCTGGCTGTGATTTTTTTTCTTCTGCACCATATGGAGTAAAATGATATCTATGAGACAGAGTGTACACAAAAGATCCAGCTGCCATTTAATCAAATTGTTCACAGTGCAGGCCAATTAGGAGGATATTCAAAGCAATTCTAACTACTTGGTTCACAGCATTAACATCAGGACTTACAGAAAATAGTTGAGCAAAGCCAAACAAATTTTAAAACTTGTATAAGTTGAAGTCAGTGCATCCATTGGTGCATTCAGAATTGGTAATTGCACACACAAGTAGCTATTCTGTACCAATGAGCATATGCTTGCAGAAGAAAATGTTCTAGTTAATGGAAAATAAAATTGCAGAGAAATGGCAACATCTGTCATTGAAGATTTAGCTCCCAGAATTAATACAGAATAAGCCTTTTAAAACTTTCACTGCAAACTAAGCATATTTTTTATGTCCTAAAAGTGTCCCCTACATTTACATCTAAGTAAGAATAGCCAAGGACATGTATTATTGAGCATCTACTATAGTCTTATTTCACAGGAATGTACCTGAAGCATACGTGGATAGTATGTATAGGTATATATATGGCCCACCCTAAGAAAGTAACATTATTAGAAAGGGAAATGTGTATTTATAACAATAATAAACAGATAATGAAGAGTGCTTTAGGGCAAAGGGCTCTAATGGAAAGACGAGATGACTTAGACAATCTAGGTTTGAACCTCATATTATTGGCAGTAACAGTGTAAACTCAGACATGTTCTATAGACTCTCTCATCATCAGTTTCCTCACCTGTATGTTAAGCAGATAATACTACCATGTCCACAAATGTCTATCAAGCATTCCTGTTGAGCGAAGTACATGAGTGAAGATCTCTAGGGCTCAGAGAGACAAAAATACTCCATTTATGGCAGTATGAACTTCTACCATGTCCTCTGTTTAGTAAGTATAACTGTTGTAGGGATGAAAACTCAAACTTTTATCAATATGAGTAGCAAGCTCAACTACATTACTGTTTGGCTTCCTTGCCTTCCCCAGCTCCCCAGCTATTGTGTAAATTACAGGAGGTCAGGAATCTTTGTCTATTTTGTTCACTGAAAAGAACCAAGAACTTGACACATAGTATTATTATTTCTTAAAGGAATGAATAAAAGTGTTAGCTGATGTTTAAGAGAATCCCTGTTTATCATCTTGGGCAGATTTTAGAAGTAAAGACCACACCATAGAATATTGTTTGCAACCATAATATGTTTGCAGTTTGGGTATGCAATTTATAAAACCAAGGCCAGTAGGACTATTCAGGAGTCCCCAAAATGAAAGGAACAGAGTCACTGCTAGAGATATAAACTTTATGGGAATGAGTAAGAATGTTGGATCCCCAGAGCAGAACTTAGGAAATACATAACAAGAGCACTGACTGTTCATCCAAAATAGGTTACTGTTGGATAAAGTAAAAGTCACATACACATAGGATTCAAAGTGGTAAAACTGACATTATTTGTCATTGTTATATGTTAATTTGAATAGTACAAATTTCAAAGTTTATCAGAACCCAGAAAAGGCCTAAGATTTTGGTTAGAGTTTGGATGGATAGAAGCAAAGAAAAAAAGGTTCTGATTATTTTATAACTAACAGAAGCCTGAGTGAAGACAAAAGCCAGGATAAGCTTGATAATTTGAGCAATAACTAGAGCAAAAGAAGGCTGTCTCATAGCTTCTCTCCTTTTCTCTGTTACTTGTGTGCTGCAAGAAAGTCTACAAAAGTGTTCTGGGCCATGAAAATTCAGACAACGATTTGGGCATGGAATTAGCATTGGAAAAATTATTCCACAAAAGGATTGCCTTCCACAAGGGAAGAGTATACATGTGAATTAACTGAAATATCCTTATCCAGGTCCACAAATTCATAATTATTAACAGATAATATAACTAGACATTGAGTCATTAGGAACCACAGTGCTACTGAGGGTCATTGATCAGGGAAGTAAAATTATAAAGGCAATGTTTAATGAAGTTTAATTGATGGTAATACCCAGCAGAAACACAATAAGTTGAAGAAAATGGGGATTTAGAGAAACAAGGCATACAGATAGGAAGGTTAGGTATGCCAGGTGTGAAGAATTTAATCAAGATGGGAGCAATAAAAAAAAGAAAAAATAGGATATTATGAAAATAGATAGGTTTAAGAAAATACCACTAGTTTTGTTATGTGACTAAATATAAAAGAAAAAAAAGTATGAAAATAACTCCATTATTTTGGTTCTGAATAAAAAGGGTGCATTTCCACTAAAGAAATTCAGAATTGAGAGAGCTGACATCTGTTACACGTCTATCATCTACATGGCATTAAAGAAAACATTTTGCATTCATTGTTTTACTTAATACCTACAGCAGCTCTTTGAGGCACACAATTTCCCTGTCACAGATAAAGAAACAGGCTTTTAGAGTTTGGATAATTGGGCCATTTTTTAATAAGAAATACATCTGGAGTAGCAGGATTGAAGCTCATATCGGTCTATCTCTAAAGCCCATATTTTACTCTAATATCATGCTACAAGATAGCTTTTACTACTAAAACTTAATGTAAAAAAATAGGAAAGATAATAGCCAAGTTTGAGAAAGAATATTGGCAAAGGTTATTAAAAATTTTGAAGATATAAAGTTTTCAATATATAATCTCATATTAAATAAGTGGGAGTTAATATACATACATATATGATAAAGTGACAATTTGGTGGGCTGAAATTAATGGTCCTCCTTCCTATCATAACATAGAGGCTGTACCAATTAACATTCCCACCAGCAGTGTATAAGCATTCCCTTTTCACTGCATCCACACCATCTATTGTATTTTGACTATTTAATAATTACAATTCTGGCAGGAGTAAGGTGGTATCTCACTGTGGTTTTAATTTGCATTTCCCTGATGATGAGTGCTGTTGAACATTTTTTCATATGTTTGTTGGCCATTTGTATATCTTCTTTGTGAAACATCTATTCATGTCATTTGCCCACTTTTCAATGGGTTTTTTTTCTTGCTGACTTGAGTTTTTTATAGATTCCATATATTAGTTCTGTGTCAGATTTATAGCTTGCAAATGTTTTCTTCTCTTCTGTGAGTTGTCTGTTTATGCTGATGATTATTTCTTTTGCTATGCAGGAGTTTTTTAGTTTAATTAGGTCCCATTGATTTTTGTTTCCATCGCAATTGCTTTTGGGGTCTTAGTCACAATTTTTTTGCCTAGACCATTATCCATAGAGCTTTTCCTAAGTTTTCTTCTAGAATTTATATGGTTTCAGGTCATAGATTTAAGTCTTTCATTTATTGAGATGATTTTTGCATATGGTGACACATAGGGATCCAGGTTCATTTTTCTACATGTGGCTATCTAGTTTTCCCAGCACCATTTATTGATTCTATTGTTAAATCAAAAATATTTCAGAAACAAGTTGTTTAATTTGCATGTATTTCTGTAGTTTTGATGATTCCTTTTGCAATTGATTTCTGGTTTTATTTCACTATGATCTGAGAAGATATGTGACATGATTTTGATTTTTTTTAAATGTATTGAGACTCGTTTTGTGGCCTATCATATGGCCTATCTTAAACAACATTTCATGTGCTGATCTGAAGAATGTATATTCTGTAGTAGCATATATTCTTGGGTAGAGTATTTTGTAAATATCTGTTAAGTTCAAATTGTTCTGGAATACAGTTTACATCCATTGTTTTTTTTGTTGACTTTCTGCCTTAATGGTCTGTCTAGTGCTATCAGTGAAAAGTGTTGAAGTCTCTCACTATTATTGTGTTGCTGCCTATTCCTTTCTTAGGACTAGTATTTATTGTTTATCAAATCTGGAAGCTCCAGAGTTAGGTGCATATACATTTAGGACTGTAATATATTCTTATTGGATTGATCTTTTTATTATATAATGACCTTCTATGTCCTTTTACTTTTTAATGTTCTTGCTTTAAGGTCTGGTTTATCTGATATAAGAATAGTTATGGCCAGGCGCGGTGGCTCACGCCTGTAATCCCAGCACTTTGGGAGGCCGAGGAGGGCGGATCACGAGATCAGGAGGTTGAGACCATCCTGGCTAACATGGTGAAACCCTGTCTCTACCAAAAATACAAAAAATTAGCCAGGCGTTGTGGCAGGTGCCTGTAGTCCCAGCTACTCAGGAGGCTGAGGCAGGAGAACGGAGTGAACCCGGGAAGGTGGAGGTTGCAGTGAGTCGAGATTGCACCACTGCACTCCAAACTTGGCGACAGATCGAGACTCTGTCAAAAAAAAATAAATAAATAAAAGAATAGTTACTACTGCTTGCGTTTAGTATCCATTTGCATGGGACATCATTTTCTACTTCTGTACCTTGAGTCTGTACGAATCCCTAAATGTTAGGTAAGTATGTTGAAGAGAGCAGATTTAATTTTGTGATTGTTTTAATTATTTCTGTAAATCTGTATCTTTTAATTGAAGCGTTTAGATCATTTATATTCAACATTAGTATTGAGATGTGAGGTACTGTTATAGCCATTATGTTGTTACCTAAAAATTTGTTTTCTTCATTGTGTTATAGTTCTATAATTCCTGTAAGTTTTATTATTTCAAGATGTTCTATTCTGTGCATATCAACCTTTTATTTTAAGATTTAGGACTTTTAAAACCATTTCTTATAATGCTTGTCTGGTAGTAACAATAACCTTCAGCATTTGCTTTTCTGAAAAATACTTTATATTTTCTTCATTTATGAAACTTAGTATTGCTGGATACAAAATTGTTGGTTGACTGTTATTCTGCTTCAGAAGGCCAAAGATAGAACCCCAATCCCTTCTGAGGTTGTAAAGTTTGTAAGGTTTCTGCTGAGAAATCTTCTGTTAATCTGATAGGTTTTCCTTTATATGTTACCAGATATTTTTGTGTCACTGCTCTTAGAATTATTTTCTTCAGGTTGACTTTAGATAGTCCAGTGTACTATATTGTGATGTCCTTGGAGATGTCTTTTTGCAATGAATTTTCCAGGACTTCTTTGAGCTTATTGTATTTGGATGTCTAAATCTTGTAAGACCAGGGAAGTTTTCCTCCATTATTCTCTCAAATAAGTTTTCCAAACTATTTTCTCTTAGGAACAGCAATGGTTCTTTGGTTTGGCCATGTAACATAATCCCATGTTTCTTGGAGGCTTTGTTCATTTATTCTAATTAATTCTTTTTTATTTTTATTTGAGTAGGTTAATTCAAAAGCCTTGTCTTTGAGCTGAGATATTCTTTCTTCTACTTTGTCTAGTGTGTTGCTCAAACTTTCCATGCATTTTGTAACTTTCTAAATGTGCCTTCCACTGTCAAGAGTTAGGATTAGTTTTCCTTTAATATATTTATCTCTTTAGAAAATTTTTTATTCATATCCTAAATTGTTTTTAAACTTTGTAAATGTTGGTTTTGATATTTCTCTTGCATCTCTTTGAATAACTTAATAATCAACTTTTTAAATTCTTTATGTGGTATTACAAAGACTCCATTTTGATTTGGATCCATTGCTCGTGAGCTGGTGTGATTTTTGGGGGGTGTTACAAAACCTTGTTTTATTATATTTTTCAAATTAATTTTCTGGTTTATTCTCATTTGGATAGGCTATTTTAATTATTTTTGAATTTATTTGTGATTCAACTGTGTTTCTTTATTTCCATTTTTTTTCCCTTGAGGATATAACTTTAATGTTTACTGTTTATTGTACCTGATTTGGCTGTGGATACTTTCATGGGTGAAGACTCTGTATGAGTTCCTTGGTTATAGACAGTATTCGTATGATGGCGTTCTCAGATGATAATTGTAGTGGCAATGTGCTCAGTGTGTGAGCAGGTTCACTGTCTCCTGTGGAGTTTGAGTGGCAGAAGTGTCCTGAAGCTTATCTCATTCCTCAGTGCTGTGCACATTTTTATTTACTTATTTTTCCTCCAGTATTTAATTTACTAGGTTGAACAGTTCAGGCTTTAGGCCAGTAAGGAAGGTGTCCATAGGTAAAAGCCAGCTGTGGCTAAAGCAAGTAGGTGGCTGGGTGCAGTGGCTCACGCTTGTAATCCCAGAATTTTGGGAGGCCAAAGCAGGCAGATCACCTGAGGTAAAGAGTTCAAGACCAGCCTGGCCAACATGGTGAAACCCCATCACTACTAAAACTACAAAATTTATCTGGGCATGGTGGTGGGTGCCTGTAATCCCAGCTACTCGGGAGGCTGAGGCAGGAGAATTGCTTGAATCCAGGAGGCAGAAGTTGCAGTGAGCTGAGATCGTGCCACTGCACTCCAGCCTGGGTGACAGAGCAAGACTCCATCTCAAAAATAAAAAAGGAAGGTAAATGCTAGGCAGGGGTCTCATCCCTGACAGATGTGGCTTGGAAGCTCTCAGTGAAATACACTAAAGTCTTTTCAGGGAGAAAGGAGACAGCCACCACAGCTCACCTGCCAGGCCAGCAGGAAAGTGATCCACCTTCCAGTCACACTCTTGACCCAGTTTTCCAGCCATTCAGATTAGACAGGCACCTCTTTTCCTCCACAGGAACGCTGATGTTTAATGTAGCGTTGAAACTCTACCTCTTGTACAAGCCTGAATCAGGAGGGCCCTCCTCCTGTGGGGATTCTGTCACACTGAAGTGTTCCAGTAAAGCTGTCTATAGGTGCACCCATGCCAAGTTCCTATGGGAGAAGTCCCAGCTCTGTCTGAACTGGTGGGTGAGGGGAAGAAGAAATCCCCATCTCCAAGACCCTTTAAAAGCACCAGGGTTGCCTGACTGTTGGAGTAGAGCAGTAGACTTTCCTTGCCGAGCTTGGCACTGCACTGTGCCTCTGCTGAAAGAACTAGAAATACCATTTGAACCAGCCATCCCATTACTGGGTATATACCCAAAGGACTATAAATCATGCTGCTATAAAGACACATGCACACGTATGTTTATTGTGGCACTATTCACAATAGCAAAGACTTGGAACCAACCCAAATGTCCAACAACGATAGACTGGATTAAGAAAATGTGGCACATATACACCATGGAATACTATGCAGCCATAAAAAATGATGGGTTCATGTCCTTTGTAGAGACATGGATGAAGCTGGAAACCATCATGCTCAGCAAACTATCGCAAGGACAAAAAACCAAACATCGCATGTTCTCACTCATAGGTGGGAATTGAACAATGAGAACACATGGACACAGGAAGGGGAACATCACACTCTGGGGCCTGTTGTGGGGTCGGGGGAGGGGGGAGGGATAGCATTAGGAGATATACCTAATGCTAAATGATGAGTTAATGGGTGCAGCACACCAGCATGGCACATGTATACATATGTAACTAACCTGCACATTGTGCACATGTACCCTAAAACTTAAAGTATAAAAAAAAAATAAAGAAATAAAATAAAATAAATAATAATAAAAAAAGAAACCTCCCACAAGCAGAAAGTTTTGGGACTAGAGACCACACATCTGCATTATTTTGTCCCACAGGGTGCTCCTTTGATGTGGTATACTCCATCTTCCCTTAGGAGCAGGAGTCCCTGAGGGACAGAGTACTGTGAATCCTGCTGCTCCTCTAGGTCTAGCCAGCCAGTGGAACTGCCATACTCCAGGCTGCTGCTGAGGAATGTCTCTAAGGGGTCCAGTTACGTGACCTGTCATCAAGACTCCCAGCAGTGGATACAGCACCAGCTGTGATGGGGGTAGCAGAGGAGTGAAATTGACTCTGTGAGATTCCTTGGTATAAATAGCCTTAGTGTGTGGGCTTTCTTAAATGCCAGTTACAGTAATAATGAACTATTCATGTGGACAGACTCAGGACCTCCTCGTTAGGCAGGGTGATGCAGGCAATGGTGATAGCTGAGATCATGAAAACGTTTTCTCCTTCCTGAGCACTGTGCTATTCTGCCTGAAGATGTTGTAATGCAGTGGTCCCAACCTTTTTTGGCACCAGGGAACTGTTTTGTGGAAGACAATTTTTCCACAGACCAGGGACGTGGATGGTTTCAGGATGAAACTATTCTACCTCAGATCATGAGGCATTAGATTCTCACAGGAGCGTGCAACTTAGATCCCTCACATGCACAGCTCACAATAGTGTTCATGCTCCTGTGAGAATCTAATGCCACCACTGATCCAATAGGAGGTGGAGCTCAGGCAATAATACTTGCTTACCTCCTTCTGTGGAGTCTGGTTCCTAACAGGCCAGGGACCTGTACCAGTCCATGTCCTGGGGGTTGGGGATCTCTGTTGTAATAGAGCTCATCAGTTGGCCTCCACCTAGGAGGTGATGCTTGCAATAAAGCACCAGCTGCGGCGGTAGTAATGGGATTTCTGTTTGCTTTTTGTTAGCTAAGGAAGGTTGTCTGATGTCTCAGGCAATGAGTGGGGCCATAGATCTCCCAAGAGCTTCTGTCCTTTGTGTTTAGCTACCAGGGTGAGTAGGGGGGGAAAAGCAGGTGGGGCCTGAGCCAGGCAAGACTTTTCTCTGGGTCTTCATGCGTGGCACAAGCAGTGGCTCCAGTGGGGATTGGTGGGCAGTTCTCTGCCCACTGAGGTAATGTTTCAGAGAGGAGCAGAGCTGCCTCTGTTGAAGCAGAGGAGTCTGCATGGGTAATAGGGAATAGCAGGGGGCAGTTAGCCTCACCCAGCTTCCACACACTTGGCAAGGCAGGTGTCACATCCACCGTGTTTCACTAGCAGCACCTAGCTAAGTTCCAGGCAGTCTGTAGTCAGAACTCAAAACTGCCACAGGCCATAGCTTTTCTTTCAGAGACAGAAACCATGGCTTTCAGGCCATGCCCCTCCCACTCTACCAGTGAAGCAGGGGCACCCAGCTCCTGCGCCCGTGGCTACAGCACACTTCTTACTTGCCCTTGGGTTCTGGCCAAGGGGAGGTTGTCCCTACTAAAAATTTTATTGCAAATGTCAGTTGGAAGCTTTCCTCAACCTTTGACAAGTGCCTGAGTTAGTTGGCAGATTTCTGCGAGCCCCCTGTGAGGTAAGATCAGGAATGACTTCCTTCTATACCTGCTGGAAACTGGGTTTGCATACAAAGCATGCCCCAGTGACACTGCTTCTCATATACTTCCCACCGCTAACTAAATCAGCTCCAGCACTAGGTAGGGTTAAGGCGTAGATTGCCAGTTTCCCCAGTGGCAGTGTATACCCTGGAGGCAGCTTATTCCCTTCTCACATTCTGGAGTCTTACAGTTTTCTGTCTGGTTCACAGCGTAGGCTTCAGCCTATCACTTCTTTGAAAAAGCCTGTGGTTTCCTTCGGTTTTCCTGTGAATTTTCTATGCCACTTCTTAGAAAAATATTCACAGCACAAATCTCTACACACTATTTTGCCCTTCTAACTGGGAAAGGCATACTCACAATGTCTCCAATTCACTATCTTGGAAAAAAACAACCAACCAACCAACTAAACAAACCAAAACTCTGCCCTTTGTTTTAACCACACTATATGTAAAGGTTTTTCTTTCTTAGCTTTCTTTTTTTGTTAAGTTTAGTGTGATCAACTCAATTATCTACCTGCATTTCTATTGCATTTCTATCAATAGTAGAATTTTCCCCAGAAAAATTATTGTCCCTTACACTATTATCTTATAATTAGTCTTTCCCAATCACTGTGATTATCTTTCTATTATGTGCTTTTATCTGTTTATAAAAATGTCATTACTTTTCAAATCACTGCCCCTAAATCATGGATATAACTTTTGTTATTACTCTTTATTTTTATTTTTACAGGTATTGACCTGTACTCAGGAAAACTATTAGGCCATCTTTATGTAGCTCACTAACAGTCATTTTGATTTAACAGTAGTTTTTACTTTAAAATATCCTGTTGGGAGGCCAAGGCAGGCAGATCATTTCAGATCAAGAGTTCAAAACCATCCTGGCCAACATGGTGAAACCTCGTCTCTACTAAAAATATAAAATTAGCTGGGTGTGGTGGTGCATGCCTGTAATCCCAGCTACTCGGGAGGCTAAGGCAGAAGAATCGCCTGAGTCCGGCAAGTGAAGGTTGTAGTGAGCAGAGATTGTGCCATTGCACTCCTGCTTGGGCGACAGAGTGAAACTCCATCTCAAAAAATAAAAATAAATACAAATAAATAAATAAAATAAAGTATCCTGAGGGTTTTTTTTCAATGCCAATAAAACTCAACACCTTTCTTTTTCCAGGACACACAGCTAAATTCCATTATGCATCCTCTTCTGCAGTTGGGTATGGCAATGTGATTGAATTCTAAATAGTAGGCTATGAGAAAATTGACTGAGCCACTTACAGCCCTGGCTGGTGAAAACTTCTAAAATTTTAATATTCTTCCCAATCACTGATTTAATACAAACTTACACTTTGAAAGTACAAGCCACTTAAAGACAGCGACATGACAAATTGGGGGAGAATTGCCAGCTGAAGAATCATTTCTCTTTGCTGTGAGTAAAAAATACACATTCATTACATTTGAGCTATCATATGTCTGGGGGTTGTTATTACAGATACTGGCATTTTCTTAATAGACAACTATTATTTTACGTTAGAAAATAAAGCAAACATCTATCTTTGAAAATGAGCAGACGTTTCCTAAACAATGATAGTGTCCAAGTTTTATACTAATCAAGGTTTAATTGGGCAACTATTTCTGTTTCATATGTTTGTGTACATATATAAATTATGTATTCTGAATATTTATAATATATGTTATATGCAGAACATATCTAAAATAATATATGATGCAGAATATAACATATAATATAGTAATATATTACATTCTGCATCATATTATTTTATATAATATATATGATATGTGGGTATCTATTTGTTTTGCATATATTTTACTAGATCTTATATGTGTATATATCTATATGCAATTAAACTTTTTTTCATTAAGAAAGAGAAGAGGGAAAGACAGAGAGAGAGAAAGCACAAGCATATGAGTACTTAAACATTGAGAAAAGGTGGTTTCTACTACAAAGTGGACAGAACAGAAGGAGTAGATGGAATTAGCATTTTTTAAGGCATGTATTAGGTTTGGGTGTTTTAAACTTTTATATTTAATTGGTATAAGATATATTGTAGAAATATTGCAATCATATTTTGCCTATGAGAAATGCAACACAGCATATTTTCTTACCTGTGTGATACCACATTTTATTGATTAAATTATATTTAGAAATATTATGCAATTACAAATTAGAGAGCTGTTTAAGTCTCAAGGTAACTAAAAATTTAAAATATTGTTTAAATATTTTCCTGAAACTCTTGAAGATTAACTTTTTATAAAGTACTATATTGAGATTCAAACAAATCCTTATTTGTCAGACACAGATCTTTCGTCTCAAATTTATCTTTGTCGCTTTAGAGATCTTTATATTTCAACTGTTGTTCATGTGCTTTTTGACTAATGACATTCAAAGGAAGCTGGAGTTTGCTCTATGTAGAGGTTTCATATCAGGGACAAGGTTATAAGGGTCTTAAGAAAGCATTTGGCATCAAGACTACTAGACTGTGAATAGTTAGAAAATACTTTAAGTGTAAAAGCATAGTCATATCTGTATAGATCTCCAATGAATAATTTAAACAAGCTTACTAATAATTTACAGAGCTGAATCATTTAAACACATCAGCAAGCATTGGACATATACATAATTCATTTTTATGATTATGCTTTGTTTAAAAAATAGCCTTTTTTTTTTTTTTTTTGAGATGGAGTCTTGCTCTGTCGCCCAGGCTGGAGTGCAGTGGCGTGATCTCGGCTCACTGCAAGCTCCGCCTCCCGAGTTCACGCCATTCTCCTACCTCAGCCTCCAGAGTAGCTGGGACTACAGGTGCCCGCCACCACGCCCAGCTAATTTTTTTGTATTTTTAGTAGAGACGGTGTTTCACCGGGTTAGCCAGGATGGTCTCGATCTCCTGACCTCATGATCCACTCGCCTCGGCCTCCCAAAGTGCTGGGATTACAGGTGTGAGCCACCACGCCCGGTCAAAAAATAGCTTTTAAGTGGGAATGTAATACCTCTATCTCTGTCAAATAAATTCTTTATTATAATTTAATCTTAAGATTTTCAATAATGTGAGTATATTTCCAAAATCACATGTATCTTTATAAATTATATTATGAATATTCATTTTAAACAGAAAACGTTAAAAATTTTCAGGTGACTGATTGCCATCTTATGTTGTATTACATTGGTGCAAAAATAATTTTGTTTTTTGTCATTACTTTTAAAGATGAAAACTGCAATTGCATTACTTTTGCAGCAACTGATATGGTTTGGCTGTGTCCCCACCCAAATCTCATCTTGAATTGTAACTTCCACAATTCCCACTTGCTGTGGGAAGAACCCAGTGGGGGTGATTGAATTATGGGGGCATGTCTTTCCTAAGCTGTTCTCATGAGGGTGAATGAGTCTCTCAAGATATAATGGTTTTAAAAATGGGAGTTTCCCTGCACAAGCTCTCTCTTTGCCTGCTGCCATTCATGTAAGATGTGACTTGCTCCTCCTTGCCTTCCTTCATGATTGTGAGGGCTCTCCAGTCATATGGAACTGTAAGTCCAATAAACCTAAAACCTCTTTCTTTGTAAATTGCCCAGTCTCATGCATGTCTTTATCAGCAGCGTGAAAACTGACTAATACACCAATCTAATATTAAATCTGGAATAATTTATCTTCAGTTTTAATACAATAAATAAATATAAAAAACAAGAAACTTATTCATTCTCAAGTTCTAGTCTAAAGTAACTTTCAGAAAAATATAGTGGACATGTACTTTAATATATTATTTTAACATAACTTATTTTATGAAGATAACATTAATTCATTACATATTTGTCACTCTGGCTAGAATGTTGCTTCAGACAAAAATGCAAGGCCAAATGAACAACTTTATGCAAAAAAATGGAAAAATCTAAAGAAACTGAATAAATTACAGAATATACACAATCTACCAAAATTGAACCAAGGAGACATAAAAAACCTGAACAGACCAATAGTTAGTAATGAGATTGAATCAGTAATAAAAGTCTCTTCCCAATCCCCACAAAAAGTCCAGGATGGACCCATTGCATCCACAAGACTGGATGAATTCATTGCTAAATTCTACTAAGCTTTCAAAGAAGTACTAGCACCAGTTCTTCTCAAAACTTACCACAAAATTGAAAGTGAAGGGATTCTTCCAAGCTCATTCTATGAGGACAGCATTGCCCTAATACACACAGTAGATAAGGATGTAATAACAACAACAAACTACAGCCAATATGCTGATGAACATAGGTGAAAAAATTAACAAAATACTAGCAAACCACTTCCAACAGCACATCAAAATTATTATAAACCATAATCAAGTGGGATTTATCCCAGGGATACAAGGATGGTTTAACATATGCAGAGCAATAAACATGATGCAGCATATCAATAGAATGAAGGAAAAACATATGATCATTTCAATAGACGCAGAAAAAGCATTTGACAAAATTCAACATCCTTTTATAAATACAATTTTTGGTTAAGAGTATATAAAAGAAACATACCTCAACACAATAAAAACCATAGATGACAAACCCACAGCTAACATCATACTGGATAGCGAAAAGCTAAAATCTTTTACTAAGAACTAGAAGAACACAAGTATGCCTAATCTAATGTTTCTTATGCAACATAATACTGGATGTTGTAGCCAGAGCAATTAGGCAAGAAAAAGAAATAAATGGCTTCAAATAGAAAAGGAGAAAGTGAAATTTTCTCCGTTTGCAGATGACATGATTTTTATATTAACAAAACCTAGACTCCCTCAAAAATACTCACAGAAATGGAACATTTACTAAAGTTACAAAATACAAAATCACATTCAAAACTCAGTCACAATAATAATGAGCTAGCTGAAAAAGAAATCAGAAAAGCAATTCCATCTCCACTGACTACAAAAAAAAATCTAAGAATAAATTTAACAAAGAAGATAAAATATCTCTACAAGGAAAACTATAAAACACTGGTGAAATAAATTGAAGCAGAAAAGAAAAATGGAAAGACATCTCTTGTTCATAAATTGGATGAATTAATATTGTAAAAATGACCGTGCTACCCTAAATGATCTATGGATTCAATGCAATCTCTATCAAAGTAACAATGGTATTTCTCACAAGAATAGACAAAAAGAATCTAAAATGTATTTGAAACTACAAAAGACTGTGAATAGCCAAAACAACTTTTCACAGAAAAGGAAACAGACCAAAAAGAAAACTAGGAGAAAACATTTCCAAACCATTCATCTGAATAGACAAGAAACTCAAACAACTCGACAGCAAAAAATCAAATAACCTAATTGAAAATGGACACATGTTCTGAATAGACAACTCTCAATAGAAGACATGGCCAGCAGTTATATGAAAAAATGCTCAGCATCACTAATCATCAGAGAAATGCAAATCAGAATAACAATGAGATATCATCTTAACCCAGTTAGAAAATGGCCATTATTAAAAAGACAGAAATTTACAAATGCAGGTTAGAATGCAGAGAAAGGGGAACTCTTATACACCATTAGTGGAATTGTAAATCAGTACAGTCATTATGGTATGGAGGTTCCTCGCAAAACTAAAGATAGAACTGTCATATGATTCAGAAATCCCACTACTGAGTACATATCCAAAGGAAATCAGTATATTGAAGAGATATTTGCACTATCATGTTTATTGTAGCACTATTCACAATATCCAAGATATGGAATCAACATAAATGTTCATCAATAAATGAAGGGCAAAGAAACTGTGACATAGATAGATAATGCCAAACTATTAGCCATGGAAATAGTGAAATCCTGTCATTCATGTAAACATGAATGATTCTGGAGGACGTTAAGTGAAATAATCCAGGCACAGAAATATAAACAGCACATGTTCTCACTCATATGTACGCAGAAGCTAAAACAGTTGATCTTATAAAAGTAGAGAGTAGAATAGTGGTAACTAAAGGCTGGGAAAAATATGGGAAAGGGGATAGAAAGAGGTTGGTTCTTGGAAATAAAATTACAACTAGACAGAAGGAATAAGTTCTAGTGTTCCAAAGCACTGTAGGGTGACTATGATTAACAATTTATTGTATATTTTCAAATAGGTAGAAGTGAGTATCTTGAATGTCCCCAAAACAAAGAAATGATAAGTGCTTGAAGTGATGAATTTGCTAAATACCTTTATTTTATTGCTACATGTTGTACAGGAGTCAAAATACCACACTGAAAGGCCAGGTACAGTGATTCATGCCTTTAATCCCAGCACATTGGGAGCCTGAGGCAGGAGGATCACTTGAGCTCAGGAGTTCAAGACCAGACTGTTCAACATAAAGAAAGCCCATTTATATAAAATATATAAATAAAAATAGCTGGGATCTTTGACATGTGCCTGTAGTACCAGCTACTTGGGAGACCGAGGTGAGAGAACTGCTTGAGCCCAGAAGTTTGAGGCTGCAATGAACTATGATCACATCACTGCACTCCAGCCTGGGCAACAGCACGAAACCTTGTTTTTAAGAACTATTTATCTATGAATACGTATCTTTTTATTGATATCTATCACACCATACCTCATAAATACGTACAATTATTATGTTTGCATTACAAATAATAATTAAAATCAATTAAAAATCTGACTCATATATTTAACTTGTGCTATTCTAAACTTCATCATAGCTTTGCACTAATTTGAGTATATGCTAAATGCTCACACTGAATAAGTGGATTAGATTCCAATAAAAAGATTAATAAGGGCTTCCCATTCACTCAGATTAATGTTCATGAAAAACAATGGAAATTAAATATAAGGAAGGCATCACATCTTGTAACTTACCAGCAAGCCCAGGGTAAAATGCAGTATCATTGACTATTAAAGTAATAAATCAATATACAATTAAGCTATACAACAGTAGAAATGTAAAAAAAGAAACAAAAAACCTATGATTTTTATTCTTATGATGTATATTTTGGGTACAATGTTTTATTTACTTTTAATTTTTGCAACTGTCTCAAGAGGAATATAAGATTATGTTCAGGTACAAAACTTTTTATTTTTTAAAACCAATAGTTATAATGCTATCATGTACAAGGCACTATTTATGCACTTCATAAATATGAATTTAATCTTACTGCAACCTTCTATGTAGATATGATTGTCACCCACTTCTTGCAGATGGAATCTGAAGCAAAGGGAAAAAAATTTGCTCAAGCTTTCACCATTTTAAGTGGTGGAGCAAGAATTCAAATCTAGTCATCCTGGCTTTAAAGTAGGTATCAGAGTGGTGAAGACATTAACTAAGGACAAGCAGTTAATAATTTAAAAGAAAGAAATATTAATATGAGGTCTGTTTGTAATATTGCCCTCAGACTCAGTCAAGAAAGTCCCGTGTCCTGACTTCCAAATTTCACATGGTTCTCTTATGGCCCTGCTTCTGTTGTATTCTTCTCCATGGAGAAATAAATGCATAGAGTAAAGGGCACATTTCACCTAGGAGCTGTTCCCAAACCTCCGGGAGCCCCCACACCGGTACTCAAACCTACACGGTTCTGCACACAAGGTTCATACCTGCTTATATAGTCGGCTCAAGCCTCTTCCCCAGCTCCCAAAAGTTGATCACACCTACAGTGTGCAAAACCTTAGGGCCAAGGAATTACCAAAGCTGGTTTTTGAGGGTATGCAAATTGAGCTTGGATATTCAAACTGAAAGACTTACAAATGTCCTCTTTAGGCCATTCCTGGTCAGTATGGAACAGACAACTAGGAAGAAATGGATGGGCCATGGCTTAGAGGCCTGCAATCAAGTCTTGTGTTTTTTACCATGTCCCTGGGAAGAACACTATGGTTTCCAAGACTCAAAATTACAACACAGGTCATTATGAAGACATTTGTCATGGTAGAAGGAAAGACAACATTTTATTTATTGTCTTTTCTTGCCCTGTACTTGGAAATATTGGGGGGTCGTCATTTTTGAAAAATACATTCCTATCCCTTATGATATACTATTTCTATAAATATAGTATAAAAGTATACGGATGAAAATAACAGAACACCCAATTTTAGTATTAATATAGTTGAGGAAATAAATGCTTTACCTTATCCCCTCAACTATATTTTACTGGACAGGTATTTCATGAGTTAATGTCACGCAAGAGAGTCTCAAAGCTGAGAATGGAGATGCAAGCTCATGATCAAAGAATAATGAGGTAACCCTTGAGTCATTTAGCCGGTAGTGCATTTAAAAACAGTACACCTAACTGTAATCGACTTCAGGTTTCTCAGCCTTTCTTCAGCTACTACCATTGTCTCAAACCTTTTGTTAAATGTAAGGAAACACATTGATACAAGTTTCTTTGGAAGTTTTTAATTATTGATTTTGAAACTTTTCCTTCTGAAATACCCTCCATATATTTTTGGGTTTCATTATATTTTTATAAAAGGAAGCAAAAGTTTTTCTAGTGATGCCAGCAGGTTAGAAATTTCTCTTATACTATGTCTCACAGTGAAGAAACAATATAACGATTGATCCAAAAATGCTTCCAACTTCAAAATAAGCATAACTGTTAAAAAATCAATATTATATTAGTTTTTATGTTAGCAGACAGATGCGAAGACTAGAAAACAAATATACTATACTAAGACTAACCTGAAAAAATAAGAAGATGCAATCATAAAAAAATCATAATTTCTTACCAAAAGGAGAACTTACAATACAAAAATAATTATTTTTTAATTAAAAGTTAAAATACTTCCATTTTAAACATTGAGTTTCAAAAATCGTAGTCATGCATGAGTATAAACAATGTACTACTCTACAGATCCAACTAGAAGATGAATGCTGTACGCCACGGGAAGAGGAAAAGCTAATACAGAAAAAAATTAGCAGCCTTTTATATTCCATTAAAAGCTCTGCTATGTGATAATTTATGATAGCTTTTTTCTTTGAAAATCATTATTTTATAACAGTGAAATGGAAGCACTTGTCATATCTAGCTAAGTCTCTTAAAAACATCCCAGTCATATAGGGAGAAGCCAAACTGGAATGCTTAATTAGAATTCAACTTTTTGTGACTTTTAAGTGTGCTTTTCAGCAGGTTGCTATTACAAGGTTCAGTTCAGCTGTCTAGTTAGAGACCACTGCGCTGACATACAAGGACACCTGTCTTCCTAAATCTCAATCTTTGCAGCTCATCCTTTCTAGTAGGTCAGAAGATATTTAATTTATGATATATCTCCTCAACTCTCTGTTTTTTATCAAAAACAGGCAATGAATATTTATTGCCATTTGGCACTGCAAACAAAAAAAGAAGTAGAAAATCAACAAAACTGTTGATTAACAATAAATTTCTGTAGGGGAAAGGAAACAATAAATTTCTGTAGGGGAAACACAGTCTATCACTTCATGGCATGCACATACAGTCCCCAGAATGAGGATGTTTAGACAAACAGAAGATTATCTGCATGTTTCAGTTTTATGTCAAGTAAAAGACAAAAGAGAACAACTTACGTGGGCCATATTTGGTTATTCAAAGAAACACTTAGGAAAACAGAGGGTTGTAGAATTTTAGCATCAATTTCTGAACTTCTTACTTACATTGTTTTATTGTGTAAGCTGTGATTAAATAATGCAAGAAACAATTAAAAAGTAAACAATTTCAACAAATATTTGATTTGTTGGATGTAACAATATGACTAACGTTTCACCACCACCGTTACCCACCGAATGAATAAATTTGGAAACTGACTAGTCTCATCACAGCAACCTCAAAACTGATGTGGCTAAATGCTAATCAAAAGACGATTTTTGAAATGTTTGTTTTCAGTGGTGAAAATAGATTTTTCTTCCAGTGTGAGATATTACACTTCATACTAGCATGAACACACTTAGATGGCAACATATAAATAGATAAACATGTTTATTTATATGCTTGGAGAGAAAAGAATAGTTAACAGTATCAAATTTGTTTCTATAATTTTGTCAAAAATTCATTAAAGTTTTTTTTTTCTTTTAGCTTCAAACAAAACTTTGATCCTATATTGGGGTTTGCTAAATCTGACTTTTGAGAGAAAATGCAATAAGAGTGAAATTTAGACAAGCTTCAAAGAGCAATTTATCAAGGAAAAAACAGGAAAAAATTAGAAATAAATGTACAAAGCAACACATTTCAAGAATCTGTACATTCTTTTTTTTTCTGTGACTAGTTAGCCTTTTGGCCAATTCTTGCTAGATAGCATATTTATGAATATTAATGTCTTATTTATGTCTACACCATTCAACAAATGATATCAGGGTAAACTTTCTATGTGAATGCAAATGGATATGAGAATTGATGGTGCTGGCTACTGAGATAAAACAATAAGTATAGCGTAACTTATTTCTTTCCAGAAATTAACAATTTTATCTTTATAATTATGCTGTTTTGATAGAGAAACAAGTATGGGGACACAGTATATCACCATTAAATGATATGGACTCTGTTGTGTAGGAAGAATTCAGATTATGGGTTACAGAGTCATCTCTGGACCAGGCCCATGGATTTCAGTGATTTTACATAATCACACTCAGTAAAGTTAAGAATTTTATCATAGTTTCCCTTATAAGTGTACCAACTAAGAAGATCAACAGTTGTTTTGAGTTAGTTTGATTTTAGTATCAAGATTACAGAAGTGGAAAGCAGATTTTGTTCATATCTGTATGTTTCTAATTCATCAATTAACATCATCTGGTATCTTCACCTCGAGTTCCAGAATTTCTAAATCTATATGTATATTCTGCAATAATTCTTAATGTCCATATTCTTAATTTTAATACTAATTTTGAAAAATAGCATTTATGCAAGGTTTATACTGTATAACATACTGCTCTCAATATTTGTCACATATTAACTTATTAAATCCTTGTAAGATTTTATATTATATGAGGCAAATAGTATAATTATGCACCAATTTACAGGTGAGGTCTTTATTATTGGAGTAATAAATCCCCACTTAATTAATTGATTAAATCATTTCCTTATCTACAACTGTTTAATATCTATTATGTTCTAGGCATTAAAATGGACAAGAGGGCACAACCCCCAATAAACTATTCTCTCTTTTCACAGAGCTTATAGTCCAGTAATGGAGCAGTGAAATTAACCAACAACTACAATATAGTTAGTTCTAATAAGTGTATGTAGAGACTACCTTAAGGTCACCAAAAGGGCCCATCTAAGATGACAGTGATGGTCTTGAAACACTTTCTAGTGTATGAACCTCTGGTGCTTGATTGTATGTGTCAACTTCATTTCATTATGAGATTCTCAGTTTAAGTATTATTTCTGCATGTGTCTGTGAGAATGTTTCCAAATTAGATCAGCATTTGAATCAGTGGATTCAGTAGATTGCCTTCCCCAATGTGAGTAAACACCATCCAATCTGTGGAGGCCAGTAATAGAATTGAAAGGCCAAGAAAGCAGAAATTTGACTCTTCTTTCTGCCTGCCTGCTTGAGCTGAGACGTCAGTCTTCTGCCCTTGGACTGTAATTTACACTGTTCACTCACCTGGTTCTCAGGCCTTCAGACTCAGACTGAATTACACCACAGGCTTTCCTACATCTCCAGCTAGCAGACTGTAGACTGTGGGACTTTTTGTCCTTTTTAATTATGTGACCAATTTCTCATAATTAAATCTTTATATATAAAATAGGATATATACATATCTCCTCAACGAAGTAATAGCTATGTTGAAAAGGGTTTATTTAGGGATCAAAAGTCATTCCAGGCAAAAGGAATACTGTCTATGAACATAATTTAATTATTTGCAAGCAGTCTTTGCCTGTAGCCATTTGAATTTTTATTATTTTATTTTATTTTAAGTCCTAGAACATATGTGCAGGATGTGCGGGTTTGTTACATAAGTAAATGTGTGCCATGATGGTTTACAGCACCTATCAACCCATCAAATAGGTATTAAGCCCAGCATGCATTAGCTGTTTATCTTGATACACTCCCTCCCCCTGCCCTCACCCACGGGCTCCAGTGTGTGTTGTTCCCCTCCCTGTGTCCATGCGTTCTCATTATTCAGCTCCCACTTATAAGAGAGAACATGCAGTGTTTGGTTTTCTGTTTCTGTGTTAGTTTGCTGAGGATAATGGCTTCCAGATCTGTCAATGTGCCTGTAAAGGACATAATCTCATTCCTTTTTATGGCTGCATATTATTCCATGGGGTATATATACCACATTTTCTTTATTCAGTCTATCACTGTTGGGCATTTGGGTTGATTGCATGTCTTTGCTATTGTGAATAGTGCTGCAATGAACATATGTGTGCATGTATCTTTATAATAGAATAACTTATATTCCTTTGGGATATACCTAGTAATAGGATTGCTGGGTCAAATAGAATTTCTGATTCTAGGTCTTTGAGGAATCGCCACACTGTCTTCCACAATTGTTGAACTAATTTATATTCCTACCAACAGTAAAACCATTCCCATTTCTCCACAGCCTCACCAGCATCTGTTGGTTCTTGACTTTTTAATAATCACCTTCTGACTGGTGTGAGATGTTACCTCATTGTGGTTTTGATTTGCATTTCTCTAATAATCAATAATGAGCTTTTTTTTCACAATTGTTGGCCGCATGAATGTCTTCTTTTAAGAAGTGTCTGTTTTTGTCCTTTGCACAATTTTTAATGGGATTGTTTGTTTTATTCTTGTAAATTTGCTTAAGTTCCTTATAGATTCTGGATATCAGACTTTTGTCAGATGGATAGATTGCCAACATTTTCTCCCATTCTGTAGGTTGTCTGTTCACTTGGATGATAGTTTCTTTTGCTGTGCAGAAGCTCTTTAGATTAGTTAGAACCCATTTGTCAATTTTACTTTTGTTGGAATTTCTTTTTGATGTTTTCATCATGAAGTCTTAGCCTGTGCCTATGTCCTGAATGGTATTTCCTAGATTTTCTTCTAGAATTTTTATAGTTTTGGGTTTTACATTGAAGTCTTTAATCCATCTTGAGTTAATTTTTGTATAAGGTGTAAGGAAGGGATCCAGTTTCAATTTTCTGCATATGGCTAGTCACTTTTCCCAGCACCATTTATTAAATAAGGAATCCTTTCCCCATTGCTTGTTTTTGTCAGGTTTATTGAAGATTAGATGGTTGTAGATGGGCAGTCTTATTTCTGAGTTTTCTATTCTGTTCCATTAATCTGTGTCTTTTTCTGCACCAGTACTAAGCTGTTTTTCACTGTAGGCGTGTAGTATAGTTTGAAGTCAGGTAGCATGATGCCTCCACCTTTGTTCTTTTTGCTTAGGATTGTCTTGGCTATACAGGTTCTTTTTTGCTTTCACATAGATTTTAAAGTAGTTTGTTGTTGTTGTTGTTGTTATTGTTTGTTTTTGAGCCAAGGTGTCACTCTTGTCACCCAGGCTGTAGTGCAGTGGTGTGTTCTCAGCACACTGCATCCTCCTCCCTCCAGGCTCAAGTGATCCTCCCACCTCAGCTTCCTGAGTAGCAGGGATTACAGATGTGTGCCACCATGCCCAGCCTGTAATATGTGTTTTACATATAATTTAAAAAGTGGAAAACTAAAAGCTTTGAACCCATGTTCAAAGATTGAGATTTGTAAGTCTGATTCTAAAAAGAGAAATGATATAAGTGCAAAATTTTAACAAACATGTCTGTAGCTTTCTAATATGCTAACAGTGACCCAGAGTCTAAGATTACATATACAAAAAAATGATTTTTATATGCTCTTGATATCTCCAGCATTATATAAGTTTTTAAAGACACTTTTTAAATTAATATAATCTCTTCAGAAAAAAATGAGAAAATACTCAGCCAAGCCATATGGACACATATTATTATCGGTTCTGTATTTTGTATTTTTGTGTATGCATATGAAATGTGCTGCAAATTTATTATAAGCTTATTTTTCAACACAAAAATAATGATAAACAGATATACATATTAATAGGAAACAACATAAATATATAAGAGAATGGCATAGGGAATTATGGAATATCAATAAAGAAAAATACAATATTAAAAATTACAGTTTCACAGACACAGAGGAAAGTCTTATTCATTTTATAAAACCGAAATATACAAGGTGGCTGCAAATATGTAAATAGCATATGCATATGCATGTGTGAGTCTGTTTTCCATTGCTATTGTAAAACATTACCACAACATAAGTCATCTAAAACAATATAAATTTATTACTTCCCAGTTCTGAAGATCAGAATTTCTACACCAGTCTCATTGGTTTAAAAGCATGGTAACCACAGGATTGTTTTCCTTACTAACATCTCTAGAGAGCATCAGCATTTAAGCTCATTCAAATTGTTGGCTGAAAACAGTTCCACATGGTTGTAGGACTAAGGTCCTCATTTCCTTGCAGGCTATTTTCTGGAGATTGTTGCCAATCTCCAGAAGCCATCCACATTCCTTGGTTCATTGTCTCTTCCTCTTTCTTCAAAGGCAGAAACATCAATAGAGTCTTTCTCATTAACGAGAATTATAACATCTTTTAAAACCCTGTAACATTATCTGGTCAAGAGTGTATTTTATAGCCAAACAAAATAGTGAATGAAATCTTATCCAGTCAAAGAAATAAAGAGCAAGGTACTATTTAACTACTTTTGCCTAAACTCTAACATTCTATAAACTCTTTGAGAGATTAACTATAATCCTGTCACAAAACTTTGTGAAGCAACACTTATGTATGCAGAAGCACAAAATAATGCTCAGAGATTATCTAACATTTGTGAAAAAACAAAGAAATCCCTAAAATAGAAGAATGTATTTGGAGACTCATAAAAGTAAAACCCTAAAGTCTCAGTGAAACTCAAAATCTTATCTGGATGTCTAGTCATATTCAACGTTTCTTCCTGTATTATTTCTGCAGTTGCTAAAAAAAGGTTTATTGCTATGGATGTACTTAACATATTTTAGAAATTTGTATCCCTAAAGGTTATACTAGCCATACACACCACAATTTCTAGAACTTAAATAATATAGTCCACAGATAAAAGTAAACCACTGTCTCCTAGTTAATTATGTTTTGGTGTGAGACATCCTAATGCCAGATCAGTTTAAATTATCTTTTTAAATGAGGGAGAGAGAGATTACTTCAGGGAGAGATGACAAGTAATTGTTTATCTGAAGCACATATGGCCAGACACCAAAGAGACTAAGTCAACTAGCATAGTTAATTAATCACTATAAGACAAGATGTGGGTGGTTTAATGCAGAGTTCTTGGGCCAAAGATATAGGAGAGATTTATGTATTTTATTAAATATATATATACATACATATATTTCTTCCCCAAAACATGCTCACAGAAAAACAAGTGGCAAGAATCCTAAGCACATATGCCCCCGCAACAGAGGGAAACAGCAATCACTGAAGGAGCACAAAATCCTGCTTGGATTTTGTTTGTTTGTTTTTTGTTTTATTTCGTTTTAAACTGTGGACCAAAGCTTCATTATGGGATGAGAATACAGTTAGGAAAGCCAAAATTAACAGCTGATGCTGACAAGTTGGGCATTCAGCAGTGACAATAGTTTTAGATCAGTTTGGAAGAGAAGGGTTCCATGCAGTTGAGATAATGCATCACTTCCATATTTGCCACCAGGGCTGACTCATTCATTATCCCATTGCACAGTTACAGAATCTCCCAGAGTAAATTGGCTGATGTCAACTGGAGGAGTAATCCTTTCCACTTAATTATGTAGTAACTTTGCTACAATGAATGTTGTCTACTAGGAAGAGTTATGATCCAAAGATGCACATCCTGTTGACCAACTCTCATAGATCCATTCACGTGCCTCTTTCACCAACTTTTTTGTCCCTAATCTAACTTTCCTTCTCTTTAGCTCTAGAACAATCAACAAAATCATTCTTTCCCATTCATGAATTCATATATATCATGAACTTTAGCTACTTCTTTTCTACATGAGATGTACAATAAATTACAGTAACCAAGTACATCTATAGGAAGACTTTTTCCTTACTATGTTCTTTAGTATCATTCACAGTAAGAGTTTAGTGATACAGCAATTCATTTGTGGCTTGTACCTACATATGGTAGATAATTCATGTCTGAACCAACTTTGAGATTTACTTCTTTTGAAAGGAATTATAAGAGACATCTTATTATAAAATAGGTATGAGCTGAGGAAGAGACATTGACCCCAGGGTGATAGGTGACATAGGGAATGGAGCAACTTGTTCATGGAACTTCCTTATGACTTCCAGACCTGTTCAAGCTCAATTTCATATGTGCCACTTTTATTTTACAATCTATTGCAGTAGGGCTCATCAGAACTTATGAGTTGGTGGTAACACAACCCAGCTCACAATGGCCTATTCAGACTACATAGTCATGTGAGGTCTTAGGTCAGGCACTCCATCTCTATCAAAGTACAGTCTCATACAAGAGCAACGATCCTTTTTTTCTACCTATCTTTTTCCTAGATCCATCATTTTCTCCATATTTTATTAACAATCTCCAAAAAACTGTGGCTGAGGATACTTGGCTGCCATTCTGATCTTGCTGAATATTGCATTAATTATGCCCCAAATAATGCAGTAGCTTACAGGATATAAAACTACCTAAGAGTTGAAGATTCTCAAGTTTCTTTATACACATTCTCCACCATCTGAAGTTTCAAGGTCCCACTATTTCCCTACTACTTTTGTGATTTTGCCATTTTGTATATGCCCCAACTAAGAATCCATCTTTGATACCTTGATAATCTTCCATTAGGTTGTGTTTCTGGGTTTTTAGATCTATCTTATGTGAAGCTGCAGAAGATGAGTGTGTCTTTAAATGTTACAGATGAGGCTCTCCAATTCTCACATTTTGCTTTAAATTGTGAATCAGTAGGGCTGAGACTCATTTTGCTCTTCGGTGAATTAATTGCACTTATTAAAAATCACTAAATTCCAGACTACGCAATGGTTACCAATCCTCCCATGCTTCTCAGTTTCCAGGGACATAAGCTAACCAGGCATTCTCTTTACACTTTATCTGATCTAAGCTCACTACAGGTAAACATCTTGGCAAATACATTGCTATAGCTTTCCAGGGACTTACAAAACTCCATTTACTACCAATAATAATACCCTCATTACCACTGTTTGTTGAATGATTTACTTCTTTAATCTTATCCTTATAGTCTGTTTCATAGGGCCACAAATGGCATCAACTCTTTTATAATAAAGTTCCTAGAGACAGAGGTAAAGATAAGATTTTTTTAAAGTTCTTTATAAACAGAGGTTTCTCGGGGGTGGGACAACTGAAAAACAAAACCATAAGTTAGAGAATAAAACAAAATAAGAAAGTCAAACAAACAAACAAACAACAACAACAAAAAAGAAAAAATGCTGAGTAACAGTACAATGTCAGGAAATGCTTACCTTTGTCTTAATTCACAGGGGGAGATATCTGTAAATAAATTAACCACCAGTATTGTTCTCTTTGAAGGCATGGAAGTCCCCTTTATGTACCTGTAGCAATCAATCACTGGCTGTGGGTCATTCAAAGAAAGGAGGTCAGTGTAACTTCCAGGGTTAGAAAAAGCTCTAGTCAGTGAAGGGCAATTGTCTAGAGAAGGAAGTACGCTGTGGGCCATCAGAAACTGACAGCAACTGGGGAATGGGCATGCCAGCCAGGAAAGGAACTATTGGAAGTTTTAGCACAGGGTATACATGGGCAGAACCTCTCTCTCTTTCTGTCTGTCTCTTTCTGTCTCTACCCTACCGTTTTATAAAAACCATGCACACACACACCCACAGTCTTGCTTCTTGTTTTGAATAAGAGCCAGCTATTGTTTAGGCAGTGAAAAATAAAATATAAATAAAATGACAAGAACTCACTGAGATACCAACTTAGTGGTATTAAATTTTGAAGTGTGTAGGAGACAAGTTCTAAAAGTGATATAGAGAAAGACACAAGGATAAGGTTTGAAGCAAGTACAAATTTGAACTTATCCTGCCCTCACAGTGACTGACTGTCAAGAAGACTGGATCAGACAATTTAATAGGCCATCTTAAACTTTATCAGCTCTTTCTGAGAGTTCTATGCCAGATCTCCAACAAATAAACAAAATACTAGGAAAACCACATAGATAAATTCCCAGTACATCTGTGAGGCATTCTCGCATAAAACGGATATTTCAAAACATAACAGAGCTGAGTTAATCACTGAATGTAAAATGAAATATTAGATAGAATTATCCACATAGACTACATGGCCGTAGTCACCAAAATTTTAATGCTCTACTATAGAAGTCAGCAAATTACAATCATAGGTTAAGTTCAGCTCATGACCTGGTTTGTTTTCGCTTTTTTTTTCTTTTAACAACACGTGAGATAAGAATAATTTTTTACCTTTCAAACGGTCATGAAAGAAGAAACTCAATACAGGGTCTGGGACAGGACTGTATATGGCTTTCAAAGCCTAAAGTATTTGCTATCTGGCCTTCATAGAGAGCATGTTTTGAGGCTTCTATAATTCAGATATGATTCAGGTCTCTTTAAAAATTTCTTTCACCAAAATTTCTTTCACTGTAAGAAAGCAGAGCAGCAAACACTCTTTAGTTTTAGGACATACTCCATATCCTCAACTTCTACTGATATTGCAGTTGGACCATGAGTAGTGAGAATAAATTCTTTTATATGTTATTCTTTCTTGAATATGTTATGGCCACAAATGCTCAATAAAATATTACAAAAATGTGACACCCATAATTTCTGTATAGTCCATTGTTTGTCACACTTCTGAATGCAAAGGAATCACCTGGAATTTTTATTAAAATATGGATTTCTAAATTATATCCCAAGAAATTTCAAATGTGTTATATATTATGTAGGTCACAGATATTGGCGTTTTAAGCACAACCTGGTGATCCTGATGCAGCTGGATCATAAACTGCACTTTGAAGACTACACACAGAATAGAAAGAATATAGGTTTTAAAGTCAGAAAAATTTAGATTTAATGGTTTACTCTTTAAGTAAAACAATAATTTGAGCCCATTGAATACCTAAACATTATGTTTCAGCTACTCTTGTAAGTGTTGAGCAGTGAACAAATCCAAACAAAAAAATCTCCACTCTCATGTCACTTACATGTGAATTGATATAAATAGATTAAAAGAAATTAAGTAAAATATATAGAATGTCAGTTCGATGAGTGCTCTGGAGTAGAAGATCTCAAGTGAGAAAACAGCTAATACGGAGTTTGGCACATTCAAGAAATAAAATGGTAAAGAAGCAGTGAGGATACAAAGGAACCTCAGACTGCTGTGTGAAGAATAAACTGTAGGGACTGCGTAAGCAGAATAATGGCCTCCCACATGTCACCTTAAATAACAAAAAGAATTTTAAAGATGCGATGAAGATAAGGATCTTGAGATGTGGAGATTATCCTGGATTACCCAGGTGTGTCCAACGTAATCATAAGGGTACTTATAAGTGAATGATGGAGGCAGGAGGGTAGGAATCAAATAGAGATCTGAAGATGGTATGCTGTTGGCTTTGAGAATGGAGGAGGGAGCCACAGCCAAAAAATGAAGGTGACAATTAGAAGTTTAAAAAGGCAAGAAAAAGATTCTTCCATAGAGCACCAGGAGAGAGTGTGAGCCCTGCTGATGCCATGATTTTAGCCCACTTAGACCTATTTTGACTTCTGGCCTTCACAAATGTAGGATTAAAAATTTGTGTTTGTGTAAACCATGAAGCCTGTGACACTTTGCTACAGCAGCCACAGGAAAGTGGTGCAGGAAGTAAAGACATTAACACGGAAGATAAGTTGGGAGGTTATTGCATTAATTCAAAAAATAATAAAGGATTGACTTAACATAATAACAAAAAATTGGTATAAAATTATTGAATTGTAGATACTGTCTGGTAATTTGAATGAAGGATCAAAATGATTTACAAATGAATTGCATGTTAGCTGTAAGAGAAAGATGAAGGTCAATGATGACACTGAGTAAGATACTAGAAATAAGTTATTGCCAATTATTAAAATGGAAAAAATGTGCAAGAAGTAGGTGGAGGACATGCTTCTTGCACATTCAGTTGAGTATATCAAATACTCCAAGTAAGTATGTCATCCAAGTGAGTATGTCAAATAACCATTCAAATCTGATTGCAGGGATAAAATCTGGGCTCGACAGATAAATTGGTAACCACTTTTAAATAGCATTTAAGGCCAGGACAGTGAAGAAAACCATCAAATGGAGTGAGTGAAGATAGAAACGAGATCCAAAACCTGAGCTCTGGGTCATTCCAGCTTTTGGATATTGTAAAAGTAGCAATGAACTGGCAAAGTAAACTAAGAAGCAGCAACACAGGAGGTAAGATTAATGAAACAGGTGTCTGTGCTGCCAAGCCTGGTGAAGGATCTCAGAGAGCAAAAGTGAACAAGTGCATAGAATGTTCACGAGAAGTCAACGTGGGGACTGAGAAGTAACTATTGGCTTTAGCAGTGTGTAGGTCAATGGGACCTTGGCAACGGTAATTCCAGTGAAATGTTAGGGAAAAAAAATCTGATGGGAGTGGGTGTGAGCAGCTCTTTGCTAATTTTAAAACCATGGACACATTTTTTAACCTCTGTAAATGTCAGCTTCCTCCTCCATAATATGAGATAATTATTCATATGTTAAAACAATTTCTGTGAAGATTAAATGATATAGTGCTTACAAAGTATGTCTTAAAACTTCTGGCGCATACTGCTAAAAACATGTCAGCTATTTTCCTTTCCTTTCTGTCCTCCTACTATATTCCAGTGAAATAAATATCTTTTCTATTATGTATATTTCATAAAATGAATATGGAATAAACTGCAGATTTGTATGATCCAGATAAGAGGTACATTTACTCTACACTTTAAGACATCAACTTAATCAACTTAATCTCCCATTGCTTGGTTCTTGGAAAGTCCAGTGACCGCTGAGGAATTTCTATAAATTTCCATGAGTTCACATTTTCAGAGTTACCACTGGTCTGAATATTTAGCTCTCTCTTGATCAGTTCATCCTATGGATAGTCATTCTCTGTATCAGGTATGGATGTGTTCAGCTGCAAATATTTTAAAATCCAACAAATAATGTCTTAACATTAAAAAAAAAAATGTTTAACTCTCTTTATGAGAAAATCAAGCGTAAGGATTTTAGCCCAGTAAAGAAGTGCAGTCATGACATAGGGAAGCAAACAAAAGCACCCTAGACTTTAGCTTTATCATGCAGGTATTTGTTCTCCAGACTTTTACCTCATAATCACAAAATGACTGCTGTGCCTCCAGAGCCAGATATTACGCAGACAGGAGAAAGCAGAGGAAAAAAAGGAAAACATGAGCCTGTCAGCCGAATTTAGTATGTTTTTTACTGTTTATTTTTATTTGACATATAATAATTGTGCATACATATTTATGGGTACATAGTAATATTTTGATATGTATAATGTATAGTGATTAGATCAGGATAATTAGCATATCCGTCATCTCAAACATTTATCATTTCTTTGTGTTGACAACATTCAATACTCTCCTCTGAAAATATATAATATTATTATTGCTAACTGTAGTCATCCTACAGTGGTATAGAACACCAGAACTTACTCCTCCTATCTAGTTTTAATTTTGCATCTTTTAAGAAAACCCCTCCCTAAAAGAACATTCTTGTAAGTAGATTTCTTTTTTTCCTTTTCTTTAATAACAATTTTTCCTAAATCTATTACCAGGGCAGATTACATGAGGCTGCAGATTAGACCAATGTTTACTAAGGTGTGTTGGATGTATAACTGGGCATAAAAAAAGATGGTTTTGCTTTTCTATCCAACTTGCTGCTCTGTGTCTTTTAGTTGAGGACCATAGCTGACATATCAAATAATTATGCTATGAATATGACTGCTTAAGCCTAAGCTATATAAAACCATTCATTTCAAGGACTAGTTAGTAAATAATAGTTGGGGTGGTATTTTGTAACGTTTGTTTAAACGTTTGTTGTAACGTTTGTTTAAACATTATAAAGTTAACATGAGAATGACTAAATCTGAGGAACATTAGATTAGGCCATATTAGGCTATTCTAGATCTCCCTGGAGTCACAAGGCTGCAACCTCAGAGGCACCCTGGCCATTACCAAGTAGGAAAGACCAGGTCTTGCAGATCCACAAAAGGGTTCACAGAAGAATATGGCAGAAATGTGGAATTGAAGAAAGTGGCCTGAGAATTCAGCAAAGAAGACATAAGCTACGTAACTGTTCATGGGATCCGGGGTAAAGCTTAAGTAGGGTCCCCTCTGCCCTCCCCAAAAATCCTCTGCTTCCTTCTTTTTGCACTTTTTTGAAAGATCAGTCCATCTGTGGTCAAAGGATTTCTTTCTTGTCTCTGACTAGGTATTGTGCTATTGGTTTTAAAAGCAGGGTCATGTTCTCTTAGGACCAGAATCAGGAGAGATGTCCATATTACCTGGGTGCTTGGAGTTTGGTCTGGGAGGCAGAGCTGAAAGTTATTTCTCCCTTCAAAAGCATCTTGGGGCTTGGTTTCAGGAGCATCAATACCCTACATGCCATAGCCACTTCAAACAAACTACCGTGTTGTTCCTGACATCTTCAAATATAGTGCAATACTGGATATTAGACTCTTCTAATAATCCACTTGATAATGTCAAAAACTTCAATGACAGTTAAATTTATTTTATTTTATTTTATTTTATTTTATTTTATTTTTGAGACAGAGACTTACTCTGTCACCCAGGCTGGAGTGCAGTGGCACAATCTCAGCACACTGCAGCCTCTACCTCCTGGGGTTCAAGCAATTCTCGTACCTCAGCCTCCCACGTGGCTGGGACGATAGGCATGCACAACCACACCCAGCTAATTTTTGTATTTTTAGTAAAGATGGGGTTTCACCATGTTTGCCATGCTGGTCTTGAACTCCTGGCCTCACATGATCTGCCTGCCTCAGCCTCCCAAAGTGCTGGGATTATAGGCGTGAGCCACTGCACCTGGCCTAGAATTTATTTTTAATGATGACTTCTGATATAATGGCTCCCTTGACCAAAACCTTATATTTGCAACTCCAAAACAAATAGACATACGTATATACACATAAATATGAATATTCCTGTATACACAACACAGACATACATGCACACACACACATGCACACATACACACACACGCACACACCTCTATGTGACATCTAGAATAAAATTAATGTCGTTATTGTTGTTTTAGACATAGGGATTATGTAGTTGAACACACTTGGAAGTATATTGAAATTAACCAGGCTAATTATTTTGCATAACATTCAATACAATTGTTATACAAATAAACTCATTTTAGTATACTGATACTGTTTGGCTCTGTGTCCCCACTTAAATCTCATCTCGAATTGTAATCCCCACATGCCAAGTGAGGGACCCAGTGGGATGTGATTAGATCATGGGGATGGTTATTCCCATGCTGTTCTTATGATAGTGAGAGAGTTATCATGCAGTCTGATGATTTTAAAAGCAGCAGTTTCCCCCGCACTCTGTCGCTCTTCTGCTGCCTTGTGAAGAAAATGCTTGCTTCTTCTTTGCCTTCCGCCACGATTGTAAATTTCCTGAGGTCTCCCCAGCCATGCAGAACTGTGACTCAATTAAACCTCTTTCCTTTATAAATTACTCAGTCCCCAGTAGTATCTTTATAGCAGTGTGAAAACGGACTAATACATATACTCATGTAAATGTGTTGAAAGGAATATACCCTATCCATGTTAAAAACAACAACAACAAAAAAGAAAACAACAACAACAAAAAAAACAGGCATCTCTGGAAGCCTAGACTGAAGGTTTAGTTCTGTAGTTCTCCATAAGGCTCAATGAAGCCCTCGACCAACTGGGGACATTTGATAATGTCTGGAGACATACTGGTCATCACAACTGAGCAGGGGTGAGGCACCACTGACGTCCAAAGGGTAGAGGCTAGGGCTTCTGCTCCCATTGTACAATGTGCAGGAAAGTTTCAACAACCAAGAACTAACCTACCCAAAATATCAACAGTGTGGAAGTTAAGAAACTGTTCTAGAAGGATATTTTGATTTTGGTCATTCAATTCAGCATCTTAGCACCTGCGACTTCTGGCTCTAAGCAGGCTTTTACAGAAAGTGACTTTGTAAAGGCTTTTGTTCTAACATCTCTTCTGATACTGTCTTTTTCAAAGCCAAACATTACAGAATAAGTTAGCTTAGTTTTCTATTTTTGATTTTCATTTTGTTTTGTTTTATATCTCATTGGCTCACAACTGTAGTCATTGCTATGGAGCTAAAATCCAAATAAACCAATGCTTTGCCTAATTCAGCTTTTTGTTGTTGACAGAAAATTTACTTGTTGCATTTAAGGAATTGCAACTCGGCCTGGGTGGGTTTTGAACATGTTTCTCTGTGTATTTGTGTGCGTGCGTGCCAGTATCTTCTGCTTGCCGATTTGGATCTGCCTCCACCCTTTGCTACCTCCCTCTCTGCCCTGGTGTGCTGATTTGCATCAATTGCATTCAGGTTTTCTTGGAATTTCACCAATGGGGATGCCAAAATGAAGTCTGTAAGGAGAAAGAGGAGTAAGGTTAATGCATTTCTTCCCCAACTCCTTCTGTGTAAAGTAAACCTTCTTGAATCACATTACTTTTGAGTATCTCATCTCTTTCCTGATAGAGGTCAGAGTAATTCAGATTTTGAGTATCTGTGTGTCTGTGTGTATATAGTGCATAGCTTTTCCTTTATATTATGCCCATCTAAATGTTCTAACATAACCACAAGAAGTAGTCCCAGAGAGAAAAAAATAAAAATAAAAATACAAACAACAGTTCAAACACGATAGAGCAAGAAAGATAACAGTGCATGTAATCAGTTATATAACTCTTGTAATGCAAGTCTCAATTATCTTTGTTCTGTTAACATGTAAGCATTGGCAATATTTTTTCAAGTTAGAAAACTAAAGTTAAACACAAACTATGAATATCCGCTTGTGGTAAAATTCAGCACTGCTATATCATATTGCCCTTTTGTCCTATCATATACTTGACATATGTCTCTTCCAGTCCTTTCACAGCCTGCATCTGGAATAGAAGTAGCCTTCTAAATCATGACCCAATCTTCAACATTTCCATACTATCATATTCAGCAGTAAGTTGCTATTCTAAAATATCTAGTGGATTATTTATCTTCCCTGATAAAAATATTGTATTTCACATTTTCCTACTGAGTACTGCCTAATCTCCTCAATTTGGTCAGCAAGGTTTTGTGTAATCTGACCTCAAACTTCCCGTCTTTGTCTGACACATACATGTGTCTTTATGAGTATAATCTACCCACATTAGACATGACAAACACAGTTTATAGCACCTTGAGAAATATCCACTGAACATTCAATTCTTTTTTTTTTTTTGAGAGGGAGTCTTGCTCTGTTGCCCAGGCTGGGGTGCAGTGGCGTGATCTTGGTTCACTGCAATATCTGCCTCCTAGGTTCAAGCAATTCTCCTGGCTCAGCCTCCCGAGTAGCTGAGACTATAGGCGCATGTCACCATGCCCTGTTAAATTTTTGTATTTTTAGTAGAGACAGGGTTTCCTCATGTTAGCCAGGCTGGTCTCGATCTGCTGACCTCGTGATCCACCCGCCTCGGCCTCCCAAAGTCCTGGGGTTACAGATGTGAGCCATCGTGCCCAGCCACATTCAATTCTTGATAACCATAGTTATCTGTTAACGGTTCTTTCAAGTAAAAATGTTGTGAATTTTTCGCAAGGAAATGCGGCTAGTCCAACTGGATGTGTTTCCATCATAGCCGGATTTGTAATATAAGTGTTTTATACATACTTTCTGTTTTAATACACAAGTGTATATAAAAGAGTCAAGAATTAATAAGATTAATATTTTTACTACTTCTTAAGCAAAGCATAAGTGAAGTATACCATGACTATTAATATAATCTGGTGCTATTATCTTGACTAAAGCTGAAGCACCATCAGTTTCCCCATTATTATTTTTATATCATCAGTGGAAATATAAGCATGGAGAAAAAGGCAATAATATCTTAATATTACCAAGGAAACTTTTTTTAACTAAGAGACCCCCCGTACAAGATTCTCAGGGGTCGATTGACCAAATTTTTTAAACCCTGCTATAAAACCTAAATAGATATTTGATCCTTCAAGCTGCTTCCTACTGTCTTCGAAATCATGGGTGGTTTCTAACAAAACTTAAGAAGTTACTAGTTGAGGAAAATAAAAGTAGAACCATAATCCTTATGTTCTGGTCTTCCACCTTGTTTGCCCAAGGTTTTCATTGTATGTCTTCAATTCCATGTGTGCATGTGGAAGTGGAACCAAGACGTTGCTGCTCTCTGGAGCTTTAAGTTTTCCATCTGTGTTTGCACAGTGTTTTACATGGCATATGGGAGTTTCTGTCACACTGATTACAGCTATTCATTTGCATGTCTTTCTCCTTTGGTAGAAAGCGAGCTCCTGAAAGGTAGGAAGGTTGTTTGATTCATACTTTCACTCCAATACCTAGAGTTGGCACACAGTAGACGTACAAAAATAAATAAGCAAACAAAAAATGAATTTAAAAGTTCTGGAGCATTGGAGTTTACAGCTGTGACTGTGTTCTCATTGTAATTACTATAGAATGAAATAATAATGGTAGAAATCTTCTGTTGAGGACTTACTATATTTCAAGCATGGTCCTAGGTCTTTGCGTGGATCTCACTTAATTGCTACATGAATTCTTTGCATTCATAGATTGTTATTCCCAACTGCTCCCCATCTGCATTTTGTAGAAACAAAAGTTGAGAATTAAAAGGTGAAGTGATTTTTTTTTAATCCTGCAATCACCAAATATTGGAGTCAGTATTCAGTTATATGGTATCTTAATGTCACAGACTTCACATATGAGAAGAAAAGCATTCTGGGTGTTTGTGTGTTGTTAGATGAAATAAACATGCATGTTGATCTGACAGCATCAGGTGACTTTATTCCATGCTGGCAGGGGACTGCTAAACATTAGACAGCTGTAAGTTGATTTTCATGATTTTTCTATGGCTCTGACTTGTGTTCTTGTGATTTTTATTGAAATGTATATGTGTGTGTGTGTGTGTATATATATATACACATACATATATATGTGTGTGTGTGGGCTAGCAAGGAATTCTGTGCCAGTCTACTAGAAGATCACTGGTTCTCTTTGGCCTTAAGAGAAATATTATTCCCAAACTATTATAACTTGGGGTTACTAAATACATGTCTGATAGAAAATCTGCCCACATATATATCTGTGTGTGTGTGTACATATATATATACACATACAGATATATATATATAGCTGTATGAAACCACCTTTATCCTGATCCTTTGAGCCTCTTTCTGAAAAGCATGTCTAAACTTGTGTCATGTAGCCTGTCTTGTAATATTTTGTTCGAGGATCTTACAGAGTAACAGTCAGTGACCAGGGCTGAGGAAGAGAGAAAAAAAAAAAAAAAAAAGCCTGAAGAGTAGCATCTCGGCTCATTAATGGGAAATACAACCTGAATGAACTTTTCCTGCTCAGGAACTATGATGTTCTTATTCTCCACATACAATACGTTATCTTCTAGTAGTAGACTTCCCCAAGGTAAACTCATCAGAGAAACAAATAAGTCAGGATTCTTTTAACTTTCTTTTAACTGTAATGGGAATTATTCCTTCTTAATAACCATAAAATCTGAGGCCCTGGTGCAGGCCATACCTTATCATCAGGGAGATACTTAAGTGGGCAGATATTCTGTCAGACAAGTGTTTAATAACCCCAAGTTATAATAGTTTGGGAATAATATTTCTCTTCAGGTCAAAGAGAACCAGTGATCTTCTAGTAGACTGGCACAGAATTCCTTGCTAGCCTACAGAATGCTGAGAGTTATTTGCTTGTTTGTATATTTATTAGTTTTGCTTCTTTGTTTTGTTTTTCCAAAAACTATATTCTCCTTACTAGAGTATTGGATTCCGTGACAAAGTTTATTCTTTCTACACTACTGTCCTAGGATGACCACTCCCTCTATGTTCCACTCACCCTTCTCAGCTGCAGCAATGCCGTGGGGATATTGTATGTTGTTGAGAACATATCTTACTAGCTTTCAAACTATGCAATGGCTTTTTGACCATGGCCCACAGTACAATATACATTGTACCTCATGACCCATTTAAAACAAACTTTCACAAAGAAACTTTTTCTCTTACTAAAAGTAATGGGTACTGGCATTCTCATCTGTATTCTTTCTATGGGTCCATTGAATTGATTTTGTGATTCATGAATAAGTCTTGGCCCTCAATTTGAGACAATGATCATATTCTAGGGTTGTGGCTCTCACAGTGTGGGAATTTTTATTAATAATCGAATATTCCTGAACTTAAAAAGAAACATATTTACTGTAATAAAACCAAGAATTCACTGGTTCTAAAACTTTGTTATGCATCAGAATCACCTGGAAGGCTTAAAACCCGGATTACTGGACTCTACCTCCAGAGATTTGATTCAGTATATCTGCTGAGCAACTCAATAATTTTTACTTTAAACAAGTTTTCGGGTAATGCCAATGCTGCTGGTTCTGGGGATACCCTTTGGGAACCACCGGTCTAAATGGAAAAGCTTGGATTTCCTCCCACTAAGAGTTAATTTTATTAGATCCTTTCTGAGAGTTCTAAGGATGCCCCCTTGTGGAAATCTAAGGGGAAAGTTTGCAAGACAACGCTCCCAAAATACCACTGAGAGATAAAGGCAGTAGATTTAACACTCAAATTTGAGACATTCCCTCCACTTCCCTTAGGACAAAGAACAATGATGGTTGGGTAGCAGGAAAACATGATGGTTAAAAGGCCAGATCTTAAAGACAGATGAACCTGTGTTCAAAGCTACCACTTTTGCGTGTAATGCTGGGCCTGTTGCTGAACTTCTCTAATTTAAAGCTTCATCATCTGTAAAGCAATATAATAATAGTACTTTATGCATCATATAAAATTTTAGTGAAAATTAAGTACATTATACATGAAGACCGAAACATTTGACTTCTAATTTAGGATGTGAATAGCAGTCTTCTATTTAACATTCTGAAGTGCAACACTTGAAACCACTCAAACTCACACCCACGTTCTTAGCCTTTTCACCTAATGCATCTTTCCCTAGATTATCCAAAGATAAGTGCTTATTCATGAAAAAGAACCAATATTGACTCAGGACTCAAATATGCCCCTTTACTATGCAGGTTTCTGAAACTTCTCCTGCCACCTGAATTTGTTTTTTATGTTTTTTTTTTGTTTTTTTTTTTTGTTGTTGTTTTTTAATGTTCCCATTGCTTTTAATGTTTTTTTTTGTTTTTTTTATTTTTTATTTTTTATTTTTTTTTATTTTATTTAAGTTTTAGGGTACATGTGCACATTGTGCAGGTTAGTTACATATGTATACATGTGCCATGCTGGTGCGCTGCACCCACTAACTCGTCATCTAGCATTAGGTATATCTCCCAAAGCTATCCCTCCCCCCTCCCCCACCCCACCACAGTCCCCAGAGTGTGATATTCCCCTTCCCGTGTCCATGTGATCTCATTGTTCAATTCCCACCTATGAGTGAGAATATGCAGTGTTTGGTTTTTTGTTCTTGCTATAGTTTACTGAGAATGATGATTTCCAATTTCATCCATGTCCCTACAAAGGACATGAACTCATCATTTTTTATGGCTGCATAGTATTCCATGGTGTATATGTGCCACATTTTCTTAATCCAGTCTATCATTGTTGGACATTTGGGTTGGTTCCAAGTCTTTGCTATTGTGAATAATGCCGCAATAAACATACGTGTGCATGTGTCTTTATAGCAGCATGATTTATAGTCCTTTGGGTATATACCCAGTAATGGGATGGCTGGGTCAAATGGTATTTCTAGTTCTAGATCCCTGAGGAATCGCCACACTGACTTCCACAATGGTTGAACTAGTTTACGGTCCCACCAACAGTGTAAAAGTGTTCCTATTTCTCCACATCCTCTCCAGCACCTGTTGTTTCCTGACTTTTTAATGATTGCCATTCTAACTGGTGTGAGATGGTATCTCACAGTGGTTTTGATTTGCATTTCTCTGATGGCCAGTGATGATGAGCATTTTTTCATGTGTTTTTTGGCTGCATAAATGTCTCCTTTTGAGAAGTGTCTGTTCATGTCCTTCGCCCACTTTTTGATGGGGTTGTTTGTTTTTTTCTTGTAAATTTGTTTGAGTTCATTGTAGATTCTGGAAGCATTCCCTTTGAAAACTGGCACAAGACAGGGATGCCCTCTCTCACCAGTCCTATTCAACATAGTGTTGGAAGTTCTGGCCATGACAATTAGGCAGGAGAAGGAAATAAAGGGTATTCAATTAGGAAAAGAGGAAGTCAAATTGTCCCTGTTTGCAGACGACATGATTGTATATCTAGAAAACCCCATTGTCTCAGCCCAAAATCTCCTTAAGCTGATAAGCAACTTCAGCAAAGTCTCAGGATACAAAATCAATGTACAAAAATCACAAGCATTCTTATACACCAACAACAGACAAACAGAGAGCCAAATCATGAGTGAACTCCCATTCACAATCGCTTCAAAGAGAATAAAATACCTAGAAATCCAACTTACAAGGGATGGGAAGGACCTCTTCAAGGAGAACTACAAACCACTGCTCAAGGAAATAAAAGAGGATACAAACAAATGGAAGAACATTCCATGCTCATGGGTAGGAAGAATCAATATCGTGAAAATGGCCATACTGCCCAAGGTAATTTACAGATTCAATGCCATCCCCATAAAGCTACCAATGACTTTCTTCACAGAATTGGAAAAAACTACTTTAAAGTTCATATGGAACCAAAAAAGAGCCCACATCGCCAAGTCAATCCTAAGCCAAAAGAACAAAGCTGGAGGCATCACACTACCTGACTTCAAACTATACTACAAGGCTACAGTAACCAAAACAGCATGGTACTGGTACCAAAACAGAGATATAGATCAATGGAACAGGACAGAGCCCTCAGAAATAACGCCGCATATCTACAACTATCTGATCTTTGACAAACCTGAGAAAAACAAGCAATGGCGAAAGGATTCCCTATTTAATAAATGGTGCTGGGAAAACTGGCTAGCCATATGTAGAAAGCTGAAACTGGATCCCTTCCTTACACCTTATACAAAAATCAATTCAAGATGGGTTAAAGATTTAAACGTTAGACCTAAAACCATAAAAACCCTAGAAGAAAACCTAGGCATTACCATTCAGGACATAGGCATGGGCAAGGACTTCATGTCCAAAACACCAAAAGCAATGGCAACAAAAGCCAAAATTGACAAATGGGATCTAATTAAACTAAAGAGCTTCTGCACAGCAAAAGAAACTACCATCAGAGTGAACAGGCAACCTACAAAATGGGAGAAAATTTTCGCAACCTACTCATCTGACAAAGGGCTGAATTTGTTTTTTCCAGAATAAGCCACTATGCTACATAGACCCTGACTAGTGACGGAGGCAAAGGTTGCATGAAACAGCTGCCACCACGATATTCCAAGGGATTCTATTCTACTGCTGCAGAAATGTCTGAAGTATGTAGTTAGAACTAAGTCCCGTGTCTTGGGATCTGCTGCTTTCATAAATGCAGGTGCCTGCCCCAGGCTGTACGGGTCATTGAGATTTGAGATTAAAACCACTTTCCTCTCAGTGCTGTGTTCCGTCACAGCTATATATCAGCAAGATGGGCCTATGTCCACAGCGTGCAACTCTTTAAATGCATTCAGCCAATACATTTCAGATTCATGGGATAATGAACCAAAACAGCCATTCAGTAAAATCCAAAACTAAAAGCCACTAGAAACCAAACCAAGATAAAATCACTTTTTAAAAAATCAGTGCATATATCTTTCATTAGTAATGATTTATCCGCTTTCTCACTGTCTGAAAATAATGAAAGGAAATTAAAATCATCATTTTTTTGCCTCAAGGTACTCACTGAGGAGATAAACACATATTAAATGTTTTTGAATTTAAGGATGGTCATTCTTTTCCACATTTGAATATTTCTAAAATCTAAATGAGGTTTTCAGTGTAGTAATGTTTATTTTCTCTGAAAGTAAAACCTGTTAATAAATCAGTGCTGTGTTTACAACTTGTGGCGTATTGGAATCAAAACGAAGACAGAATTTCTCATGCAATATGAGGGCTTACGTAAAGGTCTGGTTGGATATTTTTAGATTACGTAGCTAATGGAAGATAATTTTGAATAATATAAATCTTGAGAATTAAAAATGTACGTACTTACTCCTGTTCAAACACACACACACACAAACATGGATATTTTTAAGCATACCCCATACTACCACCATTACTATTGCTACCACCACCAGCACTGTTACCATTCATAACTATCGGTCTTAAAGTGTTTTGATGTGGGTGGTGTCTATTTTTCATCTCTAAGAACCAATCTCTTTCAAAAGCATTGTTAATAAACATAGAATAATCTTTTAAGTATTTTGAAATAGGAATATGACAATACATCTCAGCAAAATGCTCATAAATTCTAAAATACAACATTAAGCATGTTAAGAAAATATAAAGCTTGCCTCTGTACTTTTCAACTAGAATGTCTGTTTCTCGATACAAATAAATAAGTGTCACTAATGTGCGAAGTTTCAAAACTGAATTTTGAAATTTTAATTGCAGGACTGAAAATGAAAAAAAAAAGTCTACATAGTTGTTTAGACTGAGAAGGCGAGAAAAACCAACTTAAAAAAAAAGCAATAGCTTTGCAAATAAGCCTACATTTACCTAAAAAATGGTAGGAAAAAATGAATGATCCTGTCTGAGAAACACTGTCATTTGTGAACAAAGGCTGGCATCTGGACTTGCTTTCAATCAGGCATCTCTGAACTGTGCAAACTGTAGTCTTCTGTTGTGGTTTCAAATATCCATTTTCAAATGCATGCATAGTTTTAGAAATTTGCAGTGATTCTCTGAAATAGATGCAATAAATTTATCTGTACATTTTCAAATCTGTTACATCTAACAAAAAAAAAACTTTATCAGTAGAAGCATTTTCCTTTACAATATATCTGTTGTTTCTATCACATTCACATGTGTGATATTAAAAATGCTTATGAATGATGCTCAGTTTTCTATCAGAATAACTCATTCAATGTACATAAGATGCAAAATGCATTAGACCCATTTACAGAAGTACAACAAATCAATGTAGTGCAGCCTGAGACTTTAGGTGTGGCAATAAGAGAGCTGAGTAGGATGACTCACTTATTTGTGTGACTTTGCGAAATCACTTAAACCATGTAAGCCTTGGTTTTTTATCTCGAAACTGGAGATAATATCTACCTCATCAGATATTGAAAGTGTTTAATTAATAATCTACGCAATATGTCATGTATGGCACCTGTTAAAACTCAACAACTTATAACTACAAGCCTTTATTATAAATATGAAAAGTGTAGTAAAAGATACACATAGTATAAATTATGTTTTGCTTATTTTAAAAATTATGTACATAAAAATCTCTATAAATTTAAATTGCAAATGCCCAAGGAGAGTGCATTAGAAAATGATCAATATCACTTTACAAAGAAATACACTAAAGAAATTTTTTTTTTTTTTTTTTGGAGACAAAGTCTTGCTCTATCATCCAGGTTAGAGTGCAGTGGTGTGATCTCGGCTCACTGCAACATCCACCTCCTGGGTTCAAGAAATTCTCCTGCCTCAGCCTCCCGAGTAGCTGGGATTACAGGCACCTGCCACCACGCCCAGCTAATTTTTGTATTTTTAGTAGAGATGGGATTTCACCATGTTGGCCAGGCTGGTCTTGAACTCCTGACCTCGTGATCCACCTGCCTCAGCCTCCCAAAGTGCTGGGATTATAGGTGTGAGCACATTTCTTGAATTCAATTAAAACCTGATTTTAAAATTTTGCTTTGTGTGGAACTTTGCCAGAGCACATATCATATGTGTCTTTTCAAGATACCAAAATTACTATGTGCTGTAAACCCATAAATTAAAAGTTATCTTCTAGTCTAAAAATTTCTGTGTTTTAGAAAAATTGGTTATTTTATGTAATGAGAATTGTACAGAAAATGTCTATGAGATAAGTGAAATCTAGGCGAACAACAAGTAGCCATGTAAACAACATATATATATATACACATACACACATATATGTTATTTATATATGTATACACACACGTATATTTGTCATTTTATATATGTGTGTGTGTGTGTGTGTTTTTGTGTGTGTGTGTTTGTGTATATGTGTATATATGGTACACATATATAATCCTGACTGTGACTGTGGGCCTGATGAGGGAGGGAGCCAAGAGAACCAGAGTGAAGAGAGCTCCCTGTCTTCTACAGATTCGCAGTATATCAGGGAATTTTTAGAATTCTGGCTGGCTGAGTCTCCTGAGAGTTTCTTAGTAAGAGATACCAAGGAGATACTGAGAGTTTAAAAATATGATTTTAATCTTATATATCATATAAGCTTTGGCCAAAACTGGAGTTGATGTGAGAGAAGAGCATGATTTTTGCGGACTCAAGAATCTGTTGTTTTTACTGTTTTCTAGTCCTTTCTGATTTTCCTCCCCACTATTTTTCCCATCCAAGAACTTATGTCAGTGTGAATCTATATGAGGAAGAGAGACAGAGGGAGAGGGAGCGTTAAATAAATTACTAATATATCACTACAATAATGTGAACACAAAACCTTCTGCCTTGGGAGTCTCCTACAGAGGTGTCACAGGCAGCTTTGTGTAGAAGAGCACACGTTTCACACTCAGAAGGACCCGCAACTTGATTTATTGCTCTGTCATTGCCATCTTGAAACTTTTAATACAATTATCTTTGAATTTGTATTTTTTTCCCTGAAGTCGGATGAAGCAATAGGACATGCACGTGGGCAGAGGAGATATGCACAGTATGTGTGACCCCCTGCCCCGCTTTCTTGCTGCTTTCCTTTTCCTATGTAATTCAAGATGCTCATAAGCCCAGAATTTTACAAGACCCGCAAGTCTTTGGGCGATACCCAAAGCCAGTTCAAAGAAAATGTGTTATGTTATACTTATGTAAGGAGTGAGGAAACTTGCTTCAAACCCAGGAAGAAAGCAATGTCATTCAAAGAAATAAGAATGACCAAATAACCCCGTCATAGCTATTCTTACTTACCTTCTTCTCCTGCATTAGACAATTAGTGGTGGAGAAATAATGACATAGAAAGAAAAGAGAAAGATTGGGCAAAATGTAGTTTATTTTCTTTTCAGTACTTCTTTATTCATTAGTAAGCTGAAGGTAGACAGTATTGGCAAATGTGACTTTATCGAGAATTAAAATAAAAACAGCTTATTTAAATTTGTGCATTTCTGCTGTTCTGGTAAGAAAAAAATACATATTCATGCAGGAGCTATGAAATATCAGTTATGTAATTTCACTGATTCTGCATATAAGGCAATTGTTCTTATTTAAAACTAGTATTTGAATTTTTAACATTAAAAAATCTAAAATTAAATGTAAGGCACTTTAAACTGACATTGTACAATATAAAAGTTAATGGTAAGTTTCAGTACTATAATTTAAAAATTTAGTTTTTCTTTAATTAGAATACAACTAAATAGAAATTTAAAAGTGAGGGGAAAGAGAGACGATAGAGAAAGAAAAACATTCCATATTTTAATATCATTAACCACACATTTTCCTTGTTTGTGAACTCAGAGCCCTGCATTTTCATTTTGCACTGCCTCCTACAAGTTATGTAGCTAACCCTGTACAGAGTTAATGTAAAATGTAAAGGAGAGAGAAGAGAGAGGGCATTTCTCTTACATCAGCAAAGAGAGAAAGGGAGTACTATGCTGTAACCAAAAACACTGTGAGAAAGGCTTTCTTATTACACCGTGGTTTAGAAAGTCCCTGGCTACTCTTACATATGGGTTCTCAAATGCAGTCTTCCGGACTATCTCATAACCTCTTCTACCTCTCACTGACATTGATTGGCTTAATGGATTTCCATATCCTACTGCAGAATCCCATTCTGAATGTCATTGCTGCTTCAGTCACTGGTCTGGAGAAACACAGCCTACCCTACAATTATAAGCTATTCCCTCTACTCAACCCATTACTATCAGTTTCATGTGAATCTCTGGTTGGGGTTCTTCTGGAAGAGGGCTGAGAAATTAGCTGGAAGAAAGGAATCTAGATTTAGTATCCACTTAGCTCTCATCCTGTTATCAGGGTGAGGTTAACAAACTCAGGATATAGGTTCATTGCCCATTTGTTGTATATTATATCTAGGCCTTATCCATAATCATAATCAGTCATCTTAAATGTGTTTCTTAAATCTCAAATGTCATAAAAGGCAATGTGGAAATAACATGAGTTTGGAGGTCTCCCATCAAATGGAATCAAGGCTCTACTGCTTATTGGATAAATTAGCCACCCTCTGAATATGTTTCCTTATTAATACTCAGTTATATCAAATTTATATATTCATGTTATTTTTCTTAAAAAAGACAGAAAATTTGAATTGAAACAAATGATCAACAGTGATGGAACAATGACAATAAAAGGAAGTAGAAAAGATAATCAACTGCTGTGTGGATATTTGCCATTCTTTTGTCCATCCAATCTGAGTTTCAATCCAGAATTTGAATTTCTTTGTTACATCTAGGAAATCATCTAACACAAAGCCCTCTACGAAAATACAAAACATCGGATATTCACTCTCCTGGTATTCCTGAGAATAAGACAAATTAACATAACCCAGGGTCTCCCAATCACATGTATCCACCTCAAAATTTGAATAATATGCTGTTGATGAAAATAATTAAGAACTATCGAGAATCTTTTCTGCTGAGCCTGGCATCAGCAGCCCTAGCTTTATCAGGTTTCAGAAGCAAAAGTTGTGACCATTCCAAAGGTGGCATCATGGTCTACATCAGTAGAGTAAGTGCCAGCGTGCATGCCCAGTGGCAACAATAGTGGGGTCTACAATGGGGCCACACTGAACCATAATTTGGAGCTTTGTTCCTCTGCTGCATATGTTCCTACCTTGGTTCTAAGTCCTTCATAGAGATTCTGAGAGCTGCCTGATACCCTTTGAATAAATGTTCTACTTAGGTTAGCTAGAGTTGTTTCCTGTTGCTTAAACTAAAAACCCTGGCTGATGCAGCAGTTAATGTATATGTTCACCTATTCCAGGGGGTCTTGACAAAAATGTAGAGATGATTATTAATATATTTCTGACAGAAGACTTTAATGCTCTACTTTGGAAAGGCCAACCAAACTTTATTGATGACTACACTCTGGAAAAAAAAGATAGTTTATTTTATATCAAGTAGAAGATATAACTACTGAGTCTGAATGTGCAAAATCATCTTTAAAGGGGTAAGGAGCCTGAGGGAAAGAGCGTCCTTTGCTTTACATCCGTATGGATTATATAAAAATCAACATAAAATATGGCATCGTTATTCCTTAAAGATGATAACAAATCTAGGGCCAAGCTCACAGAAGAGTCTTAGGAAAGATTTTTTAAACTCAACTCTCTAAAGCTGAGAGGAATTAAAAGGATAGTGGGATTTTAGAATGTGAATTCACCCATATCTCTTAATCTCTGCATCTAAAGCAGATTTACTCTAACAATACCAGGCTTGAACATCCTAGCCATTTCATGGAATTTATGTAACCTTCTTTCGTGCCTCCTGCTCTGGCATTTCCTCTTCTTTCAGGATGTTTCCTGAGATTTCTTGGTCTCAGAGTATTAGTTGGCTTGGGCTGTTATAACAAAATACTTTAGTCTCGGTAATGTATAAAAACAGGATTTTATTGCTCATAATTCTGAAGGCTGGGAAGTCTAAAATGAAGTCCCTAGCATAGTGGGTGTCTGATGAGAGCCTATTCCTCATGGGTGGCACCTTCTGTGGCAAAGGTAAAAAGGCTTCCTGAAGCCCCATTTATAAGAGCACCAATCTCATTTATGACCCAATTCACCCTCATGACTTAATTACCTCCTAAAGGTTCCACCTCTTAATTGTACCACAATTGGGATGAAGTTTCAACATCAGTTGTGGAGGGGACACAGTAATTCAGATTATACCACAGAGTATATGAAAATATCCTTGGCATATTCTTGGTATCACATTTTGCAAAACAATAAGGCTGATTTGGCTGATTATCTTAGAAAATAAGTCAGAAAATGACATATTCGGAGCTATCAGTCCTTATAAGTCCCTTCCTAACACAAGATGATGTGTGTAGCATGAAACTTGGGCAAAAAGGAATAGAAAGGATTGTGGGATTTTAAAAATGAGCCCACCCATAGCTCTTAATCTGGGCTTTTAAGGCAGATTGATTCTAAAAACACTAGCTGTGAGCACCCTAGCCATTTCATGACATTTGTTTAACCTTCTTTCTTGACCCTTGTTCTGGTTCTGCTCCTCTTTTGGGAGGAGCAGATTCTCTGAGATTCTTTGGTTTGCCTCTTCTTCATAGACTCAAGTGTACCCTTTGCACTTTAAGTAAGACATAGTTTTCCCTCTGCTTACAGTTTTGAAATTTCTATGATTTAAAATGACACTTACTTTCCAATAATGTTTTTCTGACTTTTGCACTTTAGATTTTCACTTAGTCCTCACTCAGCACTTTCTGACTAAGCTACTTACCAATCCACAGCCAATTCCCCTTTCCTTTGCAAAGTACTAGGAGGGAGGGAACGAGATCCCATACTTAGCAGCAAAAAGCATTCAGCTACAAGGAATACAATCTCCAACTAAAATAGGCCTGAAAAATAGATGCTATATTATTGAATGTGAAATCTGTATGCAGAATGTTTCAGACTTTGTGCACTCAACTAACAGTATCAGGAATAAACTAGATACGTCACATCATATCTATCCACAGTGTGGAAAGAAGGTTGGCAATATCTCTTCTCATAATTCCAATATTTCTGTCCTATCTCTAGGCATTACAGCCTCACAAGGACAGGATCTCAAATAGGAAATAAGAGAACAGGGATTAAATGGACTTCTCTTTGTATGACTCTCCATTGCAAACAGGAAAGGAAATCTTTCTTAGATCTCTTAAAAAGATGTTCCTTCATCTCACTTTGTGTCCCACCCCCTCTAGAAAAATCACTAGTAAATGCCGTGGGACTGACCTCATGGGACTCAAATGAGATATGTATTCATTTAGCAAGAAAAACAATGCTGATTAAAAAAAAAAAAGAAAAGAAAAAGAAAAAAGAAAAAGACAGTGCTGATTATCTTTTGGATAGGTGGCATGACTTCTTTAAGGTTGAGAGAAACAAATTCTTCCCAAAACAGTGCCAGAAATAATGATAAAAGTTTAGGAACATAATTGAAATTTCAGAAAATAGGTTATATTTATTGTGACTAATGACGTAAATTGTAATGATTCAATCTTGAAGTTAGAGCTCTTTAACATCTGGGATGAATGTCTTTGTTCCTGCTTCTTTTCATCATATTCAGTCCATAATATGAGGCAGGGGTTATCACAGCAGCAGCAGAGCTGAGACATCCACATGAAGGAGATGAATCATGTCAGTGTATTTTTCTTCAGGCTCTTGGATCATGGCGGGTGAAGGGGGTGGGCACACATGTGGAGACGAATGAGCCAAAGGCAAACACAAACCTTGCTTTGTCTGGGCCACCCTGCACTGACGAGCCTGTGGAGATGTGGCCCACAGTAATAAATGTTAAAGAAGAAGAAAGAGGGATTCTGCTGAAAACTATTCTGACTGAAACATGGAAAGTGCTGCTGACTTGTTGGGATATCTGCTAAAATAGATGGCTTGAGGGTAACATCTAAAATGGAATTTACCACAGTACAGGAAATCCTCAGTCAATACCAATGCCCATAACATAGTTTGTAATTAATTACCTGTGCAAATGGGATTGGTTGGACAGAAGCAATTCCTACCCAGTGGAAACTTCTTTGTGATCTTTTACTCTTCTGGCATATTATCTGTTCCAAGAAATAATCTTAAACTTGAGTCACCAACCTTATTTTATCTTTAATAAATACATTTGAAAAAAGTCAATGTAAAATTAACCAGGAATGTTAGCAGCAATCGATTTTTAGAGTATATCTGTAGCAGTATTAATAAAACACAAGAAAATCTTTCATTGACATTTTATTTTCTTGACTGGGTGTAATGGCTAATAATAATATTGATCATTTTTAACCTTGTGCTAAGGACTTTATCTCCCATGCATTACCTTTAATTTCATAAATAACTGAACTGAGGCTTATTTTACTAGGGCTATGCTACTAGTGAGCGAGAGAGCTGGTCTTCAAATTCTAATCTGTTTTATTTATAATAGAGTACTTTAGAGAATACGATCCTCTCATACCTATTACACTATGGGACAATAAGAGATAGATTTTTTTTCAGGATTACAGGCATACTAAGGAAGAAGAAAACCGGTATAATGATAGAGTTACTACCCCTGTCCCAAATGAAGGGCAAAGAAAGAACTGGGCTCAAGGCTAGTCAAATATTTCCTCCATAGCAGGTGTATTTGTCAGAGTTCTGCAGAGAAAAACGGAATCACTGGGATCTGTGTATCTACCTACATAGATAGAAAGAGATAGATTTTAGGGGATTGGCTCCTGTGATGTGGAGGCTGGCAAATCCAAAATCTACAGGTCAGGTGGATAGACTGGAGACCCGTGAGGAGTTGATGCTGCAGCTCCAGTCTGAAGGCAGTCTAGAGGCAGAAATTTTTCTTTCTCAGGAACCTCAGTCTTTTTCACTGAAGGCCTTCAATTGATTGGTTGAGGCCTACATACATTATGGAAGGAAATGTACTTTTCTTAAAGTCCAAGATTTAAATGTTTATCATATTTTCAAAACTACCTTCACAGTAACATCTAGAAGTGTTTGCCCAAAAATTGGTTACCATGAGTACCATAACCTAGACAAACTGACACATAAAATTAACCATCATAGCAGGAAAGTGGCAACCGAGAAATGCTACACAGAACAATGGGAAACTATAAACCAAATAAAAGTAAATTATCACCTAATATTTTATTTTGCTACTAAGTCTTAATATTGGCTAACTTCACAATACTAATCCTTATCATTACATGGAGTAATGTAATGTCCCTCAATCAAGTTAATGCATGAAAATATCTCAGGAGTATCTTTTTAGTCATCACGTATCTATTAAACATCGAATATATTCCATGCAATGTTCAAGCACATAGGCCAAAAAGAGAAAAGAAACAGTCTCTGTCCTTGAGAGACTTACAGTGTGATGAGGGGTGTAGGGAAACAGAATGCTTGCATCGAAACAATTAGATTTTTGTTTTACTACTAGCTCAAATGTCAGTGTCAGTGTTATCACAATATTTCTTAGAGCTGGGAAAGTCAGCCTTGTCTGATACGTTGATAAAGGTAAGCATTACACTTCCAAGAACAAGTCTTCTGGTCATAGATAATTTTTTAGCACAAATAGGAATATTATCAAAGTTTTCAGAGAAAAAATGACAACTTGTTGGAATTGCAGTACGTGTACATTAGGTGTAAAGGAACTATATAATGCACTGATTTAAGAAATAATTTCAATGGAAGTTATTATACTAATTAAGGATTTACATTAAACTTTTTAATATTAAAATTTCACTTAGGTACTACTAAAGAGAATATGAACAGGGCCCGGTGTAGTGAATTAAAGTTGGTTGGCTGTTTCCATGGTCAGTGGGAAAGCAGGTACTTTTGTTTCAGACCTGAGTTCAAGAATCTGTTGTCATTACCAGTTGTGACCTCAGGAAAGGTACTTACACTGCAGAGCCTTACTTTGTTTTTCTTGGTAATAATATTAATTGTTTTTTAGATTTATAAAGATTAAATGTTGTCACACATTTGGAAGTTCCAAGCAGCACCTGAGAGTAGCAGCCTCTCTTTAAGGACTATTTCCTTATTTGTATTAGATTCAAAACTTATGATAACATCACCTTATGACTTTATGAGACTCTCTGTTGTATTTTGCATCACTCATATCAATTATTTTTGTATATAAATTTCTAATGTCTTATGAAATAATATTGTTTTTACTCTCCATCTGCATAATTGCTGCTGACACACAGAGACACAGGCACGTGCATGTGCATATACACTCACATACATCCCTCCCAGTAAAATATGGCATGCAATTCTACATTATGAAATTATCGCCTGGGCGCGGTGGCTCATGCCTGTAATCCCAGCATTTTGGGAGGCTGAGGTGGGTGGGTCACCTGAGTTCAGGAGTTTGAGACTAGCCTTGCCAACATGGTGAAACCCCGTCTCCACTAAAAATACAAAAAATTAGCTGGGCATGATGGTGCACGCCTATAATCCTAGCTACTTGGAAGGTTGAGTCATCAGAATCAGTTGAACCCGGGAGGCAGAAGTTGCAGTGAGCCGAGATCACGCCACTGCACTCCCGCCTGGGGGACAGAACAAGACTCTGTCTCAAGAAAGAAAAAAAAAATAGAAGGAAAAAAAAAGAAAGACATGATCATGGTTAGAGATGCCTTCAATGATATCTTGCTCTAACTGAAAGTTGTCTCACATTATGCAAAAGGCAAATTATGATTGAAATACACACTTTGTACAGGAATAACTAGTAGGCCTATATTAAAAAAAAAGATGCTATTGAAAATACCAGACTAAGAAGATAAAGAGAACAAAAGTAGACATGAATTGTGAGCCTCACCTTTGTTCTAGTCACTCTCTAGCTATTCAATTTCTCCAGCTAATGAACTAAAGAAGACATTTACATCAGTACGAGATGTGATTGGAGAACATTATGTCACCTGAAGCTGTGCAGAGATGGTATTTGGTTCCTTCTGGAAAGCAGAGATTAAACATTGATAAATATAAACACTGTATAAACATGCAGAGAGAGTGAAAGATCAAATATCAAACTGGGGACTTTTCCAGCATACAACATAAAACTTTAGAAATGAACAAGCTCTATTAACCAACTTTCTCTTTTTAAAAATACAATAACTGAAAGTCAGAGAATTTGAGTTATTTCTAAAATCAACCTGTTTGCAGAGCTAAAAGCTTAATCCCATGTCTTTAAATCTGCTGTCCATTTTATTAACTATTAATAATGAAATTACAACTTAGCTTTTAGAAGAAATATGAACATAAGCAGTTTCGGAGGTAGAAACTGAAAAATGTAAAAGGAAGCATGTTTTTTCATATGTACAGTACATTTTTGTGATTTCTTACTTTTTTTGTTGATACATGGACAAAAATCTCCAATATGTAGGAATTAAGAGTCTCTTTAATTTTATGACACTGAAACACTAGTAATGTTGATAAATAAAAGGTTAAATTAGATGCACTTTTTGAGCCTCCAGATTGGAAATTTCCCAAGCAAATGTATATATCGTGAAAGTATCTTTTCATTATTGTAGTGTGTATTGATGCACAGATAATTTTTGATCATGTTTTAATTTTATGTATATAATTTGTTACCTTTAATTATAAAATATTGTCATCAAAATAATATATTCAATATATTAAGAAAACAAGGCCGGGCGCGGTGGCTCACGCCTGTAATCCCAGCACTTTGGGAGGCCGAGACGGGCGGATCACGATGTCAGCAGATCGAGACCATCCTGGCTAACACGGTGAAACCCCGTCTCTACTAAAAATACAAAAATTAGCCGGGCATGGTGGCGCGCGCCTGTAGTCCCAGCTACACGGGAGGCTGAGGCAGGAGAATGGCGTGAACCCGGGAGGCGGAGCTTGCAGTGAGTCGAGATCGCGCCACTGCACTCCAGCCTGGGCGACAGAGCGAAACTCCGTCTCAAAAAAAAAAAAAAAAAGAAAAAAAATTGCATCGGTGCCATTTCTATATAAATATGCAGTTATACATAATTGATATGTTATAATTAAAAAGGCATTTGTGAGCCACTACCTAATTTCAGAAATAATATACTTCCAATAAGCTCCCTGATCCCATCATGTCCTGCTGACCTCTTCATCCAGAAAGTAGTCATTATCCTGAATTTGCTTTTTACTTTTTTAATCAATCTTTTTTCTCTTTAAAACAGATTTACTATACCTATATGTCCATTAAAATTAAAAATCATTTTTTCTTATTTTTAAGTCTGTACAGAAATGGTTCTTTATTGTATATATGAGTAGTTGTGCCTTGCCATTTTTACTCAACATTACCCAGCAGTATGTTTTTAAGATTCCTCTGCAGGGATATGTTACATGATACTAAAATGTAACTTGGTAACAGCAACACTCATGATATATTTGCCAGCCAGAAGAAAAACATTTTATAAGTAATATTTTCTCTATGAAAGCTAAATAAAAGTCTCCAGTGTCTACTATTTCCATCTTTGTTTCCATGTTTACTCATTGTTTAGCTCCCACTTATAAGTAAATATATGCGGTATTTGGTTTTCTGCTTCTGAGTTAGTTCACTTAGGATGATTGCCTCCAGCTCCATTCATGCTGCTGCAAAAGACATGATCTCATTCTCTTTTATGGCTGTGTAGTATTTCATGGTGTATATATACCATATTTTTTAATCCAGTCAAACATTCACGAATACTTAACTTGATCCCATGACTTTGCTATTGTGAGTAGTGCTGCAATGAATGCACAATTGTGGGTGTCTTTTTTTTTTTGCAGGTGTCTTTTTAATATAATGATTTCTTTTTCTTTGGGTGGATACCTAGTAGGGAGGTTGCTGAGTTAAACGGTAGTTATATTTTTGGTTCTTCGAGAAATTTCCATACTCTTTTCCATAGAGGTTGAACTAGTTTACATACCAATCAACAATATATAAGTATTTCCTTTTCCCCATATCCATACGAGTATCTGCTGTTTTTTGACTTTTTAGTAATAGCCATTCTGACTGCAGCAAGACAATATCTCATTGTGGTTTTAATATCCATTTATCTGATGATTACTGATGTTGAGCATTTTTCATGTGCTTCTTGGCCACTTATATTTCTTCTTTTGAGAAATATCTGTTTATGTCCTTTGTCCGGTTTTTAATGGGAATATTTTTTCTTGTTGGATTGTTTGAGTTCTTTGTAGATTTGGTATAGTATTCTTTTGTCAGAGGCATAATTATTTTTATGATGACACCACAAGTGTGGGCAGGAAAAGTAAAAACAACAACAACAACAACAAAATTAAAAACAAAACCAGAAACAAGTAAGACTACATCAAATTAAAAATTTTCATACCACAAAGGAAAGAGTAAACAAGATGAAAAGGCTACCTAAGAAATGAGAGATGCTATTTGCAAAGCATATATTCTATATCTGTTAAGGGGTTAAATCCCAAATATATAGGGAATTCATAAAACTTAATAGCAAACAAAGCCAATAACCAGAATAAAAAATGAGCAAAGGATCTCAATAGACATTTTTTCCAAGGAAGATTTTAAAATGGCCAGTAGATGTATTTAAAGGTACTCAACATCACCAAACATCAGGAAAATGAAAATCAAAACCACAACATGCATAGATATCACTCACACCTGTTATTATGGCTGTTATCAAAAAGAAAAGAGATAACAAATATCGGTGAGGGTATGGAGAAAAGAGATATCCAGTATGCTTTTGGTGGGAATGTAAATTGTTACAACCTTTACAGAAAATAGTTGGCAGGTTTCTTTAAAAAACTAAAAATAGAACTATTGTGCGATCCAGGAATCCCATTACTTGGTATATAGACAAAGAAAGAAATCATGATCTCAAGATATATCTGAACTCCGATGTTCAATCTGGCATTATTTACAATACCCAAGATATGAAAACAATGTTAAGCGTCTGTTAACAGACAAATGAATAAAGGATTGCTTATTCTTACACAAAGAAATACTACTTTGTCTTAAAAACTAAAGGGAATTCTGTCACTTGTGACAAGATGAATGAGCCTGGGGGACATAACATGTTATATTAAATGAAACAAAACAAACACAGAAAGACAAATACTGTATACTCTGACTGATATAAAGAATCTTAAAAAGTTCAACTCAAAGAAACAGAGAGTAGAATGATGATCGCCAGGAACTGGAGGTGGAGGAAATGGGGTGATATTGAACAAAGAGTACAAACATTCTGTTGTAAGAGGAATAAGTTCTGGGGATTTAACTTGCAGCATGGTGATTATAACAAATAATACTATATTGCCTACTTGAAGTTTGCTAAGAGAGTAGCTCATAAGTGTTCTCGCCACACACACACACACACACAAACTATGTGAAGTGCTGGGTGTGTTAATCAACTTGATTTTGGTAATCATTTCACAATGTCCACATGTATCAAATTATCACATTGTATACCTTTGATATATACAATATTTATTTGTCAGTTATGCCTCAATAAAGCTGAAAAATAAGTAACCAGAAAACAATAACAACAATAACAGCAACAAAACAAAAAGGATGAATGATACCAAAGAATTTGAAATTGAAACACAAAAGTTTGAATATCTGCTGGCAGCAAGCAGGGCTAAGATCCAGGGAGAAGATTTTGTAAATGCTTTCCAAATTTGGAAATGTTCTCTTTAGTTTCATGTGATTGGGGTCAGAAATTATATTTCTTCTAAACATTAGAATAATTTTATTTTATCACATGCATACTGTACATGCATACTGTACATGCATAGAAAGTGAAGACAAGAATTGAAGCAATTTCCAGATGATTGATCCAAAAAAGTTTCTTCCTGAAAACAATTAGGCATTTCAAAGATTGTTATGCATGAATAGTCACTTACAAACTTCACTCTTTATTTGTGTGATGCTACACTAACTAAATTCCATTCTCACTTTTGCTCTACTTCGCAATAACACACCCTATATTCTGATTGCCTTTTAGGTGTCAGGCACCATTACTGGAGTAAGGAATAAGCAATAATGAAGAAGGCAGAATCATCAACTGCCATTGCCCAAAACCAAGGAGATACTGCCTTACCTGGGTTTCACTGGAACTAGAAAGTTTTATCCTCAGTTTACCTAAACATTAATAAAGGATAATCTATAGTTAGATTTTGAAGCTTGAAATATAAGCCTCATAGGCAAGCCACTAATTTGGCCTTCCTTAAAATTAAATTTTTGAAAATGTGTATATGGTTTATAAGCAAAGGGCACCCTGTGTTGGGATGGTAGAGGGCATATGCTCCAGTGGAATCCCATTGCAGGCAGAACTTAAGCTACTCTTCTCTTGTCCTGAGTAATTCACCTCAGACTTCAAAATTGAAGGCCAAGAACTTATTATTTTTTCAAAAAGTTTCAATTAACTAGGCTGGCCCTCTTTGCTTTTCTTAATAATGTAAAAGTCTTTGTACATCTTGTTTAATTATCATTGTGTGAGATTGGTTCAGACTAACTATGGTTTATGCATTGTTGAAATTTGCCATTTGATATTGGAATACATTCTTAAATAAATGTGGTTATGTTATTCATTTTAATGGGCATTTCTAGCTTTACGTTTTTGGGAATTACTTTTTACTTGCTGTTTATTTTATGTTTATTTTAGACTACGGAAATGATATTAGACAAAAAGCAAATTGAAGTGATTTTCTTATTCAAGTTCAAAATGGGTCGTAAAGCATCAGAGTCAACTCGCAACATCAACAACACATTTGACTCAGAAAGTGCTAATGAACATACAATGCAATGGTGGTTCAAGAAGTTTTGCAAAGGAGATGAGAGCCTTGAAGATGAGGAGCATAGTGGCTGGCCACTGGAAGTTGACAAGGACCAACGGATATGGGAGGGGGACAGGGAAGTAAGTGCTGGGTAGAAAAATCTGGGGTCCCTGATGAGGCTCCACCCTCGGGCCTGTGCCCAGAGACCTAAGTGAGGACAGGTGCTCCTGTTATCGTGCCCAAATGTTGCATTTTCCAAGACCACCCTGGCACTGCATGCCTCCATCCTGTGCCTGTAAAAACCCCAAGACCCTAGAGGGCACAGACACAAGTGGCTGGACGTCGAGAGGAACACACCGGCAGAAGAGCATACAGGCGGCTGGACATTGAGAGGAATGGAGGAGTGGAAGAGCACACTGACAGGCCCCAGCAGACACCAGCAGGCCATCTGCCAGCAGAATGATGTGGACGCCTGAGGGGAACAGGCCAGGACGGTCAGAGAAGAGCCCGGCCACTGAATGGCCCAACTCCAGGGAAAAACCGTCTTCCCTCTTCATCCCCCTCTGGCTCTTCATCCATCTCCTGAGAGCTCCTTCCACCATTCAATAAAACTTCACACTCATTCTCCAAGCCCACGTGTTATCCAGGTTTTCCAGTACAGTAGGGGAAGAACTAGGGATACAGAAAACCCTTTGTCCTTGCTATAAAGGAGATGGTCTAATTGAACTGATGAATACAAGCTGCCTACAGACAGCAAAAGTAAAAGAGCACACTGTAACAAACGCCCTCTGGGGCTGTAAACATTCACCCCTAGACACTGTCCTGGGGTTGGAGCCCACAACCACAACCTGCCTGTCTTCATGCTCCCACTAGAGGTTTCAGCAGCAGGGTACCTAAGAAGCAAGCCACACCCCCCACTGCATGAGCTGTGAGGGGGATAAAGGAACTTTTCCTGTTTCACAATGAAGAGCAATCATCGAAGTTGATCCTCTTACAACTACACGAGAAGCTGCGAAGAACTCAACGTCGACCATTCTAGGGTCATTCAGCATTTGAAGCAAATTGGTAAGGTGAAAATGCTTAGTAAGTGGGTGGCTCATAAGCTGAGAGAAAATCCAAAACATCGTCCTTTTGAAGTGTCAACTTCTCTTATTCTATGCAACAACAACAAACCATTTCTCTATCAGATTGTATTGTGTGACTTAAAGTGGATTCTATACAACAACCAGCCACAGCCAGCACAGCGATTGGACCCACAAGAAGCTCCAAAGCACTTCCCAAAGCCAAAATCACACCAAAAAATGTGGTCACTTTTTGGTGGTCAGCTGCTGGTCTCATCCACTGCAGCTTTCTGAATTCCAGCAAAACCATTACATCTGAGAAGTGTGCTCAGCACATCCATGAGATGCACCGAAATCTGCAATGCCTGCAGCCGGCACTGGTCAACAGAAAGGGCCCAATTCTCCACCACAGTGCCCGACCGCACATCGCACAACCAGTGCTTCAAAACTTGAACAAATTTGGGCTATGAAGTTTTTCCTCATCGCCGTATTCGCCTGACCCCTCACCAACCTACTACTACTTCAAGTATCTCTGCAACTTTTTTTTTTTTTTTTTTTTTTTTTTGCAGGGAAAACGCTTCCACAACCAATGGATGCAGAGAATGCTTTCCAAGAGTTTGTCGAGTCCCGAAGCAAGGATTTTTACGCTACAGGAATAAACAAACATGTCTTGTTGGCAAAAATGCGATGATTGTAATGATTTTTATTTTCGTTAATAAATATTTGAGCCTATTTATGATGATTTAAAATTCATAACCTGAAACCGTAGTTACATTTGCACCAACCTAATATTATTAAGTGCACTGTGCAAGGCAAACATGCATTTGGACCTACTGCACTATACTTAACTTTGCAATTTCCACTTGGAGTGTCTATAATGTCCCTTTATTTTTCTTTTTTATTGGGCATTCATGTAATCGCAAGGATGGGCCATTTCTATTGCCCTACAGTACCCTTTGAGCCTAAAAATTGTGGTATAGACAACAAACAGAATGAACTGCAGATAAAAATGGAGATACTCTGTATTTAAAGCTTGCTATTAAGAGGTCAGTAAATGGTTCGAGGGACTAATAATCTAGGCTTCACTAATAAGTGTGGTTCTGTAACATGAATTCTCTTCAGAGCCAGGATAACGCAGAATGTGCCAGGACAAAGTCATCACATCTGTAGCTGATTAGATTAGCACAGGGTGTGAAAACAATAAAACAAACAGGCTTCATCTGAGACCAGAAAGTGTTTGTGAGGTTCCAAACATGCAGAGAAACTCTAAAAAAGACGATAGCAATTATGAGAAAAGATTCCAAATAAACTTCTCCCTGAGTTACTTCTCCAAGTAACAAATACCATTTTTAAGAGCTAACATTTAAAAATATGATTAATATTATTGCTATTATCAACCACTATTACAAACAATACCTTACCACCTGCATTTTTTAAGGTCCTAATATGTGTCAATCCACAATGCTCACCTCCCACATGCTATTTTTTTCTAATCCATAGAACTAGTTCACAAAGTAGGTATTATTATTCCAAATTTATAGGGAAAGAAACACAATCAGCTTATTTAGTTCATACAGCTGACTTCACATCATTCAGATATTATCTCAGAAGAAATCTGCCTTTACTCAAAGGCACACATTTTATGTGCAGTTGCATCATATTGCCTCATATACTGCCTGCCCAATTTTCTATATATTGCTTCCATCTACCACATGCCTAAATGTCTATCACATTATCATTTATATTCAAAATTATTATTTTCTGAAATTATTTTTTAAACTGCTCATTATTGTTTTTACACAAGAATATAAGCTCCTTTAAGGCAGAGAGTATGTCAGTTTTGTTTATTGCTGCATGTCTGGAGAATAGAGTGGTGCTTGGCACTTAGTTGGCCTTCAGGAAATATTTGGTGAATGAATGAACAAGTGAATATCTAATGATAATCTGGTAAGTGGCAGAACCAGGATAAAAGCAAACCCAGGTTTTCAGCAGCCCACGCTTACATGTTATTTCTACTACATTTCATAACCTCTTATATCAAAGTCATCAGGTTGTACACACCATGGCATCGAATTCCCCAATTATTGCAAAGTCTTTTCTGACTGTAACAAACCCAGGCCTCCAGCTGTGAGAGAATTGCTACTAGCTTCTAGCTTTTATGTTGAAGGTACAGTCACATCATTTAGGTGAATTTTATTCTTGGCAAGCAGGGAACTTTTGACCTCTTTGAAATCTATGAGTTTGTAGCCCAGATTAGACAGTGCTGGAAACACAGCGAAGACACCAGTCTCTCCGTTGACACTTTCAGTGCTGTAATTCTTGAACACTTAGGATTGGAGCTGATCAGTGATTGGGAAGTAACACCTTAAACAGAAATTTTAGAGTCATTAATGTTGTGCTCTAATTAATTACAAGCTTAATATAACTGAAAGGATAATGTAGTTATTAAAGTGGCTAACATAATTGTAAGTTGCATTAAAAAACTGTACACTTCAGAATGTTTAGAATTTACTACAGTTTGCAGAAAACATCTGGGCCACTAGACTCATTCAGTCATGTATTCTTTTATTTCACAAATATTTATTGAGCAAATACTGTGTATTTTTATAACACCATGAACTATGTACAGTTACAAGGACCACATATCAGAGGGAATGTTAATTAATAAATACAAAAGATTTGTCTTTTCTGTCCCACGTGGAATTATAAGAATCACCAAACAGTCCATATTAACAAAGTACTTGCATTGTGCATTTTAATAACTCTTCAAAAATTGTATTTTTCCTGTCTAATTTTGTGCAGTCATTTATCCATGACACTATTTGAAAGACTGACCAAAATTTATTCCACTCTGATTTGCTGGTTTGCATATTTTTCACTTAGTTACAAAGCGTAACTTAAGCCTAGCTGCCCATATCCGTTTTCTAGGCTTGGAGTTTTCCATTTGAATCTCCTTGTTCAACTTCAATAACAATTTTCCAGTAGAATGGACTAAGGAATCTGGAGAAAGTTAGTCTGGTCTCACTTATCTCTAAGGTCTGTCTTATTAACCTATCTCATCTGCTCTGTGAATATAATACCTGAGGTCCTGAATTACAATGTCACCAACAATTTGGGCGTGACCTCGACACTATCTTTACTTCTATTCCCTCCCATTATCTCCACATATAAAAAATATCCATTATCAAAATCAACTCAAATCCTGTCCTTTATTTCTCTCATGAGTATTAAATTAGTATTTCTAGAACTGACCTGAAGCAAGGCACCCAAGACCCTTCACAACCTGGCTCCAACGTAACTTTTCAGTTCCTTCTTTTGATGCTTTCTTGTGATACTTTATAATTAGCCCCCCAACCCTCACCCAAGCATACATGTGCATGGGCACACATACACAAACACACACAGTTTGTGCCTTCCTTAACATGTCATTCATTTTTATATCTCCTTAACTTCATTGCCATTCTGCTTGCTTAGGCCTGTCTAATGATCTCCTATTCATGCCGCAAGCTTGGCACAGATGTTTCCTCATTGAAGGGACTTTTTCTAAACTAAGTATTCTTGTGGCAATCTGTGAATTTGTCTATTACAAAAGTTATCAAGTTTATTATAATTGTAGTCTATTTTTCTTTTGCCTTTTTTAACGATACAATGTGTTTTTTTCTCATTGTAACTCTGTAATACTTAGAAGATAGACTTGTATGTATTAGACAAGAAATGTCACAGGAGTGAATTAGATTTTAACACAATGATGCTGTAATTCTTTCAACAACACATTGTTTTCAAGGAATTAAATGTGAAATGAATTTTAACTTAACAGCTATCACAAACATCAAAGAGTAAATGATTTAATTTTCTTACCATACCATCTTTGTCTTGTTTTATATTGGCAGCCAGAAGAGATATTTTATTTTGGAAAATGTTTTCACCACAGAAATATCTATGTTTACCAATAAAATTTTACTTTTGTATGTATCTTGTTGCTTAATAAAAAGTAAGTGCTTACTGTATGATTACATCCAAAACAAGATTTGTTTTCAAAATCTTTGTGATAAATATATGAAGAAAAGCTATCTATCTCCATGAAGATTAAATTAATCAAATCAATGAACAGAAACATACTATATGCCCTACAATTTTATGGCTTAAATTTACATTTAAACTATGAAAAGTAGTATAAAATTGTGAATTGATAAAGCACTCTAGGTAAAGTTCCAAAGAAATTTGGAACAATTTGGAACTCCAGGCAAATTATAAATTTATGTAACTCCATTTCTATCCATATATTTCACCAGAGAGATAAAATTGGTTTGATTATGCTGTCCACATACTTCAGGTAAATGGTGTTTGGTGTTTGAGGCTAGAGGCAGTAGCTACTCTTTGCCCATCCTTAACTATAAACATGCTTTTCTTCACACAACATTTGATCCTGTCACTCTCCTGATTATAGTTTTTCAATGCCTACTCAACAGCATACAGACATAAATGAAAACTCCTTAAGGTGATATAGGAAGCCTTTCAAAAAACAAATTCCTATCACCTGTCTAAAGTCATGTTCTGGCCATCTACAACTCACATGTTATGCGTCAGCCATGTTCCACTGCATGTAGTGACACAATTCACTATTATTTCAGACCTTCATTCCTTGGTACATGCTATTATACCTACTTGGCCTTGCTTGACTTCCAGCAAATCAAATCTCATATTGGTCTTCTATTCCACATGAAGACTTTTCTTTTAAATTTATTTTAAAGTTTCATTAAAATAATAATCTTTATTTTTCATTAGTTTCCACATACTACTTTTTTTAAATGAACACCTTCTACATGCTAGCCACGACACTAGAAACAAGGGAAAGAGTGATGAATAAAATATATTTATGGCCCTTCATCTTAAGACACTCATCAGTAATACCAGATGAACATGTGCTATATCAGGTAATGTCCCTCTAGTCTGGTTTGTGAACAGGTTTATGCTCATTACTAAAGCCAACACTTCTACGTGATTCTTTTCCATTTAGTTAATAGTGTGAGAAAAGAAACTTTCGTTTTGGCCTATGGAAAAAGCAGTCACTTGTGGCATCTGCCTTATAAACGTCAAGACACTGAATATCACCCATCTGAAAGACAGATCATGATCATTCTTTTAGTCCTCGGCTTGGCAGAAATGTTTTTAATGTTCTTTGTGACAGATGACTCTATTTTGTCAATCTATGTGGGAGAAAATGGAGCCAGCATCAGTTTAGACAGCTAAGTTGTAAACATTGGAGAGCTTTTGGATCAAATATTTTAATATGATCACAGTGTGTCCCATGTCTGCCATTCAATAAAGTACTAACTCAGTGAGATTTTGTAATCTGTAAGTGGGGACCAAAAATACAATGATAAATTGAATTATCCACACATTTGCAAAAATTAGCTGGAAGATAATTTTCACTATCCATGAAAATTTTTACAAAGTATATCAAGCAACTCTCTGGAATTGGATAAACAACCACTAAAGTAATTGTTACATATTTGTTACTTTCCTTTGCTTAGCAATAGCCTTTACTGCATTGTACTCTGTACCCCTAAATCACAGGAAAAGAATGCTTTATAATACCCATTACTGTTTTTTTTCTTTTTTTTTAGTAATGGCGTATACCTGTTTTATTTGCAGCAAACTCAAACAAAGTTATAATCCCTCACTTCATGGCAAGCCACATTTTATCAATCCAAGATTAAAAAGTCCAGAAAAATTAAAGTAGTTCAGCTTTTCAGTTTCTCAAATTAGCCACTCTACTTTTAGCTTTTATTTATAATCCCAATTTTTCTTACATAACACATTTTCTCTTAAAAAAAAAAAAAACAACTTTCAGGGAAAAATAAAATAAAAAAGAACAAACTTGACTTAAACTTTGCTTGTGAAGTGTCTGAACCCTTGCAGGAAACTATAGTGAAAATTATCAGTATGAAGGTCAAAGCGCTGTGTCTAAGCCCCTTTAGACAAGAGACTAGAAAGGTGTTGCAAAAAGATCCAGAAAGAAGTTGCTATTGCAAATATCTGCAGACTTTAGTAGTAACAATGCCTTCAGTGGATACACCAATTGTATGTCAATATTGTGCACTGTAGACTGAGAGCATGGACACGATCCTCAGGCTATTTTGGGAACAGTTTCCAGAAGGTAATCAGTTCTGGTAGTACAAAGTTCTGGGCATCATATCCAAAGATATAATAATACACAGTTAAATGCATGACAATAGAAATTTAATTATATTTTATTGTTTCCCACATCAAGAGTGCACTGCAATATCTAAGAAAGACACTCCTGTCCACCCTACAGTCTATAGGCCTGTAGATGGACAAATCCCACTGTTAAATGATAAGGCATCAGGGCACTCCAATGGTCTGCTCTGAACTTAGTCTTTTCTCTTATCAGAAGCCATTGCACATAGCTTTGACAGATTAATCTTTCTGTGTATCGAAGTTTATATTGAGAGGAGCAGCATGAAATAGGCAACAGAGCAAAGGTTTTAAGTTTAAGCAGTGGGAATATAATTCTTATGTAACCTAGGGCAACTCATTTAATTTGTTTGGGCCTTAGTTTCTACCTCTATAAGCAGGAATCATAATACCTAAGATCCCTTGAATTACAGAGAGAGTTTTATATGGTATAAAATATTTAAAATCATGGCATTTGTTGATTTTACAAAATATTAAATCTCTTATCTTTTTATTACAAACCATGGTCAGAAAATGAGATCATATGCTAACATTAGGCAAGCTCTCTGAAAAAGTCTTTGAATCAAACGAGAGGAATTGTATGTGAATGGACACATTAAGATAACCATTTTTACAACTCATCTGTATGATGCACTTACTCAATTCCAGATTCCAAAGGAAAGTCCAGTTGATCACTTATGAATGCTGAGGGTAAAGGACTTTAAAGATATCTTTAAAAGTCAACTTTTAAAATTAAAGATAAAGAGAAAACAGCTTTGGGGAAACATGACCTCTGCTTATTTTTGAAGAAAAAGTGAAACTAAAGGATTTCACTTTTGATACATTTAAAAAGGAAATGACAAAAAAATTGTAAAATGTGAAATTATTATTTTTCAACCTTTTTATTCCTAACCCCAATGATCTTCAAATTAAAAATGTGGCTTGAATTAAGGCAGATCTGCTAAACTAACTTTCTCCTGACTGAATTATTCTAGACTAATTATTCAAGATTTACCATAACCATGAGAGAAACTATATCCTGATTTGCTATTACTTTAGACATACTAAATAAACTTTAAATTTTTAAATATATTGATTATTTAAAAATGTATTTCGCCAGTCTGCCAGAATTTCAAAGCAATCAGTGGTTACATTAATTGAAATACCAATATTCTTAAATGCAATCATTCTTGATAATTTGAGTTTGCAGTAATTTCTTTGAACAATACTACTTATGTTTAACATAAAATATCTCACAACTGAAATCCAAGTCCCATATTTATCAGTGATTGACTTGATACATGGACTGTAGCACAAACGGAAAATCAGGTTACTCAAAAGACATTTGCCAGGCTTTTCTACTCTTGTGGTGAGTAAAATTGATGACTAGCTTCTGATTCTGCTTTCTACAATCTCTTTGTTCATTTCCCTCCATGACCTTTTACTACTATTTGTGAGAGTTTTTCCTATCACCTTTCTCTACCTTGCCCACCTATAAAGTAGACATACGAAAAAAAAAAAAAAAAAAACAAAACACAAAACTATTCCTGAGAAGCAGTGCAATCTTCTCAGCTTCTCTTTCTTGCTTAAAGAAAATTTGGGACCGAAGAGTGTGTTTTGTCTAAGTGGGTTCCCAGAGTTCTTATTATGGACTCATGATTTTTTTCTTTACACAAAACTAAGTGATTTTGTTTTTACTTTTTTCCTTGCCTTTTTACCTTGTAATTCTCTCCCCTTCTTTTATTTATTAAGAGGGATGCTTTAAGACTGTCCGACATCCGTTGAACAGTTACACCCTTAATTTAATATTTGTCTTGAGACTTCTTGACTCTCAGTTCCTCTCCATTTGATCATCTTTTAAGGACTACTAAGTGTCTTCATGGAAGAGTAGCTAGCTTCTCCCAAAACAAGCTGTCCAAATGACAAAGACAGAAAGTGCTATTTGTTTTATGGCCTCGGAAGTCACACAGCATCATTTCTGCTGTATTATAATGGTAACACATGCTGCTTTTGATTTAATGTTGGAGAGTCTGAATACTAGGTGATATGGTTCAACTCTGAGCCCTCACCCAAATCTCATCTCAAATTGTAATCTCTATGTGTCAAGGGAGGGACCTGTAATCTCTATGTATAGAGGCACGGAAGTGATTGTGTGTCCGGAATTGGTGGGTTCTTGGTCTCACTGACTTCAAGAATGAAGCCGCGGACCCTCGCGGTCAGTGTTACAGCTCTTAAGGTGGCGCGTCTGGAATCTGTTCCTTCTGATGTTCGGATGTGTTCAGAGTTTCTTCCTTCTGGTGGGTTCCTCGTCTTGCTGGCTCAGAAGTGAAGCTGCAGACCTTCGCAGTGAGTGTTAACAGCTCTTAAGGCGGCGTGTCTGGAGTTGTTCATCCCTCCTGGTGGGCTCGTGGTCTCGCTGGCTTCAAGAGTGAAGCTGCAGACCTTGGAGGTGAGTGTTACAGCTCATAAAAGCAGTGTGGACCCGAACAGTGAGCAGTAGCAAGATTTATTGCAAAGAGCGAAAGAACAAACCTTCCACAGCGTGGAAACGGACCCCAGCGGGTTGCCACTGCTGCCTCAGGCAGTCTGCTTTTATTCTCTTATCTGGCCCCACCCACATCCTGCTGATTGGTAGAGCCCAGTGGTCTATTTTGACAGGGCGCTGATTGGTGCGTTTACAATCCCTGAGCTAGACACAAAAGTTCTCCACCTCCCCACCAGATTAGCTAGATACAGAGTGTGGACACAAAGGTTCTCCAAGGCGCCACCAGAGTAGCTAGATTCAGAGTGTCGATTGGTGTATTTACAATCCCTGAGCTAGACACAGGGTGCTGATTGGTGTGTTTACAAACCTTGAGCTAGATACAGAGTGCCCATTGGTGTATTTACAATCCCTGAGCTAGACACAAAGTTTCTCCACCTCCCCGCCAGACTCAGGAGTACAGCTGGCTTCACCCAGTGGATCCCACACTGGGGCTGCAGATGGAGCTGCCTGCCAGTCCCACCCCTGTGCCCGCACTCCCCAGCCCTTGGGTGGTTGATGGGTCTGGGCGCCGTGGAGCAGGGGGCGGCACTCACTGAGGAGGCTGGGGCTGCACAGGAGCCTACGGAGGGGGTGGGAGGCTCAGGCATGGCGGGGTGCAGGTCCGGAGCCCTAACCCACGGGAAGGCAGCTAAGGCCCGGTGAGAAATCGAGCGCAGCACCGGCGGGTTGGCACTGCTGGGGGACCCAGTACACCTTCCACAGCCGCTGGCCCGGGTGCTAAGCCCCTCATTGCCCGGGGCCGGCAGGGCTGGCCAGCTGCGAGTGCAGGGCCGGCTGGCTGCGAGTGCAGGGCCCGCCAAGCCCACGCCCACCCGGAACTCCAGCTGGCCTGCAAGGGCTGCAGCGCAGCCCCGGTTCCCGCTCGCACCTCTCCCTCCACACCTCCCTGCAAGCTGAGGGAGTGGGCTCCGGCCTTGGCCAGCCCAGAAAGGGGCTCCCACAGTGCAGCGGTGGGCCGAAGGGTTCCTCAAGTGCCGCCAAAGTGGGAGCCCAGGCAGAGGAGGCGCCCAGAGCGAGCGAGGGCTGTGAGGACTGCCAGCACACTGTCACCTCTCAATTGGACCATGAGGGTGGTTTCCCCCATGCTGTTCTCATGATACTGAGTGAGTTTTCACCAGATCTGATGGTTTTATGAGCATCTAGTATTTCCCCTGCTCGCACGTCTCTCTCCTGCTGCCATGTGAAGAGGTCGTTGCTTCCTCTTTGCCTTCTGCCATGATTGTGAGTTTCCTGAGGCCTCCTCAGCTATGTGGAACTGTGAGTCAATTAAATCTCTTTTCTTTATAAATTACCCAGTCTCAAGCAGTGTGAGAATTGACTAACACACTAGGAGACAAGGATTATTTATGGCCATCTTGGTGGCTATCAGAAGGAGTGATTTTGATGCCGGAAGAGTCTATTCCAAAACGATGTCATTACAGACATAGCTTCCTTGGCAAGGTTGTTCTGCTTCAAGAACATTGGATGAGAATGGCTCATCAAGAGTGATTTCGAATGCCAAATGTGGGCAGGACTGTACCATATGCAGGAATCTACACCAGCATATCAACAACTGATTTCTTCTCTACTGAGAGAAGAAAGTGCTGGCATTAGGCATTGAATGTATCAACATGACTCAAAGTGGCAAAAACAAAGTGGGATGGAGTTACTATCAAGAACCTGGTGTTTGAAGGAAAAGAGATGAGAAAGGTAACAGCTTACTGTCCACATCTAGGGAAGATGATTGTCTTGACACTTTGACAGTTTTATAGTCAAGGACAAAGGGAATTCTAAAGGCACACATAATTAGAGCATTTCAATTTATGTTAGTCCTGAGAGATCTGCCTATTATTAAGAAACCTGAGATTTGATAACATTTTTTATACAAACAGATTTTATACAACAGCATAGTAAAGTTCTGTATTCTCTTGATTTTATGTCGATTATAGGTGCAATGTTATAGAAAAAATTAAACTTAAATTTGTATATTTCTAAAATTATATGTTCCTACATGAGGTAATAGAGTTGATATGATTATTTGTAACATAAGTGTTATGATGGTCACCAAAATATCATCAATCTGAGTATGATTTAAACTTTATATGAGATGCCAAATAAGTGCTAAATGTTGGATTACTTTTTAATTCTTTATTTTAAATTCAGACAATTTTCACTGAAAGAAAGGCCTTCTGTATGCAATGGCCTGAAGCTACTGATTTCAGAAATAATTTATCTCTTATGCCAAAATAAGAGGTGATAATGGGATATCAGATTATTTTTATTTTATTCTGATTCTGAGTAAAATAAAAAGTGTAAGACATCTATTTTTGAAGTTCCAAACTTACAGAATTTCTAGGGTACTTTCAGGATTCATGGAGAAATAGGACAGCTATTTAAGATGGGAGATTTACCACAGAATTAAAGATATATGGCTGTAGTAAGCTCAGAAAGAGTGTTGTCGTGAGATATCAAAATCCTATAATCATTATGATTTTATATTTATTTCATAACATTTTAAACAAAAAATTGTAACTACTTTTAATGTTTTGAAATACATATGGGAAGTGTATTTCTCACATAATACAAAACATTATTTACCACTTTAAAGTGGTATTTGTCTTGCGACAGTTACCTCTCCAGTGACTAAAGGTGCAAGGGTTGGACACGGTGTGGAGTGGGCAGAGGAACTTGGACTCCCTTGTGTACAATATAATAACACTGAGCATTCATTAATAGAACAGAGAAAAGAATCCTAAGTTCATGGCTTTTATATCCCATCATATAATAGGTCTGAAGGGCTTATTTTTTGGAGACAACTGAGAGACATCAATGACTGTGACTGATAGTAGAAAGCAATAACAAGTTTACAGAATTGATTATTTACATATTACCCTGGAAATATTATCAGAATATATTTTATTATGATAATACAGAGCGACATATTTGGTTTGGTATTTATTGAGCTGTGTGGCAGATGGGATATGCATTTTTGTTCCCAGACTGCACTTTTCCTTTCCTAGAAGTAACTAACACATGCTGTGACATGCTGTGACACCATTTTCTAAATACTGGCTTCTGATTACTTCCAAAAGTCATGAAATATTTTTGTGTTTAAGTTATTAAAAAAGTAATGGTATTTTTCCAAGACATATTTTTGTAACGATTCATAATCTAGTCATTTAAGCATGTTTTGTTGAAAATAGAAACTCTTTGAAGACCCCAAACGTTTATAATATAGAGATCAGATCGGAGCATGGATTATTTATTTTAGTTAACTATTGCTGCATTCAAAACCTACCTCAAATGTAGTGGCTTCATAAACCATCATTTGTGTTTTGCTTATGAGTCTTAGTTTTGAGCTGGATTCAATGGACATAGTTTATCAGTGCTCTATGCTGTATTATTTGGGGTGGCCCAACTAGCCTAGAAGATCTGGTTCTAAGATCACTTACTTGCACAACTGGTAAATTGGTGCTGAGTGTTGATTTCTTTCCATTTAAGTGTCTCCCTAGATTGGATTTCTCATAGTATTGTAGACAAGTTCCAAGAGAGATTGTCCCCAAATACAGGAAAGAGAAACTACCAGTTTCATAAGACCTTGGCCCAGAAACTGCCCTAGAATCAGTTTTATCATATTCTATTGATCAAGTAATCATACAGCCAAGGTACTAGGGGAGAAGATATAGACCCATCTCACAATAAGAGCAATCTCAAAGAATATGGGGGCCATAGTGTAATGCTACCACATGACTCATTCATTTACTCACTAAGTTCATCATGACTATCCACTGCATTCGTTTTTAAATATTATATAAATCTTAACACTTCTTATTCTTAGAGTGTTTTAAAATTAATATCTATTTGGGACTATTCATTGAATATAAGAAGAAAAATAAAGCCTGCTGTTGTATTCAACAAAATAACAATAAATTTTGTAATAATAATTTGGCAAATTTACATCAGGATGACTCTGTTAAGTTTCTTATTGCTGAAAACAATGCAAGGTTTCATATTTTAGAGCTCTGAAGGCCAGAAGTCAATATCAATCTCATTGAGCTAAAATTAAGTTATCAGGAGAGCCACCCTCTTTTTCAATGAATTTGAGAAAGAATCTGCTTCCATACCTTTGCAGCTCCTAGAGGTTGCCTACATTCCCTGCCTACTACAAGGCAGAAATGTAGCAACTTCCATTCTCTTTTTGACTCTCTCTCTGACTATGACCCCTGCTTCTATCATCTCCTGTCCTTTTTTGACTTTGACCCTCCTGTTTTCTCTTAAAAAGACTCTTATGATTACATTAATTCCCTCAGTAGAATCCCCCATGCCAAGGTCTTCAACTTAATCAGATCTGCAAACTCCAATTTGCCATATAAGTTAGTATACTGAAAGGATTTGGGGTCAAAACATGGACATTCTGTTGGGGTGGGGAGGTTAATTATACAGTCTAGCATAATGTTTTGCCCAAAACAAGTCATTAAAGCAATCAGATAAAAATTATTTTAGCATATCAAACACTGATATTAAAAGTAGAAAACAAAGATTATACTTTATTTAGTCTTAAATTTGTTATATATAAACTTCTAACTTTTTTTTTTTTTTATGGTTGAGAAGCATTTACAACAAAAGCCTGAAGGGAAAGGATAACACACATAAAATATCTCAACTTTGGGATACTTTATCAAATCAGTAACAAAACACACAAAATACTAAATAAAATTAACTCATTTATTATTTTAACCAAAATATGAACAATGTTCAAACATAAGCCAATGTTATAGAAGATATTTGGGTCTATTTTTTATTACTCAAAATTTTGATTATATTGAAATTTTATGTTTTAGTTGCTCAGTGAAACTCTCACAAATAAACTCCTTTTAATGACATTTCTTTCATAAGCCAACAAATGCTCAAACATGTATAGGCAGTCATAATTCTACACATTTTAATTTTTAATTTTATTACCAGCTTGTCTGTTACTAAAAGAAAGTTTTGGCAAAAATCATAATGTGATATTTCCTTCTTTTATTAATTCACCTTACGGGAAGCAAATATGGCTTTTATTTGATCTTCAGGTATTTGTATTCAAATGTTTTCAAAGAAATTCTAAGATCTCCAGTTGATACCAAACCTTATATTTACTATTTCTTCTCCAATGCATACATACCTATGATAAAGGTTAATTTATAAATTAGACACAGCAAGAAATTAATACAAATTACTAATAAACCAGAACAATTGTGCCAATATGCTGTAATAAAGGTTAGGTGAACATGGATTCCCTGTCTCTCTCAAAAAGTTATATGATTGTGTTCTTCCTCCCTTTATTTCAAAATATCTTATTGTAGTTTACTCACCTGTCTTCTTGTGATTTGTCAACCTGCTAACCAAGAGGTCTCCTAAATGACTAACAGGCAGGTAGCATCTACAGTGTGGATAGGCTGAACCAAGGGGTGATTACATTGCCAGCGGAACAGATTGGACAGTGTGAGAGTTCATCATGTTACTCAGAATAACATGCAACTTACAACTTATGAATTGTCTATATCTGAAATTTTCCATTTAATATTTTTAAATCATAGTTGACTTTAGGTAACTGAAACCACAGAAAACAAAACCACTGATAAGAAGGGAGCTACTGCACTGTCTGTCCCTAGAAAGATCTTTATAGAATTATTAATATAGTTCATTCTAGATCATTGTCTATGAACTTGTCTGTACCCTACTTGAAATTGCTGTGTATCTGAGTACTTTACGTCTACGCAGATTGAATATGTGTTTCAATTAAGGCAAAATGATAATTTAGGCAGTTTTTTTTATCTGCACTACTGTCTTGCCATTCTGCATCAATTTTCTTCAGAGTCCTCTGCACCCTAAAGTGTGAATAAATCCAAGAGCTTAAATTTACATTTCTCAGATATATTTGTGTTTTAAGATGAATCAAAAGATGTCCTCAGTGGATTTTAGTAAAACAACCAGGAACCAGCCCAATGATGTGTTAGAATGTAAGAGGTAGAGATCGGGAAGTTTTGGGTGTGAGCAGAACCCCAGTCAAGATCCAGTGCTCTTGAATCATTTTAAAGGGATTAAGACTTTAAAAAAAGAACTCAGGCATGAGTGGATACAGTGGTTATTTTTTCTTCCTCTTTTCTTACTGTCTTTTTCTGAAGGCAGGCCCAAATTTCATAGTCGCGCAGGTGTGTGGGCAGTGAAATCTCTAAGACAAACCTTGCTTTTCTCAGCAGTGGACAGGAAAAGGAGTTCTGTAAAGCTGGAGGTTGTGGGAGAAATTCTAATAGAGAAAAGACTGAATAAAGAAACCCTCAGTTCTGAGTATCAGCCAGCACAAAAACTTGGCTTACCGTTAGTTATGTCGGGGGTAGGGGACAGAGAGACCCTGAGCAGCATAGCAAGTAATCCAGGACTTGTCAATGCAAAACATTTCCCATGAGTCAAAGTAAATCCTGAGTCATATATGTGCTGTTTTGTTACCTGCTGAACAAGCAAAACCAAGAAGATAACATAGCATATTCCAAAAATATTAGCATACTTCAAACACTCAGTGTCTCATGACAGCGTCTAAGACCAAATTAAAAATTAATAGACATTTAAACAATGTGACCAATTCTCTAAGGAATAGGAAATAAACATATCAATATCCTTAGACGATCTGAATGATAAGATTATTAGGCCAAATTTTAAAACAGCTATTATGATGTAAAAATAAGATAACTTAAAAATAAGTATTTATTGTTATTTTAATTCAACATTATTATTATTAAATATAGTAAGATAGTAAACACACTTTAAATGAGTGAAAATATAGAAGTGTTAAAAAGTAAAATATAAGAAAGAACCAAATGTAACTGTAAAAGTAATAAAATTACAATATCTGGGGGGAAAAATCACTGCATGTACTCAATAGCAGAATAAAGATCAAAAAGTAAGAATGAAATAAAATATAGATAAATAAAAATTATTCAGTCTTATAAAGAGAAAACAGCAAAGATTGAAAAGAATGTGCACAGACAGCCTCGGGGATAAGTGAGACATTATCAACAGGTCTGGTATTTGTGGTATGGCTATATCCCAGATGGAGAGAATAAAGAGATTGATGCAGAAAAAATGTTTGAAGTAGAAACAAAAATTTCCCCAAATCTGTAAATTCCTATAAACTTAGGAATTCCAGAAGCTCAAGGAGTCTCAAATAGGATAAATGCACAAAAAAAATTCCTAGCTACATCATAATAAACTACTGAAAACAAAAAAGAAAGGAAAAGAAAACAAATCATGTAAATATTTAGGGAAAATAACATATTACATGTAGTAAAGCAATGATTGAAATGACTGTTAATTTCTCACCAGAGATGGTTGGATGCAGAAGACGGTGTTATGTCATCTTTAAAGTACTTAAAGAATATAACTTTTAATTCAGAACTCTATATGTAACAAAAATATACTTCAGAAATTAAGCAAAAAATTTTTTTTCGATGAATGGAAAGTAAAAGAATTCTTCATCGCCAGACCTGTTGTAAAAGAAATACTAAAGGTACTTATTCAAACAAAGGAAAATAATATCAGAAGGTCTTATAGGCAACATGGAATTGGATTTTGTATTTTCTTATTTCATTCAGCCACCCTATTTTTTTATGTAACTAATGTAATTAATTTACATTCAAGTAACTATTGATATATAAGGATTGACTAACGCCATTCTGTTAATTATTTCTGTTTTTTGTTTGTATCCTTCATTCCTTTCTTCCTCTTTTTCATCTTTGTGATTTTGTTATTTTCCATACTGCTGCTTTGGTTCCTTTTTATTTAACATTTGTGTATCTCTTGTAGATTGTTTGCTTTGTGGTTATCATGAGGAATAAAAAGTGATAAATGAATCAAACGCAAGAGAATAGGAAAATGATATACCATGCAATTACTAACCAGAGGAAAGCTGGAGTGTCTATATTAACATCAGACAAAATAAGCTTCAAAAGAAGAAATATTACAAGGGCTAAAGAAGGCCATAATACAACAATGAAACAGACAATTCACAGAGGACATTATGATCTTAAATATGAATGCATCTAACAGCAGTGATTCAAAATAGATGAGAAAAATTCATAGACTTGGATGGAGAAATAGCCAAATTCACAGTATCTAACCAAATTCCCATAAGAAAATTATATGTAAGTTATGTTATATGTATATATGTTAAGTAGACATTAACAACCTAATTCAAAACTCCCTGTGGAAGAGCCGTAAAGTCACAATAGACAACTTCGAAAAGAATAAAACAAAAAACTAATTTGGAAGATAAATGGAACACACTATAGAATCTACAAATAGAAGAACACAATAGATTTAATTAATTTTTGATAAAGATGCAAAGGCAGTTCAATGGATAAAGGACAATTTTTTCAACAATTAAATGATGTTGAAACATTTGAATATGTTTATTCAAAAAACAACCCCAACGTAAATATTGTACCTTATAATGAAATATTAACTCAAAATAGATCATAGACATAAGTGAACAACGAAAAACTAAAAAACACCTGGGAGAATACATAGAAAAAATCTTTGTGACCTTGACTTAGGCAAAAAGTTCTTAGATAAAACAACAAAATCCACTAAATTAAAAAAAAAATTGATAAATTGAACTTTATCAAAATCAAAAGCTTCTAATTTTTAAGAGACACCGTTAAGAAAAGTGAAAGACAAAGACATGTAACAGACTTTGGGAAATATTGGCAAGTCAAAAATCTCAACAGATATTTGTATGCAGAATATATAAGGAACCCACAAAGCTCAACAAGAAAACAAACAATCTAGTAAAAATGAGCCAAAGATTTGACTATATGACCATACAGATAGCGAATAAGCATATGAATATATATCACTACATACCTAATAGAGTGGTTAATAAAACAAAACAAAAGAAAAAAACTGGATAAACAAGTGTTGACAAGGATATGTATGTTGATGCAGGGAATTAAAAAATCATACAGGTATCCTGAAAAACAGTTTGGTAGTTTCTTATGCAGTTAACCATATGCTTACCACACTTCCAAGCAATCCTATTTAGAGGTATTTACTTAATAGAATTGAAAAGTTATGTTCACCCAAAAACGTGGACGTGAAAGTTTATATGTGTATAGATATTCTATTCAAAATGACCCCAAACTGGAAATAAGCCAAATGTCACTCACTAGGGAATAAACAAAATGAGGTATATCAATAAAATAAAATACATTTGAACTGTTTGATATATTACATAGCAATCAAAAAGAATAAACCATTGATGTATGCAATAGCATAGGTGGATCTCAATCATATTTTGCTAAGTAAAATAAGCCAAATTCAGTGGGATGCATGCTATATGCTTTCATTTATATGAAATTTTGGAGAAAAAAATGAAATTGTGGAGAGGCAGAATCAAAAAACAGAAAATAATCAGTGGCTGCTTGGTTAGATGTGGAGGGGAGTAGTTGACTAAAAAGGGGTAGCATTAGAGACTGTTTTTGGAAGGTGATGAAATATCTTTTTGGTTGTTTTTTGACACCAATAAGTGTCTTTTTTTTTCTAAACAAAGAAAAAACTATACACTAAAAAAAGTAGATTATATTGCATGCAATTTTTTTAACTGAAAAAAATACTATGAAGGTATCTTTGGAGGTAATAACATGATACTGCAACCCACATTCACTCAATCACTTCTTTCCTTACCTGATCCATTGCAATCACAGTCTAAAACTTAAGGGGCAAAGCGGGAATGCCTACTCTAGGTAAAGAATGACAGAGGAGGAGAATGAATAGACCTGGGTATCAGATACTGAAATTATGGTTCCATGTATTAGAATTGGCCATAAGAAACAAACTGGGAAGGATGAGATTCAAGTCTTTCTTAAATGATAAAGTTATCTAGGGCTTACATATATATCTTCCAAAGTTTCTCAAACCTTGCCTTTTCAAGTTATTATGCTTCTCCTCTATGCAGATTGCATTCTGACTCATATGTGCATCACTGCTTAGATTTGACATCTGTTTACTTGATTATTGAAAGCTTATTACATTTCAATTTTAAAGATCCAAATTTCTCTCCTGTAATCTGACATTCTGAAATTTTCTGGTCCCAAGGTTATGTTGATAGGTCCAAGAGCTCCATTCGAAACACAAGTCACTTCTGCTTTTATTTGTTTATCTTTAACCTGTTCGTGATGGGTTATGGTCTCAGCTGTCTGCTTCACTTACATTTTGTCCAGTCGAGTAAAGTTTATTCGTGTATTTTCTTTTAAATATGACCAAGTATGCATTTCACTAGCCTCGATCAATCATTTTGTCATTAATCCAAACTACTGTTCTCTGCTTTGGGTGATAATTTTCAGGCTGACAACTGCCTTGGGACAAAGGTATTTTCAGCTGTGATCTATGAGAGTGTTTGGCAGGAACTGAAGTCTTGCATATCTCTGTTCCTTAATCACAGCACAAGGTGTACTTGGGAATGTCATCACCAACTGCAACAATCTTATTGGAGAAAAACTGCTGCTTAGCATGTCTTGCAATGCAGAGTCTGAAGAAAAAAATCAGTAACAAGATACATGGTTAAATAAAGTCAATAAAACAATAGAAAACACTCCATTTTTATAAATTAAATACCTTCTGACTATAAATTAGACAATGTTTTTCTTGTCTTTGTATACAAGGGAAAGCAAATTTTTTAAGCAGAGAAGGTAACATAATATTAGAATTTAACTGTGTCTTCAAGTTGTGAGTAAAAGAAAACGCAACCGAAGGAGGCTTAAATAGTAGAGGGAACTAACTAGTCCATGTGACTTGCATATTTAGAAGTATGATTACCGCAGCATCAGGATGATCCAGAACTGGTGACATCCAAGAACCCAGTTTCATTCTTTCTACTGCTCTGCTTTCTTCATTGTCAGCTTTCTCCCCTTTGCTTCCATTGACGGCTCACATCAGCTGGGGCAGGACGTTGTTCTCTGTTCATATTCTGAGAAATTGCAAGAATCTCTTTCTTAAACATTAAATGAAAATTCCTAACTCCAACCCTCATTGAACAACGTAGGTGACAACTCTTAAGTCAGTCACTGTGGCAGTTGATTGACTGGAGCCAGAGTTAGAAGCCCTTCCCTAAAGCATGAACAATCAAAAGGGAGAAGGGATTTTGCTGATTGGAAAGGCCGATCCAGCAATTACTGGAGCTAGGGATTGGTTCAGTGCCACCACTTACGTTTGCTACAAAAAGAAGACAGGTAGATGAATTGACAACTAATTGTTTACCATGTCCAAAGTGCATGTAGTAGGTGTTAGGCAAATTTTTTTGTTAGATGAATAAATTATTAATTATAAATTAAAGACAATTCTAGGCTTGCCAGTGAGTAACATTATGGGCAAAACTCACTACTCGACTTCTATTTCCTCATCTTTAATGCGAACATATTAACTTCCATATACAGTTGCTATGAGAATTGGAAGAGTTAATACATGCAAAAGTCCTTAGCCAACTAAAAAGTACTTTTTTTCTTTTTTTTTTTTTGTTAAGGGATAGGGCTTGCTATGATGCCTAGGCGCTGGCTTCAAACTCCTGGGCTCAAGTCATCCTTTGTCTCAGCTCAAGAATTAACTCCTATAATTCTTGAATTACAGAAATTACAGGCACACGCCATACAATTTTTGAAAGTATTTTTTTAAGTATCAAATGTTTTAAGTATCGATACCATTTAAAAAATAATTTGCACTATAACACAGCCTCAAATTTTGTTAAAATTGAAACATTTTCATTCAACGGATTTTACTTTTTAATGACAAAACTTTTAAATCTTAGTACTTGAAAGCCAAATGCTATAAAACAGGACAAAATATCAAATTAATTTTTAGAGATTTTCTACTTAAGTATTTGATGCACCAAAAATTCAAGAAATTTATGGCAAGCTCTGTATTTTTGTTGTTGTTGTTGTTTAGAAATAAATAGTTCTGGGCAAACACATCAAGAACAAATAGGTTGTTGTTTTTTTAAAAAAGTATTGAAACTTGTATAAAATTAGTCCACTTATTGTTTTAAGTATTTTTATTGACTCTTTCTTTGTTCTTCTAGCTAACTTTTCTTTAATTTCTAAATCTAGATCTCAACTAAAAGTTGCCAAGTGCAAAAATAAAATCCTAGAAAAAAAAAGGTTATCTCAGATCACAGGCAAATCATTATTGCAACGGTCATTTATGTTTTTTACCAGTTTAAATAATCTTTGACTACTATACTTCTAAAAATAGATGAAGTAAGATTTACTTCCACATACACTCTGTGTGTGTGTATGTGTGTATACATATATATACACACATATATATGAGTTAACATATATAAATTATATGAGTTAATATACATAAATACAAATGAGTTATATATATTTCAGTTATAAATACATAAGTTATATAGATTTGTTATATACAACATATTTTAGTTTTGTATTTGTGTATATCCATATACATATATAGAGATTTAATCAATCTTTAGCAAGTATTTCTTTAATCTCATCTTTTAAAAAGTATATATCTTAATTTATCTGCTCTTTTAGAATTGTGAGAGAGCACAATGTACCACCTCAAAATATGAAGTTGAGCTAAAGGCAATTTAGAAGAAGCAACAGATGCAGAAAAGCTCTGGCTTTTGTACATAGTTTTACAAGGACAGAAAGTACTCTGCCTTCACTCTCTACCAGGGAGAACAAAGGTTAACCACTGAAGACAACCATTAGACCCTTATTGGCCTGGGGAGTGGTACCAGAGCAATCTACGTTAACAATCTTTACTAACTCCCATTTATCTGCCATTTATTTACCTTCCCACAACTTGCTGCCCCTAGAGACTTAAAGTCCATTTCCTTTGTCTTGTCACTTTTCTAAAAATGTACTTTTCTTTGTTACTATATAAACTGGAATTCAAAGCCACCTTTTTGAGAACTACTTATTTCCTGTTTCCCATTTATGCATGAAAGAAGCATGTTAATAAACTTCTATTTGTTTTTCTCTTGTTGATCTGTCTTTTGTTTCAGGGGTCTGTTACAACTTAGAACGTATGAGGATTGAAAAAAAGATTTTTCTTCCGCTACAAAATCAATTTCAAAAAGAAAAGTTACACTGCATATAAATCATGATATTTCAGAATGAATAGGCAGTTTATTAGTTTGCTTATTCAGATACGTTTTCCTTAAACCAACCAACCAAACAAATAATAGTGCACTGAATGTACAATAATTAAAAAGCATGCTGATGTTCATTTCTCATAATTAGAATTCTAACTTTAATTTCACAACAGCGCCAATTACCAACGGCTTTGAGAATAAACTTGATGAGAACGGGCAGTTCAGGAAGCCTGATTAATTAACAAATATGAAAGTTGTTTTTTTTTTTTTTTTTTTTTTTTCCTGTGATGATGTCTGAGATACTTGAACCACTGGATAGAAAAAAAATAAAACATACTTTGAGAGTCCAAGAAAAAAATACTCTGGGAGGCCGAGGCTGGAGGATCATTTGAGGTCAGGAGTTTGAAACCAGCCTGTCCAACAAGGTGAATCCCAGACTCTATTAAAAATACAAAAATTAGCCGGTCATGGTGGCAGGCGCCTATAATCCCAGCTACTCGGGTGCCTGAGGCAGCAGGTGAGGAGAATTGCTTGAGCCCAGGAGGCGGAGGTTGCAGTGAGCAGAGATGGCACCATTGCACTCCATCCTGAGCGACAGAGAGACTGCATTTCAAAAAAAAAAAAAAAAGAAGAATTCAAGAAAAAATGATGTATGAAACTTAAGATAGCAAGTATATAGCAGCTCGTAACTTAAAAATCCAGCATTTTGGCTTTTTAAAAAATTAAAAGTGTTAAAAATATCAGCAAACAACTGTATAACTGAGAACTCTTCTATTTAGCATGATGATTGTCAAATTAAATTATAAAGAAAAGGTTTGCATCTCAGCACTAACTTTTGCTAGCTATGTGAACTAGGGAAATGTACTACTTAACCTACCTGCATTTCTGTTTTCTCACCTAAAAATTGAAAAAAAAATCATACCCGCATGATAACTTTGGCAGGAAAATTATTTAGCATCTATAAATAATTTTGTAACACAGGCCCTGGAATATCCTGCGTGCTTATACAAGTAGTTGTTAAAATTTTAATGTTACATTAATAAATACAAATAACAAAGTATCTTTTTGCTAAAAATTCAGAAAATTTTTAAGAAAAAGACAAAAAGAAAAAAAGATCTTGCAATATCTATACCGCAAGCTACGTTTCCTTAGCACAAAAAATTTCATGCTTTTTGAACTTCTATTATGCATCAAGGCTATAGACAGTAATGGGCGATATGAAAAGTGGTAGCAAAAAACCTCCTCCCTCAAAGAACTCAATGTAATCTATAAACTAGATTTTTAAATATAAATACTCTAATTCATAATAATTGAAGCATTTGGTATGGAAAGATTAATTCTGATTGGACAATTTGGTATATAAATGCTTTTCAAAGCACTTAGCCAACTGGCTGAAGGGTATTTGTGATTGAACCACTCCTGTACTGAGCGCTGCGTTTTATTTACAAGAAAAATCAATATAAGAAGGCAAGTCTGTTCTTTTAAACCATTATAAAAGCTTCAGTCATCATATTCTTTAATGAGAAATATTTGTGATAGCTTTGACTGCATTTTCTGTTCAACAGGGGGAAAGTATAGAAGCATAGAAGACAGTTTATAATTCCAGTAAGTCCAGGCAGAATCTTAGTCTCATTCATATTATTTAAAAATTTCGATCTAATTATGCTTTGAAGGTTTCCCATGTGGCGATATAGTTCTTACCAATGTTGTTACAATGCCTCATCTGCTGGTGCTAACACAAATTTGAAAATACTATCTGATGTTCAGAGAAGTTCCAACACTCACATTTTATTCCAAATCTACATGATGCTGATTTCAGAAGCAAAATATTGTGATTTTTGAAATAAGTACATGCTTTAAAATGACAGCAAACAAATCTTGGAAGACTAGATAATAATTGTAGTACTTTACAATACCAGAATGTATAGAGGTTGACATGTTTTATATTTTTTAATATGAGTTTCATTTACAAGAATTAAAATCATTGAATTATTCAAGTTATTCATTTTCAGCCATGTATGACCTTGGACAAATACCAGTCTTCTTTTTATGTCTCAGTGATTCACTTATAAAATGAGGAAAATTTTGTCCTGTCTTCCTCCCTTGTGGAAGTTTTATAAAAATCAGAAGAGATTTTGGCATTAAATCAAGGTTGTCTACTACAATCATTGTCCTCTTTTGAGTCCTGAAGTCCTGAAGAAAGTTGTCCAAGGAGATGGGTGAAAATGGAGCCTATTAAGCCAGAATTTTATTATTGTTTTTCTTTACATTTTTTGTGCCATCCCAATATGATAAAAATTTTCGAAAACATTTTCTTGTAAAAGTTTATAAGTTTTGTTTATTATGTTTACCTTATATAAGTTCTGGGATTTATTTATGAATGATGTGTGGTAGAGATGTAATTTTCTGTCATGTTTTCTATTGACAAATAATTTTATTAGCACTGTTTATTAAAGTGCATTATCTTCTGCTGATTTGTAAGGCTACCACTTTCCTATACAATATTCCTTATATACTAGGCTTTTTCTAGGCTCCCTCTTCAGTTTCATCATTAAATTACTGTCTTTGTGCCTACCCTCATACCCTTTTAATTCTTCTAGTTTTATAATTATTCTTAATGTTAAGTGCTGAATCTTTTTTTTTAATCTTCATTAAAACTGGTGTGGCTTTTTGGTCTTTTAAACGTTTCTATGAATTCTAGAAGCAACTAGGTAAAATTTTTAATTAGAATTGCATTGAATTATTGATGAATTTGGGGAAAGTCAGTTTCTTTGCCACATTAAGTTATCACACATATGAACATTGTATATCTTTCCATTTGTTCAGATCTTTTATTTTCTCTACTCATATTTTGTATTTTTCCACCGCAAAGTTCTCTTGTATTGCTATTGACAGTGACATATTTGCTTCTTGAATATGTAATAACGTATAGTTCAACAATTTATTCTGGATTTTTCCAGAACATATTATGTTCTTCACTTTTCAGTAACCATATTTATTTTGAGATTTTGGCTTCTATTAGTATATGTCAGAAATTACTGAGATTATATCATGGCATTTAGCTTCTTCTTTTATAATGTATTTATTTTAAATAGATAATATTTACAAAGAGTAAAATAGCCATAAAACTGATTAAAGACAAGCCATAGAAAATAAGTTTTCCTCTGATTCTGTTTTACAAGGTTCGTTTTATTATTATTCAGTTACGGTGAGTCTACAGAACCGGAGAGGACTGATATTAAAAGTCTAGTTTGTTTCTCACAGTTCTCAAGAGGAGAGGGCACACCACACCAGAGAAAGTCACACAGGGAAACTCCAAGGTAGGTCAAGAGGCAGAGGGAACAGGAGTAATGCATAGGCAAGAGCCTTTATTGTGATTTCCAGGGGAAGGAGATGGGGTAAGCAGGTTTAGGATAGGCTAGTTTGAATAATTTCAGGGGACTTTTGTGAATAAAAATTGCCCCGAGTTGTCTAGTACTTAACCTTGGACTACTTAGGGTAGGGGAATAGTGGCCAAGAGTATAAAAGCCCCTAAGATAAAGTAGGTAGTTGGGGTATAGGCTCTGGATTGGTTGGTTTGCATATGATAGGTGGGCTCACAGGAAAGTTATTTACTGGCTCTAGGAATTAGCTAGCCTTGGGAGGGGCTGTCTTTCCAGAGTCTGCAAAACCCTACATGACAAAGCATTAGAAATACAGAAAATATAAAGGCACGATTAATAGTCTATCTCCCTTCTCTAACCACGCAGTTCTCAAGAGGTAAAAAATTAATAATTTTATTTTCAGAAATAATCTATACATTTTTAAATATATGTAACTGTACATTCATTTGCACAATGGCATACAGTACGTAATAATGCATTTTGCCTTTTAGTAAACAATATATATTGAGATTTTTGAAATATTGGTAAATCTAAATTAACTTAGTCATTTTACTAGTTCTTCAGAATTCCATTAGATTGCTGTATTACAATTTACTTGACCATGATTTTTGCTGAAGAACATATAGCTTATTTAAATATTTTATTATCATAAATAATCCTGCTTTATTTATTTTTTGTTTATTTCATGTAATTAACACATGTATAAGTCTTTATTGGAAAAGAGATAAAAATGCTTATTGAAAGGGTGATGCATTTGGAATAATGATATATATTGACAAACTGTCCTCCATAAGATTGCTCCAATTTATACTCCTAGGATGTTTGAGAATGCCAGTTTCTCTCCCTATCAGAGTCCCTAAAAAGTATTTATCAAAGTCTTTTTGTGTGTGTATGTCTTCATATATACAGAACACATATGCATATATTGATATAGTGAGAGTTATTTCTTGGATATTTTATTTAGAATTTTTGTAATTATTATCAAAATATTTTCTATAATGTCTCTTTATCATAGTTTGCTTTTATGGTTTTGATATCAATATTCTAATCATTTCCTAAAATACTTTTTGGAATGTTCTCTCTTTTACATTTTTTGGAATATATAATATGAATTATTTGTTTCTTGAATATGTCATAGAATTTGACTTAAAATTTTTTGTGGCTTTTTTCTTAAATGTATAAGTTAGGATTCATAGACCTCACCTCTAATTTTTGTCTATAGAATTCTACTTGTAGTGTGACTTCACAAAAGTTTTAATGATGTTGAAAGTAAAAGTTTAGAATTATCTAAGCAGCCAATTCATTGTATTCATGATTTTTAAAAAAGATGTTTGAATTACAGAAATGAGTTCCCAATTAGAAATAGAGTATAATGGCTTTAACAAACAAACCTACAATCTCATAGTTTTTTACAGAAAAAAATGAAGAAGATTTTGGCATTGCAAATATACTTGTGGCATTAACTTTGACCCCTTAAGCATATTTTCCTTGGTGTACTCTTTCAATTTTTTTCCCAAAAATTTATTGGTCTTTGGGAGATAGATGACACAACTGGGGTAGCCTCAGTCTGTCAGAAATATCTACAAGATATGAAAAAACACAACATCACAAGTAAGCATATTCTTTTTTTTACTTTTTTTTTTTTTCTTCTTCTTCTTGGTTGTTTTCTTTTTGAGATGGAGTCTTGCTCTGTCGCCCAGGCTGGAGTGAAGTGGTGAGATCTCAGCTCACTTCAACCTCCGCTTCCCGGGTTCAAGCAATTCTCCTGCCTCAGCCTCCCGAGTAGTAGCTGGGCTACAGGCGGCTGCCACCAAGCCCAGTTAATTTTTGTATTTTTAGTAGAGATGGGGTTTTGCCATGTTGGCCAGGCTGGTCTTGAATTTCTGACCTCAGGTGATCTGCCCACCTTGGCCTCCCATAGTGCAGGGAAGGCATACTCCTCTTAATATAGAAAGATAACGTTTATAATCCCTCCCCAGTTTGCTTTGGTTACTGACCTTTTTCCATTTCACCAGGGCTCAAGAGGAGCAACAAGCACCCGCATGGAGTGTATTCTTTACCTCCGTTCTTTTTTGTTTTTAAACTTGAGTCCTAAATTTTGTTAATATATGAGGAAAAAAGCCCTTTCTGCGGATGGCTGACAGCAGGAATGACTGATGTTATCCTTCATGTAACACTTTGTTCCCTGTCTTAAGTTAGCCTTCTCTTTGATAGAGGTGCATTGACATAGCAATAGCTTTAACCCAATAAAGCTCTCACAGAGCTTTCAAAATATTTTACACTAGACCAAAACAAGAAAGTTTCAGGAATTGCCACAAAAAAACTCTTAAATAATTATTTTAAAATGCCTGTACTTGCACTGTTGATATCTATTATAGTGTGATAATCAGAGGGATATAAATTATTTGTTCTTTTAATTTTTATTCAACTTTCTTCAGATAATAATATGAGGCTCCAAAGGGTTTACAATGATACAACTTAAAGACTGTGCACTTTTTGACCACCATAGCAGATATTCTTCTGAGTACACCACAGTTGCATTGGCATTATTGAGCTTTTTCCCACGTGTAAGAAAACAGGGTGCTTAGCTGCATTCAAAATCAAACATCAGCTGCGAAAAATGTTCTCTTTTCTGACAGTTCCATCATGAATATTACCTATGCACACCAAGACCAGTCAAAACGATAGCGAGAATACATCAGATATAATTAAGCTTTGTATTTGAATACCTTTTTCTCAAGACTCATTCCAGAGCATGACACTATATTTGTGGAAAGTTAATAGATACAAATTTATATTTAATGTGACGTGTCATAGTTTATTTATTCTTTGATCCTCAAATTATTTTCCCTAGACAGTGAATTTAGTAAGATATAAAAAGCAAACATTGGCCTTCTTTTGGAATTTAAATGGACTTAATGTGTGGTTAAACAGTGGATTAATTATGTAACAATTCCAGAGATCATTAATGAATGCATTGCTAGTGTGGGAATTTTTTAAAAAGAAAAGTGCTATACCAGTGCCAGTCAGATTTACTTAGTTTGATTTTAAAAGCTAAGTTTCAAAATAGTTTGGGCATAAAATGTTGTCTTTATGAGAACATTTTTCTGTTTGCAGTTGTTTTCAGATGCCAAATTTCAAGGGCTGTTTACAGGCTCAATTAAGGGGTCAAGTACTTAATACCCAAACTGGTTAATTGTACCCATTATTACTCAGCCAATGAAATTACAGTAGCATACCCAAACAAGAAAGCACCACTGAAAATGAGTCCTCATAAATTTCTCCTAGGACCTCCTGCACTGAAAATGACATCATTTTTATTTTAATAAGTGGGATAAGTAGGAATTATAATAATATTTTCTTTTTCTTCATTTCCATTAGCACAAAGATTTTTTTTTCGAATGTCACAAGTGAAAGGAGCCATTTGGCTCCGATTTCAGTACCAAGGGAGACCACTTCAGTGGCTTTTAACAGAATTGGCTAGTCCAGAATAAGTGAAAATGTCAGTGTATTCAGATCCACTGAGCCATGAAACCAAATGTGGTGCCACTTTGCTATTATATTATAAGGGAAAAAAAACAAACATTCAAATTTGTCCTGCTTTTAAAATATTTGATTAATATATGTTTGTAAATAACCGTTTACGTAAGTAAAAGCAAGTGTTAATACTGGCTCAGAGTTTCTTGATTAAGCTATGAAAATAGCATCAATTTATGTAATTTCTATTGAACAGAGAGATATCTTGATAATCATTGAATCCAAACCCTTCGCTTTAGAGAAATAGAAAATGAGGCTGAGAGATAGAAAGCCACTTGCCCGTTGTCAAACAACTGAGACTCTACAAGCCTGCCATGTTTTGCTGCATCCTGTTTTCTGATGCTGCAGTGCAGGCCTTTGAATTCCCTCTGTAACTGTGCCATGCAGTTCCGTATACCTAGAGCTCACCATGTCCCTTTCACCATTGCTTTCAAACGTCCTTTTAAAGGAAATTTTTCCTAGCTCTAAGGATATAATCTTTCCTTGCTCTGTATCCCCATAACCCATTGTTATCTAACCTTCAGGATCTAAAATAGATTCACTTTTCTTATTGTTATATATGTGCTTGCCTTAACCCTTTTTTTTCTACCTTCATTATGCCACAAGTTTTTTTGAGAGCAGAAAATTATTTTACTTAACTTTGATAGTCTATATTGTATCTAATATGTAATCCAGCCTGGGTGACGGAATGAGACTCTGTCTCAAACAACAACAACCAATTCAATTCTCTAAAAACCTAAAGACCTGGAGCCTATAGTCAGAAAGAATGCTGTCTAAAGTTGAATCAATCTGATGGGAATATTAAGGCTATTTAATCCCCATCTAGTATATTATATTTACTGTGATACTGTATCATGTGTGATGCTGTTGATTGCAAGTAATAGAAAACATGCTAAAATAGCTTATTAATAAGGACATTTTATTATTTAAACAGAATTTTCTAGGCAGTGTCATTTCATGGTTGTTTAACTGAGCAGCTCAATAAACCATTTAAAACTGCTTATTTCCAATGTACTATTTTGCCATTTGCTTTACACTGTCCTCAAGGTTGCAAAATTGGAACTATATTTTCAGGTACTTCTTACAAAAATAACAATATATGCCAGCAAATTGAGTCTATTAATCATCAATTCTTAAAAAATCCTCTCACTTTTCATTGGCTAGAATTCTATCATATGCTCCTTTTTAGTCTGTACCTACAGTGATGAATCAGAATCTTTTGGTTAGCTTAACATTAACAGGATTTATTCCTGAGTTCCTTGAGGAAAAATTGGGTATTTTTTTGCAAGAAAAAAATAAAATAATTATTGAGAATACAATCAACAATGTTAGGGAGGACACTAAAAAAAAGCTGTTAAGGGATAAAACTTTTTATCATAATATTCACATTTTACTACCATCAAATAATTGATTAGAATAATTCAAATAATAAGTTCTATAAGCATGTTAAAATATATATTCTTCCTAAATTTACGAGTCTTTCAAAATATATGTCCAATAATAATCTAGTTTCTACATTTAGTGAAGAGAGACTAAGCAGTTAGGAATCTGAGTGGAAAAATCATACTCAAAAAGTGCTTTTTTCTCTCTCCTCACTCAACGGCAATAAACACAGAAGACTTCTGGAACCAAATATGTAAAGGTTTCTCCTCATCAAAAAGCAAGCAATCAATTCTGCAGTGAACACCGCAGCTAGGTATCCTTCAATTCAATGCTGACACTATCTACCTGGAGATGGCAGTATCATATCCCACAGGCTGAGGGCTCTGTCCTACAAGACCGTCTCTCACTTCTGATTCCAATTCCAAGTCCCAAGTTGGTTTATATGTGCTTCTGACCTACTGGATATAAAACTAGAATCACATGAACCCCTGTTCAGGTTTGATTAATTTGCAAGAGTAGATCACGGAACTCAGGGAAACATGTACTTATGTTTTCTAGTTTATTGCAAAGGATATACATAAAGAGATATATGGGACTGGATATGGAAAATAGTGGGGAGTTTCCGTATCCTCCCTGGGTGTGCTACCCTCCAGGAGCCTTCACAGACATGTTCAGCTATCTGGAAGCTCTCCCCACCCTGTCCTTTTGGGAGAATATGAAGGTTTTATTACTGAGGTATGATTGACAGCCATATAGAAATGTGACTGGACAAAAAGGGTATGATGTAATACTAATAGATTGAATGGGGGAAACCCGGCAAGGCCTGTCTGTTCAGATACTTCTTTGCCACTTGGTATAGCATATCATTCTCCAGGGTTTGGGACAGAACTTCTTCTGCAATGGAAGTCTTATGACATACAGTCAGTCAGGGAATTTGCTTATGACCAGCTCCAAGACAGAAAGGTATAAAAAGAGTCCTGCCTTGAGGACAAAAAGGAACTGGTAAAAGGCAGGCAGGAGAAGGTCAGAGAGAAACATTTTATTTTCTGAGGCCTGCTTCTCAGGTCTGAAGTACCTTAACATTGTAACAAAAGACTGCAACAAGGGCTGTGGGAAACTGCCCTTGTTACAAGCAAGAAACTGCATGCAAAAACTGCATGCAAAAATCAATACAAGGGGTCTTCAACAAGTTCGTGGAATATGTGCCTTATGAAAAAACTGCATGAATTTTATTTTTTTTACTTCGATATAAACTCACACTAATTTGGTCTATCTGAAGAGGGTCTAGTTTGAGGCACTAAGAAGGATTAGACATTAGTTTAAAAAGAGACTTTATCGGAGTGTATTAGTCCATTTTCACACTGCTGATAAAGACATACCTGAGACTGGGTAATTTATAAAGAAAATGAGGTTTAATGGACTCACAGTTCCACACAGGAGCTTCAGGATCAAGCTCCTGAGGTACTTCTTCAAATAATGTAATAGGAGATAGAACATGACTCTAACAGTATGATCCTGAAGACAAAGCACAGTCAAAGCAATGGCTACCAAGAGATGGAAATAATCCAGTAAAAGCAAGAGCAGATGAGTCAAGAACAAAGGTAATGGCAACGGTTTTGGGAGAATGCTCAAGGCATTGTGCTTACTCACAATCACGCTACAAGGTGAAAGGCACATCTTACATAGCGGTGGACAAGAGACAATCAGAGAGATCTGAAAGCAGAAATCCCTTATAAAAACATCAGATCTCATGAGATTAATCCACTACCAGGAAAACAGTATGGGGGAAACTGCCGTCATGATTCAATTATCTCCCACCACGTTCCTCCCACAACACATGGGAATTATGGGAGGTACACTTCAAGATGAGATTTGGGTGGGGACACACAGCAAAACCATATCACATGTTTGTGTTGCTCACACAAATCCTTTAAAACAGAAGCAAGAGCATACATAAAATTCATGGTGAAGCTTGGATGGAAGAATGGTGAAATCACTGATGCTTTACAAAAAGTGTATAAGGATAATGGCCCAATTAAATCAGCAGTTTACAAATGAATAACTCATTTTAAGAAGGGAGAAGACCATGTCGAAGATGAAGCCCATAGCATCAGATCATCCACATCAGTTTTCAAGGACAAAAAAATCTTGTTTATGCCCTAATTGTAGAGGACCAATGACTAATGGCACAAATCAGTTTCAGACAAGGGAAGTTTCAGTGGCAAATTTCAATAAGTGGGATCAAGCTCCTGAAGTACTTCTTCAAATAATGTAATAGGAGATAGAACATGACTCTAACAGTATGATCCTGAAGACAAAGCACAGTCAAAGCAATGGCTACCAAGAGATGGAAATAATCCAGTAAAAGCAAGAGCAGATGAGTCAAGAACAAAGGTAATGGCAACGGTTTTGGGAGAATGCTCAAGGCATTGTGCTTACTGATTTTCTGGAGGGCCAAAGAACAATAACATCTGTTTATGAGAGTTTTTGAGAAAGAGAAAGCTTTAGCAGAAAAACATCCAGGAAAGCTTTAGTCTTTCTCCAGTACAACAATGTTCCTACTCATTAATCTCTCATCAAACAGAGGCAATTTGGAGAGATTTTTGATGAGAAATCATTAAGCTTCTGCCTTAAGTTCTGATTTGGTTCTGACTCCTTTTCATTTCCTAATCTTAAAAAAGTCTTTAAAGGGCTTCCATTTCTCTTCCGTTAGTAATGTAAAAAATATAGTATTAACATGTTTAAATTCCCAGGGCCCTCAGCTCTTTAGGGCCAGACTAAATGGCTGTTATCATCACTTACAAATGTGTCTTGATCTTATGGAGATTATGTTGAAAATTGTTTTTATTTTATTTAAAATATTTATTTTACTTAATTGTTTTCATTCCAATTTTCCTTGAAATCCACTTGAGTGTATGTATACGTACATAAAATATTACAAGAATAATTCAGCACCCCTCCTCAACAATGACATACTTTTCTTTCCCATACCTTTCTTACCCATACCTTGTCTTTATTAGTTTGCTATATGTGTATTCATCTGAATGTGTTATATATAATTACTTCATATATTTATCTTTTTTCCAGATGAACTATTATATGATGTATGTTTTTGTAGTCTGCTCTTTTCTTAAATAATTTTCTGAGTTTAATTATCTTAATACATTTTATCCATGTTAATTGGTTGTTAATCCGTCTGGAATTGTTATTTGTGGATAGTAAATATAAGAGTTACATTATTTTTATGACTGATTTTCTCAAACTATTAAATTTTAATAACTGTATTTGTTTTCCTTTGATAGGTATTATTTCTCTACAGTATATAATGCTAGCCATATCATATAGTATACCCGTATCTACAAGAGTATTTTTAAGAACTCCCTGTTGTATTGATTTCTCCGTCTCAGAGATGGTAATTTTTCAATTCACGTAGCTTTAGAATAAATCTCAATATTGACAAACCAAAGTGACTCACCTTGATTTTCTTCTAAACTGTCCCCAAGAACTAGGAAAATAGTTCCTAGGAAGACAATAATTGCATCTTCTGTAATGCCTCTGATTGATATTTATATATTTCTCCAAAATATTCACCCATATGTTAAATTTATTTCTAAGGATTGCATTATTTTTCATTGTTATTATAAACAATACATTTTATATTTCTTTTTTTTTGGTTTTTACTAATATAAAGTATGTAGTTGATCTGTATGTTAATTTCACACATAGAAACTTTAAGAACTCAATAATGAAATCTAATCACTTTTCTATAGATTTTCTTATGCTATGCTATCATAGCTTCTTCACATACAGTTTTACTTGTTTTCCAATCTTTAGATATTTTGGCTCTTTTCTTGTATTACTGACCCTGGTTACATCTTTGATTCATTGTTGTATTGAACAGGTGATATTGGGCTTTCTCTTTTTGTTCCTGATCTAAAAGTGAAAGTTTTGACTCTGTAGTTTGCATTTTTTTAAGATAATTCTTATCAAGTTAAGGTAGTTTCCTTTTCCTAAAGGTATTTATTATTAGTCTGAATTGATTTAAAGTTTTTAAGTATGTATTTTACTAAATTTTTATTGAATAACAAAATGCATGTAACCACATTCATGCAATCATCACCTAGATCAAGAAACAGAACATTTAACAATACCCACAAAAGAACCCCTTGTACTCTCTTTCACTCACTTTATCTTTCCTTTCCCTCCTATAAAATAAAAGATGACTATTGTAATTTTCTAAAATCATAAATCAATAATGCCTGTTTTTAATCTTTATATAAACGTTAACAATATAGTAAATGTTTACTTTGTTATATAAATATTACTATTAAATATATTTAATAATATATTAAATATATAATTAATATATAATATATAAATAGGAACATGCCAGATGTACTCTTTTGTTTTAGATATCTAGTGCTCAGAATATATTTATGATAGCCACGTTGTTATGTGTAGTTGTAATTATTCTAATTTCATTGATAAATAATATTCATTGTTTTAAATACTATAAATTTATCCATTCTAGTGCTGATGGATGTTTGTGATTTTCTGATTTTGTATATCATGAATAGTATTTCTCTGAATATTCATGTACTTGTATTGTTGAGAACATGTGTACACTTATATTGGACACATTTCTTTTTTCTTTTTTTTCTTTGGTTTTGAGATAGAGTCTTGCTCTTGTAACCCAGCCTGTAGTGCAATGGTGTGATCATGGCTCACTTTAGCCTCAACCTCCTGGACTCAAGTGATTCTGCTGCCTCAGCCTCCCAAGTAGCCAGGAGTACAGATGAGTGCCACCATGCCCCAATAATCAATATAGTCCTAAGAATGAAAATGTTGAAACATAAATTATGCATATGCTCAGCTTCAGTAAATATTGCCAAATAATTTTTCCAAATGGTTGCACCAACTTACTCATCCATCAGCTCTCTATGAGAGTAAAGATTGCTATATATTTTCACAAAAGTTAGTATCTACATCTGCCCAGTTATGACATTTACTGAAGATTCCTTATGCCTAAGTAATGCTTCCAGGGGAAAAGTGAGTTCAGATATCAGTTGATTTCTGTGGTACAACTCTCTCTAGACTCTAGCTCTTAGTATTTAAACTTAGACATTCAACAGCTCTCTGATTCTGTTAAACAGAGGAGTTTAGTCTTTTATCTGGCTTTTCTAGTTGTCTACTCTCCATTCTGTGTGAAAGTGGATATGGCATGTTGGATTTTATTCAATTATTTATGTAAATATATTTAAAAGAGCATGTGATTTTTCTTCCTTAATCTAGAGTTTCTAATGCTAAAATATATTTTTATTACTTCAATAAACCCATTTTGATTATTATTAATTTTTTTTTGAGGTGGAGTCTCGCTCTGTCATCAGGCTGGAGTGTAGTGGTGTGATCTTGGCTCACTGCAACCTCCAACTCCCTGGTTCAATCGATACTCCTGTCTCACTGTCTCAGCCTCCCGAGCAGCTGGGATTACAGGCACCTGCCACCACGCCCAGCTAATTTTTGTATTTTTAGTAGAGATGGGGTTTCACCATGTTGGCCAGGATGGTCTCAATCTCCTGACCTCGTGATCCACCTGCCTTGGTTTCCCAAAGTGCTGGGATTACAGGTGTGAGCCACTGCAGCAGACCTATCATTAATTTTTAATAAAATTTATCTTTATTTTATTTCTTCTACAATTTGTTGGGTTTATTTTAATTACTTAACTTAGAATTTTGGTTTGCTAATATATAGCTTTTCTTTGTTTCAAATATAAATATTTATATATACAAGTTTAGCTGTAATCACCATCCATGTATCTCAAAGTATTAAAATTGAGTATTTGAATTAACTGAAATGTTAATATTTTAATATATATTTGAATATCTATTGTGAATAATTTTTTCAACTCACAATATTTAGAATTGTGCTTATAATTTCAAAAATATATGGGGTGTTTTTTGTATGATATTATTGAATTCAAACATAATTGAATCATGCTTAAAAACAAGATCTTTGTAATACAACTTGTGTGAAATCTTCTGAAGTTTGTTTTTGATCTAATATTTGGTTCATTGTTTAAAAATATTTCTTATGTGCTTGAGAAGAATATATACTCTATATTTTGGATATGAATTTCTATATATTTTCTGCTTTGCAAATAGTGGTATTATTTAAGTCTTCCACACCTTATTATTTGTTACTCCTGAAGGCTGATTGTTTTTAAAATTTGCTTTGTGAGTTTGTGTTTGTTATGGTTTGTCTCTGTGTCCCCACCCGAATCCCATCGGGAATTGTAATCCCCATGTGTCGGAGGAGGGGCCTGGTAGGAAGTGATTGGATCATGGGGGTGGATTTCCCCCTTGCTTGTGCTCATGATAGTGAGTGAATTCTTACAAAATCTGATGGTTTTAAAGTGTACCACTTCCTGCTTCACTCTCTGTCTCTCTTGCCACCATATAAGATGTGCCTTGCTTACCATTTGCTTTCACCATGATTGTATAAGTTTCCTGAGGCCTCCCCAGTCATGCAGAACTTTGAATCATTTAAACTTATTTTCTTCATAAATCACCCAGTCTTAGGTAGTTCTTTATAGCAGTGTGAGAATGAACTAATACATAATATTGGTTCTGGGAGTATGGCACTGCTATAAAGATACCTGAAAATGTGAAAGCAACTTTGGAACTGGGTAACGGACAGAGGTTGGAACAGTTTGTAGGGATCAGAAGAAGACAGGAAGATATGGGAAAGTTTAGAACTTCCTAGAGACTTGTTGAATGGTTTTGACAATGAAGTCCAGGCTGATGGAGTCTCAGATGGAGATGAGGAACTTATTGGAAACTGGAGCAAAGGTCACTGTTGCTATGCTTTGGCCAACACTGGTGACATTGTGTACCTCCTCTTAGGATCTGTGGAAGTTTTAACTTGACAGAGATGATTTAGGGTATCTGGTGGAAGAAATTTCTAAGCAGCAAAGCATTCAAGATATTTCCTGGCTGCTCCTAACAGTGTACAGCCATATGCATTTGAAAGAAATGATCTGAAATTGGAATTTATGTTTAAAAGGGAAGCGGAGCATATAAGTTTGGAAAATTTGCAGCCTGACCATGCAGTAGAAAAGAAAACCCCATTTTCTATGGAGAAATTAAAGCTGGTAACAGAAATTTATATAAGTAAAGAGGAGCCAAATGTTAATATTCATGGGAATGGGGGAAAATGACTCTAGGGCATTTCAGAGATCTTCACAGCAACCTCTCCCATCACAGACCCAGAGACCTAGGAGGGAAAAGTGGTTTCCTGGGCTGTGCCCAGGACCCTGCTACTCTGTGCAGCCTTGGGACATGGCACCCAGTTCTCCAACTCTAGCCATGGCTAAAAGGGGCCAAGGTACAGCTCAGGCCATTGATTCATAGAATGCAAGCCCCAAGCCTTGGTGGCTTCCATGAGGTGTTGAGCCTTCAGGTGCACAGAAGGCAAGAGTTTGGGAACCTCTGCCTAGATTTCAGAGATGTATGGAAATGCCTGGATGTCCAGACAGAACTCTGCTGCAGGGATGGAGCCCTTATGGAGAACCTCTATTAGGGCAGAGCACAGGAAAAACATGGTATTGGAGCACCCATACAAAGTCCCTACTGGGACACTGCCTAGTGGAGGTGTGAGAAGAGGGCCAGCATCCTCCCAACTCTAGAATGGTAGATCCACTGACAGCTTGCACCATGCACCTGGAAAAGCCACAATCACTCAACATCAGCCTGTGAAAGCAGCCACAGGGGCTGTACCCTGCAGAGTCACAGTGGTAGGGCTGCCCAAGGTTGTGGGAGGTTACCCCTTGCATCAGCTTTCCCTGGATGTGAGACATGGAGTCAAATGAGATTAATTTGGAGCTTTAAGATTTAATGACTGCCTTGTTGGGTTTCAGACTTGCATGGTTTCTGTAGCCTTTTTGTTTTGGCCAATTTCTTCCATTTGGAATGGGAATATTTACCCACTGCCTGTACTCCCATTTTATTTTGGAAGAAACTAACTTGTTTTTTGATTTTACAGGTTTCATGGATGGAAGGGGCTTGTCTTGTATCAGATGAGACTTTGGAGTTGGACTTTTTAAGTTAATGCTAGAATGAGTTAATACTTTGGGACACTGTGGGGAAGACATGATTAATTTTGAAATGTGCAAATGACATGAGATTTGAGAAGGGTAAGGGGGAGGATGATATGATTTGGCACTGTGTGCCCACTCAAATCCCATTTTAAATTATAATCCCCATGTGTCTTAGGAGAGGCCTGATGGGAGGTGATTGGATTGTGGGAGCAGATTTCCCCCTTGCTGTTCTTGTAATAGTGAGTAAGTTCTCATGAGATCTGATGGTGTTAAAGTGTGGCACTTCCCACCTCACTCTCTCTGTCTCCTGCTGCCAGGTAAGACATGCCTTGCTTCCCCTTTGCCTTCTGCCATGATTGTAAGATTTCTGAGGCCTCTCCAGCTATGTGGAGCTGTTAATCAATTAAACTCCTTTTCTTTATAAATTACCCAATCTCTGGCAGTTTTTTATAGAAATGGGAAAATGGACGAATATAGTGTTCATCTGAGCTTTCACTGTGAGAATTTTGTAAATATAAGGTCTTATCTGAGGATTTGTCTTTCCACACAGGGTGTGGACTGGCTTCTGTCAGAATTCAAAGTGTTACTATCAATCTGGTCTTAGATTTCCGATTAAATTATTTGTATAAGATTGCATTTTTTATATTTTGCTCTGTATCAAATTATCATCAATCTTAGCAATTCTAAGCAAAAAAATTTATTATAATTTATTATTATAACATTTATAAATGTTGAGGTTTGTTTCTTTGTTGTGTGTCATAAATTTAGGAGCCCCTTAGCTAGGTGGTTCTGGCTCAGGATCTCTCATGAGGTTATGGATAAGCCATTGGTCAAAGATGTAGTCTTCCAAAGGCCTTAGTGGGGCTGGGTGATCTGCTTCCCTCAAATGGCTATAAGGAGTAAACCTTGAATCCTTGCTAGCTGTTGGCAGGATGCTTCGGTTTGTCTTCACATGGACCTTTCCATAGGACTGTTTGATGTTTCCTCACAACATAGGAGGAGATTCCCCCATGATGAATGACTGAGAAGAGAGAGAACAATGTGGGGAAAAGCAAGAGAGATCAGATTGTTACTGTGTCTGTGTAGAAAGAAGTAGACATAGGAGACTCCATTTTGTTATGTACTAAGAAAAATTCTTCTGCCTTGAGATTCTGTGACCTTACCCCCAACCCCGTGCTCTCTGAAACATGTGCTGTGTCAACTCAGAGTTGAATGGATTAAGGGCGGTGCAAGATGTGCTTTGTTAAACAGATGCTTGAAGGCAGCATGCTCCTTAAGAGTCATCACCACTCCCTAATCTCAAGTACCCAGGGACACAAAAACTGCGGAAGGCCGCAGGGACCTGTGCCTAGGAAAGCCAGGTATTGTCCAAGGTTTCTCCCCATGTGATAGTCTGAAATATGGCCTCGTGGGAAGGGAAAGACCTGACCATCCCCCAGCCCGACACCCGTAAAGGGTCTGTGCTGAGGAGGATTAGTAAAAGAGGAAGGAATGCCTCTTGCAGTTGAGACAAGAGGAAGGCATCTGTCTCCTGCCTCTCCCTGGGCAATGGAATGTCTCGGTATAAAACCGGATTGTATGCTCCATCTACTGAAATAGGGAAAAACCGCCTTAGGGCTGGAGGTGGGACCTGCGGGCAGCAATACTGCTTTGTAAAGCATTGAGATGTTTATGTGTATGCATATCTAAAAGCACAGCACTTAATCCTTTACATTGTCTATGATGCAAAGACCTTTGTTCACGTGTTTGTCTGCTGACCCTCTCCCCACAATTGTCTTGTGACCCTGACACACCCCCTCTTTGAGAAACACCCAAAAATGATCAATAAATACTAAGGGAACTCAGAGGCTGGCGGGATCCTCCATATGCTGAACGCTGGTTCCCCGGGTCCCCTTATTTCTTTCTCTATACTTTGTCTCTGTGTCTTTTTCTTTTCCAAATCTCTCGTCCCACCTTACGAGAAACACCCACAGGTGTGGAGGGGCAACCCACCCCTACAGAACAAGAAAGAAGCTGAAATGAATTTTGTGACCTAGCCTCAAAAGGCACCCATTGCACTTCTGATATATCCTATTCATTATGAATGAGTCACTAAGCCTAGCCCACAAGCAAATGAAGAGAATTAACTTCAGCTTCTAAAAAGAAGCCATATCCAATATTTTAGGGCCTATTTTAAATCCACCCCAGCAATTTTTACAGAATTTACACAGAATATAAATTAAACTTTGATGATTAATTAGGGGAGGTATTTAAAAATATTTCTTAGGGGAAACTTTTTTTTCCTACTCAGCCTCAGGGCACAAACAATCTATCTTTTTCTCCCTCTATAGAGGTGCGAGTATTTTATTAGTTCACCCTTTTCATTGAGACCTTCAAGGAGGAGGCTATGTGAGGAAATGTCAGTTCCAAATTTCCTTTGTGTAACTATAAGGCTATGATTTATTCTATCCACAAGGCTTAACCAGTAAAACTGAGGCTGTTTGATCACTAAGACTGCCACATGGATTTAGGCCACCCAGTGCATTTTTGCTCTATGTTTTAGCCTATTTTTCACATTTTACCCCCTGGGAATTTTCTTTACTTTTTTGAAAACAAAAGTATAAACTTAGAGATCTGTTTACTTTACATTAAACAGAATTTTTAGAATTTTGTTTTAAAAGATAGTACAGAGCAATCATTTACTTCTAGAAATGGAAGTCTCTGAAAAGAGATTTACAGTGCAGATGTGCACTACCTTTCAACTGGATTGCTAGGTACTACCAATGCATAATAAGCTTTCAGCCACCCCACTGGTAGTGATTCTCACAACCAATACTATCTGTTCATTGTTTTCAAGAATACCTTTCTCCTGGTCTCTGTTTTGTTAATTATATTACCTTTGGTGATGCACCTTGTTCTTTCACTGGCTTCGTGCTTTCTGATGCTGACTGACTCAAGCCTTCTTATCCCACCTTGTACCCACAAAACACTTCAAGTTGTCTTCTTAAACAAACTTTCCTCATTCCCAAAGAGAAATTCTGGTTAAAGCTATTAATGTAATATGTCCACTTATATAAATCCATGAATTTCAGGTATCTATCAATCCATCTTTTTAGTTGTTATCTTTCTGATAATAAAACATTATTTCTGTTACTATTTAGCAAAACAACTTTAACTCATTAATAATTATCTGATTTTTAATATTAACTAAGCACTAAATTAGGCACTGGAAGAAAAAATATGGAAAATAATCTAGCTCTGTTTTTCACAGAGCTCAAATTAGAAACAAAAACATAATAGAAAAAGACTATTGGTGGCACAATGCACTAGAATAAACATGTGAATGGAACAATAATGAGAGGAGGGAACGTTTTATGTAAATTGAGAAAAGAGAGGAAAATGAGAGAAAATGCTTAGTAGAGACAAACTTTGAGCTGGGCCTTGAATAATGAAAATAAGTTCTTTAGTTAAAAATGTGAGCAGGTAGTGGCAAGAGGGATGTGTGAAATGGAACAAAGGAAAATATAGACAGAAAGGGTAAGTCTCTAGGCAGAGAAATATGAGCAAGGATGTGGAGACACATGAGCACAAGAAGCATTCAGAGGACAGCTGAGATTCAGGTGGTTGGAATGTAGGGCGCACAGTGGTAGAATGGCAGACCGGTTTGAGATTTTAACCTGGCTTTTATTATAAAATGGCAGGGATGAAAAATATTCAAAATAGTTCTTGTATAAATTACTTTTTATTAAATAAATTCATGAAAGATCCAGAAGTTTGACTGCAAAACTGATTTCTCAGCAAGGCTTTTAACCATTTCACTAGATTCATGAGTTTCTAAATTCTAGAAAAAGAAAGTTTCTGAAATAGGATTTCTTAGACATATATCACTCTGTGAGTAGGAATTCCTTTAATAAGATGTTAGGTTTTATATGGAAAGTGTCCTTGGTGTGACTCCTCTGAGGATCAATTTTTCTCTTAACTCTATCCATCTTAGTAAACTTAGCAAATTCTAAGTTGACTAAACAAAAGAAACATTCGATTGATAAGAAATAATTTCCTGACTCTAGACATTTCCTCAAGCCAAGTAATATTCATCTCTTAAGCAATCATAAATAAAACTTAATACTTAAATTCAGTTTCCTGGATCTTTCAAGAGAGCAAATGAAAGGGACAAACAGGCTCTCATTAACATGATTCTCAAATAATGAGAATTTGAAATATGAACTTTGCGTGAACTTTGTTTTAGTTTTTTTTCCTTTGCCATTTACTAACGCTGAAACCTTATGTAAGGCATTTAAATTATTTGTGCTTCAATTGCTTCACCTTATAATAAGGATGAAGGCAGGACACTTGATTCGATTTGTTCACTGTTGTAGCTTCAATGAGTAGGACAGTATATGTTGTTTAAGACCAATAATATTGAATGGATGAATGAATGATCTAACATGGTTGATTCTAGGATTGAATGAAGCAATGTGTATAAAGTTGTCTTCATTCAGTAAAGGTATATTTAAGTAAAAGAATAAAGCAACTGCAAAAACAGAAAATAAGTAAGAAGCCTTACAATTAGTGAATATGTAAAAACCGCACTTTAAACAGCAGCAGTAAATCTGGATGTGGGATGGTAGGAGTCTTTGAAACAGGAATTTTAAATAAAAAATTCCTCTTTTAAATCTGTTTTCTCTGAATGTTGTCTTAGTTCTATCAGACAGAATTCTCCATTATGTAAGGGAGCTGGCTGCCTAATCCCAGATGTAGATAGCTGCATGATCAGAGAGGGAAAAGGTTTTTTTCGGTCAGCTCCAATACAAAATAAAATTTTAAAAAATGTTGGAGAAGTATTCTGATTAGAATGAAGGCATATGTTTTTTATTATCTTAAGGAGGGCAAAGATTTTTCTGCAAAAAAACAAACAATAAAATATTAGCCAATAAAAACTCTTAAAGCAATGCTTGACACATATCAAATATTCAACATATATTAGATTATATTGCCATTCTTTACAGTTAGCAATGGGAACAATACAAGTTTTTGGAACTGGTAGTCAGAAAGTGTAAATTTAAATTCCAGCTCTCATGGTAGAAAAATATCCTCTGGAGCAATTGTGAATGGGAGTTCACTCATGATTTGGCTCTCTGTTTGTCTGTTATTGGTGTATAAGAATGCTTGTGATTTTTGCACATTAATTTTGTATCCTGAGACTTTGCTGAAGTTGCTTATCAGATTAAGGAGATTTTGGGCTGAGACGATGGGGTTTTCTAAACATACAATCATGTCATCTGCAAACAGGACAATTTGACTTCCTCTTTCCCTAATTGAATACCCTTTATTGCTTTCTCCTGCCTGACTGCCCTGGCCAGAACTTCCAACACTATGTTGAATAGGAGTGGTGAGAGAGGGCATCCCTGTCTTGTGCCAGTTTTCAAAGGGAATGTTTCCAGTTTTTGTACATTCAGTATGATATTGGATGTGGGTTTGTCATAAATAGCTCTTATTATTTTGAGATACGTCCCATCAATACCTAATTTATTGAGAGTTTTTAGCATGAAGGGCTGCTGAATTTTGTTAAAGGCCTTTTCTGCATCTATTTAGATAGTCATGTGGCTTTTGTCTTTGTTATGTTTATATGCTGGATTACATTTATTGATTTGTGTATGTTGAACCAGGCTTGCATCCCAGGGATGAAGCCCACTTGATCATGGTGGATAAGCTTTTTGATGTGCTGCTGGATTCGGTTTGCCAGTATTCTACTGAGGATTTTTGCATCGATGTTCATCAGGGATATTGGTCTAAAATTCTCTTTTTTTGTTGTGTCTCTGCTAGGCTTTGGTATCAGGATGATGCTGGCCTCATAAAATGAGTTAGGGAGGATTCCCTCTTTTTCTATTGATTGGAATAGTTTCAGAAGGAATGGTACCAGCTCCTCTTTGTACCTCTGGTAGAATTCGGCTATGAATCCATCTGGTCCTGGACTTTTTTTGGTTGGTAGTCTATTAATTATTGCCTCAATATCAGAGCCTGTTATTGGTCTATTCAAGGATTCAACTTCTTCCTGGTTTAGTCTTGGGAGAGTGTATGTGTCCAGGAATTTATCCATTTCTTCTAGATTTTCTAGTTTATTTGTGTAGAGGTGTTTATAGTATTCTCTGATGGTAGTTTGTATTTCTGTAGGATCAGTGGTGATATCCCCTTTATCATTTTTTATTGCATCTATTTGATTCTTCTCTCTTTTCTGCTTTATTAGTCTTGCTAGCGGTCAATCAATTTTGTTGATCTTTTCAAAAAACCAGCTCCAGGATTCATTGATTTTTTGAAGGATTTTTTGTATCTCTATCTCCTTCAGTTCTTCTCTGACCTTAGTTATTTCTTGCCTTCTGCTAGCTTTTGAGTGTGTTTGTTCTTGCTTCTCTAGTTCTTTTAATTGTGATGTTAGGGTGTCAATTTTAGATCTTTTCTGCTTTCTCTTGTGGGCATTTAATGCTATAAATTTCCTTCTACACACTTAAAACGGATGTGAAGGACCTCTTCAAGGAGAACTACAAACCACTGCTCAATGAAATAAAAGAGAAGACAAACAAATGGAAGAACATTCCATGCTCATGGATAGGAAGAATCAATTCTGTGAAAATGGCCATACTGTCCAAGGTAATTTATAGATTCAATGCCATCTCCATCAAGGTACCAATGACTTTCTTCACAGAATTGGAAAAAACTACTTTAAAGTTCATATGGAACAAAAAAGAGCCTGCATTGCTAAGAGAATCCTAAGCCAAAAGAAGAAAGCTGGAGGCATCATGCTACCTGACTTCAAACTATACCACAAGGCCACAGTAACCAAAACAGCATGTTATTGGTACCAAAACAGAGATATAGACCAATGGAACAGAACAGAGCCCTCAGAAATAATACACACATCGACCACCATCTGATCTTTGACAAACCTGACAAAAACAAGCAATGAGGAAAGGATTCCCTATTTAATAAATGGTGCTGGGAAAACTGGCTAGCCATATATAGAAAGCTGAAACTGGATCCCTTCCTTACATCTTATACAAAAATTAATTCAAGATGGATTAGAGACTTACATGTTAGACCTAAAACCATAAAAACCCTAGAAGAAAACTTAGGCAATACCATTCAGGACATAGGCATGGGCAAGGACCTCATGTCTAAAACACCAAAAGCAATGGCAACAAAAGCCAAAATTGACAAATGGGATCTAATTAAACTAAAGAGCTTCTGCACAGCAAAAGAAACTACCATCAGAGTGAACAGGCAACCCACAGAATGAGAGAAAATTTTTGCAACCTACTCATCTGACAAAGGGCTAATATTCAGAATCTACAATGAACTCAAACAAATTTACAAGAAAAAAACAACCCCATTAAAAATTGGGCAAAGGATATGAATAGACACTTCTCAAAAGAAGACATTTATGCAGCCAACAGACACATGAAAAGATGCTCATCATCACTGGCCATCAGAGAAATGCAAATCAAAACCACAATGAGATACCATCTCACACCAATTAGAATGGCGATCATTACAAAGTCAGGAAACAACAGGTGCTGGAGAGGATGTGGAGAAATAGGAACACTTTTACACTGTTGGTGGGACCGTTAACTAGTTCAACCATTGTGGAAGTCAGTCTGGCGATTCCTCAAGGATCTTGAACTAGAAATACCATTTGACCCAGCCATCCCATTACTGGGTATATACCCAAAAGATGATAAATCATGCTGCTATAAAGGCACATGCACATGTATGTTTATTGCGGCATTATTCACAATAGCAAAGACTTGGAACCAACCCAAATGTCCAACAATGATAGACTGGATTAAGAAAATGTGGCACATATACACCATGGAATACTATGCAGCCATAAAAAAGGACAAGTTCATGTCCTTTGTAGGGACATGGATGAAGCTGGAAACCATCATTCTCAGCAAATTGTCACAAGAACAAAATACCAAACACTGCATGTTCTCACTCATAGGTGCGAATGGAACAATGAGAACACATGGACACAGAAAGGGGAACATCACACAACGGGGCCTGTTGTGGGGTGGGGGAAGGGGAGAGGGAAAGTGTTAGGAGATATGCCTAATGTAAATGACGAGTTAATGGGTGCATCACACTAACATGGCACATGTATACATATGTAACAAACCTGCATGTTGTGCACATGTACCTTAGAACTTAAAGTATAATACAAAAAATAAATAAATCAGAAAAATGTCCTCCAGTAAACTGATTTGTCCCTCTGAGTCACAAATTCTTTATGTATGAGCTAAGCATGGATAACAACACTAGAGCCCCCTGGGCTTTTGTTTGGGTAAAATGAGATAAAATTTGTTTCTGGTATTTACCATAGTGCCTGCCTTATGGTAGATAGTCAATAAATGCCTGTTTCCTCCCCTATCTTCTTCATAAGACTGTAGTTTTCTGCCAAATTCTGACATCGGCCGTTAGACCTTAGAGATTAAGGAATCCTCTTTCTAGCTCAGTTCCCCATTTATCACCTGCCAAAGGTGATGACTAATTCCTTTCTGGTAAAACTGTTGTTTGGAGGAGAAATAAAACACTATAAATGATAAAACTCTGAGAGGTTATATTGAATATTTAGAAATAAGGGATTATTAGGCTAATTTTTTAAAAATTGCAACATTTCAAAAATTAACAATAACTCACCTATTGCCTGGAAAAAACAAACTAAAAAAAGCATCCTAATGTCATATAACTATTATCTGATTATATTTGCAATTGATAACAAAATTTAATGTTATTAGATAAATTACTTATGTTGCATAAGCCAGTGGTTATCAGGATGATAGCTACTGGGTGAAGAATAAAAGTAACTAGAAGTAAGTATATCTTAAAGAAAGTCAACTGTTGCTACTTCTGCTGGACTCAGGAAAATCTATCTCCTCAAAGTGAGATGTGTTAGTAGGTTTTTGAGTATAATCAAGCCCTTCATCCCCCTCAGTGTTTCTATTCACATGGTAGATTGTTAATATGTTTCTTTTTGTATTTGTATTCATGCAAATTTGAATAATTATTCTTTACTTAGGCTAAAAGAAAAAAAAAAAAAACCCTTTTCATTAAAAAAAAATCCCAGCTGCCACAATAAGGGGAGGTTTAGAGACAGATTAATTGAACAGTACTTGGGGTGAGGTGGGATGGGAGAAGTTAAGACTTTTTGTCAGAAGATCCAATTACACCCACTAAAACTTCCAGGAACTAATACTTCTAGCCTATGACATTCCTTTTTTTTTTTTTGAGATAGAGTCTTGCTCTTGCTCTTGTCACCCAGGCTAGAGTGCAGTTATGTGATCTTGGCTCCCTGCAACCTCCTCCTCCCGGGTTCAAGCAATTCTCCTGCCTCAGCCTCCTCAGTAGCTGGGACTACAGACGCGTGCCACCACACCCGGCTAATTTTTATGTTTTTTGTAGAGATAAGGTTTTGCCATGTTGGCCAGGCTTGTCTCGAACTCCTGACCTCGGGTGATCTGTCCGCCTCAGCCTCCCAAAAAGCTGGGATTACAGGTGTGAGCACACTGCATCCGGCCTAGTTAATGAGATTATTAAGGTGAAATGTTTAAGATCACATGTCATGATGAAGTGTTACTGAATGAGACCTTCAGAGAAGATTTGGGATTTTGAGAATATTCTGGAAGGCGAATGAGATGCTGAAGTTCTTATTGGACGAATGATGAAACTTTGGAAAGCAATTGATACTTCGCACAAAATTTTATGACCGAATTTGGTAAACCATGGCAGAAAAATAAGGTGCATACTCTAGGTTGGATGATTTGATTTTATGAGGTATTCTTCCAGCCAGTCATTGCTGCGCAGTGACCGAATACCTCACCCCACATGCTAAGCACATCACTGTTTCCATGTGTTAGCCAGTTGTGTCCCTCTACCTGGAATGCATTTCACCCCTGCTTTTTGTTTTAAAGTGACTTATTCTTCAAGATTTTATTTCCCCTTTCTGTGGATCACTAAAGGACAGAAGGTCTGTCCAAAATTGGTAATAAATTCATTCTTTGCATTTCTATTTCATTTATTTGATAACTTTCTTATTTATGTTGTTTGTAGTACTTTTACATGCTATTTGTTTTTAGTTAAAATTTTTATTTTGAGATTACTGTAGATTCACATGAAATTTTAATAACTAATACAACGAAATTGTGTGTATCATTATCCTAGTTTCTTCCAAAAGGCAACTTCTTGAGAAACTACAACATGAAAAAGTACAATATAAAGACTAAAATATTGGTATGAATACAGTGAAGATTCAGAACATTTCCATCCCCAGAAAAATCCCTCACGTTGCTCTTTGATAGCCACACTCATTTTCCTCCCACCTGTGACCCCTGAAAAGCCCTTGGCAACCATAAATCTGTTCTCCATTTTGATAATCTTGTCATTTCAATAATGTTATATAAATGGAATCATACAACCATTTGCAATTTGCTTTTTTCACTGTGTACTTTTTTGCGGGTTTATTCGAGATATATTCAAGATATTGTGTGTATGAATAGTTTTTTTTTTTTTTTTTAATACTGAGTAGTATTCCATGGTGTAGATCTTCCACAGCTTAAATATTTATCTCTTGAAAAATGTCTGGGTTGTTGCCAGTTAAGTCTATTAAGAAGAAAACCCTTTCTTAAAAGTTTGTGCACAAGTTTTTATGTGAACCTAAGTCTTAATTTATCTAGAATAAATGTCTAGAATAAATGCAACTTCTGGGCCATACAGTAGTTGAACATTGAGTTTTTTAACAATATGCCAACTGTTTTCTAGACTCGCTATACCATTTCACATTTTCACCAGCAGTTCATGAGTGATTCATATTCTTTCGATCCTGCTAAGGGATGGTCCAAGTGCAGTGGTGTTTACAACTAACTGATCACAACCAGTTACAGACTTCTTTGTCTTTTCCACTCTCACTGCTTCATCTGACTAGCCTTAAAGTAAAATTACAAATACAAGTAAATATATCCTGCTAGGATTAGATTTTTGTACTTAAAAATTTCGACAATTCTGATACGTATGTAGTAATATTTCATTTTGTTTTCATTTGCATTTCTGTAATAGCCAATAATGTTGAGCATTTTTATGTGCTTATTTGCTATCCATATATTCTAGGGGACAAAGATTTTTTCCTGTCTTTAGTCAATTTTCTAACTGATTTTTTCTTATTGTTGAGTTTTCAGAGTCCTTTAAATATATTAGATACTAGTTTGTTGTGGTACTTGGTCTGCAAATATTTTCTTGCAGTCGGCATCTTGTCTTTTCATCTTCTTAACAAAAATTTCATAAAACAAAATTTGAAACAAAATTTTTACAAAGTCAACTTAGCCATTTTTTCCTTGTATATATGATGTTATTGATTTCAAGTCTAAGAGCTCTTGGCTTAATCTTAAATCCTAAAGATTTCCTATTTTTTTTCAAAAAGTTCCATAGATTATGTTTTATATTGAAGTCCATCATCAATTTTTAGTTAATTTTTGTGTGAGTTTTGAGACTTTGACAAGGTTTATTTTGTGTCAATAAATGCCTAATTACACTGGCATCATTTGCTGAAAAGTGTATCTTTTCAATAATTATTTAATTTTGTCAAAAATAAGTTGGGCATATTTGTATGTATCTATGTCTGTTTAATCCATTCTGCTTTTTCGAGCTATACATGTAACTCTTCACCAACACCACACAGTCTTTATTACTACTGCTGTATAATGAATTTTGACATCAGGTAGACCCAGTCCACCCCTTGTTGTTGTCTTTCAGAAACTTTTTAGTTCTTCTAGTTTCTTTGCTTTTTAAATTAAATTTTATAATAATTTTGTCTATATCTATAGAAAGGTTGCTGAGATTCTAATAGACATTGTGTTAAAACTTGGGTATAAGTTTGTAAATAATTTACATTTTCACTAGATTGTGTCTTCTAGTTCCTAAACACAATGTATCTTTCTATTTACTTGTATCTTCTTTGATTTGTTTCATTTCTGTTTTGTAAATTTTAGTTTTGTAGTTTAGATCTGAACTCGGGTGCTGTGGTGCAACCATCAGTTCTCAAGTACCTATACGTATATATAATTTAAAACATAGGAAAACAAAGAAAAAAATCCAGAAATCCACAAAAGAGAAACACTTTACTTAAAAGGAAAAAACAATTTAAATGACAGTGAATTTCTCATGAGAAGTTGTAGCGACCTGAAAGAAGTAGAACAATATTTTTCAAGGGCTGAAATAATATCAATGCGAACCCAGAAACTTGTATCTAGAGAAAATGTCCTTCAGAATCAAAGAGGAAATAAGGACATTCTGAAATGAAGAAAAATGAAAATTTCCTTTGCTGGTGCAATGACTAAAATAAGTTCTTTAAATATAAAGGAAACAAAAAAGAATAGGTCTTGAAATCTTAGAAAAACAAAACAAAACATGCTAACAATAATATGAATAAAAAAACTCCCTTCTCCTCTTGTGTTTTCTAATTTATATTTGACAGTTGAAACAAAATTATATCACTTTTCATGTTTCAAAATGTATATATAGAAAATATTTAAGAAAATTATTATATATATGTATGGAGAGATAGTCCTCAGTGTGACTCCTCTGAGGATCAGTTTTCTTCCTGACTGTTCATCTTAATATTAGCAAAGTCTAATACTTTTTCCTCTTGTGAGGCTGCCCCTTCCTAGTCTTGTTAGGCTCCTCCCCCCTGTGGTTATTGGCATTTACGTGTTACCAACCTCTCCTGTTCCAAGTGTAGAATAAACTGGCAAAAAGAAAAGCCAGTGCACTCGCCAGCCCATTGTTCCTTGGATCCCCAGGTCCTTATTTAGTTTGCCTTCTTCTCTCCACTTTTCAGATGCTTCTTATATTTGTTTTATATCTAATCTCTACAATTTTTAGTTGTACTTAGAGAAATAGGAAAAAAAAGTATATTTTACCAATTTTTTCAGGATATGTGAATGGTACTTCAAATTATGTATATGTATAGGATTTTGAAAACTAATGGTTACACCACAGCCCCTGAGTTTATGGTTGTGGAGATCTTATTGGTTTTGACTATCTTCCCTTGCCCCTTGAGGGCTGTTGACAAAGGTGTCCCTTACAGTCACACCTTTGCTGCCAGATACTGTTTGTCTAATGATGAGTAAACATCTAACTCAAGCTGGGCCATTTGAAGTCCACTCCCTGAGAGATTTAAATAAAAGACAGGGGTATGTAAACAGGATGAGGGTAAAGATTTACATAGAGGGATTTAAAAAATGTAAAAAGATTGTTATGATCTACTTGCATAATAAGAACTATTTAGAACTGAGTGTGGCTATATTCTCCCATGTAGGCTGAAGAGAGTGGTCCCTTATCTTTCTTCTGGCTCTCTCTTGTCTCTTACTTTGTACTGACAACAGAAGAGTAGCAGAGTTATAGGTGGAGTACTAGAAGGAGAATATTTTAGTATATTTTTCCCACAACTTTGACTCTCTACTCAGAATATACTTATAAACCTGGACCACCTCTGGGAATGGCTAACAGAAAACAGTACATTAAAAGGTATCCATTACTTAAAAGCAGTGGAAGAAGATTGCTGTTCATTCAGTCTGACAATAGTATTTGTTGTTCACTTAAGAGTGCAGTAATAGTGTAGATCCTTTAGAGCTATAAAATATTTACACAAAAAGGTTTCTAACTCATAATTTTAAATAGCTGCACCAGATATTTTTTGAAGGAACTTTGACATTTAGATTTTTATCATTATTTACTTCATTCAGAGAAGAGAGGTTAAAGGTGCCTTTTGAAAGTTGCAAGAAAGGGTGCTTATTCCTGCAAGTGTGATGGCTCTGGAAGATGAGAAATTGCTCTTCTGACAATACCTTTGGGAAGAATATAGATACCAAGATCCTGGAAGTCCTATGTAAAATAAGATTCTTAGTTAATGTGAACCTAAGTTGTTTCTTAAAATAAGAAAGTTAATTGACCAGACGTGCTTTTAAAGCCTGTTTAGAAAATTATCTGTGCTTCTTTTTATTGTTTTTCTCAGTTTTTAACATCTCCTTAACACTTACAGCTACATGACTAACTTACTAAAAGCAATAGTGATAGTATTACTGCCCTGAAAACATTCAGAAAATAAAATCTGAGAGGTAAAAAGAATAACACAAAACTTAGGGCAAAACATTTATGGAACATAACTTCATTGGCTCTCTATACTTTGTTTACTGTGATTTGATTTCCTTATGAAAATCACTTATACTGTAGGGTATAGTAGGATTGCCAGAATATTTGAAAAAGGATTAGAAAAAATGCCCTTATCTAGAAATAAAATTGAGGGGCACTTAAAATTTTAATCCTAACAACATTACATGTCATAGATCTCATTTATTTTAAGTAATTAAGTTAACAAGCAGATATAACTGATCCAAAAATAATTTATAGAACAGCAACTGTGTGACCATATCAGAAAATGAGTTCTCTATATTCATTGTCTCCCCTAATCCCACAGACACCAGTAGAAAGTGCTAGTCAGTTCATTTATGGAGAATCTAGGGGTTTGAAAGAGATTTGGTGACTTGTCCAGTTCCATATTCAGCAAGCAGCACAATCAGGGTCTGAACTCAGATCCAACTGTGAAATCTGTTTTATTAATCAAAGTGCTGTATTCTATCTCCCCTTTTCTGCCCATTCTTAATTTTCATTCTCAACAAAGAGAGATTTAGGAGTTAATAGGTGGGTCACTTGTTCTTTTGTTTCTCTTTAATTCCAGTATTCTGAAATTCCCTAATTGCCTTTTAGAAAAAAAAAAAATCGAAGAATCAGCAAAGGATAGGAAATGAGTCTAGTTGATCTTAAGTATTGATCAAGAATAAGGAGCTGAATTTATCCATAAAATTTAAGCCACCATGCAATTTGAATAACTGAATCTATATATTCCTTCTTCACCCAAACTATAATTTTTAATCATACATGTTGAGTTTTAAAAGATGCATTCTTTACAAACCTTGTATTTTGCTTGGCTATATAAGATATAGTAATGAAGTTAGTCCAGTTGATTCGAAACTAAACAGTATGGTTTTGCCACCTCCTTCCAGGGAAATAATTTTAACAAAGTCAATAGAAACACACTCAATTCAATTGAACACATATTAAACTTGCAAATAATATTTGTTCTCACACTGCTATAAAGAAATAGCTAAGACTGGGTAATTTATAAAGAAAAGAGATTTAATTGACTCACAGTTCTGCAGGCTATACAGGAAGCATAGCTGCTTCTGCTCCTTCGGAAGCCTCAGGAAACTTACAGTCATGGTGGAAAGCGAAGGGGAGGCGGGCACATCTTACATGGCCAGAACAGGAGGAAGAGAGAGCGCAGGGAGGTACTTCTCTTTTTAAACAACCAGATCTTATGAGAACTCACTTACTATATAGTAACAAACTAATCCATTCATGAGAACTCCACCCCCATGATCCAATCGCCTCCCACCAAGTCCCACCTCCAACACTGGGTATTACAATTTGACATGAGATCTGTTGGGGACACAGATCCAAACCATATAACCCAGGCCTAGTCTTCCACAAGAAAAAACTCATATAGTAAACTGGGATTACATGCTGTTATACCAAGTGTTACAAATAAGAAACTACCAGATTTCATATCTGAGTAAGCTCACATCTGGTGGGAAGTTTGAGGAGGAAGCGAGAAGCCTCCGTTTAGGAGATATCTGATGTGAGACTTGAAAAATGACTGTTTCAGACTGTTTGAGCTGTTGTAGCAAAATACTATATACTGGGTGGTTTAAACTACAGACATTTATTTTCTCACAATTCTGGAGGCTGGAAGTCCAAGATTAGGATGCCAGTATGCTTGGGTTCGGGTAAGGACTTTTTTTTAGAATTGTAGACTGCCGATTTCTCATTGTATCCTCACATGGCCTTTCCTCTGTGTGTGTGCATGGAGAAAGAGAGAGAAAGAAAGAGATTGCTCTTCCTCCTCTAATAAGGGTATCAAACCCATTTTGAGTGTCTTCTCTTCATGATCTAATCTAAATCTAGTTTCCTTTCAAAAGATGCACTTCCAAATACCATCACATTGTGTGTAAGGGCTTCAGCATGTGAATTTGGGGGTGACACAAATATTCAGTTCAAAACAATGGTTGTGGTTTTAGCAAAAGTACAGGGTTCATGGGACAATAGAGGACATTCTTGGCAGTGGGATAACCACAAGCAAAGACAGAGACATAGGAGAGGCTCCAAAATGAGGCATTGTTGACTATAGGTCTAGAGCAGGTGAACACGATGACTAGTGTAAAGTAAGGCTATGGTGAATGGGAGACTGAAGCTTTTGGGTATAATTTTTCAGGAAGTGTTGAGGAACGTCTTTGGCTTTTTGTTAGTTTGGAGATGGAGTAGCTCAACATTAAAAAAGTACAGAGTCACTTCTATAGAATAAACAAGACTAAACCAAGCGGGAATAATGCAGCATTTTCTAGGCCCATAAAGATTTTGTTGTCTGGGGTGACACACAAGGTTCTTTGTCTCACGGCCATGGAGATCAAGTATGCAGATGCACAAAGGGTGAGGTTTAGAGCAGAGAATTAATAGGTGAAAGAAAGAGAATAGCTCTCTACTACAGAGAGAGGTCCCAGAAAAATGGGTTGCTGATCTGAGGTGAAATGCAGGGGTTTTTGTAGATGAGCTAGTGGGGAGGCAATGTCTGATCTACACAGGGTGCAAAAAACTGGTTAGGACCAGAAGTGCCATCTGCATAGGGCACAAATCTCTGTCAGTCCCCACCTCAATCTTTTATTATGAAGGCAGGTAGCTACTCCATGTTGCTTATTTCTTTCTTACTGTACACATGCTAACAAAAAATAAAGGAATGAGAATCCCTCATGGTGGACATGCCTGGCCCCCAGGTAGCCCTTTTCTATTGGTGCAGCTGCCAGGATCTCCCCGTGCAAGCTTCCAACTTCCTTATCTATGTTTGCTGCTCAATCTCTCAGGCTGCTCTTTGTTAGAAAAGAGATGTTTTCTTGGGCCGCTTTTTTGTCAGAAGGGAAGTTCTGCCGAGGACTCTTTTGCCCTCATTATCTGCCTAAATACTTTCTTTCCATGTCATGTATCAGCATGACCTTGACATTGATGTGGAGGGATAAGGTATTAGGAAGAGTCAATGTCAAATGTTTAGGCAGCAGAAAGTGAGTATCTGAGTAGAGTTTATCTCAACAGAAGTGGAAAAAAGGGATATGTTCTGGAAATACTATGACGTTAGAGTCTTCAGTCTTGACAAACGATTATATGGAGAAGGCAGAGTAACTAGGTGCATTCATGAGCACCCTAAAAAAGCCATGAAAAGAAAACAATATGTGTAAAGAACCTGCTGTTCTTAGATTTGCTCCTGCAAGTGAAGGTTTATCATGATAATATACACGGTAGTAAGAAAGTTTGCAATCTAACAAATCTTTTTTGATCAGGCTGAAGTGCAGTGGTGCTATCACAGCTCACAAGAAGCTCAAACTCCTGGGCTCCAGTGATTCTACTGCCCAGCTAACTTGTTTTTTATTTCTATTTTTATTTTTTTTAGAGGCAGAGTCTTCCCATGTTGCCCAGGCTACTCTTAAACTGCTGGCCTCACATGATCCTCCCTCCTCAGCCTCCCAACATGCTGGGACTACAGATGTATGCCACCTTGTCCGGCCCAGGAGCTAACATCTAACGAGACTCCAGGGATGTTTATACTTTCAGGTTTTACCAAAACTGGAACATTCATGATCCAATGCTGTGCAAGAGGTCAAAATATCTTGACCTGATGCATTAGGAGGTTGTTGATATTCCTTTTAGGACTCTGATTTAACATGACACGGACATTATGTTACTGCATGTCTTGGTGCAGCTTTTATTACAGTTGCCACTGCAAGCCAATGATACTTGGCCCAAAATTACATCAGACAATGAGGGAATCATTTTGTACTTCACCATCTTTGCTGTCACTTCTGCCTCCCAGGCAACTAGCCAATAATACTTGTTAGAATAACTTTAGACTGAGAATAGTAGAGTCTGAAAAAATGAGGACTTGAGGTAGAAACTTATTTATTTCCTGTTAAAGACATTGGGGGTAAAACAGTCTAGAAGATGTTCTAAGGAAGCGGCACTTCTCTCAGTTTGGCTTCTTTTCCCAGGGTCATATCATGGTTCTAATACTTCAGCTATTGTGTTTAAATTCCAGGTGTCAGAAGGAAGAAATGAAAAAGCAACGTTTAGAAGTTTTGTGAGTTTTTGTTTCTTCTTTTTGTTAGCCAGAACTCAGTAGTGATGCAAAGCTGCAAAAGAAATGTAATCATTTAGTGGGGTAGCAAGGTTCCTAATTAAAAATTGAGGTTTATTTATTTATTTATTTATTTTACTAAGGAAGAAACATAACAGATATTGGGAGGCAAATAGTACATTCTGGCTACATTTTATAATAGCCTGGTCATCATTGTGTTAAATGTCCTACACTGGTCCAAGCTGTTATATTTGCTCTTAAGAGGTAAGCCGGCAAAAGATGTGTTTATATATGCTCTTCCCTCACCTAGGGATATGGCCTGGCAGTTTTCCTCTGACAAAAACTTCAAGCAAAACAGGCATCATGATTGGTCCTCCCAGGACAGAACATTTTTAAAGAGCAGCTTTTGGATATAGTGAGCTGAGTAGTGACAGTAAATTGATGAGATCAATTTTGTGCTCATTAAGATTTTACTGATGGTGAGGCACAACTGCCCATAGTACTGTTTCTGCAGGCCAAATAAAATTACTGCAAACTAGGCTGTAATAAATGTTATAATAGAAACTTGGAGATTTTGCAATCATAGTCTATTTCCCAAAGGGGACAGATGGCCTACTATGATATGTGTAGGCACAGAATTATTCACACTTTTATTCTAGCCATAGGCTTTTCCTGCACTTTCACCCCTGAAATCATCTTTAACAAGAACCCCACATTTACTTAAAAATGGCAAATGGTATTTAGTCAGAGGGTTTTAGCCTTGTTGCTTTCCAATGCATATTTCCACTTCAAAAATAATGTGATAGGGGTCAAGATCGTAGCTCATCTGTGGCTTCAAATGAGCTAACAAGGAAAATGAGTTTCCTAGAGAAGAATTCCAAAGCCATTTGTTTCTTTCTTCTCTAGGAACTCCTGTCAGAGAGGCTAATAATCAAGGCATTCTAGAGTGGGGAGGTACCATCTTCTCCCATAAGATTCTGTTGGACTATGTCAAAACTTGGAAACATCATCTCCAACAAATGAGTTGGCCGAGTGTATTAGGCTACACCCAGAAAAACACAGGAGCGCTTGGAAGGAATTTCAGAATATCCTGGCAGATTTACACTTGAGGATTTTTGTTTGGAATTTATCTTTTTAATATAAATGTTACACGGTTTTTATGTTACACACACACAAACACACACAATGTACATATTCATTGTGCCTTCCAAACTTCTACTCTTTCTGAACACAAACTATTCACTGCAGTAAGAGTGTCCAATGGTTACCATAAATGGCAACTCCTTTGTGCTTATGTTTAGGTTTACATCTATCACATGAATAACTCAGCATGGGAATTCCTCATCTTAATTGTCAGTTAATCCAAATTCTACCCAAACTCTTGTTTTCAAAGCTCTACTTCTTTACTTCGCTGAATTTGACTTGTTGGTATGTTAATTTCTTCTCCGTATTCTTACCTCTCTTACTGTAAACTTTGTATGATTTACATTTTTCTTAATCTAGAGCAGGCACTTCCATACACTGGGAATACTGCCTAGTGCAAATGATGTTTTTAAGCAGAGGAGTGATAGTGGCATAAAAAAATCAGAAGTGTTCTGACGATAATTACTTTACTTTTTCATCCATTCATTCATTTGACAAATATTAATTAAGCGCTGACTGTGTGTTAGCAACAATTCTAGATATAGTAAGGCTTTTCAATCTTTTGAATCTTCTGCTAAAAATGGGACATATTAAATAACAAAAACGTAGGAACCCGACCTCCACATCTAGACTCTTCATTAATACTTATTTTAAATTTTACAATTAGTATGTTATTAATCATCTAGTTTGTGGAAGACACTGTGCTGAGTGATATAGAAAATTTAATAAAAAATTTAAATCAGGGCTTCAAACTATTAAATCAGGGCTTCAAACTGGAAACATAAGTCAAAAGAACTAACAAGAAAAGGCAGACAAAATAAGCTCCTAATATATAGCTTATTCTTAAGCTATATATTAGCTTATATATATTTAATATATAGCTTATTCTTAAGCTATATATTAAAGAATCAAAGGCAGCAGAGATTATGTTATAATATAAAGGAGAAATTTGAAATGGGCTTTGAAGGAGAAGTAGAATTTAAAGTGATAAGTGGACGGAGGAGAGGTGAGCAGGGAGAAGAACATAAGCAAATATATGTTGGTGAAAATAACAAGGTATGCTTTTTGAAGAAGGCAAAATCTATCTGATTTGGCAGAGAAACTATACTAAGAGTAAAAGGCATGACTAGAAAAGTGGCTCAGATTGGTTATAGAAGTCTTTACATGTCTGGTAAAGCCATAGGAAGCTACTGAAGATTTTTAAGTAGAGGAGTATGAAGAAGAAAATAAGGATTTGAAAATATTTATCTAGCATATTTCCAAGTTCTATTAGTCAGATGTGAAGAAAAAAATCAAGAGTGGCAAAGCAGGAATATAGCTTAAGCCTATATATTTGATTATTAAAATCTACAGCTGATACTTTTGTCTTCCAACTCAGGATCTATAGGCAGAACTTTTCTCCGGGGTTCACAATCATTTGTTTCACTCCAGTTGTTTAGACAATTACTTTCACCTAGAAACAAACAAAAACTCCTTCTTTGCCTCATGTTAATGCCTATTCCTCCAGGCCTTCTCAGTTGCTGCTGAAACGTATGCCTGTAATTAAAATTCCAATGAATGGAAAAATTATTTTCAGTAAGTTTGACAAGAAATAGGATGCATTACATCTCAGCCTAAGAAATTCGAACACTTCTTTTGTAAATAGAATAATATAACAAACACACAATGAAAACCAGTTTATATAAGGAATAATATTACTTTAACAATATGGACAGTTGTAAAGAAGATGCAGTATAATGGGGTATAAATATTTTATTGCTCAAAGCGGAAGAGGAGAATGTGTGGTTGGTGGTAGAAGCAGAATTGAGGGATAATCTATGGAATGTGCATTTTTTTGTGAACAATTTTCTTTAAATGTTTTTTAAACTTGTTAGAACTAAAGATTCTCATGCGTTCAGACTACACTTAAAAATAGTCATTGCATAGAAAAAAATTTTAGGAAAAAACAAAGGCTAAGTACAATTACACCCATACTAATTAATTATTTACACAATAGATTGAAGTATCCAAAAATGCTATTTCATCACCTTTGTAGCTTTGTGTATGTGTACAAAGTAAACAAATTTGATTTCATCCAAACATGGTACAGTTTAAATTGTTTCCACATAATATTCTGTGACTAGACACTGCTGGGTCAGGTAGGTGAATGTATTTTACCTAAAACTATCTCAACATACCAATTCTTACAGTATAATTATTTACTGTGTTTTCTGATGCCTGACTTCTTTTGATTACCATTAATAAGACTCAACCATTCTCCAACTTCCCAGTGATTTATTGGATTCTTAGTCTTGTGTCATGGAAGTTGGATTTAAGGTAATGAACTAGCAGACAATGCTCTGTGCATCACAATCAGATTCTGCTAATTAAATATTATCTCTGTTTCATTAGTGCTCTCAGGTATTGAGGTATAATTGACAAATAAAAATTGTATATATTCTAAGTACGCAATGTGATGACGTGATATACCTATACATTGTATAATGACTACCATAAAGTTAATTAACACACCATCACCATTCACAGTTGCTATTTGGTTGTGCATGTGTGTTTGTGTGTGAGTCTGTGTGTGGTGAAGACACTTAAAATCTCACTTATCAAATGTCAAGCAAACAATACATTACTGTTAACTAAAGTCACCATGCTGTACATTAGATCTCTAGAACATATCTTGTAACTAATGCTTGCACCTTTTAACCTACATCTCCTCATTTCCATTATCCCAGCCTCTGGTAACCACCATTCTACTCTCTGCTTTTATGAGTTTGACTTTTTAATATTCCATCTACAAATAAGTTTGGATTCTTAGTCTTGTGTCATGGAAGTCGGATTTAAGGTAATGAGCTAGCAGACAATGCTCTCTGTGCATCACAACCAGATTCTCCTAATTAAACAGTATTTCTATTTCATGCAGAGTATTTGCCTTTCTGTGTTTGGCTTATTTCTCTTAGCATAATGTTCTCCACATTCATTTACATTGTCACAAAAGGCAAGACTTCCTTTTTTAATCACTGAATCATATTCTTTTGTGTGCGCGCACACACACACACATAAATATACCACTTCACCATATTTTCATTAACGCTTGGACAGCTAGGTGTTTCCATATATTGTCTATTGTGAATAATGCTGCAATAAACATGAGAGTACAGATATGTCTTCAAGATACTTACTTCATTTTCTTTAGATGTATACCTGGAAATGAGATTGCTGGGTTGCATGGTTGTTCCATTTTTAATTTTTGAGGAACTTCCATACTATTTTCCATCATGCTTGTATCAATTTACATTTCCACTAACATTGTACAAAGATTCCATTTCTCCATGCCTTTACTAACACCTTTTAAGTGTACAAAGGTTCGTACATCAATGTATAAAGGTTTATACATCATGTTTAATGTGCAATGTACAATCTATTTTCTTTTGGATAATAGCTATTGTAACTATTGTGAGGTGATATCTCCTTGTGGTTTTAATTTGCATTTCCCTGATGATTTGTGATGTTAAGCCCTTTTCACGTACCTGTTGGCCATTTTAATATTTTCTTCGGAAAAATATCTTTTCAGGCCTTTGGAGCACTTTTTAATTGAGTTATTTGGTTTAATGTTTATTTTGTTTATTTGCTGTGCAGAAGTTTTTTTGTTTGTTTGTTTGTTTGTTTTTTAGTTCGATGCAGTATCACTTGTATATTTTTGCTTTTGTTGCTTGTACTTTTGTTGTTATATCCAATAAAATATTGCCAAGACCAATATCAAGGTGTTTTTCTCTTTTTTCTGTTAGGAGTTTTTATGTTTTCAGACCTTATATTTAAGTCTTTGAAGTTAATTATTGTATATAATATTAGACAAGGATTCAATTTTATTCTTGTGCATGTGGATATTCAGTTTCCCCAGCACCATTTATTGAGAAGATTATCCTTTTCTTGTGTGTACTGTTTGTGCCCTTGTGAAAGATTAGTTGACCATATATGTGTGAATATATTTCTTAGCTCTCTACTCAGTTCCATTGAATGTGTATCATTTTTGTGCAAATACAATACGGTTTTGATTACTGTAACTTTGTAACATACTTTGAAATTAGAAAGTGTAATATCTCTAGCTTTGTTTTTCTTTCTTAAGATTACTTTAGATATTGTGTTTCATTCAACTTTTATTATTTTTAAAATTACTTCTGTAGAAACCATTATTGGAACTTTAATAGGGATTGCACTGATTCCATGAATTGCTCTGTGTTATATGGACATTTTAACAATATTAATTTTCCAATCTATGAACATGGGATATCCTTCCATTTATGTCTCTTCTTTATCTTTTTTCATCAATTTTTGACAGCTTTCAGTGTACAGATCTTTCACCTTATTGGCTATCTGTATGCCCAATTTTTTATTCTTTTGTTATTGTAAATTAGATTGCTTTCTTAATTCATTTTTTGGAAAGTTTGTTGTCAGTAAATAGAAACAAAACTGAGTTCTGTATACTGATTTTGTATCCTGCAAGCTTACTGAATCTTTTTTTTTTATTCTAACAGTTTTTTGGTGTAGTCTTTAGGGTTTTCCATAGACAAGATTATGTTATCTGCAAACAGAGCCAATTTAAATTCTTCCTTTCCAATTTGGTTGTCTTTTCTTATTCTTTCCTTGTCTAATTGCTCAGGCTAGGACTTCCAATCCTATATAGAGAGAGTAGAAATGGTGAGAGTGGAGACTCTAGTTTTGTTCTTGAACTTTGAGTAAAAGGTTGCAGCTTTTCACTGTTGAGTGTGATATCAGCTGTGGACTTTTCAAATATAATTTTTATTATATTGAAATACAGTCATGCTATATGTAATTTGTTAAGAATTTTTATCAGGAAAAAGTTTGAATTTTATTAAATTGAAATTTATTATTGAATTTTATTAATTTTATTAAATCATTGAAATGATCATATTATTTAAATCTTTCATTCTGTTAATGTTGTGTTGTGTATCTTATATATTGATTTGCATGTGTTGAAACATTTTTGCATCCCAAGGATAAATCCTAGTTGATCATGGAAAATGATTCTTTCATGTGCTGTTGAATTTGGTTTGCTAGTATTTTGTTGAGAATTTTTGCATTGATGTTCATCAGAGATAGCAGCCTGTAATTTCCTTTGCTTACAGTGTTCTTATCTGACTTTGGTTTTAGAATAATTCTGGTCACATAAAATGAATTTAAACCTTTTCTTTCTCTTCAATTTTTTGAATAGTTTGAAAAAGATTGGTGTAAATTATTCTTTAAATGCTTGGTAAAATTTACCAGAAAAGCCATCTGGTCTCCAGCTTTAGTTGTTTGGAGGATTTTAATTACTGATTCAATCTTCTTACAGATTATTGGTCTGTATAGATTTTCTATTTCTTCACAATGCAATCTTTCAAGTTGTATGTTTCTAGGATTCTATACATTTCTTTTATATTATAATATTTGTTGGCATATAATTCTTATAGTATTCTTGAATGAGCCTTTGTATTTCTGTAGGATAAGTTGTAATGTCTCTTTTCCCATTTTATTTATTTGAATGCTCTCTTTTTTATTCATGGTTAGTCTAGGTAAAGGTCTGTCTGTCCATTTTGATTATATTTTTATAAAAACAGCTTTGAGTTGTTTTTAAATTTTCCATTTATATTTTATATTTTATATTATCTTTCTAATTTCTAGTTCATTTATTTCTGATCTTCATTACTTTCTTTATTCTGCTGACTTTGGGGTTAATTTGTTTCTCTTTTCTTTGTTCCTTGAGATGTGATTTTAGGTTGTTTATTTGAGATTTTTGTTTTTTTCTTCTTTTTATTTTAATGTAGCATTCATTGCTATAAACTTCCCTCCTAGAACAGCCTTTGCTACATTTCATAAATTTTGGCATGTTGTGTTTGTTTGCCTCAAAATACATTTTTCATTTTCTATTTAAACTTTTAACCATAGGTTTTTCAAGAGTGTGCTATTTAATTTCCACACAATTGGAAATTTCCCAGTCTTCCTCTTGTTATTGATTTCTAGTTTCATACCATTATAGTCAGAAAAGATACTTGAGATGATTTCTATTTTCTTAAATTTGTTAATACTTGTTTTGTGGCCCAACATGTGATTTATTCTGAAGAATGTTCTGTGTGCACTTGAGAAAAATGTGAGTCTGCTGCTGTTGAAAGAAATTTTCTGTACATCTGTTAGGTACATTTGGTCTGTGGCATTCTACAAGTCTGCTGTTTTCATTTTTCTTTTCTGTCTGGATAAACTATTCACTTGCGAATATGCTTCAATGTCTCTGCCTAGTTTTTTGTTTTTGTTTTTTGAGACAGGGTCTTGCTATGTTGACAGGCTGGTCCCAAACTCCTGTCCTCAGTCAGTCCTTCTGCCTCCTGCTTCAGCCTCCCAACATGCTGGGATTATGGTTTCTGCTAAATTTTTAACCTTCCCCATAGTTATATCTATTGCTCTATTTGCCAGGCACCAAATATAAGTGGCCCATCCTGATCAATCATTCTCATTCAGCCATGTCTAACATAAAATATCTCTCTGTGTTAAAATTTAGAATAACCAATATGAACAACATATTTGGGTGGGGTCCACCCCATTGCAGTTAACTATGAGGAAGAGGATTTAAGGATGCAGGTCCAAGTATTCCAATATATAAGCTGTCCCCTTCTGAAGCCATAGAGGGAACTAAGAAGGAGATACGGAGACAAGAAAGAAAGATCGAAACTGATTCATGTAACATTTTTTTTTTTAGAGGTCATCTTATTTGCCAGACTTTTGTGAGTCTGGAATCCAACAGATGTTTAATGTCTGTATTGCATTTGTCTAATGGTAGTGGCAGCTACAAAAGCACTGGACTAGTGATAAAAAGGCACTGCTATTAGGTGAATTTCTGCCAATGAATAGTTCTGTGACCTTGAGTGAATCAGCTGTCCACTCAGAAACCCACTTGTCTTATCCATAAAATAGGAACATTGAGTTGAATAAAAGCTTTAAGTCTCTTCTTCATCTAAAATTCAATAAGCTTCTTTGTATGATAATATTCATTTGTAAAATGAGAAGGTTTGCAAGGATGGCATACTTCAGTGATGGTAAAAATATGTTTTTCAAATATAGTGAGTGTTATATAAATGCAAAGCAGTTACAGGCAGGTTTAGATAATGTTTAGTGCTTTGCTGTTAGCTTTCATAAAACCACTACAACGTTTGAGTGTTATCTTTTTGCCTTATACGTATATACTATTTTTTTAAAGAGCTTGGTTTATGAGCATGTGTTTCCTAGAACAGGTCCAAAACATTTGTTCACTTTTCCTGGAAATAAAGACTTTTAAAATGTAAATAAAAAGCTGATGCTATGTTGTTCTTCTTTTAAACTTATTTATTTTCATTTCTCTCTTTGATTTCCTGCTGCCCTACTAAAGTCTTGTGGAAACATAAGACATGCTTTTTACTTTGTTGTAGAAGCCTTCCTATTGTCTAGACACTGACTTTATCGCTGCTCTTGAAAAGTTTTCTATCTCTCTTCCTTTACATCTACACTCTTGGTTTCAGTTGATTAGTGCTACTGGAGCCCCTGAGTTGTACTTATAGGGAATAATAAAATGGACTAAAAATTCTTGTAGAAGCCGAAGTGGAGAAGTGAAAGGGTTTTGTTGTTGTTGTTGTTTTTGCAATGGTCTTGGGTTTTGGCCTAGGAATATCTAGTATTTACTGCAATCTCCACCAGTAACTTCCTGTGTGATTAGACAGTTTCTTAACATTTATGAATTTCAAAGATCATATGAGAAAAATATTTTAAAAATTTATATTTTTTGGTAAAATTTAATCAAATAGTTATTACCTAGATTACTTGGTATATTTTGTATGTGATCAATAAATATGAAGTTGTACATTAGTTCCTTCAGTCCAATGCTCCTTGCCATATTTCATTTTTTCTCACTATCAATTATTTTATACATGAGGTAAATATATATGACATATATATTTGTTTACTTTCACTTGTCAGATTCTTTCATTGAGTTTCCTGGAACATAGATATGTCTTGTTCATTGACAACATTCTAGCATTGAGGACAGTGAATAGAGAAAAGTATGATCTAAAGGTACATGTTTTAAGGGAAAGCATGATATATATTTGTATGGCAGTTATAGTTTATCAAGACTATTACAGAAAATATCTAGATGTTAGAGTTTATGCTGACCTACATACATAAAATAAACACACAAAAATAATGAGGATCAGAAAAAGGCACTGCTAGTTCTTGAACTACAAGCATCCCATACTCACTGGTGTTTTAAATTATAGGCCAGTTTTAGAGTTGCAATTCAGAGAAAAATCAAACTAAAATTAAAAATAGAAATTTGGAGGAACAGGGCTTTTTTCCAGTTTTCCAATGGTTTTCCTCTGTAACTGTACCGATATATAAAATTAATGAACTGTTGCATTTTATAACTGGTAGGAACCAGGAAATCTTCAAGTCATTACCATTTTTATCAATACTGCTGAAGATTCATTTCTTGATTGAGCACTTACATCTAGTTAAACGAAGCTTATCATAGAAAGACTGCCTCCTCTTTGTTATCTTTCAGTTTGCAGTATTTTGACAGATATACTTAAACATTCATTTAACATGCATTCATTGTGTGGTTAAAAGTCTCTTTGGGGCCAGATGTCGTGATATATGTTTGAAACACAGAGAAAGAGCTCACAGTCTGGAGGAGGGACCAAATAAGTGAACTAGCAATTATTATACAGTCTAATATAAACAATAAAAATATACATACAAAATAATAAGGAGGCAGGAGTAAAGGGTGCATTCATCAGTAAAGGCTTAATGGATTCTGTAATACATGAGCTTAATCTTAACAAATATATGAGATTTAATTAGGCTGCAAAAAAGAGCAGTGGTCGGTCAGAGAAGCCTGAATATGTGAAGACAGAAAAGTGTGAGTACACATGTTGTGTTTCATGATCCACAGGTAGTTCTGTAGACCTGAGAGAGATTTCATCCTGAGAGGACAGGTCATGAGGCTATAAAGGAGGACAAGATTAGCAGTTTAAATCATACAAGGTGTCAGACTGAACTCCAAGTTTATATTTCAGGCTGAGGACATGTAGGTGATAATATGATAAAACAGTATAGAGGATAGAATGAGGAAGGGGAAGGCAAGTAGTTACTGAGCCAGATTTTGAAAGAACAAGTAGATTCAAAAACTAAAACCACAGATGAAATAGCATTTAGAATTGAATATAAAAATTTCAAAGACTCCATGTTGGAAGTACAATATAAAACATAGTAACTGATGTAATATGTTGCCAAGATCCACCTTCCAGAATGAAGATGGGTCATGACAGCTATTTGGAGCGCTGCTGGCTGACAACTCTAAGTTGTCAACCCCCTTGGGGATTGCTTCTAGTTCTGAAGTAAGCTGCTACCTTGGCTAAGGTCAAGTTCCCTATCCTATGTGTCCTGCATGCAAAGACTGATTGATAGGTAGAGTATAAAGGACCCTCCTAACTCAATATTGGAAAAAACCCTGAAAACCTATGAAGAGTCATACTATCTGTGTTTGTCTGTTTGTATTGGTATAAAGAAGTACCTGAGGCTTGGTAATTTATAAACAAAAAAGGGTTGTTTGGCTCATTGTTCTGCAAACTGTACACAAAGCATAGTGACAGCATCTGCTTCTAGTGAGGGTCCTAGGAAACTTACAATCATGGTAGAAGCTGAAGGGGAGCCAGTGTGTCACATGGTGAGAGAGGGAGTAAGACAGCAAAAGAGGAGGTGGCAGGCCCTTTTAAACAACTAGATCTCATGTGAATTCATAGAGTAAGAACTCACTTATCATCACAGGATAGCAAAAAGCCATTCAAAAGGAATTAGCCCCCATGACAGAAACACCTCCTACTAGGTCCACCTCCAACACTGAAGTCAAATTTCAATATGAGATTTGGAGGAGAGAAAACATCCAAACCATATTATTTCATCCTTGCCCCCCACCCAAATCTCACACTTTTCTCACATTTCAGGATACAATTATCCCATCCTAATATTTCCCAAAAGTCTTAACTCATTCCAGCATCACTCAAAAGTCTAAAGTCCAAAGTCTCATCTGACATTCAAGGCAATTTTCTTCCACCCATGAGCCTGTGAAATCAAAGTAAGCTATTTACTTCCAAGATATAGTGGTGGTAGAGGCACTGGGTATACATTCCCTTTCCAAATAGAGAAATCAGCCAAAAGAAAGAGTCAACAGACCTCATGCAAGTCCGAAACCCAGGAGGGAAGTCATTAAATTCTAAAGCTCCACAATAATCTTGTTTGACTCCATGTCCCATATCCAGGGCACACTGGGGCAAGGGGTGAGCTTCCAAGGCATTGGGCAGCTCTGCACTGTGGCTTTATAGGGTACAGCCACCATAGCTACTCTTACAGGTTGAAGTTGAGTGCCTGCAGCTTTTCCAGGTGCAGAGTACAAGCTGTCTCCTATTCTCAAATCTGGAGGGCAATGGCCCCATTCCCACAACTCCACTAGGCAGTGCCCTGTGGGGACTCTGTGTGGAGGCTCCAATTACACATTTCCTCTTGGTACTGTCCTAGGAGCATCTCACCACAGGGGAGCCAACCTTGTAGCAGGTTTCTGCCTGGGTGCCCAGGCTTTCTGAAACATCCACTTAAATCTAGGTGGAAGCTGCCAAGAACCTCCTTTACTCTTGCTTTCTGCACATCTGCAGACTTAACAGCACATGGAAGTCACCAAAGCTTATGGCTTGTACCCTCAAGAGCAGTAGCCCAGGCTGTACCCATGGCCCTTTGAACCATGGTTAGAGTTGAAGCAGCAGGGATGCAGGGAGCAGTGTCTTGATGCTGTGTAGGGCAGTGAGGCCCAAGGCCTGTTCCTCAAACCGCTTCTTCCTCCTAGGCCTCTGGGCATGTGATGGGAAGTGCTGTTCTGAAGACTTCTGAAATTATTTCGAAGCATTATTCCCATTGTCTTGGATGTTAGCACTTGGCTCCTTTTAGTCACACAAATCTCTCTAGCAAGTATTACTCCACAGCCCTCTTGAATTTATCTCCTGAAAATGTTTTTTTTTCTAGAAAGAAAACTTCTAGAAGTTCTAGAAAGAGAACTACCCATGTCCAGGCTGCAAATTTTTCAGATATTTACACTCTGCTTTTCTTGTTTATATAAGTTCCAACTTTAAGTCATTTCTTTTTGCCCACATTTGATCATAACTGTTGTTAGAAGCAGCCATGCCATATCTTGAATGGTTTGCTGCTTAGAAATTTCCTCCGACGTATACTCTAAGTAATAATTCTTCAGTTCACTGTTCCACAAAGTGCTGGGATATGGACACAATGCAGCCAAACTCTTTGCTAGGGCATAATAAGGATGACATTTACTCTAGTTCTGAATAAATTCATCATTTCCATCTAAGATTTCATCAGCCTGTCCTTCACTATTCATATTTCAATCAGTATTTTGGTCACAACCACTTTACAAGTCTCTAAGAATTTCCAAACTTTCTCTTATCTTTCAATGTCATCTTCTGAGACCCCCCAAGCTCTTTCAACATCTGACTGTTACCTAGTTCCAAAGCTGCTCCCATATTTTCAAATATCTTTATAACAACACTTCACCCCTTAGTACCAATTTTCTATGTTAGTTTGCGTTGTTATAAAGAAATACCTGAGGGTGGGTAATTTATTAAAATTAAAAAAAAGAGGTTTATTTGGCTCACAGTTATGCAGGTTGTACATGAAACATACTGCCAGCATTTGCTTCTGGTGAGGGCCTCAGGAAGCTTACAATCATGGCAGAAGGTGAAGGGAAGCTGGGATGTCACATTGTAAGAGAGAGTAAGAGAGCAAGGGAGGAGGTGTCAGGCTCTTTTAAACAACCAGATCTAGGCCAGGCAGGTGGCTTATGCCTGTAATCCCAGCATTTTAGGAGGACAAAGCAGTCAGACCACCTGAGGTCAGAAGTTTGAGACCAATCTAGCCAACATGGTGAAACCCCTCTCTACTAAAAGTACAAAAATTAGCTTGGTGTGGTGGTACATGCCTGTAATCCCAGCTACTCAGGGGGCTGAGGCAGGAGAATTGCCTGAACCCAGGAGGCAGAGGTTGCGGTGAGCCGGGATCACACCACTGCAATCCAGAGGGAAACTCTGTCTCAAAACAAAAACAAACAAACAAACAAACAAAACAGAAAAAAACAGCAGATCTAGTGTGAACTCACAGAGTGAGAATTTACTCACTTTTGTACCAAGTCATTCATGAGGGATCCACCCCCATGATCCAAACACCTCCCAGTAGGCACACTCCCAGCACCAGAGGTCATATTTCAACATGAGATTTGGAGGAGACAAAACATCCAAACCATATCAGTATCTTCAGAACTCCCCACAGGGTTCCATTAAACTGCATGACAGCTCTACTTCTCCCCCTGCTGAACCATGCTCTCTCCCTTTCCTTTCATAATTTTAATTCTGAACATACTTTTTAATCAATCTGTTGCACCCTAACTTCCATCTCAACGTTTGTATTTGGTGGTCATTTTGCTGCAGTAACTTAGCATGTACCTCATATAAATCCAAACTTTGAGTTCAGGAAGCTTAAGCCCTAAAGAAAAATAATTAGTCAAGCGATACTGAAGTAAAGCCAGAAATAAAGAGTTTATTGAAAAACTGTCACTAAGGATCTAGAATGACATCTGTGTCTAACACCCTACTGGGTAAGGACATGTTGGTTTCCTTAGATTTTTCAATCACTGAAGGCATCTAATGAATTCCTATGTAGTATAGTATGCTGTTCTCACGTATGTACTATGGAGAACTGAACCAGCAGTGCCATTATGTTAGCTCTTAGGGAAAATGCTGTATAAATAGACTCAAGCAATCTTTGTTTTTTTAGTGTATTTCAGTGTTAATATCATATATATATATGAGTGATTTAAGATAAATTAGATTAATGCTAAGGCTTAGGATAATTGCTCACTGGGATTACTTTCCCTAGAAACAGAACTTAATTGCTGAAGGATTTAGGCAGTAGTTTTCATTTGCTTCTGGCATCACCATAGTTTTCTAGTACAATTTTCTGTGTGGAATTTATTTATTTCCTTTGAAAGAGGTAGCTGTTATAGATCAGAAAGAGTATGGATCTTGTCTTGAAAAATGCCTAGTTTTGTGAGAAACTAAGTGGTATCTTTAAGTCAACTTTTGGCAGAGGTTTACATAATTATATGAGGTACATTAAATACTGCTTCAGGTGACAGAGAAGGACCAGTAGATCTAAGCCATGACTGTACCCTAAACATCTGATTGCATTAGTTGTATTTAAATCGTGGGTCCCTGCTTTGACTATGACTTCTAGAAATCATTCAGGCAGGCTCTTCATGAGAGAAACTGATATTTCCTTTCATAATACTGAATCTTAACTCTGTTGCTGTATTGTGCAACCCTCTTCTGTCTTGAAAATATTATGCTATTTGTCCAAGGCTGTTTGACCTTTGTCAACTTTCAGACCCCATGAGGCTACATGTAATAAGAATGGCTAATCTATAGTGAGTAATTTTTATATGTGCAAGAGTTTTAATTATTTTATTTAACCCCCACCACTTTATAAAGTTTATGATATTATTGTTCCTATTTTACCAATAAAGAAACAAAGGCAAAGAGAAAGGGGTGAGTAATTTACTCAAGGTTACACAGGCTAACATATTTTAGAGCCAGAGTTTGATAGCAGTTGGCACCAGATTGTGAGCTTTTAGCTATAACTCTATGTTTATATTTAAACTATAAAATAAGCTACAAATACAAAGTCTTTATGATCAGTATAGTTTCTCTTTATGTACTTGCAGCTTACATGGGTGCTTAGTCAAAACTGCTCTGTGAGCTTTTAGAAAGGGGTAGGGATAGTGTTACCTGACTATACAGAAAAGTCAAGAAAATTAATATAATACCTTGATTTTATTTTCCAAAGTTAGGTGTTTTGACTGAACAGTCACCTTATACTATTTTTCCTTAAATAAATAACAGTAAGATCATGCCTTTTGTTCAAGTGACATCTTTTATCAAAGACTCTCAAAGAGTTCCACAAATGTTATATCACTGTCTCAGCACCTCTTTATCATACAATCTGGGACTGCAGTAGATGGCAAATAATTGAAGCTCAGCAGTATTAGGTGACTTATGTAAGGTCGCAGACCCAGACCATCATAGATCACACACACACACACACACACACACACACACACACACACACACACACACACACAGATTTGAGTTAATTTATTTTCAGTTGTCTTGCTGTATGATTTTAAATCAGACAAGATCCCTTCTCAATTACTGTCCTTGAACCAGAGTTGTACTCTCATTTAAACAGGTCCTAAGACAAAAAGTTAGGTCCTAGTTTGGCACCTCTCTGTGTGATACAGTAATAACAGGAAAAATGCTTTATAATTGTGCTGTAGTTAGTCACAGTTTGGTCATTTATATTGCATCATTTGATCTCCCAGAAGTCTAGAAGGTAGTATAATTATTCTCATCTTTTAAGTAAATGTACTGAGACTTCGAATAATGATTACTAGCTTAATTTAGTGTTTAATACAGGTATTTTAAAAACTCATATCTCTTTATTTCTAAAAATAAGGCAAAAAACCTTCAGATATTAGGAACTAATAGTATCCCCATTCTACAGATCAGGAAACTGTGACTCAAGTAATTTGCTGCAATTACAGGCAGCCTGTATTTTCCAACACTATGCATTTAATCCCCATGCTGTGTGACCTGGGGTCCCTGATAGGAATTAGTGGAGGTAACTTTAGAGTGTGTTTCATCACCACATCACACACACATCACTATTATCATCATTATCAGTGTCTTAGAATTCCTGAAATCAGACCCTGAGAGAAAGTGTTGCATGTAGGTTTATTGGAAAGAGCTCTCAGGAGATATATCTGAAAGAATTGAGGAAGACAGATTGGACAGGAAGAGAAGGTGACCTGCAATGCAGCTGTAGCTGAAGCCTCAGCAGGTCATTTTGGTGGGCTTTGTTGTTAAGAAGTGGCCCTTCAGAGTTTTCCAATTAAGTAAGAAGGTTGAGCCTTTGTATCTGCACATGAGCCTCTCATTAAGAACAAGACAACCCCTAGAATTGGGAATAACTTTGCACAAGGCAGTTCTCTGCAGTAGAGGAGAGTTCCCCTGAAAGAAATCATCGTTAGACAATGGCAACTGATATTTCCAGCAGAGATGGTGAATACGTGGACCTTGATGAAGGGTTCTCAGCAAAGCACAGTAGCATCCATTACCATCAATAACATTCATTAGGCATGTACCCTGTATCAGGAACTACACTTGGAACATTACATGTATCCTCCCATTCAGCTGTTGAAACTTTAAGAGGTGAATATCAATATTGTCCTCATTTTGTAATTGATAAATTTGAGAATATTTGCCCATGACTACACAAGTGTGACTTGCACTCAATCACCAAAGTATGTTGCCTCCCTACACTCAAGTTCCTATTCCCAAGATGAGTAAAATTTGACAAATACCTTAATTTCTCTGCAACTTTAAAGATGTATCCTCATCTTCAAATTGGTTATTGGACAGAATACAGGAAATTAACTGCAACATTAAATATAGAGAATTGTATATACTGCCTGACACATTGAATGCAGTTTATTTTTTTACCTGTCTAACTCAAAGAGATTAGTTCTAGTTGTGCCACCTTAAGACTTAGCATTTTCTATCTAAAACATGTAAAATGAAGATCTTCAATCAATTTAAAACAAAAAAGTGATACTCCATTAAATCAGTGACTTCGTGCATACTTCATGTTGTCTAAAACTACGAGATCACCTTTCATGCCTGAGATATAATTCTGGAAGAGGGCTTATGAACAGTAAATAGCCATTTCTCTTTTCCTACTGTTTCTATCCTATATAAAACTGAAGTTATCTTAGCCTGTATGAGCAAATAACGTAAACTCAAATTATTTAGCCACCCCTTATCCTGCATTAAGAACTTTCAATGTCACTTTGAAAAAGGATTTTTTTCTGTCATTATCAGAAGTTTCTGAAATCCATTGCTTAAAAGAATGTGCTATTTCTCAAATTGAAATAGAGGATGAGAGATCTTTCAACTAATTAGGCAACTCTATTTTTCATCTGTTTTTTTAAGTGGTACTCAATACACATTAAAATTAGCAAAGGAAGAAAACTAGCAAGAGATTCTAGGCTCCATCTAGCATGTGAGATGCTACATCTTATCAATCCCTGGATTCTTCACCTTACCTAACAAAATGCCTAGCAGAGCTAGTTCTCAATTACAAATAACTGGGGGACGATAATAAAAATTAGAATAATAAATTGGTATTCTATGTCCTGTATCAAAAGTTCCAGGTAGCTTATCAGCATCCAGGGTGACCTTGGATGTCACCTACCTCCCTGTGCTTCATTTTTTTATTCACTATAATAGTACTACTTGTTTTTATTTCCTACATGCTTTGAGAGTTTCAGAGTGCTGCAACGACCAAGTTTTATTATCCAATTACATTTTTATACAATTGTAACCAAAAACTTACGCAATCAGTTCCTTTCAAAAAGGTACATTCTCCATTTGAATCTGATTGATTTTGCAGTGAAAGGCTGAGATCTCAGCATAAATCCATGTAGCTGTTTAGTGGGCAGCCTGATTTCCATAGACAACAGGAGAATGAAGTACAGTGGATGTGAGCTTAAGATAAATGATTAAATGAAAAAAGAGAGACCTGAACCAAATACAGCCTTAAATGTTACGTGGATTTTATAAGTTACCTTCACCTTCAGAAGCTGAAGTGCTAAAATACAACGAAGCAAAATATGCCTCAGGTAATTCCAATGAGGCAATGCATAGCATAGAAATCTCAATTTTTCTAACCTTAAAAAGCAAGAAAACATAAGTGAAAGTTTAGGGAGCCAGTATTGGAAATAAATTTTAAGAGCTGTTGAAAGTGAATGTAAACAAGATCTTCCATAAAAGATGTGTCAAACCATTTGCTAACAGTGGAGGGGAACCACAATGAAATTGGCAATAACCATTACTTCTGAATGTCACAGAAGGCAGAAAAATAAAGAAAAATCAATGTTAAAATGTAGTCTGGAAAGACAAACTGATGTTTGAAATAGGCTGGTCTGTTATAAATTTATATACATGGTCTCTTTGTACTCATTATAGCCCATCCTTAAGCCAATATTGTGACTAGAGTAAAGAATATGCTAGATAGCAGCCTTGAGGTGCATACCCACTTGTCAAACTAGGACTTAGTATCAGCCCAATTTATACCAAAACTGAGAAAAGACAGAGGTGTTTCTCCAAAGGAAAATCAATGTGAATTTACAGCAGTAGGAAAATGGAGGTAGAGCAGCCAGGCAAAACAGCAAATGTCCACTAAGAATGAAAATGATTCCAAGATTTACATATGAGTATATAATACAAACATATATATAAATATATAGACATATATAGAGACACATATATATACATATATATGTGTCTTCACATACAGATTTATGTTTGTCTTTACATATGAATTTACATATAAACATATATGTATTGTACACTGTATATATTGTATACTTTATTTAATGAATGTAATATCTACAGTCACTTATTTCCTACTCAGAAAAAGTATTGGAGCAACAAATATTTGATGGTCATTAACTCTACTCAAAATCATGTTCAGTTCAGAATTTTTGTTTTTTAATTTTTGTTTTGAGATGAAGTGTCCTTATGTTGCCCAGGCTGGAGTGCAGTGGCTAGTCAAAATAACAATCATAGCTCACTGCAGCCTCAAACTCCTTGCCTCAAGTAATCCTCCCCATCTTTACCTCCAGAGTAGCTGGGACACATGTCACTGTACCCTACCAGTGAGGTTTTAATATGAAATTTCATATTTGATTTCAGTAGTATATAATGAGGCCTATTGTCTATCTGATTTGATGCGATGTCATATTTAGCCAATATGACTGAGAACTGTTAAATTTCTTGGTCTAGCTTTTTGGGAAAAAATACCATAAATAATGGTAAAGTGCATGGCTAAAAGGGTCTCATGGAAAAGAAACAAGAAAGACTGAGACAAGTGGGAAATGAGAAATTGGGAACTTCCTAGCAATGCGAAGATAAAATAGCATACAATTTCAGTGCTTTGGGTTTTTCACTACTATGTTTTTCCCCAAAATCATCCAAAATAGTCAATTTTAATAAAATTGATAACAGACAGAGAGGATGGGGAAAATGCTGTGTGAAGGTTTTTCACTGCAAAAATTTTAAGTTAGACAAGTTTAATTTATGACAATCAAAGCATTTATGATACTGATTCTTCCTACCTTGCCAGTCTTATTTCTCACATCCTATCACCCACTTAAACATGTCCTTCTAACCACTACTGCAGTATTCTTCACTTTAGAACATAAAGTCTTTGTAGTTTCTGAATTATAATAGTATAATAAAGACAGAATCATTGCATTATTATCACATCTGATATTTATTGAGCACTTCCTATGTCCTCTTGTGTGAAGAAATTTAATCCTCATGGTAATTCTATGATACAGGTACTATTATTTTTTAGAGAATCATGTTAGTGTTTAAGGTCTTAAGATGGAAGAAGAATAAACAGCATTTATGGTTACGCAATCCTTGCCTGCTTCGAGGGCAAACTAGAATCATGATATACACTTGGTTGATGCCTGTGAATGTGGTCCTCAAATTTTCTTTTTGTTGGTGATTGATGATGTTATATTGTATGCCTGGGTAACAATAGGACCCGATGTACCTGCTTGTCAGGAGTGCTTAGCAAGACTTAATGATGTACATCTGGCATCTATGCTAAGATCCTGAGTTTCAGTAATCATGGCTGACTGCATAATGAACAAGTGCCTATATGACCAGTCTACCATAAAAGCCTTAACCCTTGAGACTCTGCACGTCAATAGGCAGAGATTTCTCACTCGTATTTTGTAGTTCTCTACTAGAGAGAAAGTGGGTCTTATGAGACTCTGGAGAGGCAAGGAATTGAAAGCCTTCACCTCACCCGTTTTAACTTTCATCAATAAATATCTTTTTCCTGTGGCTATTACTTTTTGTTCTTTGCTGTGATAAATCTTAGCCATGAATACATAATTTCCTGTGGAGGTCTGTGAGTCCCGGCAAATCAGTGAACTTGAAAATAGTCATAGAATGGACCACCAAAACAATATTTAATCCTCCTAGTAATCAAATAGTATAGGTATTATTATTTTCCAGAAAATCGGGTTACTTCCCAAAGTCTTGGAACTAATGAGAGGAAATGTGCTATTCAAACAGAAGCAGTTTGTTTCTAGAACCAGAGCTCTATTTTGTCCATGAATCAATGCTGACAGTCTGTTTAGCCTAGTAAACGCCCTCTTGTGTTATTTGATGTATACATGTGTTACTTTCGCCAAGAAGGTTCCTTAAATCCAAAAGTGGAATAGTATCTTTCACTTACCCTTTCATAGTAAATATACAATTATTTTGTAATTTCCTGTTTACATTAATTATAGCTTCACTGGAATCCTTTTATCATCAGTGATTGATGAAAGACAGAACAAGACCTTGTGTCTAAAAAGAAAGAAAATCAATGAAATTATCTGAATTATTAATTAAATTACTTTGATAGGACTATATGCATTTTCTAGTTCCTCTTGGGTGATTTTTGGTAAGCTTTATTTTTATTTTTTCATGAATTATTCCATTTAATCCAAGTTGTCAAATATATTAGTGTAATATACCCCTACCATGTATTTAATATCTGTGAGATCTATATTACTGTCTATTATTCATGACATTGGTATTACGTATTTTCTATTTTGTATCCTTAAACTTGCTATGGATTTATCGATATTATTAAATTTTCCAAAGAGTGATTTTTGGCTGTGTTTATTTTCTTTCTTTGATTCTATTTTCTATGTCATTGATTTTTGCTCTTAGTCTTATTATTTCCTTTCCTGCAATTACTTTCAGTCCATTTTGCTCTTGTTTTCCAGGTTCTTATGATAAATATTAGATAACTCTTTTTAAATATCTATTCTTTCTAATACAAGCATTTATCTTTTAATCATCACTCTAATTGCATCATTGTTATTTACCTATTATATTGTCATTATCATCCAATCAGAAATCTTTTCCAATTTCATTATGATTTCTTCTTTGATTCATTGGTTATTTAAAATATCAGGAAATTTAGACATTAAGTTTTTAATATAATTCTGCTTGGCACAGAGTAACTATTTTGGAAGTTGCAATTTTTTTAAATGCATAGAGAGTTATATTATAAACATTTTTTCTGTTGTTAATGTTCCATTTACACCTAGAAAAATGTGTTTACTGAATTTTGGGTGAGTTAGTCTATAAATGTTAATTATATCAGATTAGTTAATAGTATTTTTCAAATATTCTATATTCTAACTGATATTTTGTATAATTATATATTAATTATGAAAATAGCATTTTGAAATATCCATCTAAAACTGCATTTGTTTTTGTTATTTTAATGGTCCCAAATAGTTTATTTATTATATATTTTGAATTTTGTGGGTATATAGTAGGTGTATATATTTATGGGGTACATGAGATGTCTTGATACAGGCATGCAATGTGAAATAAGCACATCATGGAGAATGAGGTATCCGTCCCCTCAAGCATTTGTCCTTTGAGTTACAAACAATCTAATTACTCTCTTTAAGTTATTTAAAATGTACAATTATTATTGACTGTAGTCACCTTGTTGTTCTGTCAGATAGTAGGTCTTATTCATTCTTTCTGCATTTTCTTTTGTCACCCATTAACCATTCTCACCTTTCCCCACCAACCTTCCCACTACCCTACCCAGTCTCTGATAACCATCCTTCTACTCTGTATTTCCATGACTTTAATTGTTTTGATTTTTGGATACAACAAATAAGTGAGAACGTGCAGTGTTTGTCTTTCTGGCTGGCTTATTTCAGTTAACACAATGATCTCCAGTTCCATACATGCTGTTGCAAATGCCTCGATATTCTTTTCTATGGCTGAGTGTAACTCTATTATGTATATCTACCACATTTTCTTTATCCAATCGTCTGTTGATGGACACTTAGTTGGCTTCCAAATCTTAGCTTCTGTAAACAGTGCCGAAACAAACATAGGAGTGCAGATATCTCTTCAATATACTGATTTCCTTTTCATTGAATTCTCTAAGGATTTTCTTTTAAAATTTTGTTTTTAAGTATATAGACAGTTAAGATTGTATGGTTTTCTGATAATTTAACATTTTTATCATTATGAAATGTCCCTTTTTATCACAAGTAACATTGTGTCATGAAATCTTTTTTCCACTTGTAATTTATCCGTTCAGTCTTTCTTATGGAAAGCTGCCTTGCTTGTTTTCATGTGTAAAATATATCTCGTGTAGATAGACTTTAGTTGCATATTTATCTAATCTGACAGTCTCTCATTTTTAATTGACACTCTTTATGTTCATTTAATTTAATTATTGATATGGGTTCATTTATATCTACTATTTTACCATTCATCTTCTATTTTCTTTATTCTGTTGCTCTGCTGTTCCTCTTTTCTCAGTTTGGATCAATGTGTTTTTTTTTTGTTGTTGTTGTTGTTGTTCTTTTTTTCCCCTCTACTTTGGAATATTTGCTGTATGTTTTTGCAATTTGTTTTAGTGTTTACTCTAGTGAGTATATTATACATTCACATTTTTCATATTCCGCCTAAGGTTCATGTTTTACAACTGTAACAGAACAAAGATTCTTTCAAGTGTAATTCATTTCATCCCTATTCTTTGTGATACTGCTGTCCTATATTAGTTCTACATATTTAATACCAATAATATAATCTTTCTTTTTTGTCTTTAGAAAAAAGGAAAAAGATGGCCAATATGTACTACTTTTTGAACTCCTTATTTTATTCTAGAAATTTGCATTGTCATGTATCACTCACCTTCAGCCTGAACATTAACTATCATCTGTGCCAGGGCAAATTTGCTGTTAATAAATTCTTTCAGGTTTTATTTATTGGAAAATATCTTTATTTTATCCTTGTTCTTGGAGAATATTTTTGATCAATATAAACTTCTGGAAAAACGGTTTCACATTACTTTAAAGATTTTATTTTCTTGTCTTTTGTACTTCATTGTTTCTGTTGAGAATGTAGTTGCCATGAAAATTGAAAGTCCCTTGTATATAATATACATATTTAAGATTTTCACTGAGATGATGGGGTTTTCTAGAAATACAATCATGTTATCTGCAAAGAGGGACAATTTGACTTCCTCTTTTCCTAATTGAATACACTTTATTTCCTTCTCCTGCCTGATTGCCCTGGCCAGAACTTCCAACATTATGTTGAATAGGAGTGGTGAGAGAGGGCATCCCTGTCTTGTGCCAGTTTTCAAAGGGAATGCTGATAGACAACTTCAGCAAAGTCTCAGGATACAAAATCAATGTGCAAAAATCACAAGCATTCTTTTACACCAATAACAGACAAACAGAGAGCCAAATCATGAGTGAACTCCCATTCACAATTACTTCAAAGAGAATGAAATACCTAGGAATCCAACTTACAAGGGACGTGAAGGACCTCTTCAAGGAGAACTACAAACCACTGCTCAATGAAATAAAAGGATACAAACAAATGGAAGAACATTCCATGCTCATGGGTAGGAAGAATCGATATCATGAAAATGGCCATACTGCCCAAGGTAATTTATAGATTCAATGCCATCCCCATCAAGCTACCAATTACTTTCTTCATAGAATTGGAAAAAACTACTTTAAAGTTCTTCTGGAACCAAAAAATAGCCCACGTTGCCAAGTCAATCCTAAGCCAAAAGAACAAAGCTGGAGGCATCACGCTACCTGACTTCAAACTATACTACAAGGCTACAGTAACCTAAACAGCATGGTACTGGTACCAAAACAGAGATATAGACCAATGGAACAGAACAGAGCCCTCAGAAATAATGCTGCATATCTATAACCATCTGATCTTTGACAAACCTGACAAAAACAAGCAATGGGGAAAGGATTCCCTATTTAATAAATGGTACTGGGAAAACTGACTAGCCATATGTAGAAAGCTGAAACTGGATCCCTTCCTTACACCTTATACAAAAATTAATTCAAGGTGGATTAAAGACTTAAATGTTAGACCTAAAACGATAAAAAACCCTAGAAGAAAACCTAGGCAATACCATTCAGGACATAGGCATGGGCAAGGACTTCCTGTCTAAAACACCAAAAGCAATGGCAACAAAAGCAAAAATTGACAAATGGGATCTAATTAAACGAAAGAGCTTCTCCACAGCAAAAGAAACTACCATCAGAGTGAACAGGCAACCTACAGAATGGGAGAAAATTTTTGCAATCTACTCATCTGACAAAGGGCTAATATCCAGAATCTACAAAGAACTCAAACAAATTTACAGAAAAAAACAGCCCCATCAAAAACTGGGCAAAGGATATGAACAGACACTTCTCAAAAGAAGACATTTATGCAGCCAAAAGACACATGAAAAAATGCTCATCATCACTGGCCATCAGAGAAATGCAAATCAAAACCACAATGAGATAGCATCTCACACCAGTTAGAATGGCAATCATTAAAAAGTCAGGAAACAACAGGTGCTGGAGAGGATGTGGAGAAATAGGAACACTTTTACACTGTTGGTGGCACTGTAAACTAGTTCAACCATTGTGGAAGTCAGTGTGGCAATTCCTCAGGGATCTTCAACTAGAAATACCATTTGACCCAAGAATCTCATTACTGGGTATATACCCAAAGGATTATAAATCATGCTGCTATAAAGACACATGCACACGTATGTTTATTGTGGCACTATTCACAATAGCAAAGACTTGGAACCAACCCAAATGTTGGAAAATGATAGACTGGATTAAGAAAATGTGGCACCATGGAATACTATGCAGCCATAAAAAATGATGAGTTCACGTCCTTTGTAAGGACATGGATGAAGCTGGAAACCATCATTCTCAGCAAACTATCGCAAGGACAAAAACCCGAGCACCGCATGTTCTCACTCATAGGTGGGAATTGAACAATGAAAACACGTGGACACAGGAAGGGGAACATCACACACCAGGACCTGTTGTGGGGTGGGGGGAGGGGGGAGGGATAGCATTAACATGTTAAATGACGAGTTAAGGGGTGCAGCACACCAACATGGCACATGTATACATATGTAACTAAACTGCACATTGTGCACATGTACCCTAAAACTTAAATTAAAAAAAAAAGATTTTCACTTTATCTTGTATTTTCAGCAGTTTGATTGTGATATGTTTAACTTTGAATCTGTTGTGCTCACTCCTGCTTAAGTTTGGTGGAACTTCTTGAAAATGAAAATTTATGTGTTTTAAGCATATTTGGTGTTTTTGTCAATGTTTCTTTGTATAATTTGTAAGTCCTAATCTTTTCTTCTTATCCCCCTGGAAATTCAGACATGTGCTTATTAGACAAATTGATATCATAGTTGATTAAATCCCTATCCATATATTTCCTCAATTATTTTCTTTTTCCTTAAGATAGGATTAGTTACATTTGTGTGCCTTTAACTTCATTCTTCAGTACTCATTCTTCAGTATTCAAGCTGTGCATTTTTAATTTCATATATCGTACTCTCCAGTTCTAGAATTTTCATTTGTTTCTTTTTTTCTAGTTTCAATTTCTCAATGGTCTTTGTCTGCTAATTTAAAACTCCATGTTCCTTTGGGTTCTATTGTCATTAACTGTTTTTTTGTTGATTATGAGTACAATCCATACTTCATGTGTCTAATACTTTGATTGCATGCTTGACATTGTGCTGGCTACACTCTGGAGATTTGAATATACCACTGTCTTTTAATGAATGTTGAATTCTCTTCTGTAGGCAGTTAAAATACTGAAACTTTTTTTGTGTTGTCAGACTTTAAAAATAAATCTTTTCATGGTAAGTCTATATCATTTGTGAGCTTAGTTCTAAGATACAGCTGTTACACTAAAGCATAGCTCTTATTCTAAAAGTCTGCATTATCTCTTTTTAGTCTCAGCCAAATGTTTGAGGTGTTTGCAAAGTGTTCTTGAGGCTACTGTACTCGGGCTAAATGAGAATTACAGTATTTCATAGTAGTGGAAAAACTCTGGTACCGCTACTCTACTCTCAGCCTCACTGCAACCACAGGTTGACCAAACTGTGCCTTTCAGTGTCTTTCTCTCTGTTTGTACAGTACAGTCTTCGGCCAGAGACTCATAGTGAACCCCCGTGCATGTGTTTGTGGGGTTTCTGGAAAGTTTCTTCTTCTCTGTTACATTTTCCCACAAATCCTGGGCACTCTAGCAGTTCAAACTTCAGACTTCTGCCTCCTCAGCTCAGGAAGACTATTGTTTGCTTTGGACTTTACCTTCTAGTACCATGGTAGTCAATAACGGTCCTCTTTAGAAAGCTGGTATGAGCATGAGTTTTTTTCTTTTTTTTTTTTCCCCATGACCCTGTTATTTTTATTCCCGAATTTTTTAAAACAGTCACCATTTTTTTTCAAAATTTTTGTTTATAGAAAGAGGCAGATCTGGTACTAACTGTTTTTATTCATGCTCAGAAACAGAAATTGTATTATTAATTATATTTGGAGCTGAATATAATGGTGGATAAGAGGTGGTCTTTGAAAATCGTATGTATAATGTCAGGTATAGTGAGCAAGAAGAAGCTATGCACTAAAAATTTTGGTTTAGTTGTGGTCCTATAATGATAAATAATTATAGAAGAAGGACTAAATTGGGTCCTAAATTTTTGTGCCAAGAGATTCACTGAGATACAGACAAACATATGTGGCAAAGGGAAGCCTACACTTAATCCCAGAAAATAAAGAGATGTTATTAATTTTAGAAGTTAGGTGGAATTTAACTGATCCAGTGAAAGAATCAGTTGGACAGGTCAGATTCCTTTGTAAATATACTGGAAAATATGAAAATACTAAAAAGGGAAAAAGAAAGGCTGGAAAACACAGGCATAAAAGGATTCACTGAAATTTCAATACCCTGGTGGATTCCCAGTATGATTGTTCTGTGACAGCAGATTTACGATGTATCTCCCTGCCTCTGGACAAAAAGGACAATTTATATGAAATGTCAAGAATACGGCAAATCCATACAGATATTACTATGTTCGTCTCTTTCTTTTTCCAAGTGAATAGACCCAGTCCAAGAATACCTGACACATGGTGATGTTAGCAAAGAAAGAACATGGAACTCTTTCCCCAGCAATATGTATTTAAAAAAAGAGATCCTTTAGCCTATATTTCTTCCTAAAAAATTCCCGTTCCAGAGCTCTTACATAAACTTCTAACCGTTGTGTAAACCAGCAGCATTACTTACAAAGAAGGTGGTAGGGAATTTAATGGGTCAAAGTCATTCAATGGAGATGGCTGAGCTCAAAACACTTAGTGATTGCCCTGTTATTAGCTACCTCCATGAGATCACATTTTTAGATTTCATGTATGAGTTAGCACATGTTATATTTGTCCTTCTGTGCCTGGCTTATTTTACTTAACATAGTGTTCTCCAGTTTCATCTATGTTACAGAAAATGAAAAGATTGTATTCATTTTTATTGCTGAATGTGTGTGTATCACATTTATTTTATGCATTCATCTTTTGATTGACCTTTAGTTTGATTCCATATCTTGGCTATTGTGAACAGTGCAGCAGTAAAATGGAGTTGCAGACATCCCTTCTTTGGGAAGATATGGATGGAAAAAGGGTTGATTAACGTATGTAAAAATACAGTTAAATGGAAGGGATAAGTTAAAGTATTCAACAGTACAATAGAGAAACTATAGTTAACAATAATTTATTTCATGTTTCAAAATAGCTGGAAGAGAAGATCTGGAATCTCCCCAACACAAAGAAATGATAAATGTTTGAGGTGATGGATATCCTAATCATCCTGATTTGATTATTACACATTACATGCTTATATCAAAATACCACATTTATCCCATAAATATGTACAGCTATTATGTATTAATAAAAAATAAAAAATTAAAAAACTGGAAGATATTGTGTTTAACTTTTTCTATTTTTGTATGAAGCACAGTTACTAGTATTAGCCTATATTTCTTTTTTTTCTTTTAGGAGGCAGCTGGCTTTTAAATAATGAATAATTGGCCTTATGAGAAGAAACTTCCTTGTAAATAGTTTAAACTAGCAATGAGCAAACAGTGAATATGAAAAAAGGAAACAAATTTTTAATAAACCATGTAAATTGTCATTTTTTCTGTTCTTATTCTTTAATGCCCAGATCTACAGGTATATGAATAAAATTAATAATTATCCTAGGAAATATATAAATAAGAGTATAATTTTATATACTACCCTTACTATCTTTAGTGCAAAGAAAAGTAAGAAATATTTATAGTGTGGTGGAAAACATAAAAATTTATTTACAATATAATATTATCAGTGCAACTCAAGGCAATCTACCACAGGTCATGAAATTCAGAAAAGAAAGATCTCACCAAGTTTGCGGTGGCAGATGGACTCAATAAATCATTCTAGAAAGAAGTGATGTCCTTGATGAGTCTTAAATGATTAAAGTAAATATCTGAGTACACTAAGACAATACTTCATAAAGAAGGAATAACATGAAAAATTATAAAGTCTCATTAAGGGAAACTTCCATTAATGTATTTACAGTGCAACATGAAAGTTAAACAGAGAAAAAAAGGAGGCATGTATTGGTTTTCTTATTTGAGAGTAATTTTCTAGGAGATTTAAGATTATAACGATATTTGCAGTTTAGATAGATTATACAAGGGGAATAGTTTTGAGGAAAATCCATCTTAAAGTAAAAAGTACACTCCGAATCAAGAGATGGTTACCTCTAATTAAAGCCCAGATGACAGGTGTCATATAGAGGTGGGACAATTGTTATAAATAAATACTTAGGAAGTGAAATCTCTAGGGCTTGGTGATTGACTATATGTGGGAGAAGGTGGAGGTAAAAGCAATAGACAACTCTCAGGTTTAAACTTGGGTGACTGAGTTGATGGAAGTATAAGGAGATATACCGAAGAAGGGTCAGACAGAGGAAGAATGAGTAAGTGTTCAATGTGATTGAATTTGACTTTGAGGTATTCATATAGAACCCAGGTAAAGTCTCAGCGAGGAAGTCTAGGCTGGGGTAAATTTTAAGATCCATACCATAGTGAAGATTGTAAAAACCATAAAAAATAATAAGTTCAACTTGGGAAGAAAATATAGAATTTTAAAAGAGGAGGATCAAGGATGAAACACTAGGGGACATGAGAGTTTAGAATATGAGGGCAGAAAACAGAACAGAAATAAGAAAAAATGTATTACTGTGTGAAGAATGAAATAAGAGGGGCATTAAATTGTGGAAACATAACCTTTCTAACAAATATTGCTAGGAGAACTTGATACCCACATGCAAACAATGGAGCTGAGCCCCTCCTTCACAAATACACAAAAGTTGGATTCACAGACCTATCTTTAAGATCTAAAACAATAAAAATCTTAGAAGAAAACAAAGGCATACATATTCATAACCTAGTGTGAGGCAAAGCTGTCTTAGATACAACCTCAGGAGTATAATCATAACATTCAAAGTAGGTGAATTGAACTTTATCAAAATTAAAAATATTTGTGGTGCAAATGACACCAACAGGAAAGTGAAAAGAAAATCCATGGATTAGGAAACATTTGCAAATCACATATCTAAGGGGGATTTGTACCCATTATATAGACAGAACTCTTACTAGGCAAAAATAAAACTCAAAAATTAATTGAAAAAATAATTTAATAAATGTATCTTCAAAAATGTGTATGAATAGCTAGTACGCACATGAAAATATGTTGATAGTGATTATCAGATAAATGCCTATAAAAATGAGATAAGACTTCACATCAGCTAAGATGGCTATAATAATAAAAGGATAGATAAATAATTGCAACTAACAAGTTTAAGGTTGTAAAGAAATCGATACCTTCATATATTACTAATGAAAATGTAAAATGGTGCAGCTATCTTGAACAAGAGTTTGGCAGTTTCTCAAAATGTTAAATGTAGAGTTACCATATGATCCAGGAATTCCACTTCTAGGTATATATCCAAGAGAACTGAAAACAGATGTTCACACAGAAACTTTTATGTGAATGATCATAGCAGAGTTTTTCATAATAGCGAAAGTATGAAAACAACCATAATATCCATTAACTGATGGATGGATAAACAAAATGTGGTATACCCTTACAATGGAATATTATTCAGCAATAAAAAGAAATTAAGTAACGATATATGCTATAATACAGATGAACTTTAAAACATGAATGTGAAAGAGAGTAGTTATATGAAACCAGATACAGTATGATTTAATTTATATGAAATGTCAAGATTTGGGTCAATCCATAAAGAGAGAAATTAGATTGGTGTCTGTGGGGGTTCAGGAGAAGGGATAAAGTGGGGACCAGTGAGTGATTACTCGTAGGTACAGGATTTCTTCTGGGCATGATGAAAATGTTCTGGAATTATATAACGATGATGATTTCATAATCTTATGGATGTGTATAAAAGCACTAAATTACACACTTTAAAATGGTGAAGTTCTTAGTACCTGAATTAAATCTCAATAAAGCTGTTTTTAAAACAGCTTCTATATCTCCTAATCCTAGCACTTTATAGAGACTCAGCACAACTGCTTGGGTTTTCTTGATGTTCTTTTTCAGACTTGGGTACAGTTACCACAAACAATGCTTGCTGACTCCAGTGTTAGGACTCAGCATAGGATAAGTAGTTTAAGATAAGTGAATTGCTATCTGTACTAATGTATCTTTAAAATTCATCTACCAATTCTCCAAAGCCACAAAATTTATTCTGAATTTAGGTTTTTATGTGACAATGTGGACAGAATGTCATGGGTGATGGAGATTCCTGGTTTTGTAATTTTCCTAGAAGAAAAGACTTCTGCTGAGAGACACATCTGTACTTGAATTCAAAATAATACTTCAATTCTCTACATCTGTGGGAGTTTCCAGAATCTTACTTATACCTTTCAAGATGTACTCCCCTACTATGTTGCTCTCATGCCCTTCCAAGTTAGATGTCTTTTGGAGAGATTTTTTTTTTTTTCTTTTTGGCTTGCAGTAAATGCACAAAGGCCAACAAACTTTGTGGTTCTTTATAGATATCCAATATAGATACAGTGTAAAGAAAGTTCATTCTGACTTTTTTATTCATTGATATTAGATAATTTGGTTGTTGTTTTATGTTATATGTCTAGTTGAAAGTAAAAAAAACTTAGGTTGGGGAAAGTTTTTTCTTACATGTGTATAATGTTTTTCTCTCAAATAAGCATACATTTTGAAGTAATGCAGACTGAATTTGAATGCCATCGCCACTATATAAGTCTCTGAGTGACCTTGAGCAAGTTACTTAACTACTCTGAAACTGTCACCTTAACTGGAAAAGAGAAAAATACTAGAAATAACTACCACATTTGGTTTCTATGATTAGGACGTAAGATAATGGATGCAAAGTTGTTATATAAAAAATGTATTCTACAAATATGAGTGTTATTTCCTGGTGCACACATTAAAAAAATTGCCAAGTAGCCTTATGTCTTTGTTGAGTATACAACTCAAGTAATCTCCTTCAAAGTGAGCAGGGAATCTATGTTAGAAAACCCTGGCAGGAGCAAACCAGAGTTTTTATTTTACTTGGAATCAGAGTTCTGTTTTAGAAAAGTGTGGTGTCGTTTTTTTCTCTTAAATGATATGCAATTCACATGTTAGTTTATTTGTATATGCCTACTTATTAGGCATATACAAGATCGATAATGTTGTGGATCTTATTATTATTGCCCAAGGGGCTAATATTCACTTTTCAAAACTTATTACTCATCTAGTTCAGCAGCTCAAGATTTTGAAGCAAATCTGTTTTACATACATGTCTTAACCTTCAATCCCATTTAAAAAAAATAGTAAATTAGATGGTTAACCTTTTAGATTTGCATCCTCTTTAAAATAAAGCTTTACAGCAAATGCATTTTTCCTACAAATGTCTTCGAAAATGAGATTGAAGAGGATGTATCATCTAAATTTTTCTGTAAAGAGCTTGCCCCCGAAATAATTGGAACATGAACTGAAACCTCTAGATAGGAATTCCTGGACACAGCTGTCCATTATCTTTCGGGACTTTGGTGCACCTCACCCTTTACTGAACACAACTTTGTGTCAAACACTGGGCTAGGAGTGCTAGTTGTGATGTTTGAGGCAACAGTGGAATTTTTCTTAGGACTTAGTAGAACCAGTTCTTTTTTTTAATATGCATAGTCAGATTTTGATGATATTCAGTCTGCTCATATCTATAATAGTGATATTAACGTCTATTTCACTAGGATGGCTCTTGTGAAGATTAAATTAAATACTGTATGAAGAAGTGCCTTATACACAGTTATATAACCAGGATAATATCCAGATGGAATTCTCATTCTCTCTCTCTCTCTCTCTCTCACTCTCACTCACACACACACACACACACACACACACACACACACACATGCAATATCATCTTATAAATATCCTAGAATTGAATATCTCAGTAGCAGAGATAGTAGTTCTGTTTCTCAGAATTGCTTTTGCAAAATGGTGTTTTGGATTATAATTGTGCTATTTAATTTTTCTAATTAAAATTTCTAAATAGAGCCTATTAAATATTGGATGCTTATGATAGAACATTTGAAAATATAGAAAACCAAATGACCTACAAAACCTCTACCTTCCAGTACCATCATTCCGAGCTGATTACTGTTAACATTTTAATGGTTTTTGTCCGCTAGGTCTCCTTGATGAGTTTCACCTGAGGAAAAGGACTCCTTCAGGTGTGTGAACTTGAGCCACCAGGTCCAACCCCATTGGCAGGTGCTGGTACAGACGACTGAAATCAGAGGAAGATCAGAAATCTTCAAAACCCAGAGCAGCAGATGTCTTAACGGTCCCGAAACGTTCTTTGGTTCTTTGCAGTCAACATTCACGGGTTAAGAAGATTGCAATGCCATGACGGGCTGAGGTTGCATTTCTGGACGCTGCTTACTCCCGCTTCCTTCCATCTGTTTCAGGCAAATCATTATGCAGTTCTAATTAGAACAATCTTCTAAACACTCTCTCCAGAGCGACGTTCTTCCAAACACGGTTTAAGCGGCGAGAGACACCTGCCTAGGACCCTACGCGTCTGGAAGTCTCTCCCAGTGAATTGGGTCTCATCTCCTGCCGAGTACGCAAGTTCAATTATCGGCAGATTAGGTTTCTACTCTCCGTGCCCCGCCCCGCGCCATCCTGGGGAGCAGCGGGAATAAATGATCCGCCCCTGGCCAGTGCTCACCCGACTGACCAGAGCGCAGCCCGGTGACCGAAGCGCACGGGGCGATCGCGAGGCGCCCCCTCCCTCTCCCCGCGCCGCCTCCAGCGCGAGTGACGGCGCGCCCTCCGGGCTCCGGAGCGGCGGCGCCGAACAATCCCCGGCAGGGCTCGCCTCGCCGGTGACATCACTCCTGAAGATACTCCTCGCTCCCAGCGCCTGCCTTCCCCAGGCGTCCGTTCGTGTGCCCGTCTCCGCCTTTCCGCCTCGGAAGAGCGCTCATCACTGGCTGGGGACAGAGCCGGGCACCAAGGAGCGACAGGATCCCGAAGAGAGAGAGAGAAGGCAGCGAGGGAAGGAGGACCCCGGCAGGCAGCAGCATGAAATTCAGCCCAGCGCACTACCTGCTGCCTCTCCTGCCTGCGCTGGTCCTCAGCACCAGGTGAGTCCAGGAGCGTGAGTGACCTGAGGCCAGGGGCGCTGCCGGGGCGAGGTTGGTCCTACTGTGGGTCACCAGTGGGGGCCAAGGCACTTCAGCTGTTTGCATCTCCCGCCTAAGCAAGAGGGACGCTGTATGGTTTGGGCTCTGAAATCCTTCTGAGAGAGCAGAGCCCTTTCCTAGTTATCCCAGCCCCCTGGAGAAAGTCTTAGGATTGCTCTCAGTGAGGGATCAAAAGCTTTCTCTTCCGAAGGAGAGAAAAGACATTTTACCCTCCGGTCCTATTAGTAGCCAAAAGGTAACACGCGGTAAAAGAACAAAATAAAGAACGGAAATAGGCAAGGAGGGAATTGCCACCAGGCAGTGTCTTTACATTGGAGTTGTCTTAATAACCATAGAGCTTCTCCCTTCCCCCAAGTGTGCCTGATTTAAGGAAGAGGAAACCAGAGAAAACAGATTAATCCTGGAAGATGCTAAGACTTGTACAAAAGTTCCTGGACTCCTGAAATGGCATGTTTCAACGTCTTGGATAAGCTTAGTGATAGGCGTTTTCTTTTGACTGTCTTGTGAACAGGTCTAATTAAAGAGCACAGAAGGCGATTAAAAGTTAGAAGACACTCTCAGAGTGCTGATGCAGAGACCCTAGTCAGAAACAATTAAGTACTGTACTCCATCACTGGCCATGGATGGGACTTTAAGCCCCATTACAGAGGAGCTATTTTTGGTGGAGATTTAAAATGCAGAGATTGAGAAGAGTTTTGTGACTCCCCACTGTTGATCAAGTCCCAAAGTTGTGATGGGTTTGCTTTTTTCTTCCACAAGCGCAGCACAAAGGTGGACTGTTTAGTTGCCCAGGACTGTCTTTATTCTGCATGCCCTTAGCATCATATTGGCAGCAACCTCTTTCCCTTGGCTACTATAAAATAAAATAACCCACACAGGATGAAGATCCTTTCAAGTCTACGTGAATAGAAACATTATTTGATTGTGCATCTGATGGCAAATAAAGTAGGGATATAGGGTTGTTTCTAATTCTGAAATGGAAAAGGATGAAGAAAACTTACTCTGTCTTACAAATCAAGGCTGTAAAATTCTTGATTCCGTTCCTAATCTACACACCTTCTTTCAGGCCTGTGTAACCAAACTTTCCTTTTAGTGTAGAGACTATTTCATTTACCCTCAATAATTGATAAATTTAGTCTTTCCTTGCAAACAAAGCCCAGGTGACTTTCCCAGATTAAAATGAAATGTAAGTTTGATTCTTCATTTTCTGTAAGGTTTGCTTGTCACTTCAGCTCATAAAGTGCAGATGGTTTTAAAGAAAACCAGTTTGCTTCCCAGTATTATAATTAGTTGCTCTAAATACAGAGCCCATTTTAATATTTGTGGTTAGCTCTCAACAGTTCAATACAAATTATGCATCACAGTTATTCTTTAAATTCTTGCCATTCACTCTTATGTTGTGATTTAGTCTTCTAGAGAAAGGAAATTTTCTAACTTTGGACACTTAAGTAGATGACAGTCAACACATGCATAAATAATAGGAAATATTTAAACAATAGAAATCCAGCCCACAGTGATTTTAGACTGTGAACATCTCTAGAGTTCCAAAAGTACATTTGCTTTTTAAGGATACTATAATTAAATTGAATGAAAAAGCTCTATAGTCTCTAGCGTCCAAAGATTTAATGTTCGATATCTAATACAGGGTCAAAAAGCCATTATCTTTTCCTTTCATGAAAGTGTTGATTTTGATAGGGATAAATTTCTTTAAAAATAGTTAACACACTTATTACAACAAAAACTGGAATAATCATCTATTTCACTTTAGCTTTGAAACTTCTGCAATGCTTGTGGTATGTGAAAACTATGGTTATTAAATTTTACCAGAAGAGAATGCTGGGCTTGAAAAAGATGAAATATTTATAATAAGTAGCATATCTTATTAATGTGATTACTCTGTAGGAATTCATTTTACTGGATACCCAGAATACCCTGTGATATTGAACAAATATGAAAAGCAATGCGGTACTATCAGTGTCATTTTGCAAAGAAGAGAATATGTTTTAAAGATCTCTAACAGAAGGCCATTCTGTGTATAATATTTAACAGTTCTTATAGGCACATGGTTATTGTGCAGATTAGAACCTAAACTGAGCAGCTTTGAAAGGACAGTTGTGTTAGTAGGGATGAGCTTATTGTCCTGCTGGGAAAAGCTGAGTAGCTCAGCCATGGCCACCTGGGACAGTGGGTTTTCTGGCCAAAGACTTCTGTTAACTTAGTTTCTTAGTCAGTAGTCCTGTATGTGAAGCAAATGGTATTTCACATGTTTAGATCACGCTGGATGCATTAGCAGGTGGTGGTAATTGCTAGTTTTTCCTATAGCCTTTGGGTAATCTCACCTGTCTTTTATTGTCAAACTCTTTCCAAAGTGTAGGGAATGCAGAGCGGAGACTCTTAATGCAAATATATATATATATTTGTTTCATTATATCTTTCTCTGAGTGCATTGCCTTAATACTTTGCTATTTTATTTCCAATAGGTCTGAAGTTCAGTTCTATTTTAAAGTAATCTGTTCAGTGAAACAAATGCTGCAGGTGAAAAGGTAGTCTTTTGACTGTGTTGTGAACAGGTCTAATGGTATCTAGCCCACAGCGACTATCCTGTCTTTTAAACAGAAATTTTTGAATAGAAAACAATCCTGCCTTTTAAATAGACATTTTTGAATAGCTTTCTCTTTTTGCTTGTTCCTCCTTCTCACCTTTTCTGAAGCAACTTTAGATGCTGAAGCACAAAATCCCATAATTTAATCACAGTGAACATCAATGGCCCCCAATCAGAGTTAATGTATTTGTCCTGAAAGAAAGCTAAATGTTCAATTTACACAAAAGCCAAGCATTTTTCTCTGTTTTACTGGTAAACCCCATAGAGTTTTAAAAAACGAACAAAGAAAAAGAGCTGTTTAATGTCCTGGCATATGGTCTCTCCTGCTTAGAAAATGCATATAAATTACCAAAAAAAATCAAGTTAATGATATGAATAATGTAACTAATACAGAAACTCATTTAAACTGTACACAAATAAATGTGATCAAAGAAAGCAAACATGTTGGTTTAATAGCTTTGGAGTAGAATGACTATACTTTTAAGATAGCCTTGTTGTATAGTATTAAATTGCTATTCCAAGGTAGGCAGTAATTCACTTCAGAAAGAAGCAGTATAGGTATTGAAAGTAATGGTAGGGTGAAAAATTCTTTAGAAGTTCTTGGTGAAAAGGGACCCATGGAGTGCTGGAGAAGGCTCATGCTTTATTCTGCTGAACCTCTGTTCCTTTACGCTGTGGTTATACTCTTGATGCCTTTGGATTGTTAACTTTTAAATGACTTAATAAGGAGAGAGACATGGCAGGGGAGGAGTGAAGGTCTATTGACTTCTGGTGGTTTTCCATGAAGCAAGAACTTTGAGCAGATGGTCGGTTATAGTCCTCCCAACAGGAGTCACCTTAGAGGTCTCTCCTGGACTGTCTGATCAGCAGTCACACTACATGTTTATTTTGGAATCTATTTTTAGATGATACTATATATTGAAGATGCCCCGGGCTATTTGTTCCGTGAATTAAACTAACCTCAAGATCAACTTGATTTGTAGAATAAAGGACAAGAATCACAATAAACACAATGAGAACACACAAAAAATATTTTTACCCAAATAAATTTGATGCAAGAAGCAGTCTCACCTTAACTCTCCTGAAATATTTTGAGGCAACATGGGTTTGCTTCCTAAGTCCTGTGCACAGTGTCTGCCACACATGACATTTTACAGGATGCTACCTACGTTCCTTTATTTGTGATAAAAATTGTACCTTCCATGTAAATGAGATAGAGGTATGGCTTTCTTAAGAAGATATTAACACACAAATATTTTGACTTCTTACATTGCAGTTTTGCACCTTAGTCACCTATTTCCAATAGCAGTTTTTAAAATGACTTATCTGGTGATTATCTTTGTGGATTAAATTTTCTCTGTGATTAATGATAGGGACATCTCAAATATTTGATTTGTCTGTACAGTTGTCCTTAACCAAACTCCATGTAATTGAAAGGAAGAACTTGACCTTCTAACTAAGAAGCAAAGATCACTGAAACCAATGAGGAATGCGTGGTTCTAATGAAATAATGTTTTCTGGTGTGTGTTATAAGAAACTATGTGTGCGGCTGTTTCTCAGTGACTTCTAGAAGATTTGCTAAAATCCCTTTTACAAATGGTGCTAAATCATTTAAGTAACCTGATTAAACAGGTACTGTTTAAAATTATGGTTCCTTTTCTGAGAAATCCAAAAAGACTCTCTGAACTTGTCTTCATCCCTGTAGACATGTCTTTGATGTTTCATTATCATGCAGTAAGAATGTGCCTGCTATCAGTCAGTTATTACATGCACCATCAGGGCAATAAAACAATAGATTAGTTATGTATATCCATAATCTAGTCATACATACAAATAATGATATATAAAACAAAATTGGGTAAATAACAACAAAATTTTACACAAATTTCTAAGTGTGAATGAAGCAAAGAGTTAATAATGCCAATTAAGTGGTGTCTGGGGCAACTTCTACTTTCCAAGGATATTGAAAAGAAAAATATTTTGTGATCAACCTCAATATCCTGCCACACTTACTATATGTTATTAGGTAAACTTCTTATCCTCTCTATCCAGTTTTCTGATGTAGAACACAGACCTCCCCATAACACCTACTTGAGAAGGTAACAGCCTTCAATTGTAAGGACTGAATGAGTTCATCCGTGGAAACAGTTTAGCATATTCCCTAAGTACTCAACAAAGGTTAGCCTGTACAGTTATTATGGTATTATTAATATTATTTTTATAAAATCTTTGTGATTGATTTGGCCATAGCAGAAAAAAGAAAAAATATAGATACAAATCAATTAGGTGACATGAAATTAACAAGAAGCATAGTCATCATCCAAAAGAAAAGAATGATTGGTAGAGAAGAGAGGAAGTCAGAGGTATAATGGGGGTTATTTGGTTATTAGGCTAGTTTTTTTCCAAAGTATTTTGTTTGTTTGTTTGTTTGTTTTTGAGATGGAGTCTTGCTCTGTTGCCAGGCTGAAGTGTAGTGGTGCCATCTCGGCTCCCTGCAATCTCTGCCTCCTGGGTTTAAGCAATTCTCTGCCTCAGCCTCCTGAGTACCTGAGATTACAGGCGCCTGCCACCATGCCCGGCTGATTTTTTCGTATTTTTAGTGAAGATGGGGCTTCACCATCTTGGCCAGACTGGTCTTGAACCCATGACCTCATGATCCACCCGCCTCTCGACCTGCCAAAGTGCTGGGATTACAGGCATGAGCCACCGTGCCCAGCCCCTCCAAAGTGTTTTTGATGGTGCTGTACACTTTGGTGAACACCATGAAAATCTGGAATATTTAACTTAATGACTTAGAATGAGATTTAGCATAAAAGTGAATATTTGTCTGTTTGTATACCTAATTAAAATGTAATTGCTATAAATTTTGATATGAAATCAAAGCTGTGAGTACAAGTGTCAAGGAATAAAAGTGGAAGTTTTCAAACTATATAGGTAGGGTAGACTTGAAAGTTTTTATGACTTTATTTTCTACTTCTTCATTGATTTCATCATTTACCAGCAACATTTAAAAGGTACAAATGTTTAGAAAAATTAAAGGAATAAAAGATAGTATTGACATTTTTTTTTACTACGGAGAACAAATTAAGAATCACTGATATAGAGGCAGCCCAACCATTGTAGTTTTGAAAATGACCATATGAAAGGGATCTTATACTAAGTCAGTTTTAAAATAGCTTTAGTGGTTGTTGACCATCAACTAGTTTGCACATACATTATCATAAACTTTTCACAATTATGTAATAACATTCTGACTATTACATGAAAAATATATTTCTCTTTATTTTGCTATAGATTACTGTGTGAATGTGAATGTGTTGACAATGACATCTATGAACTGAGTGGATCATAGAAAACGGTGTAATTTACCGCTAAGAGTAGATGAAAGGTACAGATCATGTCAAGCTTGCATCAGAGAAAGTGCAAATATTTACTAAGACGTCTAAGAACTTTGCTTCATGAGTATGAAGACAGAAGGTGAAGGTCACCCAAGTAAACAGTGTTCTCTGAGGATTCTTTCGTAAACCCTAGGAGACATAATTATACCATAGGTAGTGATTGCATTGCAATTATGTCTGAATTGTTTGGTGTTGCTTTCCAGTGTTTTAATCTCTTTAAGTGTACTTTAAAAAGCCTACGATTGGGACACATATTGTGAACACAAGAATGTGTTCTAGTCCAAAGCCCTACAATTTAGAGGTGAGAAAACTGAAACCCAGGGTGACTGAGACTTGCCCAAGGTCGTAAAGGGAAACAAACTAGAACCCAGAACTTTCCACTATATTCATTCTGTTCTGTTATGTGAATGTTCACTATGACATAGCTATTCTGTAATTAAGCAACATGTGACTAGTTAGTACCTATGAAGAATCCAGAACTATTCTAGTTATTATGGAGTATAAAATAACTTAAAAACAAATTGTTGCACCACATGTAATCATCATAGAACAACAGGCCGTAAGACAAAGGGAATTACAGTAATAAGCAGTTGAACATCCTGTGTTTAGTAGATTTTTGAAGAATGAGCTGGCCTAAATAAGATTCTAGGTCATTTTCAAAACTCAAAGCAGAGTCATTAATGAGTTCTCATCATTGCACACCATTTACCTCCCATAAGATACATCTATAATGGTTCCTGCTGACCTTTCAGTTCTATTGTAAGGTGATATTTTTGGTGCCTTTGAGATCTTTCCATTGAAAGTATTTCCTGTAACTATAGTTCTCAGACATTTGCTGATATAAATCTCACTTGATAAATCTGTGCTGAAACTGTGGTATTTCTCAATGGGCAGCATGCTAACTATCTTGCAAAGATGTGTTCCTAAATATGTTCATACCTGGCTTTAATATAAGGTTACATTACATTTTCTTTGGTTTACATTTCTCTACACTGTCGTCACAGTTTGTGTGATGATGTAGTTATAGATATATAACATTTTTAGGTTCAGATGGTTGTAGAATATTCCACCTGCACATGTTATAAGCTCTTTGCCTTTGAATATGTTCTTTAACCATTCTGAAACTTAATTTTCCCCTCTGTAAAAAGTAAAACAATAATATCTAATATTTAGGGCCATTAAAATTAAATAAAATGTATTTAAGTGTGTCTCAGGGCACATAGCTGTGCCTTGTAGTCCCTCAGAATATGCTAAGATGTGTTCATTATTACTATACATAGATATGATGATTTAATATGTTTATTTTATATAGAACACCTCAAGCAATCAGCATGTAATTTAATAATTTTTTTTTAAATTCAAAATAAATGAAGTCCTTAATTTCATAGTTCTAGACTAGTACAGCCAAAATTATAAAATTATAATTTATTTTCTAATAAGATTCTCCTGGGGCCAGGGCAAGCGGGGAACTAACCCAATGAATGGCTTTCATGAAGATGTGAAACATTACCCATTTCTGTGACAGAATGCATTTTAGAGAGTACCTGCAGAGAAAATGCTTTACTCTAATTTCTAATTCTCACCGATAATTTAATAACTGAAGGTCACAAGCATTTGGCATCTCATCTTCAGGTTCCTCTTTTTATTTTTTCCTTTCTTGCTTGAAAACGAGTAAGACTGAAAGTGGGCAGTGACTCGCTGTCTTCCAAACTAGTTTTCAGAGCTAAGGTATTGGTAAGGGCTAAATCAGATTCTGGGACATTCATCTCATGTCCCCTGTGGAGGATGTGACTTCTTCTGACTTCCTCCTGCCTGTCCTCCAGAGGGTTATGATGGTTTCTGACCTTCAGATTCTGATTCAAAACATACTGTTACCATCTAGAATCACTTATTCCATGAGTGCTGATAAATGGAGTCGGGGAGTTTAGGGGAGGAATGGAGATGACAAGAGGTGTTTGTCGTGTTGCATGGGGTTAAATCCAAAAGAATCCAAGCTCAAACGGAGACTCTGAATCAGCCTTCCTTGTTATATGAATTTAGAAATGTCAATGAACATCTCTTAGCCATATTTAACAGTGCCTCTCTCATAGATATGTCAAGAGGATTGAATAAGCTAATGTATAAAGAATAGCATCCAGCACAGAGAAATACAGCTCACTATATCGACAGTCTACATTATCTAATTAAAATTTTACCCTACCAGATTGTACATGCATTTCAGCAAGAGAGATCATTGAGAAAAGCTCATGTGGCATAGACAAGTTAGAATTGTTGATGAAGAGTTTGTGGAGCTCATGCCTAACCTCCTTTATTACAAACTAAAAAAACAAATAAAATGGTATTTTTCCTTCAAGAACATGCAGATAATTTGGGGGCAATGTGGAAGCCAATTCTCTATTATCTTAACCAATTCCAGTTGGGAACACTAATTTAAACAACTATAAGGCTTTTAAGAGAAAAAAAAATAAAGAAAGACAGTATTACCTGACCTCGTTTCTATCTGGTGCCTGAAGCTCCAAATTATGTTGCTATAATATGGGTAAATATTAAATATAGGTATAAAATAATTGTTACAATTATATTTCCATATTAATTATTTTAAAGAGGATTCATTGTTCAAGATTACCTACAGGTGGCAGGACTAAATGTGTAAATCATAAAACAAGGACAGCGTAACATTAACAAGACAATTGACAAGTTGAAGGTCCTGGACTTCTAAAATTAAGTAATCCTACAATGGGATAAGTTTGGTCATGACCTGCAGAGAATGGTCCAGAAGAGGGACTAGGATGGTAGAAGGAAAGGAGAAACTTAGCACACTTGAGCTATTGGAATGTAGCGTGCTTGGAAAGATACTATAAGAGAGGAAGGGAAAGCACCAATCACTAGCTTTTTCTTTATATATAATTTTCTCTTTTCTAATGCTTGCGGTCATTTATTTCTGGCCTTTGAAGTAAACTAAGCATTGGGCAGGAAAAGGTGGGAAAGTCTCTGAATTATAAAAGAAACAAGAAAATGCATGAAAAATTGGAGTAACATCTTAGGAAGACACAGATATGGGCAGAAGCAGCTTTATATTGTTGTAGCTTTTTCCTTCAGATGCCACAGAGAAAAATGTTAGCTCCTTCTGCGTGCACACAGAAAAGTGAGGGGCAATTTTTTCTTTTTCTGACATGACAGTTTAGAAAGATATTGAAGTATATCAAATCCCTTTTGTGTGTTCTCTATATGTCTTTATTTCAGTTGGCCATTTTATAGAATGATAACCTACAGGTTAGACCAAGATTTCTGAGGACTAATCGTGTGTGTAGAAGTGCTAGCTACTTACTCTTTGTCACTTAATCCTTACCTATGACAACACATTATATTCATATATGATTCATCACTAGGGACCCCTAAGTTTTGCACTCATTAAATGACTATCCCATATTCCCCCAGCTAAAAATTGGCCAGACCCTAGGTCATTATTCTAAGAATGGCTTTATGAATGAAACTATTAGGCTGCCTATATAGAATCTAGTCTCTGTATAAATGTACAGTGAAGAAAGTAATAATCAGTACTACAAATAAGAAAGCAGAAGCTAAACCATACTGGCAAAGGACTGCATGTTTTCAATAGGTGAGACAGAGTACATTAAAAATATTCTTAAAATAAATCAGCTAAAATATTCATTAGTTTGAAAATCAGCCAAATAAAGCCTTTATTATAAATACAAAAGTTTGCCAGGTAATACATGTTCTCAATTTAGTTTCTCCAAGTATGCTCCTCATTCTAATTGAATGATAATTACCTGTGATGGTCCTTAAAAATACATATTTCAGTTCCTACCCTAGACATTGAATTTTCATTTTAATATGGAACTTCCTATGTATATGAGAGCTTAGAAACTACAGCTCTAGTATTGCAGAACTATAAACTCTAGTATACTTTCATCTCTTTACCATTTACTCAACATGCAAATTGTAGCTGAAGTCAGGAGAATGGGAAGATGTTGATGTTTTGGCAAAAATCACACCTTTACACATGTGTATAAATACATTTAGTAAATGAGGATCTCATTGTGCTCCAGGCTGCTTTTATCAGTCAATTTAAATGAAAATAATTATCCGCCTCACATAGCTTTCTTTAAAGGGCTGAGAAAATGCTCAAATAAATTGTGTAAAATATTTACATGGATTTATCAGGGGGCATAGTGTATTTAGAAAATATGAGACAAAAGGTGAAATGTCTGAGATAAACTACAAAGAATTCACACTTAACTTTCTCTCCCTCCCTAGCTTTTATCACTGCAAGTTATATAATAAAGAGGCAAAAAAACCAAGACCTACACATGAAGCCATATAAATGCTTGTTCTAGGCTACTTGGGGCAGGAAATCTGAACTTTCAAAATGAGGAGAAGTAATATTTACGTGGTAAAAATTAAAGTTTTGATCATCTTCTCCCTACTCCCCTTAAATGGTGGTTGGTTTTGCATGATGTTAAACACTTTTTTCTAAGAAATGTGTGAATTAAATAGAATGTGCAACTATGCCAGTCATATTGCCCTAGTGCCTAAACTCTGTATCATTAGTTAATTCTCCTAGAGTGAAAAAAGAAACTCAAAATATAAATAATAATATAATATTTATAATAATATAAATGAATAGTACTTAGCAATTATATAATACCATCAACCAGGTTAATCTTTACAATAAACCTTGAGGTGATTACTGATGTTGCCCTAATTTTATAGATGTAGAAACTAAGGCACATGAGATTAGATTACTTGGCCAACATTATAACTGGTAAGCAGTGGAGTCTAAATTCAAAGGCCAGGTGGCACTAGAACATACATTCTTAATCACTGTACTACAGTGCCTCCTAGGATATAAAGTGAAGCTCTGGAATGGCCTTAAATTTTTGTGTTGGCTTCATTTGTGGGTTCTAGTTGCATGCCCTTCCGCAAATAAATAAGTAGCCAAAATTTTATATACAGTTAAAGAAGGAAGGCAAAATGTTACTTTTTCTCAGGTAAGCTCACAATTAAAGGTGACAGAAGATCCTTTCTTTAAAGTTCTAACTAAAATATTTATTTTGTTTTTGTGGTAAAAGAAAAATAATCATATATTAGCATGGTAATATCTTTATGTGTGGAGGCTGTTTTTTAAAAAATACCAGTGAACTATGGTTTTCTACTGCCTGGCTCCAGATGTCTTCCAAGTGTTAATTGTGGGGCTTAGGAACAAATGTGTAGAATCAGGCTGACCTGTGTTCTAATTATAGCTTGGTATCTTCTACTTGTGTGATTCCAGGTAGCTGTCTCAGTTCCTCAGACTCATAATTTAATTTTTAAAAATAATTTATAACAGTAGCTAAAGGTTACTGCTTGTTTTCTATGTGTAAGAACAGTACTACAAATTTGTCTAAGGTTACTTTATTTAATGCTTTTCAGTGCCTTATGAAGTGCTTGCTTTACAAAATGAGGCATTAAGGATTACAGAAGTTGACATATCTAAGGTCACAAAATTAAAAAGGGGTAGAGATGAGACTTGAGCCCATGATTTAATAGACATAAGACTCAGGATTCTAATTCAAGGTCAGGATCCTGAGACAATAAAAGTTAGCAATAAAATTTTTGATGGCTAGATATTTGGGAAGTAACTCAGAAACTAAGGAGCTGTTGGGACTACATGTAGAATGATGGGACAAAGAACTTGTGTCATACACACGCGACATGTGCGATGAGTGAGGGTTCAGTGCACAGTAGGTTCTTGCCCGCTGTTTGCATGCTGAACCTCAAGACTTTCCATGTAGGAAATAGGGTCACCTTTGGTTTTAGAGATGTGAAAAGCAACAAACTCAACATTCACATTTGGTCTGTCTTGAGAGCCTTACCATATGATAATAACAGCCAGATTTTTCTTAGAAAGTCGTTTGGCTGGAACTGTTCTTCCACTGGTAATCAGAAGATGGCACTGTGAAGTATAGTACAGTCATAACTGTTCTAGAATTAACTCATTCATAGACTGATACACTTGCCTCGAAATTTGTATCTAAAAAAAGTATATAATATGTACTAGATGATATATATAGTATACATATGGTATATATTATATATGGTATAGTATATATCATGTAGTATATAGATTATATATGTAATATATAATGTGTATATGTATTATGTAGTATATATTATATGCATATTTTAATAAATATATTACTCATAGACATCTTTCACTTTTCTGAATACTTATCCTTAAAAATATGGTTATATATAACATATTATATGTTATATACACAGAATATATAAATATATTCCGTAGTATATATTATATGCATATTTTAATAACTATTTTAAATATATTACTCATAGATACCTTGCATTTTTCTGAATACTTATCCTTGAAAGTAGGCTTATTTGGTAACACACTATCATTAGCTTGATTCCAGTAATCACTACAGTGTTTCCTCTATGTCTACCTTTCTCTCGAAGGAGCATAGACTTGCAAATTTAATAATGTATACATTTCCCCTATATATTCTTTTACTTGAGTGACATAACATTAAGTGAATTCTCAAAGACAGCTTTGACAGGTAGTGGGCAATGTGTGAGGGAGACATAATACCTGGCATTTTTATAGTGTTTTAATTTTAATTGTTATACATGCTCATAACTCCTCACAACATCTTATGTAGCAATTCATAATAACCTCATTTTATAGATGGAGAGAATTTTAGTAATGGCAGCCAGGTAGCTTAAACCCAGCGCTCTGAATTCCCCATTCACAACACCAAAGTTGCTTTGGAACCTTGAAAGTTGGGGTGCAAAGGAGGCAGAGTTACCCAATGGCTAGCTCTTATGTCTTAAAGAAAGAAAACGAAAGAGCAGAGTGTACTGAGGATTTAAATTGTGATGCTACCCATTTTTATATTTGGAAGATGAAGCCACAGGTACCAGCCTGGCAGGACTAAAGAAGATGGTGCCTATGCAATGTTTGGCATGTTTTGCCATATTGGCTTTGGTTCTATATTGTCTTGGGTACATTTCATAAGTTCCTGTAAGTACCTGCCTGCAACCCTTGCCACCTTAATCAGTTGAGATTCAGGTTTTTTGGAATGCGTCAGAAAATCCCAAATTACAATGCCTTAAACAAGATATAAATTTAGTTCTCTCACACATAAGTTATGTAACAGGTAGGAAATCCAGGGCTGGCTGGTTCTCCATGGCCAGCAAGTGGGCAAACAGCTGCATTCTAACTTTCATGGGCTTCAGTTACTTTAAACTTCATCAACCCTTACTCTGTTAAATATATATACGTATACCACATTTATATTATATAACATATTGTTTTGTGACTATGTTCATATAAAGAATAAAATATTAATATTATCTACTTCAAGCTAAAAATTCATTTTTAAAAATTCTAATTTTAAAAGAAATTTAAAATATTTGTGGGCCAAGAAAGTATTGTGGACCATTGGCCATTGACTCTGTGCTGCTGTGCCAAGTGGGTAAGTTAGCCATGTCAGTAATGACCCCAGCTCCTTCCAGCTTGTTGCTCTGTTGAGGTCTTTGCCCTCGTGATCCAAGGTGGCCACGAGAGTTCAAATCATCCTTCTAAATAGCAGCATGGAGGAAGGACACACTGCTTTCCTTTTATGAATACTCCCCATTTGCTAGTCTTAGTAGAGTAGCTGGTCCCATATAAAATGGAGCCTGGGACTTGTAGCCTTCTTACCTCTGCCATATATTCAGGTAAGAATATATTGGAAGCTCTGTCATACTGTCTGTGCCTTCCCTTCTGACTGTTTATGTAATTCTCTGCTATGTAAGTTGATTCAGTTGCTCCAAAGGAAGTTGTCTTTTTTGTGTATAGTAAGCCCTTATTTAATGCCATTCACAGATTTTTGGAAACCACAACTTACGTGAAATGATGTGTAGCAGGTTTCCTTCAAAGTCCTTTCTGATGTTGGTGACAAGAAATATCATTTTGTTATACATGACAATTTATGGTGATGTGAAAGCTGGTGTCTGTCGCTACAATTTTTTTAATTAATTAAAAAATAAAAAAAAATACAATGGCAAGATTTTGGATTAGAATCACTATTTCAGCTTACAGGGATGGTAAAAGTTTACATCAGTTGGATATTTGCTAGGAGATAGGGACAGATAGGGACAGAACTAGGGAATAGCACTAAAATAGGAGTATTCATAAGTAATAATCTTTATGTGACTAGATATTTACCAATGATAAAATAATATCAGTAAATGGTTAAACGTTGAACTTAGGGCGTGCTATCTGAGGTGACTACTTTAAAGGCAAAGTTCATATGTATTTTATGATTTATATTGTGGTTTAGACATATGAAGTACTTAACTATGTGCTTAAATATTTACTAAATGACTAATTCATACCTTTTGCTTTGTTGTTCTTTCTTGAACTTTTTCCGATGAGTGGAAAGAGAACACTTAAATAACGTGATATAGATGATTTTTAAAAATTTAAGTGAATTATGCTAAGTCTTAGCGAAGTGTCTCTTATTTAGGCTAACCTCAGAATTACACTGTGATAATATGCACTAGTATCCACATATATTTATGTTTGGATCTTATATTATCAGAGACTAGCATTTTCCAAAATTCTCTTCCTTAGAAGAAAGTATCTGTCAGGGGGAGAGTGAATAAAGAAAGTTGAAGGAGTTTCTCTGTATACTTTTGTCCAACTGGGAGAGGGATGCCATGATTATGATAACAGAGTGATTAATAGATGATGTATATTGGGCTGAACAGGGGAAGAAGTGAAACCAAGATGGTGCTGGAAGCAAAGGAAAAGGTGAAGGTGCTGAAGAATGTGGAATGTGGTGGTTGTCACAGGCTGAAAAAACAAATAGCGGTGGTGGTAGAATATTGGTAGTATAAACCTTAAGAACCATCTTAGAATTCTAACATTTCAGATCTCAGTGAGTCTTTAATATCTACTCCAAACCTTCATTTTTTTATAAATTGAGGCTCATAGATGCCAAATAACTTATCAAAGTGATACAAATATTTAATAGTACAAGTAAGACGTGGGAAAAAAGCAAATATAATAATACGTTACATATTTTATTGCTGAAGCAGCATCAGTCTTTCATAAAAATTGAGAGAACTTCATCATAATCATGAAGTTACCTAAGTATGTAAAGTTTTTCAGAAAAATGACAAATGAATAATTATGGTACTTTTTATTTCAAATATCTAAATCATTCTTAACACAAATTTCAATGTTAAAGGAATGATTTTACATTGTTGTTTGATCTCTAACACTTAATACGAAGTTCAACGTTACTTTTTGTATACTAAATATAGCTTGGCTTGTTGAAATAGGTCTTTTAATTCCTGAATTTAATGGTTATTTTTTTCTTTGTTTTTTTTTTTTTGGAGATGGAGTCTCACTCTGTTGCCCAGGCTGGAGTGCAGTGGCACGATCTCAGCTCACTGCAACCTCCGCCTCCTGGGTACAAGCAATTCTCCTGCCTCAGCCCCCCGAGTAGCTGGGACTGCAGGCACATGCTGCCACGCCCAGCTAATTTTGTTGCTGTTGTACTTTTATTAGAGACTGGGTTTCACCACGTTGCCCAGGCTGGTCTTGAACTCCTGACCTCAGGTGATCCACCCGCCTCGGCCTCCCAAAGTGTTGGGATCACAGGCGTGAGCCACCGCGCCCAGCAAATGATTTTTTTCTATATGACATAGTTTTCCTTTCAGTCTCTGTTTTTTAATTACTATTATTTTAAGAAAATAGATGGTATTGATGTTTTCAAATCATGTTTTCTTTCAAAACATGGAAACAAGCTAATATCACAAATTTCTCCTAAAAATAAAATAATTAAAATTGTATTTGCTGACATGCAAAATAGCTAAAAATTAAGTCCCCCTTGCCTGTTTTTGGATTCACAAAAGACTTGATCATATCTTAGCTAAAAACATCTATATTTGAAAGAAAAGCTACAGAGTCATATGATGGTTAGCCTTCATCCTTTAGCAGTCGTTGGTAAGGTTTTATTTCATTTTTACAATCAGCATCAAGAGAACGATATAGATGAGCTTTATCCTGGGATAATGACTATGTCTTAAACTATTTTCAGATATTATGAAAACATTAAAATATCAATAGCCACTTTAAAATTGTGTTGCTGTTTTGACTGTCTCCTTAAATAATTAGAAGGGTAAATATTCTTTTTGAATATTCTTAGGATCTATATAATACGTGACTCATATGGTTTTTCCTGTGTCTACTTTCTGACTGTCATTACTTATAGCTACAGTAAGTTGCAGGGCCATGCTTTGGGCACTATACTCTGATTCTAAAGCCTGGGGTGTGCCATGGAAAATCAGTCAATGAATTCCATTAATACCAAACAATCACTAAATGCTGGTAGAAATGAATACCTTACTCTTCTGGAAGATCACCACCTTTTGTCTCTCTTTGACCTTTCAGAGTCTGAATGTAGACAGTGTTTATCTCAAAGAAGTGATGAAAAGTTGACAGGCTGGGAAAATAAGAGTTGCCAAACAGAATGCTAATTGGAGGACCACGTAAGCATGGAACGGATTTAATGTTTTGAAGTGTCCAAGTGTAGTGCATTCTGCAAGCATAGTTAGGATTCCCTGGCTATGTTCTATAATAAGAAGCTGATCTGGCTGGGGATACAAGCAGACCTCTGGAAAATAAAATGTCTTAAAGATGAGTGGTACCCCTAAACAGTGCCCATAAACAGAAGCATGTGGCATATCCCTGGCATTCAGCAAGGGGCTGTGGAAGAGGAGTCTTGATTGGTGGGAGAGAAATCCTCCACTGAATGCAGAGAGTAACTAGTTGGTTGTGTGTGTGTGTGTTTTCTTTTCTGGCAATTAAAAATTTCAAGACAAAGTGGCAGAGAAAAAGAGAGAAAGAAATAGATGGTGATGATCAGTCTTTGGTTCCTCATCCATGGTGAAACTGAGAGCATTCTAGCATAAGAATGGTTTCAGAATAAGTAATTTGCTTTACAATTCAGTGATCCTGAACAAATAAACTGTATCCACATCTCAGAGCAGCTGAGAAGGAGAGCAGCCCTGAGGCATTACAGCACAGAATGAGGAAGGTATATTGTAGTATTAAGGGAAAACACATAATAAGATCGTGCCTCTCCTTCTATCAAGCCCACTTGTCAATGGAATGATTATAAATTTCACTTTGTGGGGAATTGCAGGGTACCATCGTCATACAGAACCAACTGAATGGATGTTCTTTGTTTATGTAAATAAACTTTGTTAACATAATTTTCTTAATTTATTAGTTTTTTTTCTTTTGATATTCCCAAGTGTGAGAAAAGAAGGTTATGACAACACAGCAATAAGATTACATGAATCTATTTATCAGGGCAATTGTTAAAAGAATTCTCCCCACTGGTGTTGAAGAAAGAAATATAGTAAGACTTAGTCCTTGAGGTGAGGGCTGTTCTGTAAAAGCGGCCTGGCTCAAGGAAAGCTAAATTCACAAAACTGCTGGTTGGTTCAGGATCAAGCTCTTTAGGGTAGGAGACTTTTTACATGACTTTAGGTCAGAGGTCCTAAAGAGGAGAGTAAATGAATTATTGTTAGTAAGACCAAAGGGTGTGGTGAACAATCGTTGTCATTGAAACCTCTGCTGATTTGAGCTCTTAATGCTTGCAAGTGAAGGACGCTAGAAGGTCTATTATTTACCATTTCCCCGATTTCAGGGCAGAGTTTAGAACCGGAAAGTTCATAATAACTTCTTGGAAATTAACTAAGTCCTCTGATGTAGGAGTTACACAATCATCTAGAATGTTATTTTTATTTTTTCCTGAGGCAGATTATAAAACCGTATACTGTGCCTAGCATGTGTGAGGTAAGAGGAGAGAAGTGGTATTCTAGGAATACTACACATCCTCTGTAACTTACTCTCTTCCTACAGAAGTTTAGTCTACTGAGCTGAAAGACCCCATCTGTAAATGACACTTTTTACAACCAGCAAGAGGGATAACTTGGCAATTGGTTGGTTTATAGCAATTAAGGATATATAAATTAATTCAATTAATATTCACAAAGAACTTGATATCTATCAGGGAATATGCCAGGAAATAATGTTAAGTGCTTGGGAGCCCAGATGCATTAAAGAAAATACATCCTTCATAGAAGGAGAGGGAGACAAAAAGTGCAAAGAGTAAAGTTTCCCAGCTCTGGGAATAGCTGTGTAAGGTGTCACAGAAGTAATGACTTTCCTATGGGTTTCAAAACGTAGACGGAACTTTTTAGCCAAAAATTTTTGCTTGGGAAAACAAATTCCAGGAAGAGAATAGCAATGTGAAAGGTGCTAAAATAAAATAATAATAATGACAGAACTAATCATAGGCTCTCCAGTAGTGAACAAGCACTGACTAATATGTATGTAAAAACAGCAGGCTCTGTGCATCAGGGTGGGTTTACCTCTGTGGTACAACCTGTGCTCCAGAGCTCCCCTAGGGACTGGGTAAAGCTATTCTGCTGGGACCACTTCCTTGCTGAATTTTTTGTCCTGTCATGTTTTTTTTCTTTCTTATGAAAGTTCTCATTTATCCCTGATAAATCAGCTTTCCAAAGGAGGCCCTGATTATGCTCTGCTTCTGTGAAAACTGACCTGAGACAGAGGCTGATCCACCTGGATTTGAATCCCCGTCTTCCACATGACTAGTTATGTGATTTTGGATGGGCTGTTGAAAATTTCTTATAGTAGATTTTTTTTTTCAGTTAAATTGGGAAAATAATCAATCTCGAAGACCTGTTTTGAAGATTAACAGATTAACAGATTTTAAAGACCTGACACTTACACTTGATTAATATATGTTACTTTTCTTTCCTGTTAATTTGTGGAAATGAATGTAAAACCTAAAATTATTTGTATGGAATTTGGATAGGTCTTATATGAATATGAAATTCTATGACCACTTGTCAATCTGAAATAATTGAAATAATCAGAATCCAGTTTTAATGAGTTTATTCAAGTAAAAATCTGGGAATAGCCACCCAGGTTACAGGGACTCCAGAGAAATGGGATAAGTGCTCCAAAGCTAAAAGTTAAAGTTGTGCTTACATAGGAAGAAAACAAAGACATATAACAGGATTACAACATTTTCTACACAAGGCTGATTTATGAGTAACAACATTTTAATTGGTTAAAGTTTGTTTTCTTTTTTGTGTGGCTGGTTTTCTTTACAATTTAAAAGTGTATATTTAACATTCCATCTTAAGACAATATGACAGCATGAAGTTTTTCTGTGAGAAAGGTAAGAGAGAAGTTAATCTAAAATGAAGATCAGCCCTGAAGAGGGAAGAGGTCTTTCCTGGTGCTGTGTAGTCATTTGTAATATTTTACAAAACAATGTAGGTAAGGAAGAAGGCAAATCTATAATTAGAGAAACAAAAATTACAGTTTTCTAGGTTACAGCTGCCTAGGTAACAGCTGCCTGTTTATGTGACTTATGTCCCATAATCACATTCCCTTAAGGCTATAAAATTTAGTTTCAACAGCTTAGATTGTGAGTTACTTATTTTTACATACTCAAGAAATAAACTCTGTGATACAATCTATGTGCCAAGCTCTCTATGTGGCTTTATTTCCAGGTTTGATAATTTCTTATTACCATCTGTTATTTTTGTCTTTGAACCTTTCCTAATACAAAATACAAAGATTTTTCTTTATCATATTTTTTGTGTTCTAAGTTGAAACATATGCATGAAATCTTATTTGAAATCTTAATTGAAACATGAATAAGATAATCTTATGTCACCTGTCCAAAAAACTATTGCTAAAGGTTAAAAATATTGTAGGTACAGGCCGGGCACGATGGTTCACGCCTGTAACCCCAGCACTTTGGGAGGCCAAGGTGGGCGGATCATGAGGTCAGGAGATCGAGACCATCCTGGCTAACACAGTGAAACCCCGTCTCTACTAAACATACAAAAAGATTAGCTGGGCGTGGTGGCGGGTTCCTGTAGTCCCAGCTACTCGGGAGGCTGAGGCAGGAGAATGGCGTGAACCTGGGAGGCGGAGCTTGCAGTGAGCCAAGATCCCGCCACTGCACTCCAGCCTGGGTGACAGAGCCAGACGCCGTCAAAAAAAAAAAAAAAAAAAAAAAAAAAAAATTGTAGGTACATATTAAATTTTATGTAAGTTTTTTATATTTAAAAAATGTTCTATTTATTTTTTCATATATCTAAATAATGACTCCAAAAACATTAATCACTTCAATGAGGGCATCAGTCACGTCACTGATTATTGTAAATTGTGGAGCCAATAATCCATAGTTTGCTTTCTTAAAAATCCATTTTAGAAGGTTGAATTTATCAGATAGTCTGAAGTGTTAAATGAGAGTTTAATCTTGACTTATTGAAAAATGGCATCATTTTGCTTCCCATGGTTATTTTTATATTGTGTCTGAAGAAAGAAAAATCCTTTTGTGTTTCTCATGTTTATGGTGTATAACAGGCTCTTTTTAATTATAGAAAATTCCTGTCTTTTAATCACTGAGAAAACAATTTTCCTCCCATAAAATAATACATTTTTTCATCATTTGGTTTTTAAAATGACATATTCCAGGGATTATTTTTGAAATATTGGATGCTTATCTAACACTATCCATTAAGTTTCTATTCATGTGGAAAATGAAATGGAAATGTAGGAGAAATTATTTTTTAGAGGGAGGGGATAAAAGGCCTATAATTAATCAGCTGTTATTAATGAATAAGATAACATTGAATTCAAACAAATAAAAAATTAGTTCTTAAGTGTTAGGTATGACCTCATTTAATTAAGTTAGATAATTTATATAAATGAGATAATTTAACTTATTTAAAGCTTAGCTAAGTTAAGAGACTTGCTTCATCTAATCCATGAGTCAATGGTAAAATCAGAATTTAAGCTCAGAGCTGCATGAATCTAACATCTAGGTTCTTATAACTTTAGCCATGTTTGTTAAAGATCTTTGATTATTTTTTTTAATGTCTGATATGCCTATTTTCCCCTTGTAACATTGTATATTTACAGTCTGGGCTAACAAGATAACAAGCTATTTGAGGGTGTTTTATCCTTTCTGTAAGTGTTAAATGAGAAATTTCTTCCTCCTTTTTAAAACGAATGGAAGAGAAACTGTTAAAAATTATTAAAGAGTATAGTTACTGAGTGTCCTTAGTCCATAAATAGTTTTTAGAATGTTAAGATGATAACTGAAATATCAGAAGATGATAGTGGGTTTTTATGCACATTTATTAGGGTTGTTTTCTTCTTGATCTTTTCACTGTTTGTGCCTAGTTCAAAGTTAGTCAATAAACAGAACATGGCTTTGTGACCAAAAATTCTCTGAAAAAGAATTTGGAGGAAAGAAACTTTATTCCAGTGAACAGTTTGCAAACTGGGAAGACTGCATAAAACAAAGGGGCATTCCAGAGAGCAAAGAGAGGGTTCGGCTTTTATAGAGAAAGTTTCTATTCAAGTTCCCAATCAAGTCTATTTATGCAAATGAAGGATTCAAACTTGCTTAGTGCTGATTGATTCACAGAGCTGAGTTCTGATTATTTTGATGCAGATCATACTCTATTTGTTGGTTCAGGTGACGTGAACAAGGACAGTCAGCTATGAAAGTCCCAAGTTAGGTAGACGTGTGGGTTTTCTGGAACTGAGTACATGTGTGAGCTCTAGGTAGCAAATGGCCTTTGGGCTCTATTTTAAACTTAGACACTGTTATCCACTCAGGATTCATGTTGAGGGATTGGCTCTTTCACGTTTACAGTTTCATTACTCAGTTTGCTCTCACAGTCATACCATCCTCTTTATATTTTGACTACAAATCTTATTTTCTACTTTGACTTCAGACCATTAGGATTGTATATAAGGACTGTTAACAGTACCCCTCAACCCAACTTTATCTAGAATGAGTCTTGAGCTTTGGAGACTCCTGTACTTGAATGGAGAATACAGCAGGCCATCTGGAACTGTCTAGGAAATCGGATGTAGTTTTAGGGAGAAAGATAAAGTTTTGAATGTAAGATTCATTCCTTGAGATTTTATTGTTTAGTTATGTTTATAATATTTTGTGCTGAAGTCAATTAAACAATTGAAGAAAATAAGTATGAGATCTCCAGAAATGAAATTGTGTGGTGAACACATTAGAAGAGCAGACCTACTATGTCTTCCTCCAAAACTATCTTAGTGAAAAGTCCTTGGGAAAGGGTTTCGCCTTTCATCCAGGATACAGCTTCAGTGAGGCAGTTCTACACATGTACTGGAATTTGCTGTCTTTTCATGTCTTGGTTAATTTGGAATTTCATTTATTTACTATTTTGATGTGAAGAATTGCACTTCAGATTTTAGTAAATTATTGCCATGTCAATATAGTTGCATTCTAATGATAATATGCATCTTTTTTAAAAAAGGCTTTTTTCAAAATAATTTTGCTTCATGATTAATTTGTGATTGCACATAATTTTCATAATTTTAGTTCAGACAATCTTTAGACATGAAGATACTTGTTGACAGCACAGTACCTTTGTTCCTCTCTAGTAACTCAATATAACAACATCAGCAAATATTGGTATGAGTTACTATTATTAATGATTTATTTTCATAATCTGATTTCTTTTATTTCATTAGTTGCCTTGGGTTTTTGTCTGATTTCAGAAGCTACATAGCTATGTGATTTTTAAAATGGCATAATAAAGCATAAAATCCACAAGATCTTTAGTTTTGGAGAATTTTGAATGGGAGAATTTTGAAGATTGACCTGTGTACCCTTAAAAGGGGAAATCAGGTAGAAAGACAGCTGTCAAGAAGATGCAATGGAATTATTACCAACAGAATTGAATAAAACACATTTTACAAAAAAAGGTTAATATCTACTCTAAAACGCACTAGTGTATGACCGAAAAGCAATATTTGGAAATGGAACTGTTATCAACAGGAAAAACAGGGAAGGATTTAAAAAATGACTGCAATAAATACTTATGTCTGTAGTTGCATTTGGACACCATTTTGAAGGAACCCCTTCCACAGAAACCAGATGTGATTTCTGTTTTTCTGTCTGGAGAAAGCACACATATAATGAAAAGGTTGTATAATTATTGCACTTGTACAGAAGAATCTTCTCATGTAAATTTAAATTTCAATAAGTTGCTGGATTAAACTTTAGCAAGGGAAAGGAAATTGTAAAACGTGGTCTTGTCTTTCATTCACATGTTTGTGTTAGTATGTTAATTATCCTTTTTGGGGGCAGGAGAAGTACAATGAAGCATAGGCCAGCATAAATGCTACTTATACAGGAACCAATACCAGAGCCAGACTAGGCTTAGGAAACCTTAATGGTACATTTAGATAGATAATTGCCATAGCAGTGAAACAGTAGAAACTTATTTTTTGTCAGTGCAAAGCAGGTTTACTAATTACCAGTCCCAAGAGAGGACTCCCATTGCATGGGGAATAGCAAAGATCATCCTTAGGCCAACCACCAAAAACTCAACCAAGGGTTTTCCAGGGTTGCAGACAAGTCAAGAGAGTGGATATGATGCCTCAGTCCGCACCATCATTAGCTCCAGAGGGAAATAGGACAATGCGTGTTTTTAGTTCCCTAGATATGTATTTCTATACTTTAATATTTCTGTGAATGGGTGTTGCCATTTGGTGTAATCTTTTAGGAAAACAGATTGTGTGGCTGGGCGTGGTGGCTCACGCCTGTAATCCCAGCACTTTGGGAGGCCAAGGTGTGCGGATCACCTGAGGTCAGAAGTTTGGGACCAGCTTAGCCAACATGGTAAAACCCCATCTCTACTAGAAATGCAAAAGTTAGTCAGGCATGGTGGCGTGGGCCTGTAATCCCAGCTGCTCAGGAGACTGAAGCAGGAGAATTGCTTGAACCTGGAAGGTGGAGATTACAGTGAGCTGAGATCATGCCATTGCACTTCAGCCTGTGTGACAGAGCGAGACTCCATCTCAAAAAAAAAAAAAAAAAAGGTGGGGGTGGGGTGGGGTAAGAAAATAGATTGTTTTAGAGTAATATAATTGTATCTGATGACCCCAGAGGAATTAAAAGAAGCAGGACTCAGTCCCTAAAGCAATGTTTCTTAGGGAGAAAAATTTTAAAGGCCTAGCATTTCAAGGTAAGGAAGAAAAACTTGGTTACAAGCTTTGTAGACTTACAGTATACCTACTTCATGAGTCAATATATCATTGCCCACCTTACTTTTCACAGGGTAATGAGACAACTTTCATAGAAGTTACCACATTTAGCTTAATTAAGAAGAAATATATTTAGGATTAGAAGTTCAATAACTAGATCCAGTGAAGCAGATCACAGTGAACGGGCAGCTCCTTTGCAATTCAAAACAGATGGTGCCTTTCTTTTTCCATTCAGATTTCCTGTTTTGAAAAAAAGTCATATCCATTGAATACCAGCAATGTTTATGACATAGAAGTTAAGACTTCTAAGTCATAACACATGTTTATGGAGGAATGATGTTAGAAACGTTTCATAGCGAGCATGCATTTTTTTCTTTGACCACTGATTTGTAACCGTCACCAAGTGAAATCCTGGAAATATATATATATATTTTTCGAATCAGTGGAAAGAATTAGAAACTATAGGGAAACCTGTTTTGAATAGCTTAACATTTGGCAATAACTGACCACGAGATTCTCTACAAATAAAAATGGCTACCTTTCGTAGGAGGATATACTGAGAAAGAACATATGGAGAGAAACTTAAATAAAGTGCTATGGTAGAAAGATATAGAACCAACTTGTTGTCCCTGATGCTTTCACAGTAGGACTCATCTTCTTTGTGTCTTTTTCTTTAAATTCATAACAATATTTAGCACCTTGTGTCAGAAGACAGGCATTTGGCATAAATAGTCACATAATTTCTGAAACTAATTCTAAAAACCACCTCTTTTTTAAGTTTCTGTCTTAGATTGCTTTTTTTTTTCTTTTTGTTTTTTTGCTTTTTTGGGCATATTTTCTTGAAAGAAGCAAAATCTGTTTCATTCATCTAATTATGCAATGCAAAGATATGAATATCACTTTGGAGTCTAAGTGCATCCGTAAGCAAGTCTTGCATGTATGAACCAATAGAGGCTTCTCAGTTAGTCTGAAAGTCCTTTGAGGACAGGGTGTGAGTCTTAGGCTTCTTAGTATCCTGTATAGCTCATTGTCAAAAGCTCAGGCCATGTGCTGAATCAGTATGTAGTCTGATAAATTGTCAGGTTTTCTGCATTTGAGGTGACCTTTAAATCTTATTGCCAATCCTAAAGCACTCTATATTGGCTTTTATATAATCCACTCGGAAAGGATGTGAAATTAAATATACAATCGTCTTTTTGACAATAAGAAACTTGTTATTTTAAATCCGATTTGGGGTATCGATGATACTCAGAATGACTATGAATAAAAAAGATTTACATAGTAAATATATTCTATAATTACGATTTGAAGTAGTCAGTAAAGACCCTTTAAAATGTTTAATCTTCCTACTTCCAATATCTACATTCAGAAAAATACTGTTCTAACACAAACTACCCCAAACTTCTGTGCCTTACCTCGTTCACTAACCCATATGGTAATATTAATGTGAAAATCTTCTCTTAAATTTCTCTCCATGAATTCACATTTGTTGTTTCAATGATTATTTTATCTCATGGTCTCAAAAAATAATCCTTGACAAGTTATCCCAAGATAAACCTTCCCTGACTTGCTTTCTGTCAGCATCTGGTTCTACAGTGAGAATTCTTCTGGAATGTGCTTTTATTATATCCTGCCATTTAATTGCTTTTCAGTATAAGAAATCTAAATGTTCTTCACATTCTTTGTCTTTATATACGATGCTTAATTTTGCCCAGTCTGCTCAAATTTGGGGCACAAAGAAGTAGCTTATTTTTATTTAAAGTTTAATGTTAAAAGAAAAATATTTATAGACAATGTAGAAAATGTAAAAAAATGCAAAGAAAAATCCTCTACTCAATTATACCTTTAACATTTTTGGTAAATTCTTTATATACCAGAGATTGTGTATAGTGAGTTTTAATTATGTTTAGTGAATAAACTAATCCATGCTAATTCACTTAAAATATCAAGCTTCTTTTTTTTACAAAAAAAAGAATACTTCGTTGATTTTCTTAATTCACAAATAATAATCTATTATATATATATTAGATAAATATATACATTGGTAATGGTTCTCATTTTGTCAGGTAGTACATTTAGATTGACTATTTAGCTCTAAATCAAGATCCTGGTAACAGTAATCAAAGGTAAATGAGCCATAGGAGATAACAATCTTATTTTAATTGAGGTCTTACCTAATCTCTCTGGATAGGTAAAGACTCAATGATCTTGGCTTTTATTACAAGCCCGCATCATTATGTTGTAATATATTAATTTTGATCCCAACAAAATACCTTTAATCTTAGGCCTTAGAGGCAGTGGGGCAATGAAACCTTAGATAAAAATGAAATGTTATTTTTATATTTAAGTAAAGAAAAAATAAGGATTTCTTATTATATTCTTTCTGTGTCCAGCCTCTTTGAAAAACCTGAGGTCAGGTGAGGCCTAAGGGCAGTGAAAAGTTGAATTGATCTTCCCATTCATTTATCTCCTGAATGAGTCTGAATTTAATTTATCTTAAACAAAGATGTTGAATGGATGCTTGATATGGAATAAGAGTCTAGTCCTCAAATTAATTTTTATGGATACTGGAAGTGTTTCAGAAATTGAGCTGGCCAGTTTTATCATTTTCTATTAGATGACAAAGATGTTAAATGTTATATTTCATTACAGAAAATAACGTATTAAAATATTTTTTTAATAAAACAGTTTTTATTGCCTACACATTGTAATTCAAGACATAATCAACTGCTAGTCTCTTGCACTGGTCATCTGAAGGTGGTAAAATGTGACTAAGGTAAAAATGAATGGTCTAATTATAGGAATGACCTATCCTCATGAGAACGCAAGTTTTGGTAAAACATGCTGACTACAAGAGCTTTCGTTTATAGATAAGTGCTCTTCTTTACAAAGATTCCATTTTATTGACTCTGAGGCATCTAGTTGAAAAAGTTATTTTTCTTCTAATTCAGAGCTCACATTTCTTAGAGGAAGTTTAGGTAATGACAAACCTTTCCCTGAAGTCTTTTGAAAACCATAGAAATTTTTACTAAGCAAGAGCACCATTGTTTATAATTTAGTCCATTAACTCTTTTAGATCCCTTGACACAGGTCTGTGGCAGAAGCAACCAATAGTACAGTTCTAACAAGGTGAAGTGATTTACGTAATTATGAGATATTGAATAGCAATTTTTAAAAATGAGAGTAGTGTGCTAGATAGGACACTGAGGCATATTTGAATGTTCTGTCCTTGAATGTCATCTCATTTAAATTCATTCCAAATCAATTTACAGGACCAAAATCCCAATCATTACTACTTCCACTTCCTCTCTGTAAGTTATGAATGAGGCTTAAGGGGAATATACTACAGATGAAATGACAGAACAGTGGGACTTAGTCAACCCCTCTCTCACAATCACTACCTGAGACAGGCTAGGAGTAAGAAATGCAGGGAGGGAACTGGGAAAAGAATTAGAGAAACATTAAAGAAAGTGAACAAACATATTTGCCACTAATGGATTTCTTTTTCTTCAATGTTCAGGACTATGATTCTCCAATTTTTCAGATATTTTCCTCTCTCAGGGCTGGCTCTGCCTGTTGAATATTTTTCTTCACCAATATTGAGCATTTTGCTTTATTTATCATTTCTTATTATTTCCTGCTCAGTCTGAAACACTCATTTTCCATATACATATTTTTCCCTATATTTATTTTTTAAAATAGTGCTAATTGGTTAAATGCTTCATGAGGAAGAACATTAGGCACATATGAAAATGATGCCACATTTTGTTTACAAAGGTAGAGAAATTGCCTGCTTCACATAATCCTAGAAGGTATGTAGCAGGCTTACTTGATAACTCTAATTTCATAATAGTTTTGTTATCATGTTTTTTTGCAGGCATGACTTTAACTCTGAGCTAACTTCCAGGGAGAGGAATCAGTCTGTGAAAATATTGGCTTTCATGTCTGGGAGCAAAGTTAAGTTAAATTGCTGTAACGTAAAGAATATGTATGTTGTCATAGGTAGGATCAGATTAAAGTTCCTTTAATGTGATGCAGAGAAATTGGAATTTAGGTTGATGTTAGTGAAACCAGGGAAAGATAATAACAATAGATTTTTAATATACTGCTTTTTTATGATTTTCACACAATTAGAATAAGATTTTCATCTGCAAATTCTCTAATATGTTCTCTCTCTATATATATATATACACAGATATACACACACACAGTCCTCCTAAGCATAAGATATGTATTTAAGAAGGGCCTTTAGGAAATCCTATTTATGTTATCTTTTTCTGTGACATACATTAGTTGAATATATATAAAGTAAAAACTTGGATTTAAACAGGAAGGAAGTGGTTGGAATACAAGCATGTAAGGGAGGTGCTTTGAAACTATGAAAGACAGTCTTACTCTTTAATTTTGCTTTTGTGATACATCTATAGAATATTCTTCTTATAATCCATGATTTTAGTGAAGACACCAGACCAAAATAGCATACATTACCAAATACTGAGGTACTTTCAATATTTTTTACTTAAAATTTGCTTTCTTTGTTCATTCATTCTTTCTTTCTGCAGGGTATGAATGACATTTTAAGATAAATATCCATCTGTTACTAAGTTTATCTGTTTCTGTTTTCTAAAGCAATCATTCTGCTATGAAGTGCTCCACTATCTGCAGGGCTCCAAAGTTAATAAATCAATTAGCACCAATTAATCATTTATATAACTCATGACACTAGGGGGCAAAAAAAAAAAAAGCTCAAGAGTGCATATTACTTCTGGTACTGACAAAGCATATCTAACTAAAACCTAATTCATTCAAATTTTATTCAGTTGTGATTCATTGACCAAATGTTATGATTTTGGCACAGTTAATGATTAAAGTACAGGATTAAACTTTGGATTTGGGATACAATTTTAATCCTACTCTCTACTCTTTTTTTTTTTTTTATAATGCAGTGTAATGTGGAAAGGCAACTGAGATATCAATTATAATTATCAATGTTTATTTAGTCTGGATCTATGATCACAAAATTATGTTTCTTTTCATTTAACTATGTTCCATGGGACGTTGTTAAAACATCTGATGCTTAAAGAGCATTCAGCCAGATTATTGTAATATGTGCTAGTGCTTGACAGTTACTATAATATATTAAATGCTCACGATTAACCTGAGTTTTATTTCTATTTAAGAACCTGTCAAAATTAAGTATACTTTTCATTTTTTCTGTGCTAGACCTTTCTTTGATCTTTTTTTTGGTCCTATTGATACAGAAGTTTCATTTCCACAATGGAGTTGGACTAGTCTAGAGTTTACTCTGTCCCATTGTTCTCAGCACAAAGCAGCAATATTCAGAAAATACTTAAAGAGTTCATACTCTCTGTTTGAAGGTGGCACTCTAAGGGGTCTTAAACATGAACTATCCTAGCTTACTTGAAGAAGAGAGAGGTAATCCCAGAGATTTTTGCCCATTGTTAAACTCTGTGAGGAATCCAATTTTGATGCTTTTTATTATCTTTATTTCAATCCAAACAATGAGTCAGTGGCGACCCTCCATTTTAACTCATAAACATTTGGGATTCTCTTAGCCAGGTTTCTTTGACATTGGGAAGAACTAGCATAATTGCCATTCAGATAGGCTTTTAGCAATATATTTTGAAGATATTTATTTTTTGTTCCTCTCTCAATATGGTTTATCTTCTAAAAAGAGGCACATATGTTGATATACTTTGATGAAAAAGAACAGGCAATAGTGGGAACTTTTCTGATTATCTCCATAAATATACAGATTGTAATGAATTTCTATAAGGGAAGTCAAAATGGCACTGATTTTGTTTGTTATGGATAGTTCAAAAGTAATTTTATTTATTAAAATATTGCAGTTCTAAGAGTAAATAGTAAAGACATACAATCACTTTCTCTCTGACAAGTAGTTGTACATCTGGATATGTTTTTAAATATTTCAGGCCATAGTACATTAATGCTAACAAAAGTGTGAGAATCTCCTTTTAGTATTGTTAAATAAGAATCTCTCTCTCTCTCTCTCACACACACACACACACACACACACACACACATTTATTTGTTGGCATCTTCTAGAAATTTCTTTGTGTTCTTTCAGTTTCTTTATTCTTCAGTTCCACCCCTGCCTCCCACACACAAACCCCACTTAATCCAGCCTTGAGAAAATCAGACTTTACACTGAGCATGTTCTTTCTTATAAATTGGGTCACTCAACAGTCAGCTTCTGGGCTATCGTCTCATTTTCTTTGCAAATGCTTTACTCTCCTTTAAAGCTTAAAAATTTCCCAGAGAAGAGTCCTAAAAATCTTTCAGACCCAAAGCTCAGGATACAAATGGAGCTGAATAGAGTGTGATTTATAATTGGTAGTGCTAAAGCATTTGGTTTTGTGACCATAGACATCAGCATCCTAACAAGGAGGAAACTGCAAATTCACAGGGCTGGACATCCATTCCTGGTAAGATGTCTTTGCAGAGGTCTTTCTAAGTGACTATTATTGAGAATATGGTTCAACCCTCTATTCATAGTCGATGTAGACATTTTTTTGATGAAGCATAAGAGTTCCCTTTTATAAAATTTCATGGATAATTGAAAATATAAAAGGAAGTAAATAATTCTTTATAGTCAAAAGCAGATTTCTCAGCATGTTTCAAGGGTTACTAGTTTCAGTAGACATTAATAGGCAATCAACAAACAAAATGATCCTCTTGAGAGAAGCACTGGTTTAAAAAAAAAAGTTAAGTTTCCTTACTGCAGGAATTTCTATAATCTTGGATATACTCATGTACAAAAACCTCTAAAGAGTGGATAAATTTACAGAAATTACCAAATTAGTCACCAAAGAACATCTCAGGGGAGCAGGATTATTTGGATTATATTTTAGAAAGTGTTGTTGTAAATGCTGATGGCACATACTTTTTAAAATGGTGATTCTCACCAGGAGAAGCATCTCTTTCTTTTTATTATTTTATTATTATTATACTTTAAGTTTTAGGGTACACGTGCACAACGTACAGGTTTGTTACATATGTATACATGTGCCAGTGACTTGTCTGAGGACATGCTCACTCTTCATTAATCCTCATCAAAATATTCAAATTCATTTGCCTTTACCCTCTGATCATTTTCTATGGAGTGGCCATAACAAAGCAACCTGGAGATTCTGCTTTCTACAGAGACGAACTAAAATGTGTTGAGGACATCACCTACTTATTCAAGCCCCTAAATGCTGACAAACTATCTTACAAGGCTTTTCTGGTTATGCTTCTCTAGCTGCTTAAAATCATTAAATAATTCATAATTGCTATCAGTATAAAATCCTGAAAGATAGAAGTGTTATCTCATATTACTAATATTCTCTTTATTGAGTTTAGTATTATACACATAGTAGGTGATCAGATGGTAGAATGCTGGGTTAAATCCAAATTAAGCTTCAAAACATCCTAACCAGACTTCTTAGATTTAGCGCAAAACCTATCCTCTGTCTCACCCCTTCAAACTCGCAGTGCAAATCAGGCACTTGCTGTCCTTTAATAATAACATAGTCATCCTCCACATCATAGAACTTATTCCAGTTTATAAGTGTGTATTTGTTTATTGATATGCTTTCCCCCACCCTCTACTGGACAGTAAGTTGCATAAGACAGGATCTATGTCTGTTTTGATCATTTTGTCTTTATACAAAAAAAACCTGGCATAGTAACAGGTGCATTGTAGCTATCAAATAATGAAGATTAATGAATAAATACATATATCCATGTATATATTGTCTTCATCTGGGTATTTCACTCATGAGATCAACCATGTAGCAACAAACCCATGAGATATTAGCTTTCCAAGGGGAAAACATAAGTACTAATCATGACTACTAATCATGGTCCTCCTGAAAGTGCATGCTATAGAGAAAAAAATCTGTAAGTAGGGATTTCTGAGAAGGAATCACATTAGAGTATAAATACAAATATTTAGCATTCATCATTATTTCTGATAATAAATTGCTTTCTTCAAACAAATGCTAATGTGTCCATGATCAGGGTTAGGAATCAATAAGAATAAGACATTTAAATACCTAATATTAAATTATAAGTAAATAAAAATATTTTGTTTAAGGTCACTGGTGACACTCTAGCATTTCTCCACAAGTAGTGAAATTTCCCCCCATTTAATAGAGCAAAAGAATATGATTGTTTAATTAAGTTAGCCTATAATACAAAATTAGATGTCAGTCATTAAATATAGATATCCTGTCAAAAACTGTATAAACAAAATCTATCAAACATTTTAAAATTTTGGAAATTTTATCTTCATTTTAATAATTAACAATATTTGATCTAATAGGTTATATAGGTTAATAGATATCTCTATTTTATGATTAACAATCCCCAAAGTATTCAGAGCAGAGAAGACAAATCTGAGGTTTTAAAGTTTGCCCTGAAAAGAAAATAAACACTTCATTTTTAGGTTAGACTTTAGTTATTGTGGAAGCTTTAGTGGAAATGTCCTATAAAACTTGGGTATTAACCTTCTTTAATTTTTGTGTTTTTCCTTTCCATTTTCTGGTTGCAAATTTACATACTAGTACCTTTATTTAATTCAATCAAAAGCACTCTGATCCTAACATTAAAATACCCAAAAATTTTAAATGCAATGTACATGATTATGAATTCACTGAGGAGATTTACACTATTCTCATTAATTTGGGGATTCAGGGAAAGTTAAATGCATAACTTCAGTATTGGCATATTTGACTTGACAATTTTTCTGCTCGACATCTGTAATAGTTGTTAAGTCTACATCTGATTTTTGATTAAATTATCAGAAATATGCTAAGCTCCAGACTGATCATCATATATACATATACCCACACACATATATATGTGTACACACACATACATATACATATATGAAATATAAATGTTATATCTTCTATAGTAAACATAAACACCCTGCTTTGATCTCACATTCTGTGTAGCTACTGTCACCATTTTACAGCACTAAAAATTATTGTTAAAAACAAGAATCTGCATTTGATCTTATAAACTGTATCTCTCCTTTCTTTGCTACCATGTCCAGTATGGCTTGTCTCACTTTCATTATACACAACTTTCTGTTTTCAAGTTTGTCAGTTGTTTACATTTTGCCTTTTTATTTTCATTTTTTGATCTTCATATTGACATATATCTCAGCAGCAGTTAACCTATTTGATTCCTTCTTCTTACTTTTTTTTTTTTTTTTTTTTTTTGGTGGGGTTTAGGGTTGACTTTCATGACTTCACACTCTCCTGGTTTTGTCCCTAAATGGCTGGCTTCTCTTGTTTCATTGCTGGTTCCTCGTTTTCCATTTGGTCTTTCAATGTCTCATCATTTTTCTTAGTTGAATTAATCCAATGAATCCAATTACATGGCTCCCTATAACATCTGTGTTCTAATTATTTCCAAATTTAATTTTACCTGAACCTTTCCCTTAGCCACAGATGGCTTATTACTTTAGCCTCTTTTATTATTATTATTATTATTATTATTTTGCCAGTGGAATTAACTTTAATATTACCATAAAAAAGCAACTTCATAATGCACTGTGTTTCACATTACCCTTGTTTCTCTGTCCTTAAAATGAAGGGCAACATTCACAATTTTAAAATATGAGAACCTGGTAATGAAGACTAAACAATGTATATTCTGGTAATTGAAGTCGAATTTTATAGTTGGTCAAAAGTATGTCACTTTTATTTTAATTTTTAAGATGTTTAATTATAATAATTTTAATTGCCACATAAAGATTCTACATATTTGAGTACAGTGTGATATTTCAATATATGAATGTAATGTATAAATATCAAATTAAGATAATTAGCAAATATATCATCTCATTTATCATTTCTTTGTGTTGACAACATTCAAAATTCATTCTCCTAGTTTTGAAAGTATAAATAAATTGTTGTTTATCATAGTCACCCTATAGTGCTATAGAAAATGAGAATGCATTTTTCCTATTCAGCTGTACTTGTGTATCTATTAGCCCACCTCTGGCTAACCTCCCTTTCCCCTACTTTTCAACCTTCTAGTAACCATCATCCTACTCTCTACTTCTGTGAGTAGAACTTTTTTAGCTTTCACATATGAGTGAGAACATGTAGTATTTATCTTTCTACGCTGGCTCATTTTGTTTAACATACCACAAATTCTTAACATCTCAACTTGGATGCCCAAGAGAAATTTCAAAATTATCATGGCCAAAATATGCAGCCATTTCAGTAAATTATAGTGACATATACACATTAGCTTAAGACAAAAACTTAGAAGTCGTCCTTGGTAACTCTCTTTGCCTCATCATCACCCTTATATTTAATCCGTAAGTAAATCTCTTTAACCTAACTTCCCCAAATCAGTCCAATACATATAGTTCTCTTAATTCCAACTGCTACCACCGTAATCCAAGCTGCTGCAATTTTGTTAAATGAAGAATTCTGTTTTTAATATTGATTATGAACACTATCAAACAATCAGGGCAGGAAAGAAAATAATAAAATTAACTTCATTATAACCACATTCACTTTAATCATTATCAATATTTTGCCACTTTTTTAAATTTTTCCACCATTATTTGTGTACCACCCCTTCTTCTCCACTGGAATATTTTATACCAATTACTAGACATACTATGATTCTATTCATTAACACTTTAGAACTTCAAACAAAGCATATTGCAATTACAAATTTAAAAAAATAAGAATAATTCATTTATATAATTTAATATACAATCTGTATTTAAGTTCTTTGAGAAATATGACTATTGATTTATTTAAATTAAAGTCTAAACATTAAAATTAGTTGACATTTGTCACTTATTCTTTAAGTTGTAAGAGTTCCACCACAGCTCTTAGGTTTTCATCAAGATAAGTTATTGAAGAAATAAATAACTGCCAGTGAGATGCTATGATCCTAAGAACCATCTCAATTATATGCACCATGAACACTTTTTCTCTCCCACTTCCATCCTTCATCAAAACACAAAAAAGTCGCTATAACTAGTATATACTTCTATTGCTGTACTTAATGTTTTATTATAACTTCTTTGCTTACATAGTAACTTTCTGTAATATAGTATAAATTGCTTAGAAGGCAATTAAGGTGGGGTAGTGCTAGCCTAACAGGCAGTTCAAATGTAATAACTAATCTCCTATAGTTTCAAGATGAATAATAGAGGACCTGACTCTGTTCTAGAAGTTAAAATATTAAGGTTTCCTAATTATATAAATACTTCAGATTATTTAGTCATGCCTTTGAATTTTTAACTATAATTATATTATCAGGTAAATTGTATAATAAAACCTTTCATCAAGAAATAACATCAGACAAATTTTGATAAACATAAATCTTAATACAGTCTTAATTATGCTGACATTTTACTTTCTTAATAAAATTAGATTTCCTGAGGGCTACATCTTCTACAGTCAATTTGTTCTTTATATCTAACTTGAAAAATACTAACATCACCAGACAGAAAAGACAGTGCTGTATAATCAGAGCTTTCCATTTTAAATTCCAGAGTTCATATTGCCTGTATGTGTAGAATATGTATACTCAATGATTTTCTCCTGTCTGTGAATTTCCATTGGATACCCCCTCCCTCACAAACACCAAAAGCAAGATCTTTCCCTCTGGCTTTGCCAGGTTGTTAATTGTCTTTTAAGAAGCTTGATTCAATTCTGTGTGTGGGAAGTTCCACATATTTTTCTTTTGTCTTCTCAGGCATTGATCAGCCATTCTAAAAGTATCGGATCTTTTTTAACTTTGTACTAAAGAGTTATATCCTACCCATTCAACTCCCTTTATGTTGCCATGAAATTGATATTTTCATATTCATTTATTTATTTAACAAAATAATACTTGCACGGTTGTCTTTTCCTTGGTTTCACTTAAACATGAAACCTCCAACGACCTAAATCATTTTATTTGTCTTTCAAACTGCTTTCTTAAATTTTTCTTCTGACGTACTTTCAAAAGAATATGCTTGGAATTGAAAATATTTTGTTCTCCTGATATAAAGCATGCAAAAGTAAAACTTATCCTTGCTACTTCTGTTATATATCCTATTTATCTTTTCCCTCCTTTATTCTCTTAGGGGCCTTTCAAGAATCTCTTTTAATACTTAGTAAAACAGTAATAATTTGCTTTTGTACGAGTTCTTGTGCTGCCACTTACCAGCTATTTGGGACAATCTATTTCAAATTATTTGCCTCGTTCTCCATGTGCACATATAAAAAATCCAGCATAATATCTTCTCTGCTGAATATTAGGGTATATTAAATAATATATGTATAACCCAGTCACTTAACATATCTGTGCTCCCTTCTCTATCTCCTCAACATGACCCCCGTATCTTTCTGCTGCACTGTGTTGTGAAAGCCACAGGGACAGTAATCACTCCTTAGGCTCCTTTAAAAATAGGCACTTATTCAGATAAAATACAGCAATAAACCTTCTCTAAGTCTAAATAAATAAGCTCTGTGGAAATGATAAATAAATTGTTTCCCTTTGTATTTACAATTTGTTGAATCCAGGTCTCCAAATCTTTTCAGTGTCTTAATGCCAGGCGAGTGTTGGAGTTTTAAGTTGTTTCATCAAGTTGATGTTTAGAATAGATATGTTCCTATTATTCCACCACTTTCTTGAACACTTCTGAGATTAAAAAAAACAAAATATGTATACATATACATGCATATAAAGAGATATATGCATATATATACATACATAGAGAGCACATAAATACATGTATATTTCCATATAGAGAGAGAGCAACAAGCTCTTTCTATATATTTACATATAGAAGATGACATATACATTTCTCTACATATAGAAAGATTTCTACATATAGAAAGATTACACATACATTTCTCTATCTAGAAAGATAGAGCATAAGCTATTTTGTAGGTATGTAAATATATAGAAAGCATATATAGAAAGCATATATAGAGAGATGTATGTAAATATATAGAAAGCATATTTATATATAGAGAGAGTAAACACATTTAAAAGGATAAAGTAAATAGTCTTCAGTAAGAAGATAATTTAATATTGAATATGTTTCTAAACTTTCTTGCATGTAGTAAAAATAGAGATTCCACCTATAAATTCCTTAGCAGACTTATCAAAAGGAGAAACACAATATTTCTGAAGAGGAAGAGAATTTTCTACAGCATTTAGTTAGAAAAACAATTGTCATATAAGACCTTCTTTAGTTGTTTTGAATGATGCTGTGCATAATGTGCTTAATAAAATATTTATAACGATAATGTGACTATTTTGTGGTCCTTGGCAATGCAGGTCCTTGGTTGAAACTTTTAAAACTTGAATTTCTAAGAGCCCATTTAGAGATTTTCCACCATAAACATAGAGGCCTGTCTTGGAGATATTGTGGGTTGGGCTCCAGACCACTTCAATAAAATGAATATTGACATAAAGTAAAGCACATGAACGTTTTGCTTTCCCAGTACATATAGAAGTTATATTAATGCTCTACTATAGTCTATTAAGTGTGCAATATCATTATGTCTAAAATGTCTAGGGTTAATTAAAAAATACTTCATTGCTTAAAAAAAAAAAAGGTAGTAGTGATCATCTAGATTTCAGCAATTCCTAAATCCTGTTTTGCTAGTGGAAAGTTTTACCTCAATGTTGATGGCTATTGACTTATCAGGGCGGTGATTGCTAAAGGTTGGGGTAGCTGTGGCAATTTCTTAAAATAAAACAACAATAAAGTTTGTTTTGTCAATTTACCATTGCTGTAACAAAAGACTTCTCTTTAACATGAAATACTATTTTATAGCATTATACCCATAGTAAAGCCTCTTTCAAAATTGGAGTTAACTATCTCAAACCCTGCCACTTCTTTATCAACCAAGTTTATGTAATATTCTAAATCCTTTGCCATCATCTCAGCAGTATTCATAATATCTTTACCAGGAGTAGATTCCATCTCAAGAAATGACTTGCTTTGCTCATATATCAGAAGCAACTCTTCATTCATTCATTCAAATTTTATCATAAAGGTGCAAATTCAGTTGCATCTTTAGATTCCACTTCTAATTTTATTTTTCTTGCAATCTCCACCACCTCAGACACACCTTCCTCCATTAAAGTATTGAATTCCCCAAAGACATCCATGAGGGTTGGAATAAACTCCCAAACTCCTGTAAATTTTGTAGTTTACAGGATTCCTCATAATTTGACCTCCCCACTGTGACTTACAAATGTTCTTAATGGCATCCAGAATGGTGAATCCTTTCGAGGTTTAAAATTTCCTTTGCTCATGTCTATCAGAGGAATCACTGTCTATGGCAATTATAGTCTTATAAAATGTTTTTTTTAAATAATAAGACTCAAAAGTCAAAATTACTCCTTGATCCCTGGGCTATAGGATGAACGTTGTGTTAGCAGACATAAAAGCAACGTTAATCTCCTTGTACGTGTCCATCAGAGTTCTTGGGTGACCAGGCAGTAATATTTTGCAAGAAATCTTTTGTTCTGAGCAGTAGTTCTCCACACAAGTCTTAACATATTCAGGAAACCATTCTGTAAACAGATATGCTGTCATTTGGGCTTTATTTTTGTATTTTTAACATGCCGGCAGAGTAGATTTAGCATACCTCTTAAGGGCCATGAGATTTTTGAAATGGTCAGTGAACACTGGCTTCAACTTAAAGTCACTAGCTGCTTTAGTGTCTAACAGGAGAGTCAGCCAGCCTTTTGAATCTTTGAAACCAAGCATTGATTTCTCTTCTCTAGCTATGAAAGTCCTCAGTAGCATTTTCTTCTAACAGAAGAATCTGTATTGAAAATCTGTTGTTTAGTGTAGCCACATTCATCAATGGTCTTGCTTAGATCTTCTGGATAACTTCCTGCACCTTCTCAATCAGCACTTGCTGCTTCACCTTGCACTTTTATGATATGGAGATGGCCTCTTTCCTTAAATCTTATGAACCAAACTCTGCTAGCTTTCCTCTGAAGCTTCAGCACCTCTCTCAGCCTTCACAGTATTGAAGAGAGTGAGGGCCTTGCTATGGATTAGATTTTGATTTAATAGAACATTGTGGCTGGTTTGATCTTCTATCCAGATCATTAAAACTTTCTCCATATCAGCAATAAGTTTGTTTCACTTTCTTATCATTTGTGTATTCACTGGAGTAGCACTTTTAATTTCCTTCAAGAACATTTCTTTTGCATTCACAACTTTGCTATCTCTTTGACACAAGAAGCCTTTCAGTCTAACTAGGCTTTTGACATGCCTTTCTTACTAAGCTTGCTTATTTTTAAGTTTCGATTTAAAGTGAGATACATGGGACAGTTCCTTTCATTTGAATATTTAGATGCCTTTGTTGGGTTACTAATTAGTCTAATTCCAATATGACTGCTTCTGAGGAAGAGGAAGGCCCAAGGAGGGGGAGAAAGACAAGGGAACAGCTAGTTGGTCGAGCAGTCAGAAACCCACATTTGTTAGTTAATTTTGCATTCAGTCTTCCATGGTGTGGTTTGTGGCAACCCAAAATAATTACAATAGTAACATCAAAGACCACTGACTACAGATCACTATAATGGAAATAATAATCATGAATAAGTTTGAAATATTGTGAGAATTAACCAAAGTGTGACACAAACAGAAGTGAGCCTATACTGTTAGTAAAATGGCACTGATAGGCTTGCTTGATGCATAGTTGCTACAAACTTTCAATTTTTAAAAAATGCAACACTTGTAAAGTGCAATAAATCAAAATGAAATAAAATGAGGTATGCCTGTATTTGAGAATAAAACTGATAACTTTGTACTGAGCTTCTTCAAACAAGTTAATATGTTGACATACACAAGCCTACTGATCTAAATACAACTCTCGAATCACGTAAGAATGTTTAGAAATTCTTGTAGTGTTTTCTAAACAATATTGAAACTATATAATGAACTGAATTCAAGATTTCTATACTAAAATGTACGTGCTATATTTAAATAAAACACATATATATTCAAATCAAAGGTTCTTTTATTTTGTAGAACTATAGAACAGGGACTAATAGAGGCCCCCTTTTTTATAGCTTTTTACCACTTCTGAAGCAAAACGTGTTAAATTTTGTAAAGGTAATTTTAAAAATTAGTTTCAGTCTAGTCTGTGAAACTAAAGTGAAAAGCCTTTTACAATTTTTTACGGATACCTTTTGCATATATTATTATATCATGACATTTTAATGCAAGAATCTGGATATTTGCTATGACAAAAACTACCAAAAAATAGAGCTTTATCCTTAAACAAACGTTTCACCTTTTTATGTACATATGCTATATTTTACTGTCTTGCTTTCATAAAAAAAATAAATAGGCTAAGCTTTGTTAGCTGGCAGAGACACAGTATTGAGCTATTTGTGTTGCTTGTTTTTCTTAAGACTAATTACTTATAATCAATGAGGTTTTTATAGGGCCACTTCTTTGAAGAGAAGGAACTAGTACATTTCCTCCATGAGCTCAAACATTACACAAACACACATGCACACACCGCAAGATGTGAATAGGCAATTCATAGACGAAGATATTAAAGCTGAAATCACATTTATAAATATATACATAAAGTTATTCAATCTGTGTTGCCCAAATGAAAGGAATAAGGTCATAATTTTTCAACTATTAAGATGAGAAAATTAAAATAGTAATAATGAACTACTAGATATACACCTGTAAAAGAATGGATTTGGGCTATATCACACTATATTAAAAATTAGCTCCAAATGTTAATAGGCATAAATATAAGTGATAAAACTATACAATTATAAGAAGAAAACATGGAAATAAATCTTCATGACCTTGGATTAGGTACTGGTTTCTTAGGACATAAAAAGCATAAGTGAGAGTGACTGCTATTGGGCACATACTTTCTTCCTGGGGTGATAAAAGTTTTCTAAATATTAATATACTAAATTGTACACCTTAAATATGTTACTTTTTGGTATGTATATTTTATTTTAATAAAGTTGTTAGGTAGGCTAAAATGAACTATTCTACAAAATTTCTACAAAACTATTCTACAAAATACACACATATATATGTGTATTTATGTGTTTTTTATATGTGTGTGTGTGTGTGTATATATATATATAAAACTTTCAAAAAAATAAGTCCATTTCTGATAATTTATTTTGTAAAAATAATTGTGAGAAAGCAGAATCACGTAAGTAAAATATTTCACAGCACTTTCAGCAAATGAAAAGAAATAGATTAAATATTCATTAGTGGAAATTGATTAAATACATTGTGCTCTTCACATTCAAAGGACATAACAATTTCACAAAATCAGTAACTCTAAAGGTTCTCACCTAGATGGTGTCCATGACACATATTAAAGAAAGAACAATTTGAAGATTATATATAATTTTTCATTAAAAAATGAATGTATACAGTAGACATATAGACAGGCACTTACCCACAATATCCAGAAGTATATGCCGTAGTCTGTTAATGGCACTTACCTCAGTATAATATTGGTTTTGTGAGGAGGAAATATTTCACTTTTTATGTCATATGTTCTATATATTTATTTTTAAAATTTGCACATATCTGCTTTTGTATAATTTTAAAACATTGGATCTGGAACAAAAAATGTTCTTCTCTTGTTAGAACACAAGTCTTTGTTGTTCTAGAATTGATTATTCATATCTACCTGTAAGTCTTTTATTCCAATTATTTGTGATAATAGAATAAAGCTTTAATGGTGCTAATAAGTCCTCGTTGCCACAGATAATTTGAATATATGTGTGCTATCTGTTATAATTATGAATAACTCTCCACTTCACTCTCAAAATTATTTTAGTTTTGATAATAAATTATATGGTAATGCTAATTATAATAACTAAAATCCACATCCTATCTGATCTTCTCTAAGTACAGATGTGTAAGGCAGGAGGATCAGATAGTTTAAGCAGTATCAAATCAAGCATACACTATGCTTTTATAAATACTCTCCTCCTCCCCTTACCGATTTTGATGAAAATATGCCAGGAAGTAAATATTCCTGCATCACACTCAGAAACTCGTTGAATATTATTTAAACTATCTATGGACATAAGGGGAAAAACAAGTAATCAATAGTGACAGAAGTACATATATATAGGAAGCAAGTCAATACATTTATTAACCTACAATGCCTTTTAGCTGTTACTTAAGCCACCATTTTGTGGGAGAAATTATTACCTTAGTCACCAGCTAAATGCCTAAACATTTAGAAACTAGCTTCTGAAAATTGCTCAATTCAGGTTCATTCATATAAATATGTTTAGAGCTGTATCTGACACATATTAAATGAATCAATAAATACTAGCTTCTGTCATTTTCTTTCATTGTCTCATCTTCATCACCATTATTATGATATGTATGTATACATGTGTGTACAAAGACAACATATATATATATATTCTCATTACATGAATTCTTTAACATTTCCCTAGTTAGGGTGATGTGTATGAAAAATTTAATAGAAACCTACCATAAATCTGAAAGTTTTATTAATATTACCATATGAAACTTGCATTGTGGGGAAAAGTACACCACTTTGGATTTTCATATTTTTAAAGGAAACATAAAAGCATATCAAGGCACAAAACTAATTAAACCATGTCTCTCTTTACAATTACGACTCTTCAAATACGTTAGAAGCCCACAAGTAGGGGAGTGAAGTGTTATAGATTGAATGTTTGTTATGTCTCTCCCAAATTTACTTATTGAAACTCTATCCCTCCAATATGATGGTATTTGGAGATGGGGCCTTTGGGAGGCAATTAGGGTTAGATAAGGTCATTAGAGGGGATCCCTCATGATAGGTTTAATAACCTAATAAGAATAGACTTTGGAGAGATTGCTTGCTCTCTCTCTGTCTGTCATGTGCGGATGCAGCAAGAACCAAGACTAAGACACCTACAAGCCAGAAAGTGCCCTCTCACCTGGAACCAAATCAGCCTGCAGCTTGATCCTGGACCACCCAGCATCCAGAAGTGTGAGAAAATAAATTTCTGTTGTTTGAACCACTCAGTGTGTGGTATTTTATTATGTTAGCTTGAGCAGACTAATATAGCATGCCAACTGTCCTTTAGAAGAATCCTAAAATAATTTTTACCTTGGTACTAAGTTAACTCTGGAAAGATGGAACATGGGGGAGGATGTACTTGCAGATTAAAATTATTCAGCCACCAGCAGTATCTTTTATATGCTGATACTTATGGAATAATCGTTATGGATAATGGATGCAGTTATGACAGACTTTTAATAGAATCATATCCCTAAATAACACAAAACAAAAAAAAATTTGAAACAAAATAGACAAAACATAATTTAAATAATTGCTTAGCTATTCCAAAGATGTAAACGTGACACTTTAAGAAATGAGGTGATGGCCGGCTGGCCATGGTAGTTCACCTCTGTAATCCCAGCAGTTTGGGAGGCCAAGGCAGGTGGATCACCTGAGGCCAGGAGTTCAAGACCAGCCTGGCCAATATGGTGAAACCCCGTCTCTACTAAAAATACAAAAATTAGCCGGGCGTGGTGGTGGGCGCCTGTAATCCCAGCTACTTGGGAGGCTGAGGCAGGAGAATTGCTTGAACCCGGGAGACAGAAGTTGCAGTAAGCCAAGATTGCACCATTGCACTCCAGCCTGGGGGACAAGAGAGAGACTTCATCTCAAGGAAAAAAAAAAAAAAAAAAAAGGAGTGAGGTGATGGCATTCGCCTACAGCTTCTTCAGCCCAAAGGATTAGATATCGTATCATTGCTGGCTGCTTGAAGGAGAAATATTAAGTAAGTACATCTTAAACATAATTTGGCACTGTGTCCCTGACAGTTAACTTGGTGACTGTTGGCATCCTATATTCTATTTATAAACTTAATTTAGATCCACTGTGAGAACATCCTTGGGGCTGAGAAAAAGAAGTAGTCACTTTCTCACCTTTTACCATCTTCATTTTCAGTCTAACCTTTAGATTTAATGTGTATGGATGTTTTGTTGAATTCTCAGCTTGAGATTTCCACATGCCTGTATATTTGTCCACAAAACAATTGATTATGTTGACTACTGAAGACATGGAAACTATGCTTTGGATGCAGGTTGGGGGAAGAATATTAAGACTAAAAACAAAACTTTTATTATTCAAATGCTGCCTTATGCCACATAATCTCAGATGTCAAGTGATTACTGATAGTACACTGACAAGAATAATGATAAGAACCTAAGCTTTCAGAAAGACAAAGCATGAAGATAAGTACAGCCTAAAATTCCAAAAATTCTAAAATTAAGCAACTTTACCATCCTCAGCATAACTTCTTACTTCTATTTATATAAGAAAAAAAAAACACCTGTTAGTTTGTTGCCATAATAGGAAGTTCTGTTATTTATAATCACATATTTCTGAGACAGAATGGATTTATGTTTTCACAGAATTAATGGTATACCAAAAAGATGAATTCTTATTGAACTTAGTGTCATAAATAAGTCAGATGTCCATGCCAAAAAATGTTTCCCTAACAGTGATACTTATTGGAAGGAGAGTCTGCTAGGAAGCTAGAGATAACCTGAACATAAATTAAAATTAATAAGTGAAAGAGTGAGGACAGAGAAAATTAAAGATGAGATACAGCAAAGGAACTACAGTATTACTATCCTCACCCCCCCATACACAAACCACGTGTTCTCTTTGGTAGAAGAGAAAGTTTCTGAGTTACATTTCAGAATCATGGAGGAGCCCAGTGTACATGAGAGAATAGAACATGTATGACAGTCACTGCTGGATTTCAGAAGTCATGAGGTCATACCCACACCTGATGCTTTAGACAAGATCAGCCCTTAAGACACAAGAAAAAGGGAAAGTATGTCTTCAGGATTCTTATTTTTTTATGTAACATATACTCAACTTAGTTATTACTGAATGTTAAATCAATTTGGGGAATTTTCCAGTGTGTGAAAAAAAAAAGCTACTTCTTCCTATCATGAGGAGTGTATTGGGGCAGGGACAGTGGGGTAGATCTTTAATTTTCATAATCAATGAAACAAAATAATATGGGTGAAAACTGGGGAAAAAGTCTTTATTTGAGTGCTAGCCATAATTATACAGAAGATTTTGGCAGTATGCTAGTTTGCTAGTTTAACAATAAATGATAATCACTTTTATTCAAAAAAAATAGATGTTCTTTTATGCTTTTGAATGACTGTGTCACTTTTTTGGTGACAATCAATGCAAAAGACTACATTTATGTATCAGCGACACTTCAGAAAATAAATCTGTAGCTATGGTTTCCAAAGTATTATGGGGTTTGTTTTCTTTGAAATAATGAACAAAAAGAACAGCACACACACACACAGAAAAAAAAAAAACTAGAAAAATTTAGAATGGAATTGAAGGTGAAATGAGGACATGTGAAACACCAAGGTTTACTACAAGTAAATTAAAATAAATAAAAGAAGGAATCTTTATTACCGGTGTGTTCATAACACTTTGGGGAAAATACTATATTAAATATTCGGGGAGATTTGGTTTTATTTATTTTCAGGTGTGCATATATTTAATTGTAGGACAGATAATTATATTAGGTGGTTTCAATTTGTATATAAGAAAACTGATACTTTAGGAACCAGAAAACGTGTTTGGTTTATTTAAAATATAAATAATACATCTGCGAAAGGTATACCTTCACTTACTCCAGATAACTTAGCAACCCTGTGATATTTCTATGGGAGAACAACTGTAGAATGTAGGTCCCTTGAAAGAATACTGTGCCATTTTTAAAACTGAATGCAATTTTATTTTATTCTCAGATTGGTATGATTGTGTCTATGTGACCATGTCTCTGAAAAAAGCTATCTCAGACTATGTGCATTATCCCAAAACTTCATGATGGCTTCCCAAGAGATGCAGGGCTTCTCAACTTTCCATTTGAAATATGGCCTTGAGACATACAGTTTGTATTGCTATGAGCGAGGAAATAGAGACAAATGGAATCAATGCCCAGCACTTTGGGAGGCCAAGGCGGGCAGATCACCTGAGGTCAGGAATTCAAGGCCAGCCTGGCCAACATAGTGAAATTCCGTCTCTACTAAAAATACAGAAATTAGCCAGGCATGGTGGTGCGTGACTGTAATCCCAGCTACTCAGGAAGCTGAGGCAGGAGAATCTCTTGAACTAAGGAGGTGGAAGTTTGCAGTGAGCTGAGATTGCACCATTGCACTCCAGCCTGGGTGACAGACTGAGACTCTGTCTCACAAAAAAAAAAAAAAAAAAAAAAGATGGATCAAGGGACTGCAATATTTCCGGGTAGCTATATTTAGGTATTGTTAAAGTGTTTCACATAAAGATGAAGATATGTGCTGAGACATCATTGAGCAGTTCGGTCATTGTGTAACTGGCTCAAGTCTGGCTGCTTGCCACTCAGAGCCTGAAAACCCAAGAAGTGAGGTGTGATGGAAAAAAAGCAGCCTTATTCAGCTGGTAGCAGTTGAGATATGGCTGGGCTCATGCCTTTAAAATATCATTCCAACTTCCGGTGCTGAGGGAAGGGATCTAAGAAGGAAAACTTGGTGTGAGAAACAACTGGGGGTGATGCAGGAGTGTACAGGTCTGTGTGTCTGGTTCCGATGATCATCTTCAGTAATTGCCTGTCCGGAGGTCCAGTTTGCGTCATCCTGATTTCAGCCTAGTAGTGGTAGGCTAACATTCTAAATAAAAATAAACCTTTTATGCTAAGTTCAGAGGTACATGTGCAGGTTTGTTATATAGGTAAACTTGTGTCATGGGGGTATGTTGTACAGATTATTTCATCACTCAGATATAATTAAGCCTAGTGCCCATTAGTTATTTTTCCTGATCCACTCTCTTCTCCCACACTCCACCTTCCAATAGGTCCCAGCATCTGTTGTACCCTACTATGTGTCCATGAGTTCTCATCATTTAGCTCCCTAGTAAAGTAAGAATATGTGGAATTTGGTTTTCTATTATATTAATTTGCTAAGGAAAATGGCCTCCAGTTCCATCCATGTCCATGCAAAGGACATGATCTCATTTTTTATGGCTGTGTAGTATTCAATGGTGTATACATACCATATTTCCTTTATTTTGTCTACCTCTGATAAGCATTAAGGTTAATTCCATGTCTTTACTATTGTGAAGAGTGCTGCAATAAGCACTATTTGCCTGCATGTGTCTTTATGGTAGAACAATTCATATTCCTTTGGATATATACCCAGTAATGGGATTGCTAGGTCAAATGGTAGTTCTGTTTTTTAGGTCTTTAAGGAATCACCACACTGTTTTCCACAATGGCTGAACTAATTTGTACTCCCACTAACAGTGTATACGCATCCCTTTTTCTCTGCAAACCCAACAGCACCTGTAATTTTTGGACTTTTTAATAGTAGTCATTCTGACTGGTGTGAGATGATATCTCATTGTGGTTTTGATTTGCATTTCTCTAATGATCAGTGATGTTGAACTTTTTAATGTGACTTTTGGGCACATGTATGTCTTCTTTTGAAAAATGTCTGTTCATGTCCTTTGCCCACTCTTTAATTTTTTTTTTCTTGCTGATTTCAGTTCTTAATAGAAGTTGGATACTAGATTAGGTCTTTGCCAGATGCATACTTTGCAAATATTTTCTCACATTTTGTAGGTTGTCTGTTTACTCTCTTGATAGTTTCTTTTGCTGTGCAGAAGCTGTTTAATTAGACATCATTTGTCAATTTTTGCTTTTGTTGCAATTACTTTTGAAGACTTCATCATGAATTCTTTGCTCCTTTTTATTTCCAGAATGGTATTGTCTAGGTTGTCTTCCAGGGTTTTTGTGGTTTTTAGTTTTACATTTAAATGTTTAATCTATCTTGAGTTGATTCTTGTATACTATGTGGTGTAAAAAAGGGGTCCAGCTTCAATCTTCTGCATATGGCGAGCCAGCAATCCCAGAATTATTTGCTGAATGGGGAGTCCTTTCATTGTTGCTTGCTTTTTTTTTTTTTTTTTGACAGCTTTGTAAAAGATCAGATAGGTGTGCAGTCTTATTTCTGGGTTCTCTATTCTGTTCCATTGGTCTGTGTGTCTGTTTTTGTTCCAGTACCATGCTGTTTTGGTTGCTGTAGCACCATAGTATAGTTTGAAGCTGGGTAGTGTGATGCCTCCAGCTTTGTTGTTTTTGCTTAGGATTGCCTTTGTTATTAGGGCTCTTGTTTGGTTTCTTATGAATTTTAAAATAGTTATTTCTAATTCTATGAAGAATGTCATTGGTAGTTTGATAGGAATAGCAGTGAATTTGTAAATTGCTTTAGGCAGTATGGTCATATTAACAATATTGATTCTTCCTATCCATGAGCATAGCTTTTTTATTTGTTTGTGTTATTTCTGATTTCTTTGAGCAGTGCTTTGCAGGTCTCCTTGTAGAGATTTTTCACGTCCCTGGTTAGCTGTATATCAAGGTATTTTATGCTTTTTTAGCAATTGTGAAATGGGACTGCATTCATGATTTGGCTCTTGGCTTGCCTGTTGTTGGTGTATAGGAATGTTATGATTTTTGTACATTAATTTTGTATGTTGATACTTTTTTGAAGTTGCTTATCAGCTTAAGGACCTTTTGGGCCAAGACTATGGGGTTTCTTCGATACAGGATTATATTGTCTACAAATAAGGATAGTTTGACTTCTTCTCTTCCTATTTGGATGCCCTTTATTTCCTTATCCTGCCTGATTGCTCTGGCCAAAACTTCCAAGACAATGTTGAACAAGAATGGTGAGAGAAGGAATCCCTGTCTGTTGCCAGTTTTCAAGGGAAATGCTTCCAGCTCCTCCCTGTTTAGTATGAGGATGACTGTGGGTTTGCCATAAATGGCTCCTATTATTTTGAAATGTGTTCCCTAGTTTCTTGAGGTTTTTTAACATAAAAAAATGAATTTTATCAAAAGCTTTTTTTGCACCTATTAACATGATCATGTGGGTATTGTTTTTAATTCTGTTTATGTGGTGTGAATCACATTTATTGATTTGCTTATGTTGAACCAACTTTGCATCCCAGGGATAAAGCCCACTTTACTGTGGTGAATAAGCTTTTGATATGTTGCTGGATTCAGTTTGCCAGTATTTTGTTGAGGATTTTTGCATCAATGTTCATCAAAGATATTGGCCAGAAGTTTTCTTTTATTGTTGTGTGTTTGCCAGGTTTTTGTATCAGAATGATGCTGGCCTCATAGGATGAGTTAGAGAGGAGTCCTTCCTCCTCAATTTTTTAAAATAGTTTCAGTAGGAATGGTACCAGCTCTTCTTTGTACATCTGGTATACAATTCAGCTGTGAATCTATCTGGTCCTGTTTTTTGTTTTGTTTTGTTTTGTTTTGTGTGTGTTTTTGTTGTTGTTGTTGTTGTTGTTGGTGGTGGTGGTGGTGGTGGTGGTGGTGGTGGTTGGTAGGCTATTTATTGCTGATTCAATTCCAGAACTCATCATTGGTCTGTTCAGGGATTCTTCAGTTTCTTTCTTTCTTGTTCAGTCTTCAGAGGGTGTATGTGCCCAGGAATTTATCAGTTTATTCTAGATTCCCTACTGTGTGTTCATAAGATTCTCTGATGGTTATTTATATTTCTGTCCAAAAACATTCTTTACAGAATTAGAAAAAAAAAAACTATCCTAAAATTCACGTGGAACTAAAAAAGAGTTCAAATTGCCAAAGCAATCCTAAACAAAAAGAACAAGCTGGAGGCATTACACTACCTGACTTCAAACTGTACTACAAGGCAGCAGTAACTAAATCAGCATGGTACTGGTGCAAAAACAGACACATAGACCAACGGAACAGGTTAGAGAACCCAAAAGTAAAGCTTCACACCTGCAACCAACTGATCTTTGACAAAGCCAACAATAACAAGCAGTGGGTAAAGGACTATTTATTCAATAAATGATGATGAGATAACTAGTTAGTCATATGCAAAAGATTGAAATAGGACCCCTTCCTTTTACCATATGTAATACAAAAATCTACTTAAGGTGAGTTAAAGACTTAAATGTGAAACCTAAAACTAATAAAAACCCTAGAAGAAAACATAGGAAATATCATTCTGGACATAGGCCCTGGTAAAACCTTCATGACAATTTCAAAAGCAATTGCAACAAAAGCAAACATTTACAAGTGCGGCCTAATTAAAGACCACTGCACAGCAAAAGAAACTATCAACAGAGTAAACTGACATCCTACAAAGTGGGAGTAAATATTTGCAAACTATGCATCTGATAAAGGTCTAATATTCAGAATCAAAAGTAACTTAAATCAATAAGCCAGAAAAAGAAACTACCTCATTAAAAAATGGACAGACACTTCTCAGTAGAAGACATCTATGTGGCCAATAAGCATATTAAAAGATTCTCCACACCACTAATCATTGGAGAAGTGCAAATTAATACCACAATGAGATATCATCTCATACAAGTCAGAAGGACAATTATTAAAAGGTCAAAAAATAATACATGCTGGCAAGGTTGCAGAGAAAAGGGAATGCATATACACTGCTGGTGGAAATGTAAATTAGTTCAGCCACTGTGAAAAGCAGCCTGGAGATTTCACAAGGAACTTAAAATAGAACTACCATTTGACCCAGCAATTTCATTACTGAATATATCCCCAGAGGATTATAAATCATTCTACCATAAAGACACAGACATGCATATGTTCATTGCAGCACTGTTCATAATAACAAATACATGGAGTAAACCTAAGTGCCTATCAAAGGTGGGCTGGATAAAGAAAATGTGGTACATATATACCATGGAATACTATGCAGCCAGCAACAAAAAATGAGATCGTGACCTTTGCTGCAACATGGATGGCGCTGGAATTAATGGATGAAGAGAATTAATGCAGGAAGAGAAAACCAAATAACACCTGTTCTCACTTATAAGTGGGAGCTAAACATTGAGTACACAGGAGCACAAAGAAGGGAGCAATAGACACCAGTGACTACTTGAGGGTGGAGGGTGTGAGGACGATGAGAATTGAAAAACTACCTGTCAGGTACTATGCTTATTATCTGGGTGACAAAATTATCCTAGTGTCAAACTCCAGTGACACACAATTTATTCATGTAACGAACTTGCCCAGCTATCCCCTGAACCAAAAATAAAAGTTGCAAAGAAATAGATAAAATAAAAATAAGAAAATAACATGAAGGGAGAAGTTTTTAAAATATACTAAAATGTCTGTTAAAATTTTGTAAAATATAGAAACATGGAAAATGCCCAAAATTAAATATCAAATGATATGAGAAGTATTTCATATTCTAGAAGTAGATGTTTGCTAATTGGTTAATTTATTGTATATGTTTCATGGTAAATACTTTTCTTCTCAATTTTAAAGGCCTAAAACATTAATGTATACTGCTATAGACTTTACAAATACTGTATACTTACCCTATGTTAAATTTATTACAAAATTTGTTCTTCAATAAGAAATTAACCTTGGCTTACTGTAACTTTTTTTACTCTATACACTTTTAATTTTAATTTTTTGATTCTTTTGTTATAAAATTTAGTTTAAAATGCAAGTATATTGTACAGCTGTACAGAAATTTTTTATATCCCTTATTTTATAACCTTTTCCTGTTTTTAAGTTTGTTATATATTATTTACATTTTAAATTTTTTAAATTAAATACAAAGGTACTAACACAATATTGGCCTAGGCCCTCACTGGGTGAGGATTATCAATATCACTGTCACGCATCTTTACGTCTTGTCCTACTGGAAGGTCTCCATGGGCATCAGCACACACGGAGCTGTCCTCTCCTACGATAACAATGCCTTCTTCTGGAATACCTACTGAAGGGCCTGCCTGAGGTCGTTTTACTCTTAATTCTTTTTTAAAAATAAGTCTACGGAGTACAATATAAAATAACACTAACAAGTATAATATAGCAAATACATAAACTAGTAGCATAGTCGTTTATCATCAAGTGTTATGTACTATACATAACTGTATGTGCAATACTTTTATACAAGCGGAAGCAAGTAGGTGTATTTACACCAGCATCACCACAAACATGTAAGTAATGTGTTACACCATGAAGTTACAAAGGCTACATTTTCACTAGACAATAGGAATTATTCAGCTCCATTGTAATCTTATGAGACTACCATCGTATATTCCATCTTTTATTGGCTAAAATGTCATTTTGTTGTGAATGACTATAGATAATTTGAATGAGACAAATTGTATCAATTTAAATACCCCCAACGTTAACTAAAACCACCAAAATGTTCATGTTGCTTTCTATGGTCATTTATGGACATGAATTGGAAGATTCAATAAAATATAAAGAAATAAAATTACTGCTCTTTAGAATGGAGGAATAAGACACGACCATCATGTCCTAGGCTAGAAAAAGACTTGTTAGTACATATCAACAGGAGAAAACCCACCACCCTCTTCTGAAATGGAATTCTAAAAATATGTCCTGAGTGACTATTCTTAGAAATATTCCTACAATTATGTGAAATCTTTACATGGCTTGGGATTTGAGAACATTTATGAATCTGTTTTACTGTTGTGTACAGTAACATGTCAATCTCACTATAATGACTCAAATGTGCTAGCTCTTCTGATACTAATTGCTATAAATGTCAGTGTGTTAGAAATATTTTAAAATAGAACCTACCACATTTATGTATTAAAAACATAAAACTAAGGCATAATTTAAAGAATAATTTTGAAGTTTAATTTTGTCTTTTAACATTGTATCATGGTTTAATGTAAGAAATCAATTACACACATTATTTCAAGTTTGACTAATACAATTATAAAAGAAAGACTTATTCTGTTAGCTGGGTTGGTTGTTAGAACTGCTTAACAAAATATTATATTCTACAACTGGAAGAGTAATTAAATATCTTAGAGTTCAAATTTCTACCTGTTTTTTGAAGTATTTGAATGTAAACCAGATGGCCAGGCAGCCCAATCACTTATAGAGGCAGGAAATATATTCCATTATTGAAACTTCCAGATATTAGCAACTTGAATCTTTCTAATGGGTTAAAACAGGTCACCACTGTAGATGTCCTTCCTCAATGGATCTATTTTTGTCTTTTGGAACAGGAATGAATGTACCTTATTCTCCATGTAACACTCTTTTTCTTGTTGTCTAAATGTTTGCAATTGAAAGGAACATTGACCTTCCAAATGGTTTAACTCTCCACCAAAAATGCATAATACTTGTCCAGGAACAGTGGCTTATACCTGTAATCCCAGCATTTTGGGAGGCCGAGGTGGGAGAATCACTTGAGCCCAAGAGTTCAAGGCTGCAGTGAGCTATGATAGATGGGGCCACTGCACTCCATCCTGGGCAAGAGAGCAAGATCCTGTCTCAAAAACAAACAAACACACACACAAAATGTATGTTTTTTATACTTTAATTACAGAATAACAGGTATGCTTGTATCTAAATTTGGAGGTCAATAAAATTTATACATTTAGAAGAGGGGAAAAATATCTTCATGTACACTAAAATATTACATATGAGTATACATTTATTCCTAAGAAAATAGTTTTTTAAGCCTATGTTTGGAAACTATAACATATGTTAAATAACTTTTAGATAAAATAAAAGTCATAAAAATGTGAAATTTTAAAACTAAGTGACCAAATGTAATATATACGTACTACAAAATATTATTTGTTAATTTAAAGAATAAAGTACTGATCTATGTTACAACATGGATGAACCTTGAACACATTATGCTAAGTGAAAGAAGCCAGTAATAGAAGACAATATATTGTATTATTCATTTTTGAAAATATCTACAATAGCCAAGTCCATAAGAATATAAAATGATGATTTGTTCAGCAGCAGGGGCTTGAGTGGGGGAAGGAGAATGGTGAATAACTGTTTAAGGGTACAGGGTTCCTTTTAGTGGTGTTGAAAATTTTATATAATTAGATTACGGTAATGGTTGTGCAATTCTGATTATGCTAAATAATACCATTATACTTTAAATGAGTGAATATGATGGTGTGTGAAATGTATTTCAAAAATTTTTTTAAAAACCCAAGTGACAAAAGCAACAAAAACAAAATATATCAAAATTTGACACAGTCATAGTAATTCATAATTGGAAATATAGAGGAAAATCAAAGAAACAAACCTAAAATATAATAAAGGTATGGAAGAATAAAGTAGGTAATAGTAACAACAAAATAGGCTATTTTTTAAAATTGCTAAGTTCCTGCAAAAACATGCAATACTAGAATTAGCTCAAGGAGAAATAAAAGTCTTGAATAAATACATCTGTAATTCTTAAAATAGGAATCACATATGTCACCTCCCCATACCCATTAAACATACACACATACACACACACAAACAGAACAACTACAACATAAACAAAACTCAGGCAACAGGCCCAACTGGCTGTACACATAAATTCTGTAATACTGTACAAAAGTAATTCTTATATAAGCCCCTCCAGAGAACAGAAAAAACCCAAAAACTAATCAGTTTAATTTATAAGGCTAGTGTGATATGGTGGACAAAACATGATATAGGGACATGAAGAAAGAAAAACTGGCCTATTTTCTTCCAAATGTAGATTCAGTATCTTAAATAATATATCAGCTAAACTTACAAAAACTGTGAAATTATCACAATCAAATTAGTGTTTAACCTAGATAAGTGAAGTTATTTTGTCATGTAAGTATATGTCATCTGCAGAAACATAATTTGATACATTTCAAAAATGTTTTAATGATAAAAATTCTCACAAAATTAAGAATAGAGGAACACTTCCTTAACTTGATAAAACTTTGTCAAAACATTATAACAAACATTAAATAAGCAAATATATAAGCCCACCATGATGCCTACTGTTTTATATAGTTTTAGAAGATAAAGTCAAAGCTATAAATAAACAATATTATCTAGACTTTCAGTACTTTAAGAGAATAAGTAAAGCTGTCATTATTTGCAGCTGAAAAGATCATCTACCCACAAATTCTGAAACAATAAACTATAAGAACTACTAAATGTATTCAGCAAAGTTGATAGATACAAGATCAGCTGGGTATAAGAGCAATTCTCTATAACAGCGAACATAAAATGCAATAGAAATAATAAACCGCTCTCAATGGCAACATAAACCATGATATCTAGGAAATAATCAAATAAAACAAACAAGAAAACAAAGCCCTCTGGGTAAACATTTAAATCCTGACAAGGACTATAAATGATATATACGCTGTTAGATAATATGACAGATTAAAAAAGTCTTTTATACTAATAATCTATAAATTATATGAAATAACCAATAAAAATTTCATTGGATTTTGAAAATTAATACTTTATTTTAAATTATAAATAAATATGAAAATGAAGGAAAATATTTTAAATTATATATAAAAGAAAAATACCTAATTAAAATATCTAACTATATTAAAGAAATGTGCCTTACCAGACATTAAGACATACACATACTGTAGACCTTGAGGTCACAATAATAACTGTTACGTTATTTTTGCAAAGACAATTGAGTCAATGGGAAATAACAGAGAATTTAGACAGTATATCTGTATATATAATTATATGTATATATGTGTATATATACACACACATTTCTGTGCGTGTTGAATAATTCAAAACACAAGAAGGAAGGGGCCAAAAACAATGTGAAAGTGATATTATTTATAAGTTTGTTAGAGAAAGTAGCTTATATGAAGACAAATAACACCGAATTCCTTTCTAATACAGTGTAATAATTTAGAACCTACATGGATTAAAAACTAAGGGTAAAAAGTAAATGTAGAGGAATATTTTGTAATGTAAGGGCGTAAAGTATTTCTTTAAGAAAAGCTGAAAAAAAGGCTAAAGCAATTATGAGTATTTGACAGCTGATAGAATGGAAAAAGGTATTTTGAATGTTTAAAATCAATTAGAAATTTATATCTAGAATAGAAGGGTATATATATAATACACATTGGCAAATTAGATAAATCATAGCCACAGGACCTATGAGCAAGAATCCATATAAAGCCACTTCTCAAATGATAAGCTGATGTTTAAAATAGGACCGTTCTCTCTTCCTTCTTAGGGGTTCAATTTTCCCTTAGAGTGAGTTTTGTTATAGACTAGAGATAGAGGAGAAAAAGCTCACTCTTGAGCCAAGCTATGGTACGTATCTGTGCCCACATCATCTTTGGCAGGTGTTTCTCCTTTATATTTTTGTAATTAAAATTTTATTTTCATACATGCTTTACATGGGCAGGAAAATCTTCTTAGTGGCAACTTCACTATTTGTGAGAAAAGATGGCTAAAACTGCCATTTTCATGAGTTTCCTTGAGCTCTCTTGGGGCTAAAAAGACTTTGAAAGTATTTCTCTCTAAAGTTCCGCGAAAGAATGCCTTTGTGCAGCCTACGTGAGGGCTGGGAAACGGACTTTCCTCCTGGCACATTTTCTCTCTGCTGCGCTGAAGACTGGGAGTTTGATATTTGCTTTTCTTTATAAATGTGAAGCTGAAAAGCTGATGGCTGAGTTTTAGCTCCCATATCCCGTCTACGGTGCTAAGAGAGAAGATGTGAAAAGCATAATTTGAAAATTGCAACTTCAGAAAACTGAAATCTTCTAGGTAGACACATTCCGATTTTCTAAGGAGCTGCTTTCTTCCCTCATTGTTCTAAGAATACATGTATGATATGATTTTAAACCTGTAGGGCACATTGATGAACTAAAGAGACTATTGTCTTATATATTCAGAATAAAATATGTAATTTTATTAAATGTATTTGGCATGAAAGTAATAAAATATTAGTTTTCATATTTATACATGCTAATATTTAACATGATTTTCTGAAATATACTATGAGTTGCACAAATAATTTTAAAACTTCAATTTAGATTTTATAACATAATTATAAGAAAGTTAATTTTTTGCCACTTTCAATGCAGCTTGTTGTAAAATCCTTTGAAAATAATGCGTAATCTCTAGATGTCCTTTCTATCTACTGAGAAAATTCTCAGCATTTTTGTTAAAATGTTTCATGAGTGAATGATCATTATTGATTAATTATATGAAACCCCACTAAAACGTATGTGTTTGTGTGGTATAAGGCAGGAGACTTATCCTTGGTTATTTAATTTTTTTTTTTTTTGGTAAGGACTACCAGATTAAAAATCTAGAAAGTATACAACAGACTATATTGAAAATGGGTCAATTCTAAAGTTATCCCTAAAGTTTATTTCATTCAAGTCCGGTAATGATGGTGTAAACAGTAGCCCAGTTAGAAAATTGGGAAGATGCAACTTTGCAAGTGGAAGATTAGGGGAACCATCCTTATAATCTTAGTCATAAATGCAGTAAGATATCAATACAATTTGGTTTCCCAAAAAGCTACTATGGTGTCTTGAGGCATGAAGGCATGAAGTACTGCATTCATGTCAAAGGAAATAAAGCTCCTACTTGCCTGGCCAAACTATCATTGATGCACTGTGTAGATCTGATTGCTTGTTTGTAAGGCTGATAACCCAAAACCGAGCCCAGTCAAGACCACGAGGCAATTTTAAACAGCTTATTTCGAGAAATATTTGATGAAAAAGCTGGGCATGTTTAGCCTAGAATATGGGAGATTTAGAAGCGATATGGAAGAAAGCCATAAGTATTAGAAGATAGTATGTAGAAGTGGATTTTCCTCATCTGCAGAAGTGGAATAGTAAAGATACATAACTCAGAGCTTTTGTATGAAAAAATGATGACATAAAACACTTAAAGGGTTATCATGGAGTAAATCCTCAATAAATATGCTTGTTGTTTCTGTGCTTTTATAACAAACTTACAACTGCATGAAGGAAAAATCTCTAGCAAATTTCTGCAACACCTATCAGCCATCTTTATTATACAAATACGCTGTGTTCACATTGCAGATGAAGTAATAAGCAGAAGTTTTACAGAACTGGACTCAACCTCTCTCTGGTACCTCCACTAACTGTCATGGACTAGTTTAGTTCTTAGCACCTAATTACACAGAAGGATCAAACTCAGAGACATTGCATGAAATAAATGTACTGAGTCCAAAGATATTCATTCAAATAACTGGCTTCAATCATTGTTCTAAGAAATAAATGTTATCCAAGGCTGGCCATGGTGGCTTATGCCTGTAATCCCAGCATGTTGGGAGGCCAGGTGGGAGGATCGCTTGAGTACAGTAGTTCAAGACCAGCTTGGGCAACATAGTGAGACCCTTTCTCTACAAATAAAGAATAAAAAAATTAGCTGGGCATAATGGTGTGCGCCTGTAGTCCCAGCTACTCAGGAGGCTAACTGGGAGGACTGCTTGAGCACAGGAGGTCAAGGCTTTAGTGAGCCATGATCGTGCCACTGCACTCCAGTGTGGGCAACAGAGCAAGAGCCTGTCTCAAAAAAAAGAAAGCTATCTGAAATTAGCTTCCATTACCCCCTTTTGATCCTGCTTTTATGGGTGATTCACCTACCAGTTTGTATAATGTTTTTTAGTCTCTATATGAGTGACTGATGATGCTTTTTCAACTGAAAAACACCTGAATTCTAGTTTCAGTGGCATCACCTAAATACTAAAAGTTTTGTGGATATACTTCCACCCCTGCCATCTCACACAGGATTGAAAATTGGGGAAATAATGCTTCATTGTATATATGTTTTTATTACGTTGAAAGTTTTGTGAAGAACTATGCCATTCACTTTCTCAATTTTCCATTGTGGCATATAATACTCTTCTATTTAACAACTTAGTAAAACTGTGTCATAAAGGATGCTAAAATTATTGTCTAATAGTTTCCCTCAAAGATCTGGTCCAGTGAGAGAATCTAGATTTACAAATATCTGTATGTCAAGGAAGATTCTGACATATTATATCAAAGAAAAATAACATTATAGAGATTTAGAAAAAGGAGAAACTGTATTTACTTAATGATGAAAAGAAAGACTTCATGAAGGGTGTGGTATATGTGGTGAAAAGAAATCAAGGAATATGTAGAGTAAGGCAGAGCATGAGAGGTCCTTCCAGAAAGGTAGAAGAGTATATAATATTCTCATCAAATGTTCTTCCTTGAGTAGACTACAGCTCATTTATTTGCCTGGAAAACTAATAGCATAGTGGCAATTATCAGATTTCTTCAATAATATTTAGGCCATGATGATCTCTGTCCTATACATATTTTCCAAAGCCCAGAAGGGTTTTTCTCCAACCCTATTTTTTGCCTCTTTCTGTCTTGCACCCTCAACACTAACTTACCCAGAAACACTCAAGCATACATGACACACACATAGGCTCTTTGGCCATATGGTACTAATTTCACTTCCCTAAATCTTCCACGATCATTTTGGCCTCTGGGCTTTTCGATTGGTTAATCTGTCACCCTGCAATGTTCAGTATTTCATCCAGGCCATGCACTCTACCATTATTAATTAATTTCCTCTCTTTCCATGTCTTATTCTAGCTACCACTTCTCTCAGAAAGCCTTCTCTCATGTCCTATCTAATGAAGCTTCCGGGTATTTCCATACTATCCTGAATTTCCACAATAGCACATTGACTCCATTGTGTTATAGCTGATGACTTGTCTTTATTTGCCTTCACACTGCAGGTGCTGTGACAACCTGAGTCCTATCTCTCTTGCCTCCAGAATTCAGCATTATCGTTGCTAAAAATAAATAATAATATACATTATTGAATCAATGAGTAGAAGAGTTAATATGTAATAGAGATGTCAGCATCTTGCCAAAATGTGAATTAATAGAATGTAAATATATCCTATTTAAGACCAGTGACATAGGAGCAGGATGATTATGGTTTTGAGTAAAATTATTGCCATATGTACAGCAGTTTCTTGGTTATGATTACACTTAGAATTTGACTGAATAGACATATCTTATGAATTTCAGTCAAATAGAAGCAAATAGAAGGCATAAATGAGTGGACAAACTATAATTAAGTAATGCAAATGCAAGGGAAAGAGTCATTTTGTATTAAATACTCACAAAGCCATAATAAAATTCCAAATCTTGATCAGAAAAAGTCAAAATCAAAACCTGAGAAGAAAACAATGTTGCCACTTTATTTTATTCCATTAGGGGATATATCAAATTATCATGTCTATGTCTAAGTTACATCTAATATTTATAAATAAATTTTCAAATAAATCTGTTACATTTTTCATGGTAGTTTGTACTGCATATTTAGATAGTGCAATGGGTGAATCTGAATGTCAACTTTATGGGATTAGGGATATTCAGATAGCTAATAAAACACTATTATGCTTGATTCTTCAGTATGTGCTGAGCCCGTTTCTCTTCTGCTGAAAGGAAAACCCAGGGGATTTGGCATTTCATTCAAATAATAAAGCTGCCCCATGTGTGTCTGTGAGGGTGTTTGCAGAGGAGATTGGTGTGTGAGTTGGTAAACTTAGTGGGGGAAAATCTGCCCTCAATATGGATAGGCAACATTCAAACAGCTGGGAGTCAAGAGAACAAAAAAGCAGAGGAAGGGTGAATTCTTGCTCTCTCTTCTGGAACAGGACCATCCTTCTCCTGCTCTTGGATGTCAAAATTCCAGGTTCACCAGCTTTTAGACTCTGGGGCTCACACCAGTGGCCCCCAGGATTCTAGGGATTTCAGCTTTAGACTGAGCCTAACACTGTCAACTTGCTTGGTTCTGAGGCCTTTGAACCTGAGCTGAGCCACACTACTGGCTTTCCTGGTTCTCCAGCCTGCAGGCAGTCTACAGGTGGGATTTTTTCGGACTTCATAATAAAGTGAGCCAATTCTCCTAATAAATCTTTTTTGTTTTTTTTTCATATATCTCTATATATAGCCTATCAGTTCTGTCTCTCTGGAGAACTCTGACTCAAACAGTTTTTAAACATTTGTGAAAAAAAAAATTATGTTCATCACATTTGTAGATAGTACCAAATTTGACATGCTTATTGATATCCTGAAACGCAGGCAAAAATGTCAAGACAATCTTGCAAATTAGAAAATTAGTCACTGGTAGGATTTGAAAATTTTGTTTCTTCCAAAATTCTTGTTGAAACTTTATCTCTAGTTCAATAGTACTAGGAGGTGGGCCCTTTAGGAAGTGATTAAGTCATGAGAGCAGAGAACTGCTGGATGTCATTAGTCTTTATAAAAGTAGTTGAGGAAGCAGCTTTGTTCTTTTTTGCTCTTTGATTCTTCTGCCACATGAGGACAGTGTTTGTCACTTTTGTCCTTTTGCCATGTAAGAGCAGACACCCCGTTGGATCATTGAACAGCCCTCACTAGACATTGAATCTGATGATGGCTTGATCTTGGAATTTCCAAACCCCAGAGTGTAAGAAATAAATTTTGGTTGTTTATAAATTACCCAGGCTCTGATATTTTTTAGCAGCAGAAATGGACTGAGACGGTTTCTATCTGGAATAAATTTTGGAAGGAACATGGTCGTAAAAGTAGACTTCAGAACAAGCAATTCAACTATAGCATATAAATAACTGGCTGAGCATATATTAGGAAACTCCTGTAGATTACATTTGACCACTATTCACATTATAATGTATGGAATTGAAATGTATTACAACACTTTAATCAGAATTTCTTTGAAAAAATATTTTTCTAAATAGAAATAAAAAATAAGAAAAAACAAGTAGATTTGTAAAAATTTTGTGTTAAATTATAAAGTCCTGGAAACATTAAAAACAAAAGAGAGAGAATGAAAAAATCACCTCAAACTAAAACCTAAATGGTAAAAATAATGTTCATTCACAATAGAAAGTGAAGTGAAGATGGTTATCATAAATTTAGTTATCAGACTGGACCTTCTACCCACTTCAGTGGCTAAAAGACAACTGTAGATCTAGGGAGTTTTGAAAGCATTAACCTTGCTCATAAATATTCTCCCTTTTATGACTACCAATAAAGAGAGCAAGTTTATAAGCAGACACTATAGGTAGACAGGAAGCATAATCAGAATATATTCTCACATCTTTTCCATGCCAAGTTACCTGCAAGTGATTAAATTTTTTATGACAAACTGCTGTGATAACCTAAAGTACATAAAGTAGGTTTAAATAAGTGACAGAAACTATGCAATTATCTTGTGACTTTTCTGAAAAATGAATATGGAAAGTCAAAATTTTCTCCTTAGAGCAGAATAAATAAAAAATCAGAGTTACAGTGTGTTAGATGATAGTTGAATTTAGTGTGAGCATTGTTGTGTCTCTAAACTTATAGAAAGGGATAAACATTTGGATTTTACCTTGTAATTCACTACATAATGCTTGGGAAACAGTGAAGAATGAAACACAGTAGTTGTCTCCAAGACTGGTGTTTTTTTAGGGAGGGTAGACCCTTTAGGCTGACTCTTTAGGGAGGTAGATAAATCACACACTGGGACCTGTCGGGGGGTGGCAGGATAGGGGAGGGATAGCATTAAGAGAAATACCTAATGTAGATCATGGGTTGATGGGTGCAGCAAACCCCCATGGCATGTGTATACCTATGTAACAAACCTGCACGTTCTGCACATGCACCCCAGTGTGATGAGTGGTATGATTAAGGCTATGCAGACAGTCCTGCTGGACTACATAAGAGAAGCTCTTAACGTGTTATGAAATGATGGGCCATAGTGAAGGATGGTACAGCAGTTAGTCAAGAAACAGTTTCTGTGTTGAGTTACAATAGATGAAAAGGTTGCTTGGAGGTCCAGAGAAATGATCCAATAAAATAAGCAAAATTTCTGATTATGATTCTACTTTTAAAACATATTGTATAAAGCAAATACAAATAACGCTTGATGTGAAGGGTTAAGCTGGGGCTAAACAATTAAATATGTGACATATCATGATTTATTCTGAGAGCAAAGAACCCCATTAAAAGAATAAAGAGGGTGACAAGGTGAGCTTTACATTATAAAAAACTCACTATGGTTGTGTAAAGAAAACCTGAGAGACAAGAAAAACAGGCAGCACGACAAGTCAGATTCAACTCTAGGTGCACTAAAGAACACATAGGTAGCTTGAAAAATACAGAGTTCTTTGCCCCATCCCCAAAGACTCTTTTAAATCGTTTGGTATAGGGTTCTCTTTTAAATAATTTGATGTAGGATTCTGGAACAGGTATAATTAAAAGCTCTCCTATGCGCTTCTCAAGCATAGCCACAGCTCAAAAATACTAATTTAAGGGAGTATTACAACAGTCCTGTTGAAAAACTGATGATGCCCTGAACTAAGATAACTGTAGTTAAGCTGGAGAGATCAAGACCAATTAAGACATAGTTTGCAGATTAATTGGTTATTGAGGATAGCATAGGAATGGAGTCCAGGATGCCAGCTTGGGCACATCTAAAACTGGTAAGAGTATTCCCTGAATCACAGAAAAGAGGAAGAGTGTAGACTTGGGATATGAGCTTATTAGAACTATCTGGAGTAGAGACATTTTTCCAAAGGAAAAAATAAACTGCACAGCTCTAAAGGAAATACACTCACTTCAAATTTGACAAACAATGTTGAAAAATTCTAAAACCTTTTGTTGAAAGCCTATTATATATTTCAGGTACTGTGCTAGACTCTGGAGATATTCAGATGGATAGCACACATTCCCTGTCTTGAAAAGCTTATAACATTATTGGGAAAGCAGATATTTAATTAGGTCATTTTAATATGTCATGTTAATTGACAATAATAATTGCAGGTATCATATCAAAGATATTTTAAAAACTGTATTACAGCCACAGGTTGACAAGTTTACTTCGTTGTCCATAGTGTTCTAATAACTTATGAGAAATATTTTATTAATTATTTTATAAAATTTTTATGAAATTGGTATTAGAATCTCATTTCACATATAAGAAAAATGAAGCCCAGCATCTCAGTACAAGAACTAGAATTCAAACTCTGCTCCTTTTCACTGTTCTTAAGAATTACGAGTTCATGTCCTTTGCAGGAACATGGATAAAGCTGGAAACCATCATTCTCAGCAAACTAACACCAGAACAGAGAACCAAACACTGCATGTTCTCATGTTCTCACTCATAAGTGGTAGTTGAACAACGAGAATACATGGACACAGGGAGAGGAACATCACACACTGGGGCCTATCGGAGGGTGGCGGGATAGGAGAGGGATAGCATTAGGAGAAATACCTAATGCAGATCATGGGTTGATGGGTGCAGCAAACCACCATGGCACATGTATACCTATGTAACAAACCAGCACGTTCTGCACATGCACCCCAGAACTTAAAGTATAATAATAATAATGATAATAATAAAGAATTATGCTAAGGAAAGCACTAGATGTAGAAAAAAGCACTTAAAGAAGTCTTAATTTTGTTTTGGAAGATGCATAAAATTTGCCAAATGAAGACAGATAGGAAAGGCAGCCTAGAAAGATGCAAGAAAGTAGATGTTTTTTATATGAAACAATTTGAATTATGTGTGGCTGGAAAGCAATGTAAGTGGGACAACGCTCAAAAATGATGAGTGGAGATGTGAGGGAACGTTAGGCGATGAGGATTTTATGTGAGGTATCTACGTTAGTTTTTGACACTGAATAATGGAAAAAGGTTTAAAAACACAGAGTAACAGAGTAGGTACCAGAAAAAATTAAAAATATAAAAAATAAATATTTTCTTGTAATCCTTTTGAAACGCAAAGAGACATTGCCCTTATATATGTAAGTTGGCAGGGCTTCCCTTATACCACAATATAAAATGTGGTAAAGAACAGAGAATTGAAACTATAACATCTTGTCCTATGGGTCAAGATTCTAGACTGTAACTTAATGATAATTTCTGAATGAAAGTGTTACTTGTTTGATAAGAAAGGCACCCCAAGGGATATAGTTCACTCTAATTTTTATTTCAATAGTAGATTCTGTTCCCAAAAATGAGTCCTAAGGAAAAAAAAAGAAAAGAAACCCAGGTATAAGAGAATTTCGAGATAGATGTAAGTCTATCAGGGTAAGGACCCATTAAATAGGGACAATAAAGAAAGGTTATAGGCCGGGCGCGGTGGCTCATGTCTGTAATCCCAGCAATTTGGGAGGCTGAGGCGAGCAGATCACAAGGTCAGGAGAACGAGACCATCCTGGCTAACATGGTGAAACCCCGTCTCTACTGAAAAAATACAAAAAAAAAAAAATTACCTGGGCGTGGTGGTGGGCGCCTGTAGTCCTAGCTACTTGGGAGGCTGAGGCAGGAGAATGGCATGAACCCGGGAGGCGAAGCTTACAGTGAGCCGAGATCACGCCACTGCACTCCAGCCTGGGTGACAGAGTGAGACTCCATCTCTCAAAAAAAAAAAAAAAAGAAAGGTTATAATTAATAACTGGGTCATGAATGAGATAAGCAATGATGAAAGGGTAAGATTGTGGGGCCTAGGAAGTAGATAAGCAACTAGGCTTCTTGCATTTCTGCAAACTACTTGCAAAAATGGCTTGAACGGAAGAAGGCTGACATATTGACTGTAGCTGACGAATCAGCTTTGAATAAAACACTTGTGTTTGGAAAAGTGAAATGTGATGAAACTACATATGCAAATTAACTAGCTTCACCCATTCAGAAGACAAGGCATTCGGAAGCTACGAACAAGAATGGGTCTGACAATTTCCTCTATTTGAAACTGGGAATCATTAGGAAGTCAGAGTAGCAAGTGAAGAATGTATAGGGACCACCAAAACACAATTTATAAAACATGCTTTATATTAAGAACCAAGCAGTTTCTTTCCATGAAAAAGGACAAAATGTTGGCTTATGTTTTATGACATTGAGAATTTTCATGTAAAATCAATTTATTAAATAACTATTAATTGATTATTACTATTTGCAAGGGTTTTTAAATTGAAAATTTAATACACAAGCAAACTTAAGAGACCTTGCTTTCATAGATCTTACATGTTAGTATGTTTTCATTTCTTCTGTTGTAAATTAAGAATAAAATTACTATGTTATTGGATATAATAAGTACGATTCTATCAAATTTCGTATAGTTTAGTTACATCATGCTTTCTTTATTTTGTAGTCCCTTCTATCCTTTTGATTGTCGGCACAGTCATATGTTAACATGGATTCCTGGTTGTTATTTTATCTCAACCTCAATTTTAGAGAAACTAATTCATCTTTCTTAGCATAGGAAAGTGGGAGAAGATGAGGAAACAAATATAGTATGTGAACATAGAAACATTTAAAAAAAAACTAGTATAGTAATTAAGACAAACCGCTCCTGCTATATAATTTTGCTCTTCATTTTATATCTTCATTTTATTTTATTTTTATCACTTTATTAATTATGTGTTTTATAACTAAACTGTAATTAGAGGGATTTTTGAAGCAGAGTAATAATTAAATGAAATATATCTTAGTCTCAAGTCAACTCCACTTTTTTCTTAGAAGTTAAAAATTAAAGCCTAGGAAAAGTAAGTTAGCTGCCCAAGGTCAGAGTTACAGTTATATCCAAGAAATATTTCAGTTTACTTGTGTCTTAGTTCACTGAACTGCCCCATTACCTGCTTGACACTCCTGTGATTTTACTGCAAGATTTTAAAGTGTGTGGGCTTCATGTTGTTTGAATACATAATCTTCCTTCTCAAACACATGTATTCAAATAGAAACCAAGCTTTGTATTCTAGCTGTGAACTCCTTGCATGCCCTGTAAAGGCTTTAAAATACAAATATCCTAGTTCTGAAAATTTTTCTTCTATCTCTTTTAAAGAGTGAAACCAGTACTGCATGACCTCTGGTGATCTGGTTTTAGGATGTTAGCTCAAAATATATCACTAATAAAGTAAAATTTGTTTTTAATATAACTGAAATTTTAATTCAGGCTTATAGAAATAAGGCAAATTACTATCACAAAAATAACATTATTCCTCTTGAACTATTAAGATAATGCAAAAATAATCTTAATGGAGCATACAGATTATTCATTTTTCAAGGTGATATTTTCAGGCATATTTTGATATAGAACCTTTCACTATAGTTGTATGTAAGCCATCAAAAAGAACAGCACATTTGTATGCCCCAAGCCAGAAACCCAAGTGAAATTGGGACAATTTTCCATAGCTGGTCAGTCTCATTTATCTAGAAGCTACTGTTGATAAAGTGTTTGAGGGGAACAAGAGCTTTGCTTTTAGGTAACAAGCAGATCAACAATTATATTTGTAATCAGCAGAAAGTCTCTCACAGTTTTTTTAAAAAATAACATTTGATCTAGTCAGCTAATAATATCCTCTGAGACTGAGTAAATAAGAGTCACTTTAAAATTTTTGTTACCACAGATAAACCTTGTTAGTTGATTCTTACGAGTTTGAAAAAGTATATGTTTGAGATAAATTAGGTCTAGTAATTCAAAAAGGAATGGATCCCTTAAAGAACCCTGGAAAAACTGTACTAAAACCATCTACTTTAGTGATCCCAGATTTGGGGATAGACACAGGCATGGAGTAATTAATGGGGACATCGTATCCACAAAATACTATTTTTGTTTGTAGTGTGCTCTATCCTTAGTGAATTAGTAAGATCAGTTCTTTAAATGACAAGGAATTCCACTCCTACCAAAAAATTGGGATTGTCACTGATGTACCAGGCAGTTGAACATGAGGAAGGCTGGATGTAGTCGCCCTCTGAACTTTGTGTCTAGGACTGGCTGTAAAGAAGGCTTGATGTATATACTGGCCCCCAGAAAAGCAGATGCATTAAATAGAAGAAATGGCCTCAAGACAGGAACTATTTTTGAATTGTCCTTTATATTTAGTAAGACCCAAAAGAGAACCAAAACACACCTTGCAGGCAGTGAGTGCAAATGAGAAAATTCTACTCAACATCCTATGAGCATATAAGGGACGTGAAGGTAAATATTTGCCTGTCAGGGACAAAGCAGTCTAATCTGAGAAAATTTATGATGGGCTAGAAGGAACACTCATGTTCAATACCAAAAAAGCATCTGTTATGACCATTTATACTTGATAGGGGCATTAAAATAAAGGAAATAGAAAGCATTATCACATATGTAATAAAATCTAGCTTTACTGAGTTAAAGCTGTGATTCCAAAGGTTTCACTGGTTGTCACCTAATATTTTTAAATGACCAAACTGATAATATAGCTAGAAGAAGTTTTAATATCAAGAATACACAAGATTACAAACACATAGAAAAGAAAGTGCCAACAGCAAGATAATACTAAAAAGTGCCTTACCACAAACCAAAAGTAAACAAAAAAGTAAACAGTTTGTCTTCTTATAACTGAAAAGCAACAATCTAATATTAGGTGGTTTCTTTATAGCATTAAAACACAGAATATTTGTAAATTATGGTTTTTATGGTAAAGAGTTTTTAAAACAATAATTCTATAGCTAGTGAAATTGTTCAATAATATTTTAAAAATTGTATTAATAGTAGAATTCAACTATCAGTATCCATAAATATAATACAAAATAATTGTAATGTAAACGATAGAAAATATCCAGTTTTTAGCAACAATAATAAAAAAAATTACAAGGCATGTACATATAGAAAAAATGCGACCCATGCACATGAAAATAAAGCAGGCAACAGAAACTGTTTTTCAAGGGGCCTAAATATTGTGCATAGAAGACAAAGACTTCATGAAAAGCTATTAGAAATACGTTAATATAACCAAAAGTAACTGTATTAAAAAATTAAAGAATAGTATGATGACCATAATTCATTAACTAATGACTAGCGATAAAGATTAAAACATTATTTATTATTTATTTATTTATTGTATTATTTATTTATTTTTTTTTTTTTTTTTTTTTTGAGACGTAGTCTCACTCTGTCGCCAGGCTGAAGTGCAGTGGCGTGATACGGCTTACCACAACCTCCACCTCCCAGGTTCAAGTGACTTTCCTGCCTCAGCCTCCCTAGTAGCTGGGACTACAGGCACGTGCCACCATGCCCAGATAATTTAATTTGTGTGTGTGTGTATGTGTGTGTATATGTATACACATATGTATATATATATGTATGTGTATATATATCTATACACATATATATGTATGTGTGTATATATATATGTATGTATGTATAGATATACACACACACACACACACACACAAAAATTAGCTGGGCTTTAGCCTGAGATCCTGTGTTTTCAGGAATTCACTAGGTAATGTGTGTGTGTATATATATGTATATATACATATTTATATATAATGTATGTATACATATTTATGTATAAGGTATATATACATATATATAATGTATATATACATATTTATATATAACTTATATATACATATTTATATATAAGGTATATATACATATATAATGTATATACACATATTTATAACATATATACATATTTATATATGTTATATATATATATATGTATATATGTATATATATATACATAAATATATATATATATTTATATATAAATATGTATATATATAATGTATATATAAATGAATATATATATATATATTTTTTTTAGTAGAGACAGGATTTCAACATGTTGGCCAGGATGGTCTTGATCTCTTGACCTTGTGATCTGCCTGCCTCGGTCTCCCAAAGTGCTGGGATAACAGGCGTGAGCCACTATGTCCAGCCAAAAAATTAATTTTTAAGACACATGGCAATTTTGTCGTTGAAAGGTACAATCACCTAAATGAAATAAAATTGGTTAGAGAGGCTAAAGAGTAGATTTGAAAAAAAAATCAGTAAAGTAAAAGTTAAATATAAACAGAGATAATACAATCTTAATAATAGAGAAGAAAAAAGCATAGAGAAAAATAAACAGAGGCTTAATGAAATTTGGAGCATCAGTAATACACCAACATGCACATGATGAAAGTGCCAAAAAGTAAAATAAATGAACAGATTTTTTAAATAATTAATAGAAACCTCCCAAATGTGATGTAACCATTAGTATATACATTCACTAAGCTCAGTGAATTTCAAGTAGGATAAACTCAAATAGATCCAAAGCCAGATACACCATAGTCAAAATATTGAAAGCCAAAGTTAAAGAGAAATTGAAACAGAGAGAGAAAAATGACTCATCATGTATAAGGTAACCCCAATAAGATTAACAGAAGAAGACTTCTTATCAGAAGCAATGGTGGCCAGGAAGCAGTATGAAAAGACTTTCAAACTGTTGAATGAAAAAAAATAGTACTCTCAAATAAGAATCTTATGTTCAACAAAGCTTCATTTCCAAAATGAAGATAAAATAAATGAGACTTTATATAAATAAAAACTGAGAAAATGTGTTGCTAGCAGATCTGCCTGAAAAAGAGATCCTAAAGGAAGTTCCTCAGCATGAAAGGAAGTGATACAATACAGGAATTATAATCCACACAAACACAAAAGAACACTGGTAAGAAGGTAAATATAAAAGACAATATTTACATATTTTCTTCTTTCTTCTCACCAACTTAATAAAATTGCATAAAATAAAACATCTAAACAATCTAATCAAAAGGCACAGATTGTTGGACTGGATTTTGAAAAAGTCAACTATATGCTGTCTACAGTAGACATTTTAGATTCCAAAATGCGAATAGTTTGGAATTAAAAAGATGGAATATGTTGCAAATTGCAATTGCAAAAAAGTATTAGGAGTTCGAGACCAGCCTGGCCAAGATGGCGAAACCCTGTCTCTACTAAAAACACAAAAATTAGCTGAGTGTGACGGTGCATGCCTATAATCCCAGCTACTCGAGAGGCTGAGACATGAGAATTGCTTGAACCCAGGAGGCAAAGGTTGCAGTAAGTCAAGATTGTGCCACTGCACTAGGCTGACAGAGTGAGAATCTGTCTCAGAAAAAAAAAAAAAAAAAAGGACTAGATTATTATATTAACATGAGACAAAATAGACTTTTTTAGGAGAATCACTGTAACATGAGATGAAGAATATTTAATAATGATAAAAAATTAATCTATTAGGCAGATATAACAATGAAAAACATGTATGCATCTAAAAACAGAGCCCTAAAATTTATGAGGTAAAAATTGACAGAATTGAAGGGAGAACTTTACAGTTTAGAAATATGCTGTAATGGGCAAAAGAAAATAAGCATAAAATAAGAATAGGAAAATTATTATAATATAATTATTTCACCAGGACGAAAAGTATTACTCAAGCATTTACAAATAGGTTTTATTCTAAGTTATTATGCAAATGTTTCTTAAATTATTAAAAAGAAAGATTTATAATATTTTCTGTGTCCAAAATTTAAACCTATATAAATTCAGCTGGAGGGGTAGGATGATTTGAAAGTTGTTAATTTTCTTTATTTGATGGAGATGGTAAATAGCCGTTGCTTCTTTGAAATTTTGACCTAAGAGACATAGTAATACATATGTTTTCTTTTAAATTTAATGACAGCCATAATTAGAATTAAAAGCAATGTGTAAACCTTAAGGGAAAAATAAATAAAATCAGACATAACATGCATAACAGTGGAGGTTTTAAAAAGACAAAACAAAACAGAAGTTAAAGTTTCTAAAATCAATAAACAAAATGACAGAAAAGCATTAACTATTGTAATAAAAATAAAACAGTTAAATGTCATATTAAAAGACCTTTGGGTTAAAATATTCAACCTTATGCTTTCTTTAAGGGAGCCTGTTAAAGCATGATTAAGGTTAAATGCAAAAAGGAAATCTGCATTTGTATCTACATCTACATTTAATCTATCTATATAAATACGCTGTTATACAAAACAAAATACAAAAGCAAAAATTAATTCAGCATATAGTATTTTCAAGCAGGAACTCAAAATAAAAATGGTATATTAAATCCTTTTTATATTGATAAGTAATCTAATGGTTATTTCTGAAATGTTATTGTTGATATAAATCACACAAATACCTTTTAAAATGTAGACTTCTATTCAGTAGGTCTAGGAAGGAGCCTGAGATCTGTGTTTTCAGGTAGTCACTAGGTAATGTTGATGCTGCTACTCTGACACCACATGTTGAATAGCAAACTTATATACAATTCTCTTTCATCAGATAACTCACTTCTCTACATGCCAATGAAAATAGGAAATTATGCAAAATAGCATATTATATAAAATGTAGCAGAAGAAAATAGTTGTTTGTAATGCTGATCATAGACATATTTACTTATTTTCTTTTTCTAATTTCACATTCTATATCCTATTAATTGCATACATATGCTGAAAAAATATTAGAATGTAGCTTATAAACAAACAATAGATGCTGAATGAGCACCTAAACTGCTGACATAACTACTTCACTTGGAAAAAGAAAAATGGAATAGTATGGGGAATCTGTATAAATAATCACTTTTTTAAAAAAATTTAAAATATTTATAAGTAATTATGGCTTTGGAAGACATCAAAATCAATGTTTTACCGTATCCACAAATATGCTATTGTACACAAATTTTCACTCAGTGTTTCAAAATTTTTTCACATCATTTACATACTGACAAGTTACTAAAGCATAACTAAAATTACCACCCTGATACAACTCTATCAGAAGACTACTACACTTCTTAACAATGAGATGAACATAACCTTTTTTGTATCCAAATTACTCTTTATTCAGATATTTTTAAGCATATCAGCTAAGGAAAAACAAACTAGGGCAAAATTCCATGTATATACTTTTCTTATTGAATCATAGACGAGAAGACGGTGATGGTACATGGTTCATTCAGTAACACTGAAGGATCTAGAAAGAGATGTGTTGATATTTCATAGAATTTTCTGAGATTTGAGGGGGAAAGTGCTTTTCTTAAAAGTCATCTTTTATATGCAAAAATAAATTTTTTGATGAGCCTGATATTTGCACCAGTCATGGCTCAGGCAATTGAACATGTAGTGTTTACTGTATTATTAAGGCATTAACCATTTATCATAGGTTTATTTATTTATTTCCTGTAACAAAAGTAGCAAAATAGCCTTTATGGTAAAATAGCTTGTACATCTTGATTTCAATTTTGAAGTTGACTGATTTTTTAAATTGGGAAATTTATTGAAGACTAATCCTCCATTTCAACACACTGGGGCATGTCCAGAAGAGAGTGAGCAGAATTAGTCATCTTCAGCAACGGCTTTAATAAATAGATATTTCACTTTAAGAAATGGTACAGAAACTTACAGATGGAAGAATATGCAGCATCCACATATTCTTATGATTTGCAGTCTCTTTTCTATGGAGCTTTAACTTCCATAGATGTTATGTGTCTAAGAAAGCTAATGGGGAAGCCAAGAGGTGGAGTTCTAAATTTTCCACCTACTTTTCATATATAAAACATTCTATGAATAAATGCTTTTAAAGTTTTCTTTTCATAAATTAGAAAACTTAAGGCCAGAGAGGAAATGATTTATCTGAAATCATACAGCTAGCAGAGAAATGAAGGGTAATATGGAAAGCAAATACCTATGTTCAAATATTGAAAAAGTTAACGTGAAAGTAATAGAAGTTATTCAATGAAATATCCTAAGACAGCAATACTATGTGGATGGAAGATGAATGTTATAGAAAAATAGACTACTATTCCACAAAAATAATCTTGCAACTTAAGCTGCCTGAAGATCAGATGGGTTGCCACAAGAAGCAGCGATTTCTCCAGCTACAGGGATATTGAGAACAAATCCAGAAAGGCAGTGTTGCTGGTGATGCAGAGGAGATGAAAGCACTTGATCAAAGGAAAAATTGAATGTCTCTTAAGAACGTTCCAGCTCTAAGAGGCTGTCATTTTTGCTTTCCTGGCTGTGGAAGATGTTGCTAAAAGCAAATTAGAATGTGTCCTTGTGCTCCTTGTCCAGACAGCTCTTTCAGGTTTTCCTCTGGTGAATACATTTTACCCTCCCACAATGTCCTAGGAAAAGGATGTACATATAAATATTAGTATATTTATATTTTCCCTGCCTAAATCTTGTGTTTCTCATAGCAACTAAATTTAACTCAAATGCCATTTCCAAATTAAAGTTAGTGGATGCCTTGAAGGTTGTATTATTAACAATTCTCATATGTCATTTGTGTTCAAAAAGAAGAGTAAAATCCCTTAATCCAGTTATTAAGTGTCACTGATGTAAATCAATAAAGAAATTAATAGGTAATTTGGTGTATGGAAAAAGCAACATGGTCAAATGACTTAATCGCTTAAGAATATCTAAAATTGCCTTAGAAATGTATTTGTTTTAACTCTGTGATTTTTGAAGTTTAAAATTCTCTTTTTAATTTCTTGAGAAGTAACGACTGCTAAATCTATTTGTATCTGCTGATTTTTACCAGGTTTAGGTTGGCTTTATCCACCTATTTACTTATATAGGGAAATTATAGCTTGTGATTACTATAATATTACATAACCCCAAACTTTCCTAGTAAGATAATGTACTTCTACATCCTCTATTTGTGTTACTCTTTCCATATTTCTCTGTGAAATTGTGCAAGATTGTCTTATAATTTTATGCTAATAAGCAAGAAAAATTATGTACATTTTCACTCTGGATTCTTAAGATTTATGTGTATGTGGAGCATAAAATAATCATTGGATGAAATAAAAAACTACAACCAAGAGCAGATATATGGGACGGAAGCCCAATAAATAGTGAAGTGATGATGTCAGGCCATCATGCTTACTCTGCTTAGAATAAGCATATAGTAAGATTTATTGTCAAATTCCAACTATTTTAAATAAACTGAATTATTTCAGTTTTTAGAACACTGTAAAAATTTATTTTATCCTTATTAATTTATTTAAGATATAATCTACAGACTCAATTTGTTAGTTTAGACTTTACCAACCTTCTTACTATTTCAATCATATTATATAAGCCGTGATAGTAATACAGGTCTCAAGCAATTCAGTTTATATACTTTTTTTTTGAACACAGAAGACATTTTACTCCAAAGACTCATTAGAGTTTGTTTTTGCCATGTCTAATTATGGAGTTCATTATTCTTTGTGTAAATATAGTACTACTCAAAGTAGAATGGAAAGGGAGAATTCTATTTCTAATGTGACAATGCACAAACCATGGACAGCCAATTTTCTTTTCACAGTTTATCACCACATATGTAAAACTACTCTGTGCAAGGATAGTGGCATACAAAAGCTGGAAACAAAACTGAGGGGTGAAGCCTGGAGACTGTGAGACAGCTTGATGTCTCTCTGCATCAGGGATTTTGGATTATAATATCCTCAGTGCCTAATCATTCGTAATTTAGACTGGGTAGTTCTTAAAAAGGTCTAATTGCTCATCCGCACAATAATTTTACTTTATCTAAAGACGAAATATTCTGTTTTCTGAAACTTGTACTGTGCAGAAAATTTTATTTTATTTTTCTGAGTAAAGAAGAAAAATCTGTTTTTTCATTCTGGATTCTGAGCGATTCAGTCCCAGAGATGCAACTGATCTTGAGAAATTCAAGCTTAGATATCACGTACAATTTTTATAAGTAGTTAATTCCAAATGAAAGGCTGTAATATTCTTTATTTGACTTCCAGCTGATATGTAAGCAGAAAACAGCATGAGACCATGATAGGTGGGTAAAAAATAAACAGATAAATGAAGGAAATTATTGTAAATAAAAGAGAAATTGTTTTTTCAAGCATGGTATTTAAAGCAGGAAGATACCAGAGTAACAAGCATTGGTATGTAGGAATAAAAGAGCATTCAAATCAACACCTCATATTTTGTAAATGCTCATTCTTTCACACTCCTCCAGCACCTAAGAGTCTCAAGTATGCTTCTTCGTGGTTCTTACAAGGATTGCAAAGCCAGTATATTAACTCAGAGCTTGTACATCACTGTCACCTGGATTTTCATTCCAGCTTTGCAAATTACTAGCTCTTTGCCCATTTCTAAACTTTTATTTAAAGTTTTAAAATGTCAATAATAATCAGGGCTTCCCAAAGTTTTCATGAGGATTACCTTTTAAAAAATGCATTTAAAGCACTTACTATAGAAAGAATACTGCAAATGGGTCCTCAGCAGCTATTATTATTATCTGGCAGTTGCATATTATTATACTAATAGGAATTCTAGGTTTCCTCCATATTTAGAGTAGTTAAATTCTGGTACTTTACATACTCAGTGCCCCATTAGCGTGCTCTGTTAGGATTAGGAATTTGAAAGTGTTGAGAATTTTCATTAAATAATTCAGCATAAAATAAAAGACACATGGTATAAACCATCTAAGACAAAATAATTTTTGCTTCCTTATGAATATTCCCAAGGATACATATTCACCAGGCCTAGAAACTTTAAAAAGCACACAGATTACCTGTTTCAGTCTTTTATTACACAAGAGAATCTTTTTTAAAAATGTAACTGAATTCTTGTTTTATTTTTTTTATTTTTTTAATTTTATTATTATTATACTTTAAGTTTTAGGGTACATGTGCACAACATGCAGGTTTGTTACATATGTATACATGTGCCATGTTGGTGTGCTGCACCCATTAACTCATCATTTAGCATTAGGTATATCTCCTAATGCTGTGTTTTAATTTGTGCTTGAGGTCTTTTATTTTTCTTTCCTTCTCTCTTTCGCTTCTCTCTCCTTTCTTTCCTTCCTCCCTCCTTTGTTTAATCCCTTCCTTCTTCCTTTCCTTTCTCTTTCTTTCCTTCCTTCTTCCTTCTTTCAATTTTCTTTCTTTCTTTCTTTTCTTTCTTTCTTTCTCTTTCTTCCTTCCTTTCTTTCTTTCTTTCTTTCTTTCTTTCTTTCTTTCTTTCTTTCTTTCTTGCTTTCTTTCTTTCTTTCTTTCTTTCCTTTCTTTCTTTCTTTTTCTTTTCCCTCCCTCCCTCCCTCCCTCCCTTGCTTCCTTCCTTTCCTCCCTCCCTCCCTCCTTCCTTCCTTCTTTTCTTCTTTCTTTCATCTCTCTCTCTCTCTCTGGTGTGTATGTATTTGTGTGTTAGTTAGTATATTTGTGTGAGTATGTATGTGACTTAGAAACTAAACAAACACTTTGCTATCCAGGAAAATCAATAATGCTAATAATGCAAAGAAAAATTGCACTGTTCAAGTTTAACATGCAAGGGAGACTTTATTTAAAACTACTACAATAGAGGAGAGATTGAACTGAACTCCCTCTAAAACAAAAGACAGGCATTTCTTGAGCACTGGGGTGAGTAAGTGAAAAAGTACTGGAGAATGTTAGCAGGGAGATTGGTCAATGTAGTTGGATAATATGTGTTTGTTAAAGTTATCCTATCCTCTCACAGAGACTGGGAGTTGGGGATTTTGTCTTTCTTGATCACTGCATTTCAAAACGATGGCTTCCAAATTATTTGGTAAAGACTTTGCTGAGTTGTAACATTGACTAGATACTGATAGAAAATTTATATCTTAAAAGGGAAGAGAAATAATTTAAAATTGCAAGTTTGTAAAGTAATCCTCTTAAGGGGAGATTAAGTGAATATAGTCAGAAAGAAACTGATGTAATGTTTAGTCAATTTGAGGGGAGAGTTGAGGTTGTCTTGGTCACTGCTTATAGATTACTCTTTGCAAAGTAAAACAACTTGAAACATTTCTGTCATTTCCTCATAAACTTTTCTTTCCATTATTCTCTCTTACCTTTTTAAGCTTCGACCATTTCAAATTTCAAGTCATTTTAAAATTCAGTTGACCAAATAGGAAACAAGATTTTATTAAAGGATGGCTATATTTAAAAAGAAAGAAAGAAAAAGGACAGAAGAAAAGAAGGAAGAGTAAATTTTCAGGGTGTTTTCTTAGTCCTTTCTAATTCTGCTTTTCTTATTGTCCATGAAGACTCTATGTGTTTCCTTCTTGATATCTTTGGTCAGTTATTGTTTCTTTTCCTATATTTGCCTGGTTGCTTCCCATGTTAGAGAACATTATTTGATCTGCATATTTTAGGTGAAATTATCTGGCATTTATAACAATAAGCTCACTTAATGTGACATCATTGCCATATTTCACTGGCTTGGTCTTGATGTATTTATTCATGCTATCAGCATAGATTTAGAATGATTCATGATTCCTATGATTCATGATTCCTGTGATATATTCTGCCAAATATTAGCAATTGCTATGTGTTTTTTTCTTTTTCAAACACTATTTTAAGCACTTTGGCTTGATAATCTATTTAATCCCTGAAGTCTTCAATGAAGCACATTCTGTTATTACTCATACACATGAGAAAATGAGACACTGAGATAAAAACATCACGTAGTTTTTTAATATGAGAGGCTGCATTCCAGATCAGGTTTCTTTTAACCATATTCCATGCTTCTAATCACGATACAACAACCACATCTTTGCTTACCAGCATTTTTGCCTTTCTCTCTTCTCTGCAATGCTGCATCCCTTTTTATTTCCTTCTATTTTCCTCCATTTTTTTCTCTGTAATGTTTTTCTCTTTCCCTGTAATACTCTAGAAGTTGGAGATTTAAAGTTCATTTGGACAGATAGCCTGCATTCAAATAATTGAAAATCTTCATCTTTATTTTAGCACAATGTCATATATGTTATTTGTTACATATGTATGTAACAAATTGAATCAATGAATGAAGTAAAGGAACCTATACTCCTATACTTTACCTAAAAGGGGTTTAATTCCTCTATTACATTTTTCTAATTTAAAAAATGGACACCTGGCATGGTGGCTCATGCCTGTAATCCCAGCACTTTGGGATGCAGAGGCAGGTGGATCACGAGGTCAGGAGTTCGAGAGCAGCCTGGCCAACATGGTGAAAACCCATCTCTACTAAAGATACAAAAAAATTAGCCAGGCATGATGGCATGTGCCTGTAACCCCAGCTATTCAGGAGGCTGAGGCAGGAGAATCACTTGAACCCAGGAGGTGAAGGTTGCAGTGAACCGAGATCATGCCATTGCACTCCAGCCTGGGCAACAGGGCGAGACTCCATCTCAAAAAAAAAAAAAAAAAAAAAAGGAAAAAATACTAACTTATCAAGCCATATTTGACACAGGTCAATTTTTTTCTATAATCTAAAAGGTTTACTTGATATTACAAAAGTTAACTTATATAGTTAGGAGAGGTAGGGAATGAGTAATCAACAAATTTGAGATTTTCTAAAGATTTGTTAAAGAAAAAACACGCGTACAGACAGTGCCGAATTGCCAATGCCAAACATTCTATTTTTGGAGGTAATTGACAAAGTGAAAATTAAAAAGTAGTTGTCCAAACAGACCAAGGATAGTAATTTTCTTTTATAATGAATTGTAGATAATTTTTAGAGTGTATATATAAAAATAGAGGAATGGGTAGAACAGTTGATATCAAAGGAAAAAGTGGTAAATGCACTTAACCACCAAATTACTTGTTATATATATGAAATTGTTTGACATATTAGATATGAGTATTGCAATCAACTTATTTTTAACTTCCATGGCTACTTATAAATATAATTGAAATAAATATAGTAATTTTTTAAAAGAATCGTATGTTCAATCAGAAGAAATTGATGGGACTGGTTAAAGAAAAACACCCTATAAGCAATGAATAGATGCTTTATCTTTTCACAGAACATTTAAGCATCCATGCTTTTGCTATTTATTTGCTTAAGTCATTTTTACTTAAATTTGCCTCTTGAAATCATTAACAATTTTACTATGGTGAATAGTATAATTAATTGTTTATCTGAAAAAAAAATCAGCTGGTGCCTAAAATGATAACACTTCTGCTCTTTTTCAGAGTTTTATACAAATTAAAGTGTTATTCATTTGTAAGTACGAATTCTTATATTACTCATATTTTTTTAAAATTATGACTTCATGAAAACTGTAGTATACCTTATTTAAAGGCAAACATTATTTTATATATTTTAAAATGAACAGATATGTTAATTTGGGGTTTTTCAAGGCTGCGGAATCAGACCAATTTCTAGAAAAAACAGTCCTTTCAAGCAAATGCATTCTGTGTTACTCCCAATATGCTAGAGGCATAACATGCCTTGTAAATTCTGTATTTCATGATTAGTTGTATTACTAGAGTTAGAAATAGAAGAAACATGCAACAATACAGGATTAAGGCTATCTTTGAATTAAATTATCAAGTATCTGAATGTTTACTTTGTTCTGTCAGATGTAAAATAAAAAGAGGAAAAAGAAAGAAAAAAAAGACCCTCACTTTTAAGTAACACATAAGAAGAAATAAATGTAAATTCTGTGACAGGCATTATAATAAGTAATTTACTTATATGTATATACATGTTTATTCTAATTTACCCCCACCCCAGATTTATGAACTAATGATTGCTATTACACCTACTTTATAGATAATGGAACTGAAATTCAGAGGTATTTTAATTCATGGTCATGCTGTGATTATACAGTTAGCGTATCAGAAATTGCAGTTACAAGTAAGAAACTTAAAAATTGATGGCTTTAACAAATGGGGTTTTATTTTGCTCAAATGATGAAAAGTCCGGAGAAAGTCATTTCAGGCCCACGATGATGGCTTCATGATGCCATCAGCGTTCTGTACTTCTTTGTTTCTAAGAGCTCAGCCATCGCTCAGCATGTGTTTTTATGCTCACAATAAAATCTTTCATACAATGTTTTCTTTCTAGACTGGGAGAAAGAAAATGGAAAAACTCAAACATAAATACTGTTATTTTACTCCTTAATTTTAAAAAGCTTTTTCAGCTTACTTTTTAATTTTAGGAAGCTTTTTAAAATTACTTATTTCTTGAGGAGTAAGAAACTTCTTAAAATTAAGGAGCTTCTTCTTAATTTTAAGAAGCTTTCTCAGAAATCCTAGGCAATAACTTCCTTTTACATCTTACTGTCCAGAAATATTTCATGTGGTTCATAATATACTTTTTGTTTTCATAATTTGCCACTAGCAACAGTATCATAATACTTTATGATAAAGAAAAATGTGAAAGTATATTATTCAGGTAACCAGAAATCTTATCCATAGTCATTAAGAGGCAAAGGTAGGATTTGAAACTTGGTTTGTCTAATTCCACATGCATGCATATGTTTATTGCAGCATCATCCACAATAGCAAAGATGTGGAGTCACCCTAGGTGCCCAGTGATGGTGGGCTGGATTAAAAAAAAAAAAATGGAAAAGAAACACACCCATGAAAAAGAAAGAAAATCATCCAGGTTTTCCTTTGCAGCAACATGGATGCAGCTGGAGGCCTTATCCTAAAAAAATTAATGCAGAAACAGAAAACCAAATACTGTATGTTCTCACTTATAAGTGGAAGCTAAATATCGGGTACTCACTGACATAGAGACAGAAACAATAGACTACTAGAAGGCAGAAGGAGGGAGGGGGACAAAGTTTTAAAAACTAACTATTGGGTACTATGCTCAGTACTTTGGTGACTGGATCAATCACACCTCAAACCTCAGCATCATGCAATATACCCAGGTAACAAACCTGCACATATACCCCTGAATCTAAAATAAAAGTTGACATTATTTAAAAAAGAAAGAAACTTGATTTGTCTGATTTCTAATCCAGAAATTGTAATCTTTATAGAAAAAATTTTCATTTTCTTGGTATATAGCACCATTTAAAACCTTAAATATAATTAATACCATAGAGTGCTTTATTAATGCTATATTAAATGTTTGATTACATAAGTTTGAAAAAGATGCATATTCATTAAATCAATAGGAATTAGAAAAATCTTGAAAATACATATAAATGTGTTGACACAGAGCATATAGAATATTTTAATTTCTTACTTGATTTTTATTTTCCTTTATAACTAAAACCCACAATGTATTTGCAATTAATTTAAACAATTAGTTTTAAAAAGTTATTAATTTTTCTTGAGTGAATTGCAATTTATTATAAATAGAACCTATTTTGAAACTTCAAGACTAGGAGATATATACACTATAGATATGAGACAGTTGACTTCAGGTTTTGGATAAAGTTAAATACTACTATAGCAATTTTTATTTCTGATGATTTCCATTCTTCTATTTTTATAGAGCATAGAAGCCCACCTCTGCACAATTGCAAAGGACAAAATTGTTGTAACTACTCAAATTGCTTATGGTTTCAACTTTTGATTCTTTGCTCTACAAATACCTATTCTATAAACCAATTTACTTGACTACTGATGTATAGTAGAAATAAAATAATTCTGTGATCATGATCATATGAATTGTAGTTCTTAATCCATGTCTGAAAGTCAATTGGTTCATATAATACATTGATTAGGTATATTGAGCAGTAGTTAAGTGTCATCTGGAAATGAGTTGGTAATTTACACAGAATACAAAGATATATACATTGCAAACCTTAAAAAATTATCAAATCATACATTATAATTCTTCATGTCCAATACTAACTGATGACATATTTTATACTAGGCAGTAGTCTTTTAACCTGATACTGTCTTTATCCCAGAAACTGCTGAAAATATTTGCTACAAAATACATCTAAGCAAGAACTATGGTAATTATACTATGTTCATGGAATTTACCTTAGTGATCAGTATGAAACAGGGATAAAATAAGTGTGAATGAATTAGTTAACAGATTTAGTAAAATGAATTGGTTAAAGACTATTTAAATATCCAGGTTTTTTTATGATTCTTAAAAGTAGTACAGGATATTCTAGTTGCTATTTTCTGTTTAATAGGATTAAGATATCCCTAGTTCCCTGATGTTTAATGATGTTACAATGTAATCCACAGATGTTTAGGCGCACATCTGCAAGTCTTTTTTTAATTCAGTTCTGGGAGACCAGTTAACTTACTGAAAAGGAACTTTAGATTTTATTACATTCTGGTGCTGTTTAAGGACATCATTGTTTAAATCCTTTCTAATTGTTTCAGAAGTTGTAGATCAGGCAATTAGAAATAAAACAGCTGTGTATCAGTTGCCTACAATACTGAAAAGGTTCCTTTTCCTTCTCTGTTGCTGTCCCATCAAATAAATAGGCTGAGAGTTTACCTGTGATAAATGCACTGTATTTAATACAATGGGGCAGTCCCTTAATTTGAGCACCTAGCATAGCGTCAACCTAAATCTTCTGCTGATTTAATTAGCAAAAGCTCCATGTTAATCACTTTGCAATTAAACTTTTGGAGTCTCACATTGAAAAAAGTATAATCCTTTCACAAAACAAAAAAAAAATTAAAATGAGCTCAGTAATAATTTGCATTTTTTTGCAAATGTGATAAACAGCTGATGAATTATTCAATACTTAATGTTCATTCTGCAGACTTAATGAGCCTCTCTAATTTGACTTCCATACCACATTATAAATTTTATTCCATGTTTATGAATAGAAAAGTGTTCATTACCAAAAGGCATTCATCAATATACTATATGTCATTAATAAGGAAAGCTCTTTTTTAATTTAGCAGAAAATTTTGTTCTAGCATTACAAACAGAATTTCTTCCACTATAAAAATAGTTTTATCTCTATTATTCATTTTACTGCCATATATATTATGAACCAAGTATAAGAAAAAAACTATTTTGTTATAATGATTTGGGATGTTTTCCTAGATTGCATTTGTTGAACAATCTCATAGAATCCAGTTATACATATTTCTCAAAGCTCTGAGGCAGTTTTAGTCCACCTCAGTCTTGTACAGCATAATCTAAAGTTCTAGCAAGTTAGATCCCTGTATATAGAAAGCCTAGCACCATTAAATTTCTTCAAAAGTAAAGAAAGAATTTCTCAATCCTTGGATGTATACCCTTTCACTGGCCAAAAAAAAAAAAAAAAAATTCTCCCCACTTATTATTGAATACAATCCTGTCATAAAAAGAACAAACAAACAACAACAAAGTAAACAAAAACAGTGATCCTAGTTTGTGCATCTCCAAAACTCTACATTTCATTTAAATGGTAACAGGTATACTAATAATCTAACATCAATGGGAATATGCAAATATTTGAGGGCCGGGTGCGGTGGCTTACGCCTGTAATCCCAGCACCTTGGGAGGCTGAGGCAGGAGGATCACTTGAGGCCAGGAGTTTGAGATCAGGCTCTCCAACATGGCGAAATCCCATCTGGACTAAAAATACAAAAATTACCCAGGTGTGGTGGCGCTCTCTTGCAATCGCAGATACTCAGGAGGCTCAGGTGGGAGGATCGCTTGAACTCGGGAGGTGGAGGCATCAAAGAGTCAAAGACATGCCACTGCACTCCAGCCTGGGTGACAGAGTGAGACTCTGTCTAAAATATAAATATAAATATAAATATAAATATAAATATAAATATAAATATAAATATAAATATAAATGTGCTAACCTTCATTGAGGATTTATTGTATACTTGATTTTATTTATATGCTTAATGCACATTTCTTATTTAACTCTCACAACAAAGTTAGCAGTTATGTGCTATCAAATCATCTCATTAAGAGGAAACAGAGGCTCAGAGAATTGATTCACGTTCCCTGATAGTCATCAGGTCACTGATGGAGCAAATACTTGGGCTTTGTTCAGCTTGACTCCAAAGCCCACATTGGTCCTCCTAAGCACCGCCACCTCCTCTAAACCACGCTGGACATGCTTTCTTCTGTGCTGCAGCCATGATTCTATTTTGAATCATTTCATTTTGGGCGATACAAACTTTGTGCTCTTCTACCACCTAATGTTAGTGAAATGGTTCATAAAGAATAAGCAAGTTCTGATTTCTTCTAACTACAACAGTGAGAATGATGTGGTTATCTAACATAATCTGATTATAGTTTATTTGTATGTAATAAAAATATTCTTTTTGCAAGAATCTTTTCCAGGTGTGTCTGAGACAGACAGTTCTCACATTTTTTAAAAGGAGTGTGGCTCTCTGTAATCCCTAGCTGATTTTTTTTTTTTTTTTTTTTTTTTTTGCTGAGGGAGACATCTGAGAGATTAATAGAAATAAATAGAGAGATGAATAGAAATAAATAGAGAGATGAATAGAAATAAAAACCTATTAAAGCCACAGTACATAGGATGTATGTCGCACATTTTACTATAAAATTTAAACGTAAGATTTTCAAAAATGAATTAGACTAACCAAAATATCTTCTACTTTCTCAACTTTGTATTTATGTAAAGTAAAAATGAAATAACTTTTAAGAATATATCTCAAGTTTTTTCATATAATAGGAGCTCAATAAATATTTCCCCCTGCCCTCATCTAAAACCTTATAAGTGGTACCCAGCAGCAGAGTATACAGTTAGAATTATGTTTTTTCTATGAAATGTGCAACTATCACTCATCACATAGGTCTAGAAGAAATGTGTGCCTGGTTCCAGCGGTTTTGTTTTTGTTTTTGTTTTTGTTTTTTTTGACTACATTGGTAATTGGGAATTTAAAAATTTTTTGAACATGTGTCTCATCTTGTATGAAGAGTTATAAGTATGAAAATCAGCCTAATTATGTCTTTTACAATGAGAGAATAAAAAGGAATATACACAACTAGGGTAGATACTCCAAGTGGATTTACATTTGGAACAAGAGTCTAGAAGAGAGAATAGGACAAATTCTATGCAGCAAACGATATGCAGTCATTTCTTAGACTAGATGTTAACAAGGTGCTTTCATGGATTTTTTTGTAGTCAACTCTTCATTATCATTCAGCCCTTTTCTTGGTCTTTCACAGAGTTTTAGTAATGAATTATGTATAGTTTTTGTAATGATTTACATATAATCATTCTAACACGTATGTATGTACACATAATATCACATATCATTATATGTAATATACATGAATATTATGTTCGTATATATATTCATATATACATTCATTCTCCTGGGTCTATTTTAACTTATTTTAGTGTTCAAACAAGCCAGCATACAATGTGATTTCTTAACCAGTTTGCCAGCAACCGACTTACACTCTGTCCCTTTATTCTCTGCTAGGCCAATGGGCTCTGTTCTTTTTACACAGGGATCTGGATTCTGAAAAGAAGGTCAACTTTAAGAGACAGTGTAGCATTTTGGTTAAGAGCAGGGACACTGGGAGGTCGCTGGGTTGTGTGAGGAAACTATCAATAAGTAAATGCTATCATTTGCTGTCATAACATAACTTTTAATATTCCAAATAACCAGACTATTTGGCACCCCATGCCCAACACACCTAAACCCTAATTCTAAATTTTGTTTCCCTCATAAGGGAAAGTAGACACTTTTCATCTTTCTCATATTCAGTCTTGTTTAGAAGAAAAATAAAGCAGATTGTAATTTTAAGTGAAGTAACCAGGGGAAGTCGATGTATACCTTACTTTTTTTTTTTTTTTGAGATGGAGTCTCGCTCTGTCGCCCAGGCTGGAGCTCAGTGGGGCGATCTCGGCTCACTGCAAACTCTGCCTTCCGGGTTCACACCATTCTCCTTCCTCATCCTCCCGAGTAGCTGGGACTACAGGAGCCCGCCACCATGACCAGCTAATTTTTTGTATTTTTTTTTTTTTTGGTAGAGACGGGGTTTCACCGTGTTAGCGAGGATGGTCTCGATCTCCTGACCTTGTGATCCGCCGGTCTCGGCCTCCCAAAGTGCTGAGATTACAGGCGTGAGCCACCGCGCCTGACCTACCTTGCTTTTAAATTGTTTTTAATTTTGTTATTTTATTCTTTCATTAATTCAAATATATATCTATATAGAGAGAATGCCTATCATATTCTAGACACTAACAATTAAAGATGAGTTAGTGAAAAAACAAAAGTCCTGCCATCATTGCAGTAGCCTTATTGAGATACCAACCTCTGGACTTGTATGGACAGACCAAATGAAGCCTGCCAGCTTCTTTGTATCTTTTCTACCACCACGCATAAACCTCATGTCTTCTGTGGTCTTCTCTTCAACCCCACCTCCACTCCTCCTCAATCACTTAGTAGCCTAAATTCTGGCATAACTTCTAATTATCCTCCAGTATTTGTGATGTTTGGAAGTTGTTCTTTTTATTTAATTATGAGTTCTTGTGCTGAAATTGTCAACCATTTATTTCTGTTCACCAAAGAAGTAAACAGCTGGATACTTTCCATTCTGTAATTATATATCTGATCTATTGCTTCCCAAAGTGGTTAAATATAGATAAATGACTTCATACCTCACAATCAGAGAGCCCTCAGTAAAGTTTTGTTGCAGTATTGGGTTTTTCCCAGTTGTTTAGATCTCCTAAGATAAGTTACTAAATGAAATTATCTTTATATTGGTAATTTACTGTGCTCTGGCATGTGTGTGTATGTGAGCTCCTTGATGACAAGGTTGGTGGTGACATTAGTATCCATGGCACCTACCCTCCAGCCTGCAATTACACAAAAGTGAAAATGGCTTTAAAACAAGTACAACTTCTAAGGAAAATTTAGAGAATTCAAAACTATGATTGAGAAGACCAAGAAAGTACATAAATACTTGATCCTAACTGGCCAGCAACCTCACAACCACATTCAGAGTTCCAGATAGAAAAATAGCTACCACTAACAGAAAACTAAAATGAGCTAAGCACTTGTGTGCCTTCCACCTACATAATCTAACTTCATTCTTCTGAAAGCTCTGTGAAGTAGATGCTATCATTCCTTTTTATCAATAAGGAATTATTTTCTCACAGCCCAGGAAGGGATAGGGCCTGGGTGTGGAGGTTGATGACTCCTACTTTCTGTCTTCAGCACCTACATGGAACACTTAGATGTTCTCTCTGGGTATCCTTAATGCCAAAAAATTACAAGGACAGCATAAACATAGGTAAATTTACTGAAAAATGGAGAAAATATGTGCCTCTTTCCCTGCCTCATCTTCTATTCGGTGTTTATTTAACTGACTTGCCTGTTTTTAAACACAGTAAGAGGACCTCACTATTGTTTTTAATGAAAAAGTTCTCAAGCATACATCCTATGAAACTGTATTTGACTGGACCTGTCCAGCTGCCATCAGCCAGAATTCAGAACTGAGACTTGCTTGTAAATCAGTAGCCAGTGTCAAGTCTGAAGTGAATTTTATATCTTTTACTTTTGTGAGTCATCACTTTTATGTTTCACTGAATTGCTTAAACCAACAGAAAATATTTTTCCAGCTTAGCTTTTTTTTATTTACTCTCATGTTTGCACTTCATATGCTGTTTTACTTATCACACTCTGTTTTAAATAAATGATATATATTTTTCTACTTTAAAATTTAGAATGTTAAAAAAACAAACCAACCCACAAGAACAACAACAACCACTTCTGTTCTTTTGTGTTGGCTGGGTCTGCTGAAGAAAAAACATTTCTTAAGAGACCTTGTCTCTTAAGAGACTGATGAACATAGCAGTGACATACAGGTAAGGGGAGAACAAAACTCTGAATGAGCCGCTTTCAGACAAACCTATGCCTATTTTATTTAAAGTTCTGTCTTACTCTTACAAGGAATTAAACCAATGTAATATGATTTCAGAATGATGATTCTAACACTGCACGTTAGATAGTTAATGAAGATAAAATTTAGCCAATTTATAATTAGTCTTGTTCAGGGGCAGAGAAATGAACCACAAGGAATTTATAAATGCATTTTTTGTATTGATCTATACCTTTTCCATGTATATTAAATTTTCCTTTCATTTTTTACAATATGCCTCTCAATCCAACAGTATTAGCTCCAATCACTTTTCTTTCTCAATTACCATTTGTGGAGATGTAAAAGAGAGGCCAAACCACAGAGAATTGATGTGAGAAAGGAGGCAAAGTTTTAAAGCAGTTCTCTGTACTTTAAATAGAATAGCAAGTCAACAGAAGCATGTATGTTCAATCATAGTCTGTAGAAACAAAGAATCTAAATTTTTCCTATTCAATTTCAAACATAAAATTACATATCACATTACCCCATCTCTCTCACCTTTGCTATCTGCTCTTGAAGCCATTATGCTTCTGTTTAGTTTTTCATTTTGTTGTGTTTTTTAGAGTTGTATTTTTTATTTTTAGAAAATTCACATACATATTTTCTTTCTACTAAGACACCTGAAGAGTTTAATTTTCTAAATAAATTCTAAGAAAAATATATAATTTTCTCAGAAATAACAAAGACTCTTTTTCAGATGCATTCAGATCACCTCCCAATCAACTTATTATCTTAGTTTTTGTTACCTAAATTTCAAAGAAGTAATGACCATTAAAAAGTCATACATTTTAATAAAATAAATCTTGAATCTTGATTTTCCCATGCTTAATAAAATACAAGTGACCTTGTTTTGGATTATTAAGTTTAGGTACTCCATTTTGAATTAGATGGAAAACTGTGAATGGTACAAGCAAGATGCCTTTAGTGTTAAAATTCAAATGCATGAAATTTACAGACAATAATTAATCCTCACTAGGAAACCCAATTCTGTATTATCTACATAGAAAGACTAAATTACAAAAATGTTTTTGGGGCCTATGATTTTTATATTTATTTTCTAGAATATTATTAATGCCAGAACAGATTCTTCATTATATATCTCATTATGTTAATTTAAAGGCAAATTATATGTTAGGTTTGTACTATCAAAAGTTTCTACTCTTAGGTAGTATAAATAGAAATAAGAACATAGTTTTATTAACTGTCTCAAATAATTTTTTTAAAAAATTGCTAGGGAGATTTTCCTCTGATGTAACACAAACAATTTTTATTATGACTACTTTCCTTGCAGAAAATTGGCTAAATGGGCAACAAATATACAGTCTAATTCTTTAATGTGTACCTTGTAATCCAATTAGCATAAACATAGATGTACGTAGGATCTCTACTCAGGCTCAAATGTATTTTATCATAGCTTTGTCGTTAACAGTATACACAAAATATTTTCCCAGTAACAGGACCCAGAAAGCCTTGGAGAGAGATTCAGTGGGAGGTATTAATTTGGGATTGTACAAAGGAGAATACAGTGATGGTTTCACCCAAATGTCTCAATTCAGAATTCCCTATCTGGAATTATTTTTATTATTTTTGCTAGGAACAATCACTCTTCCAAGGTGAGAGATGGGGGAGGGGTCAAGAAGCCTGAGCGAGCATAAGCACAATGTCTGGACGGAAAATTTTCTTCTTAGCTTTCTGATTTTTAGAGAAAGTTTGTGATCAGCCTATGCCATGGGCTTTTCCACCTATAAATCCTAGCACTGGTGGTGATAGTCTCCTTCAGTTTCATGAAGCTAGCTGTGAAATACAATATGAAGGTTACTGGAAATTTTTTAGAGTTATTTTGAAAACTCAAAACATCTTGTGATGACTACATATTCAATAACTATTTTTTGAGTGCCTAGTAGGTGCCTAGCACTGGGATTAATATTGGAGACATAGAAACAACTATGACACAATCTCTGACTTTAAGAGTTTTTCAGTCTAGACAGTTTTTTTTAAAAAAAGTAAATGAAATATATGTGTTTAAGGCAAACAGCTGTGGTGAGAGGGAAAAAAAGGCATATTATACAGATGTGTCAGAGGGGGTAGGTTTCAAAATGTTCCATGGATGCTGGACATTATAGATTCATTTTATTTTCCTTTTAGAAAATGGGGAGAGATCATCCAGTAGAGATGTTCACCCCTGACCACCCCTATTAGTTCAAGGTCTGATATGTAGAGAAACACAGAAAACTTGAGTATGGGAAGATAGAAGATACCTTTTTATTTTATTTTTTAGCCATTTTATTATTTTGGTATTTTTTAATAAATCTATTTACATCTTTGTTCTTTCTTGTCTTTAATTATATTTTTATTCTAGTCACTTACTTTATCTTGAAGGAAGAAAAGTCACCTTATTAGATGACTCAAAATTTATCCCTTAGTTTTCTGAGTCATCCTTGAATCATAGATCGTGCAGTTCACACAGAAGAGAAAGTCAGGAATTAAAGAAGTAAATGAGAGCCTCCTGCTTGTCAGTGAATTATAAATCTCGCCATGGGCAATGACAGTTTCTCTGAAGCTGCGATTGACCACAATGCATGGGCTGAGTGGTCACTTGTGTCTTCATTTAACTAGCCCTTTCAAAGTGTCAAGAGCAATGGATTTATTTTTAAGTAAAAAATGATTGCAAAGAAATGTAGACAAAGGCAAAAGTATACGTTTGGAAGAAAGAACCTGACTTCCTTGTCTGTCTCTAATGACCTTGGATAAAACATTTAAGCCATCAGGGAAATAATTCAGCCTATTACCCATCTCTAAATTCCAAGCTTAGGCTCATTTAGAAACAAACAAATAAAGGAATAATTTTTTCCCAAAAAGATTATATTTTAAAATAATAATAGTAATACTAATATGAATAATAGCTTCTTTGTGTTGAGCATTTATGGGAGTCTAGGCCCTCCTTAATAACAATTTTACTTTTCTTATTGAAGTTTCACCATTCTGTGAGGGGACTACTCTTATAGATGAAAAACTGAGGCCTAGAGAGATTAAATAACTTTCCTAAAATCTCAATAATTTTTTTTTAAAAAAAGAAGATCCTCACTTCATATTCCATGTTATTCTTGCTTCAAAATGCATGTAATGACTGTTTCATAGCCACCTTGGGTCTCAGCTAAGGTTCAAGTAGCAAACAACTCTGTTTCTCTTCTTGCCGGTGGGGTGTATTTCCAGGCTAACCTGGACGTCAATTATCAGTTTGGTAATTTATCCATCTCATTCTGCTCTTCCACTTCATGTGAATGAATTTATACCCCCAGCAATCTCAGAGCTCACAATGTCCTGGCTATTGGACATCCCCTCTGGCTGCTTTCTGGGAATGTTCTCTAGCTTTCTAATCATTCCTAGATCTCTAATTGATCACCAAAGACACCTGCATTTTCTGTTCCTGTTTTTGAGATCTCAGTCGTGCCAGGTCTTCTGCTTCCTCCAGTGACCTATCACAAAATACCTCTTCTGTGTGGTTTCCCTAGTTACCTTGTTCCTACCTCACAAAGTGGCTGTGAGAATAAGTGATATGATGTGTAGAAAAGTGCTTTAGAAATTTAACACCCTTAATTTCCTCCTCACTGAAAGAGGGTTGAACTAGATATTCTTTAAAGTTCCTGTGGCTCCATGACTTCATTATCTGTGATTTATTAACTTGCAATTTAAGTGCAAATTATTTCTGATATCAGACTTCTAATATCTTAGTTTATTGCTAAGGCAGATTCTAGCAGGCATTGTATAAACTGAATGGAGCATAGAATACACTCGAAGGAATTGAAAAGATTCTAACTTACTCTCAAACTGGTGCTTAGGTTACAATTTTTTTAAGGAATTCTTTGAATTTTCTTCAAACCATGTGCAGTAGATACATAATTATAGGTTAGCATTAAAGAAGTCAGGCCACTGCTTGAAATCATATATAACGGAGAAATTCTCTCTTCTGATTCTGACCTTGACCTGTTGCCTCATTTCTTTTTCTTCAATTTGGCTTATAATTGGATGTTGAACAAGGACCTTTTCAGCTCATCTGATCCCAAACGGAACATTTTCAGTTCTAACACTGAATCTTAGGCATGAAGTGACAGCAGCTATGTTCACAACCGAAGTAATTGGGGTTTGAAAAAACAGTTGAGTGCTTTATCCTAAGTTTGATATTATAGTTATGGTTTCAATATATGGACTATTTTTTGTGTAATGTACGTGCATTTAAAATTGTTCTATTTTCTCTTTTGATTCACAAGTATAAAAACTTCACACTTCTGGTATGTGTACTTGGTATTCAACCTTTCTTCAAGACATGTGAATGTTTTATATAATATCATTACAGTAGAATCATCTCCTCACACTTTTGAATCAACACTTAAAGGTGCATAACTGTTGCAGTTTCTGAATTGTGACTTGTCATTCTTAATATGAAAATATAAATAATGCCTATCAAGTATAGGGTTTTTAAATTATTTACTTTTTAAATTTACACATTGCAGTTGTACATATTTACGGAGTACAATTTGATGTCTTTGTGCATATCTGTGTTGTATAATAATCTAATCAGGGTAGTTAGTTTATCTATTACCTGATGCATTTATCATTTCTCTGCAGTGAGAACATTCAAAAGCCTCTCTGCTAGCAATTTTGTTGCATATCCTCAATTAGAAATGGGATTGCTCATTTTTATTAGTGGTTTTAATTGAACTTTATAATAATGACACTATTATCACTTTTAGAGAAACAGATAAAGTATAATGACTAATAATTTTTTACTAATCTGTAAAGATTTGTCCTCTTTTGCTTTATAAAATGCCACTTAAAGGATATCCATGGTGTTAAAAAATTAAGTGTGTTGCCTTAATACTAAATGTAGCTATCATTAAGGCAGCACTTCAAAAAGGTAGCAAATCCAGAATAGGAAGTACATTAATCATTTCCATGCCTTCTAAAATCAATCTCAGGATATATGTGTTTTTTTTCCCCCATGAATATCTTGTCCTTACCTTCCCTTATTTTCATCATGGATTGCACATGTGGAGTTTTGTAGTAACATCCCTCCTTTGATTTATGTACAGATCTGACATGTAAGAAATATTAAACGTAACTATTTTCTGAACACTGATGCTATTTGCGCTAGCAAATAGATTTACAAGATCCTGGCCGAGCAAGGTGGCTCACACCTGTACTCCCAGTGCTTTGGAGGCTGAGGAGGCAGATCACTTGAACCCAGGAGGTTGAGGTTACAGTGAGCTATAATTGTGCTACTGCACTACAGTGTGGGTGACAGAGCAAGCCCCAATCCCTTAAAAAATAGTAATAATAAAATGTTTTTAAAACACAAAAACAATATCCTTAGTTCTTCATAATTGTCCGTGTTGCAATATTTTCATTTGGAAACATCCAAGTGGGTAAAAAGCAAGTTCATCAGGAAGATCACACACCAGTTGAAGGGCAGAGCCATGCCCTTGGGTGGGAGAGCACTTGAGCCCAGGAGGTTGAGGTTACAGTGAGACTCTGGTCCACCCAAGACCAAAGCTCAAGCTCTTCTCATATCCCACCGCTGATGCCTTTCTGAAGTCAAGGATTATGTATTCATAGTTTTAGATAACAGTGGATTCAATTACCTTCTACTTCTCTAACTTCTGAAGTTATGATATCATAGTTATAATTGCTTTTTCTCTGCATTCCTTTGGGCAGACAAATACAAATATGTTGTGGTAGCAGAAAACTGCAGTAAGAATAGCCTTTAGAGTCAACTTTGCTCAAAGTCTGACTTTGCCTGTTAATATGCTTCTTGAAGCAGAATAAATGTGAAAACTTTAAAACCTAGGGCCTGGTCACAGTTTCAGATCAATTGTACGACCTTGAGCAAGTCATGTAACCTAGCAGAATTACTGTTTTGCCATCTGAAAAATTGTGATAATAATAGATAACATCTAAACACCATTCTATGAAGTTGAATGCAGTCACCTCCACAAGGCAGGCTGTGCTCTGAGAAAGAAAGTTATGGCATTCAATAAAATAAAAAGTAATAATAAATTCTTAAAATATGCATTTCTAAGATATTCACTGAAAATGTTTGGAGCAATTATTGTCCAAGGTATATTGTCCTTTAATTAAAAACAAATGCCAGCCAGGTTTTATTACAGTCCATCTCAGCGAAGGATGACTTTCCTGTAATAGACCTGTTATATTTTGTGCAGATTAACAAAGAGCCATTGGGGAAAAGGAACTGTGCAGTGAGGGTGTTGGTAGGAAATGGAAAAACCCACCAGGGCACATTCTGTGTGTGGGTGCCTTTCAGATGACAGCACTTTTCACTGTGAGTTGTATTGGTTTTACTCTAAGCAAACACTAACTACCTTAACTGGGATATTGTTCCAGGATCTTTAGATTTATCTGCCTGACAACAGGCATTCCTAATATGCCATGCTATAATTTTCTTGATGTTTCATTCAATTACAGCTACTCTTTTCATGAATCTTGGTAATTAGAATTTGAGGAATATTTCACATTTGATTTGAGATTTTGATTTTTTCAGCAACTTGGTAGCAGGAGTACTGTCAGCATTAAAGTATTTGTAATACTTTATGTAATTGTTTATTTAAAAGATAGAATAAAAATGATATGAGCAAAAGCATGTGGCATGCTGATTAAGGGAAGTTGCCTGTTACATGATATTTTTCCAGTTACATTTTCCTCAGTTCTCATTGTCTCAGTATAGTTGTTTACATTATGAATGACCTAATATATAACTGGAAGACTTTCCTCAGCCTTATTTATTTTCCTCGAATAGTCTTCTGAATGCTGAACCCTAATGTGAGATCCATTATGCAGCACAGCTTATGTGATCCTACTGATGTAATGGATGTGTGTTGGAGAAAAGAAAAAAAAAAAGCTTGTCTGAATGTCTGAGTATCACGCTCTTGATTGAAATGACATAAATTTATTGGCAATGAAGGTATTACCTAATGTTAGGAGAGATAGTAAAATATTTTATTTAAAAGTCAGAGCCAAATAATCACAGGGATAGGCAATGAAAACTAAAATTACAAAGAACAAAGGCCAGTCTTTAAGTAGAATGCTCTATAACTGTAAGAACAGAATCCATTACAGACATCTATTGGTGATGCACATAAGTCAAACAATAACCATTCCTTAATGTCCCCCTGAAGGGACACAAAATGGTTTTGTGTTCTTGTTTATTTTGACACCTCGATTCTTTCTTTCCCCATACACTATACCTGCAATACTTTACATTCTTTGTCTGTTCTCAATTTCTACACATTAGGCCTTGAGGAGAGTGCTACTACTCTCAAAAGCTTAGACAGTCCATTTTTGGCCCATAAGTAAAAATCAACTTTCCTCTGCTCCGAACTCCCTAGCGCTGTATTTCCATCTTTGATATAGCATTTTATTACTCTCTATCTTATATTGCAAATGTCTTACATTATAAATGTAAATTTTGATCACTAATTTTTGTCATTGTATATCATTATTCCTGTTGTCTTTAGCTGAGTGGCAAACTTTCCCAACAATAATTTATTATTAATATTAATCTTGATGATTAAGCTGCATAGTACTTCTCTAAGGCCTCTCACGAGATTTCTATCAGATGTCCACTGAAGGCTGTTCAAGAGAGCTCGAGCTTACTCACATAGCTGTCAGTTGGCTGAGAACTCAGCTAAGCCTGGTGTCCACAGTACTACAATTGGCTTTTCCTTTGGGGTGACCGATTTGTCTTGGCTTGCCCAGAACATCTCAAATTTAGCACTCAAAATCACATGTCCTGGCAACCCTCACAGTTTGGGACACAGTTTGCTGTTTAGTCACCCACTGCAGCTTAGGCTTCCCACAGCTTAGAGTTTAAGTTCCTTAGAACAGTACCCGCAGTGAGGATGTTCCAATAGGCTCTTACAGAAGCTCCAAGGCTTTTTATTACCTAAATTTAGATATGACATGACATCTCTTCTGCTGTATTTTATTAGTCAAACAAATTCCTAAGGCCAGCTTCAACTCAAGAGGAGAACTAAAGTCCACCTTGAGGGAGTGACAAGGTCACATTTCAGGAGAGTAATTGGAATGAGAGATATTGTTGTGGCCACCTTTGGAAGACACAGCCTGCCAAACCATGTATTACTTAATCTTCCGGAGGGCAGGATTTAAATAGAATTACATTGCTGTTGTATATACCTGCCAGAGTGCCTGGCACTTAGTAAGCACTGGATAAGTGCTAAAAAATAAAGAAACAAGAATATATTTATCCTAAATGCACTATCGTTTCTTACTTGGATTAAAAAATACATTTTACTTGATTTGTGAAGGATTACTGCCTAATTTATGTGGTTGAAAGTGAAAAATTTCAATCAAGACAGAGAGAAAGTTAAAGGGAAAATATCCTAGATAAAATCCATATTTGTTATTCCAAGATCAATGCTGAGCATTCTGGAATATGTCAATGACTTCAGATCTTGGGCAGTGTTTTGACAGAATCATAGGTAATATTTGGAAGGACAGTAACTAATAGTGCTCTTAAGAAACTCAGGCAGTGTACTATCTATGCATCTACAACTACAGGAATCAATAAAAATTAGACTAACAGGGAGCCACCATTTTTGTTTCAGAATTTTGTTTCACTCTTTTGATGCCCTGTGAAGAAGCATACTCTCAAGTTATTCAGGGATCGATACTTTGATGACCCAATGAGACATGTCATCCCTGTAGATAAACAGCCTTTCTCTCTCTTACTTAACATACCTTGGAGGTTATTTTTCCAAATGAACTGTAATAAATCCAAGGCCAAATTCTATAAACAAAATATTTAGTTGTCAATGATTCACAATTATATCATGTGTTAATGTCTCCTAAGTAAATATTCATATGGAAACATTGGCCTTGATATTTTAACATAGAAAATTGGCATTCAATATAGCGGTTTGGGACACTTTTTTTTTTTTTTTTTTTTTTTTTTTGAGGTGGAGTCTTGCTCTGTCGCTCAGGCTGGAGTGCACTGGTGTGATCTTGGCTCACTGCAACCTCTGCCTCCCGGGTTCAAGCAATTTTCCTGCCTCAGCCTCCTGTGTAGCTGGGATTACAGGCATGCACCACCATGCCCGGCTAATTTTTTTGTATTTTTAGTAGAGGCGGGGTTTCACCATATTGTTCAGGCTGGTCTCGAACTCCTGACCTTGTGATCCGCCCATCTCGGCCTCCCAAAATGCTGGGATTACAGGCGTAAGCCACCATGCCCATTGACCACTCTTACAGATCCTTAGAAGATATTTTTCAGGCCTGGGAATTGCTGTGCTTCTCAAATTCTTACACAGAGGCAATTTTAATCTTTGTCAATATATAAGTCCAACTCTATTAGATTCTGAAAAAAAAAAAAAAGTGTAGGTCACAGTTTGCAAGCATCTCTGATGGTTTTTATTACATGGGCCGAAGCACAGAAGTTCAGCTCTGTTGAGTATCAACATTAAGTATATTTTACAGATCCGGATACCCTCTAATTGCTTTAAAATGTCAGGTGTTCCAAGAAGGAGCAAAGGAGCACAGGCACTGGGGAACTAATTGGTATTGGGACATGAAGCTTTTCTAGGTTAGCGGTTTACATTAGTCTCAGGTCAGTAATAACTCAAATTCATTCTCTTCGGGGGCAAAGCGCTCTATGAGAAATCAGGACTGGATGCAGTCCAGGTTCTGCTGGATGGTATGTGAACATCAAAACCAAAGTGCACCTGTCAATTTTTTTACATTAGAGGTTATTCATCATTGAGATATTTAACTTCAATGTTCAAATATTGCATTTTAGGAAATGAGTTTATGCCTCCCCATAGCCAGTTACAAAAGCAAGATCATAGCTATTTATAAATAAATGAAGCTAGGATCAGAACATTCCAGAGACTTCTGCAGAGATGATGCAGGACTGTAAAACAGCTTACTGCTTTGCCTATTCAATGAAGAGATGGCAAGTGAGACTGACACTGAAATTTAAGCCAGTCAATATTTATTGCTTTTGCTTTCAAGAAGCTTACATTCAACATAGGACAAGCCTCTGCTCCTGGGGCACCCTGGCTCCAGACTGAGACATGGAGTCAATTTGATAAGTTTAATCATTAAGAATGTTGAGAAATTTTTAGTAACATATTTATCTCAGTTTATCTAAGACAGCAAGTTCCATGTGCATATGGAAGTGTTACGCATACCTCCTCCTCTACATGCCAAAGTGACTCAGTTTTATCCATTTCATGGAGAATTTTTAAACTGCAGTAGTAGAACCTTATGGGATACTGGGAAATATCTCCCTTTTATCCGTTGCAGCTTCAAATGTTACAACACACAGGAATATAATCCCAAGGCACCAGCTTTATATTTCTTGAAGCATCAATTCAGTAACCTCCCACCTATCTTGCACTTTACTTTTCCTCTCTATATCAAACAATACAGTACTTTTAAAACTATTTCCTATGTGTCTACAAATACTCATAGATAAGAAAGAATAAGATGTAAAATCAGCTTTCAAGTTTTGTGGGTAAATTAAGAAAAGATTAATGCTGCTGAAGATAGGTAAAATTCATAGAGGGTTTTCATTTGAACTAAACTTAATGAGAGATTTGTAGGACTTTTATGCAATAATAGGATCTAAGGAGGGTATTTCCAGTTTAGGGAACAGCAGCAGTGTAATCAATGATAATAGAATACAGTGACTATATAGGCAAATATACTGTTTATTACTGAGACCAAGTGGTTTATTAGCAAGTTAATGGAGTTTGGTTAAAGTAGACTGGTGCCTTATAACAGAGTGCCTAAAATGACATCTAGATATTTAGTCAGGAATCCATAAAGACAGTGGCTGTAAGCAATACGTTCTAATTCTGTGTTAATCAAAAACAAATTTTGGGTAGGATTTTAGTGCCTCAGAGAGTCTAAAAAAACTACAGTTCTTGGCTGAGGAATCATCAAGAACCAGGTGTTCTCCGAGGAGTGGAATGTAGGAACCAAAACTATGTACAGTCACAGGAATAATCTGCTATTGATTGCTACGATATGCTGCAAAAATTTAAGGTCCACCTTTTCTGAATAAGTGGAACTCCAGCAATTTTTAAATCTCTGTTTTTCAGCTGAAGTGTCAAAATATGAAGAGGTTATGTCCAGTTGGTCTATGTGATCATGCTATGCTGTGATTAAGGAGAAATGAGACTATGGTTTATAGCTTGTTTTAGGGATGAAGTAGTAATTTCAATAAAAGAGTGCCATTATGAGTGCTATTAGAAAGATAAAATGGTTAGAGTCAAAAACAACACTTGTGCATTACGAAGGAGTAATTAAGGGCAGACATAAAGTGAAGTGTAAAAATATTAAATAGGTATACTATATGTATAAGCATGTGTATAGATATATACATAAATCTATCTTTTTAAAATTTTAGTTATTAGCATTTGTCTTAACAGTTTATCCAGTAAACTGTTCATATGTGCATTTGACTTTATTATTCAATGCATACAGGAATCTCCTGCACAGTAATGCACTCTATTGATATACAGTAAGTCTTCCCTCAAAGTAGTTCCATATGGGATAAAACACACTTTAATTTTCTCTAATCGAAACTCGTAGTCAGCGTACAGCCTATACATTCAAAGGTTCAGTGTTTCCCAAAGTATGTTGTGTGCTGTGGTTTTAAAGATTGTTGAGTGCAGATAAAGTTGTGCATACAAATGTAATCAGATTTTTGAAAAGAATAAGACATGATATGCTTCCAGAAGATAATAACTACTTTTTGTGACAAAAATTAGCTAAGCATCAGACTCTAGATACGTGATAGGATTGCCCTTGTAGTTCATGGTTAGATCCTATGATAAATAAAGCAATAAAAGTGCGTTTTTCTTGCAGTGTTATTTTTGTTAAACTCCTGCATCTGTCTCCCATTGGTCTTATATGGTATCACATTAGAAATCAGTTTAGAGTGTAAGGAGTTATACTCACTTATTCTTTAGTCACATAGAAGATACTCATCACCAGCCACCATGGCTTATATGCCTGTAATCCTAGCATTTTTGGAGGCCAAGGCGGGTGGAACACTTGAGGTCAGGAGTTCAAGACCAGCCTTGTCAACATGGTGAACCCAGTCTCTACTAAAGATACAAAAATTAGCCGGGTGTGATGGCAGGCATCTGTAATCCCAGCTGCTTGAGAGGCTGAGGCAGGAGAATCGCTTGAACCTGGGAGGCAGAGGTTGCGGTGAGCAGAGATTGCGCCATTGCACTCCAGCCTGGGTGACATAGTGAGACTCTGTCTCAAAAAAAAAAAAAAAAGAGAGAGACATTTATTAAGCACCTGCTTTGTGCCCTGTAGATAACAAAATTGTTGGATTGTGCCCTGTAGATGACAGAATTGTTGGACCATCCCCTGGGAATGAGAAAAGCAAAATGAGAGTTATTTCCCCCAAGAAGTGAGAGACAATTACATAAATAAGACTCATTAGTAAAATATAAGCAATCAAAATGTTTTTTGTACAAGCTTCTGTACAATAAGAATATAAAGAAAAATAAGAGCCTTATTTTGTCAGAAACTTTTATCTGTTGAAACTCCCTAAATGTAGGAGAGTTTCCTAAAAGTAGGGGAAGAAAAGGCAGAAGATGTAATAGAGGGCTTCTATAGAAGCTGCTGCATGATTTAGATTTTTAAGCAAAATTAGATGATTAAAAAAATAAGTGCATCAGCAGGTTAGGTGCAAGTGAAGATGAGGAGGGACGATTGTGCAAATATCTATATCTCACTGTGTTCAGAAAAAACAAAAATGATGCTTTCATATGGTCCCTGAAAATAAGCTAATCATATCCCGAGAAAAGAGATATTATTAATAAAGATGACTCCAAGGCATATTATTATGCCATCTTCAAAAATAGAGGCTTGCAATAGCCAGGAATCAGTCTAGTTTTGTGTCTACCTAAAGCAAATCTTTATGGCAAATGGAAAGGCTGCAGCTGTTGACAGCACAATGGGATGTCTTTGCTTCCAGAAAAACAATTCCAAAGATAGGCTTGTTGCCAACACTACAAGCCTGCTGACACCAGAAAGTCAGGGACAAATGAGAGGTTGGTGTAGTAATTATGGTGAAATCTCTGGGTCTATTCAAACGGCCAAATGTTTTGTTGTTGTTGTTGTTTTCATTCTCTAAACCATTCAGTACATGTGGGAACCTTTTTCTAAGTCAGTAATGTAGGTAGATAACAGAGGGCAAAATTTCCCTGGTGCTGTACTAATTGGATTATGTACTGTGTGCTTAACTGTCAAATGCTGAACCTCCCTTGGAGCTAGAAAATGTTTTCTTCATCAACAACGTGATGAAGACATGAAGATAGTCATGCTTTAGGTCTTGAGGCACTTAGGTTTAAGAAAAGATGCTGAAAAAGAGATTCTAAAGAGAAACTACTTTTCCAGAGTCAAACCAGGAAGATGATTTGTTATAGATGTTATAGATCCTCAAGTGTGAAATGTATCATCATCCCAGTTCTGATTCAATTTATAAGTGAATTCCCACCATACCATCACTGCCCCGAGATCATCTGACCATCGTTCTTGCAAGTTTACTCTCCACTCATGCTCAAGTAGAATTCCTTCACATTTGGGCCAATTCAACTGTCAGAAAATTCTTACTTTATTTGCAATTGACAACCCTTGTATGTATCCTCCACATCTCCACCTATTTCCTAGTCATTGTTCTGCCACAGTATCTTCCTCAATTCAAATATAGCAAGCATAGATAATCAATCACACCTGTCCAAACTAAGCAGCTAATGATCAATTGACCTTACTCACATCTGTAGTATTTTGGTTGTTATTTTGTTTATTGTCTTTTCTTTCTCCTCAGTTACCATATTTCACAGTTTTTTTCTGTGTTGCCTTTAAAATACAGAAACATCTGAGAGTCTCATCGAATAGCTGAGATATACTGAGATATTTGTTAATATATTCTTACTATTTTGGTGAAACTACTAAATTTGAAAAGTACGTAAAAAAAACAAGATTTTCCTCATTCATATGGCTTGTGTAACATTGCAATTTTTCACGACTCAAAGTTCTTTGCATCTTATTTTCACACATAAGCATGGGTTACATTTTGTTGATGGGGAACACATTTCAGTGCTCTTCTTTGTTTTCAAGTAAACTCATATTATTAAAAACAGCAGCTATAAAATATTCTCCATAAAAGATATGTTGAATTCCTAACACCTGGTACCTGTGAATGTGACCTTACTTGAAAATAGGGTCTTCATGTAAATTAAGATGGGTCCTACTGAAGTAAAGTGGGCTCTTAATCCAATGACTGGTGTCTTTATTAAACAAGAGGATATATAATGTAGATTACAACACACACACACACACACACACACACACACACACACACACACACGCACAATGGGGTAACATCATGTGAAGTCACAGACACACAGAAGGAAGAAAGCCCTGTTGCAGCTTAGGCCGAGATCAGGATTATACAGCTGCAAGATGAGAAACACCAAGGAATGCTGGCCACCACCACAAGTTAGGAGAGAGAGCTTGATTTCAGATTTCCAGCCTCCAGAACTTTGAGAGAATACATTTCTGTTGTTTTAAGCCACCGAATTTGTGGTGCTTTATTATGAAGCAATAGGAAACTAACAGAGGGGGAATGGAAATTTACAGGTTAAAAAAGTTTCGCTGCCATTTCTGGTTATTTCATAGAGAGGAAAGCTTGTAACTCAGAGACACCCTAGTTCAAATTCTAGTAATTTCACTTGGAAGCTTTGTATTTTTCCGCAAATTATCAAACTCTAACTAAAACTTAGCTCACTTCTGTTCATAAAGATCGTGATTGCTTCCTACCATTTTTAATATTAAGTAAGATTATGTGTCTTAAAGGCCTAGTGCTTTATCTAGGCCTAAGGAAAGGTAGTATAAACGTAAGCACAGGAAAAAAGAGAAGGATGTGCTCATGGTATGCATTTGCATTACCTATTATAGCTGTTTAAAAAGAAGGTAGACACGCTAGACTCAATAAAAAACAAAAACAAAAAGTAAAATTACTGTGGTTATACAATGTCGTTGGCAGGATTTTCACCATGGTGTTACTCATATGAATATGTTACCTGAAAATAGCAAAACAGACTTCACAAATGTAATTAAGAGTACTAATCAGTTCAGTTTAAAAGAAAGATATTATTTAGATGATCTGATTGAACCCAATCTAATCAAATAAACCTTTCTCTTAGATGAAAAGCAGACCTTTTCCTTAGGTGAAGACATAAAGGGAAGTCAGAAAGACTTAAAGTGTGAGAAAAAGTGAATATGTCATTGCTGACTTGAAGATGGAGGGGTACAAATATCAAAGACATGGAGATCTCAGTTCTACAAACTTGAGATGCCAAATTCTACCCACAAATGGAATGAATTTGGAAATATATCCTTCTCAAACTACTCTTATTAATTTATTATTGTTTATATTTTGAGGCCCTATACAGAAATGTCAGCTGTGTGGTACTCAATTTCTGATCTATAGAATTGTAGATAACAAATGTATGTTGTTAAAAGCCACTAAATTGGTGGAGTTAACAATTTTTTTAGGCAGAATTAGAAAACTAATGCATATAACTATGTAAAGATAGAATAAAGATGATAGTTCTGATTCTCTTTATTGGTTTCTTTTTACTTTACCAGCTTTCTTAATAGATTACATCCACATTTTGAGTTGACTTAAACAAATACATTTCTAATGAAGTTGAATAAGAAAAGTCATGCATTATTTTATCGGGTAGCCTATCCAAATTAATTTGAATTTTCTCTGCCCAATATATTTTATGGAAACACTATTTTAAATTTTAAATTGTTTCAATGGATAATATGAGAAAAAATTAAATAAATTCCATTTACTGCTAGCATTTACCAGCAACCAAGACACAATACCTCAGAATCTCTTAGAATTTCTGACTTAACCAAGTATATTAATTCTTATCCATGGCAGCAATACAAGACTGTTTAGATATAGTTTATCACAAATAAACAGGTATATATATATATATGTGTATATGTATACATGTATATATGTATATATGTATATATGTATATATGTATATATGTATATATATGTATATATGTATATATGTATAAATGTATATATGTATATATGTGTATATGTATATATATGTGTATATATGTATATATATGTATATATGTATATATGTGTATATATGTATATCTGTATATATGTGTATATATGTGTATATATATGCGTATATATGTGTATATATGTATATATGTGTATATGTGTATATATGTATATATGTATATGTGTATATATGTATATATGTATATATGTATATATGTGTATATATATGTGTATATATGTATATATGTACATATATGTGTATATATGTATATATGTACATATATGTGTATATATGTATATATATGCAAACATATATGTACATACATATATACACACATATATATGTACATACATATATACACACATATATACACACACATATATATACATATATATGTATAAATCTCTTTTAAAGTGTGTGTGTGTATATATATATATACACACACACACACACACACACACACACATACATCCCTATAAATATGGGGAAAATAAATAAATGCACTATGGGCACATGTGATCTTTAATAAAGTTAAAATTGGACCTAATCTGAATAAATTAAAATGCTAAGTGAGCATTTTCCTATTAGAAGATTTAGACTCAGAATTTTGAAAGGGGATTTTTGTCTCACAAATGCTTTATTTCAGATATCATGTGTTGAATTTTGAGAGTGACAATTTCATTCCCCTAACCTAGAATCAAGTAAAAAATATAAGCAGAAAATGCAAATATCAACTCATTTCTATTATTATTATATTATTATTGAAAACGCCAAACTGAAAAGCACCTTGGATGTATGGGCACAATCAGGTTCTTTTTCATTTCCTCTGTTTTCAAGCTTGCTCACCAATATGGCTTCCCATTTGATAACTTTTTTCTTTATTCCTGGAGGGAAGAAGTACAGTGAGATTAAGGGAAGGTGGAAGTCTATTACTGTTATTTCACAAAGAACGAAAATTACTATTATATGGCAGAATAACTATCTAGGGTAGAACAATGTAAATGTTTATATTAAAATCTTTAACATTGGCAGAATATCTAAGTTTCATAATGTACACATGTTACTGTGATTTCCAAATTTCTAAAGTAAAATGTAGTTATTATCTATTTTTGTATAGCTTCTATACGGCTATGGCACATTCAGGTCCCAACAGTCTATAACAAGCAGTATATTTGGTTTCAAATGGTATGACAGGTAGCTTCTTTTAGGAAAAAACAAGGTCCTGAGAATTAATGTGAAACCCCAAGATGAGGATGAAGTGGAGAGGCTATCAAGCTTTCAAGAGTAAGATTTTCCATCCTGCCGTTGCATCTGACTCCACAATGTATTATTTCAAAACTTATTTCTGAGTGACCCAAAAAGGCTCAGCTTGACTCATCTTTTGAAGAGAAGACGATTTTCTAGGAGAAGGTTTAATTCATTAACTTCCAGGTCAAAGGAATCTTTATGTAAGCCTTCCAGATGTTAATGTTCTTTTGAAATATTTGAATATCATCCAAGTGAGAACCAGAAATTTGACACAGAAATGACAACAGTAAATTCAGGAGAAATTTTATGTTTCTGAAAATATAGAACACCATTTTTCTCATAACCATACTTTTCCAAAAAAATATTTTATAAAATGGTACAGATATAAAAGGGAAAAATTCAAATATCTAGATACATATAAATATAAGTATACAATCCTGTATGTAAATATGCATTGTTGTTCTGTGTCTACACTACATTAGCCTAATAAAATGAAGGTGTGATCTAATTTACAAAATAATTTATTAGCAGAACATGTGGATAAGTATTGCTTCAATTAACAAAGTAAAGAATTTATGTTCTTGTCCAGCTTACATGATTTGTATAAAACCTTCTTGTGAGGCAGTAAAAGAAAAAGATACAGGAATACAGGGTTTATAATCACCTAAAAAAAGTCATATCCTGTTATTGTCATTTATTTTTATTATTGTGATATTATCCACATTACTATATTATATAACCTCTTCAGGCCTGAGTTTTAAAAATTTTAGGGTAAGATTCAAAAGATATTATCTACAGCACATTCAATTGTGGGCATAAATTTAGATCTGTATTTGCAAAATTCTGTGTAATTTACAATGCAATAATTGAATGTTAGTTTAGCTTTCCCTCCTTTAGGATCAAATAAAATTAGAACTATCACTCTGACCACCCCCAGCATACTATATTCTGTGTTATTTTGTATTTTCTGCCATATCTTAACAGTGTAGTCTGCTTTTTTACTAAAATGTGAGTAGAAAGCATAAATTATTTGATTCATATTTTTATCCTTCATTGCCCACTGCATATAATCCTGCAAGCACATTACTATGTGATGGATAAATTTATTCATTCAACAGATATTTCTTGAAGATATAATATGATCCAAGTTGTGATATGTGCTAATAATACAAGGTTAAGCAATGCAGAGTCATTCTTTCTACTCCTGAGTTGAGAGCTTCAAGATATAATGAAACAAAAATAAATTAATAATAATATTAAAACACCGTTTAGCTTTCTTTCCTAGTATGCAATTTTTTCTTCTATGGAAAATATAAAATATAAATTACATGTTATTCTATTGAGAAAGTGAAGACACCAGATAAAAAACGGTGGCATAGACTAAAAGCATAGGGACAGCAGTATGGTCTCTGACACTGACTGCCTGGGTTCCAATTTTAGCTCTGTCATTTACCATTTGTTTGACTTTGTCCGGTGTATTTAACTTTACAGTCTTTTAGTTATCTCAAAGTAATGAAATGAAGCGAACAAGGAGTAACCTTACATTTTTCTCAGATTATCAGTCATGAGAATCTTCACTTGTTTGACTTTTTTCTTCAAGAATTCCAAGCACTAATATTTAGATAGATATTCTCCAAATACCCACTATGATTTGGTGGAAGCAGCACCCAGTTGGTGTGCTATGTCTAATATGCAAAATAACTATTTTATGAGATTTTAAAAAACTCATAGTTATCTCTTTTGTGGGGAGTGGCTTGTTTATAGAAATTCCATCATGATCAAGCTAGAAAGATCAAGACCTTCCAAACACGGCTGGATATAGTTAACATCATATGTGTAATAATAATAACAATTATTAATCATCCCCAAAACCAGCCTCTAAATTTGTCATTGGTGCAAAGAAGAAAGTAGGTCTCTTCTTTGTAGAAGTTTCCCAATGAGTTCTGATTATTAATGGTGACTTTGAAATTATATTTCACAGAGAGTGGCATCAGTGTTTTAGGACCATGCTGAGTTTTAGAGATTTCTGATGTAGATATTAATCTGAGCCATTTTACATAAAGAGCTCCTTTTTAAAAGTAAACATGTCCTCTAATTAAACTCAAGAAATTAAATACAAATAAAAGAATGATAAAAAATTCTGAAAATATTAACTTTATTACATAAAACTTTTGAGGATATGTCATTTGGGGTATTACAATGCCTTGAATCTGAGCTCTTTAAAAACAAAACAAAACCCCCCAAATTTGTTTCCTTTTTAAAAAATGTGACAATAAAGTTATATAATAAAATGAATATATCTCAATATTTTATTTTCTTATGTTTTTATTTCTCTTAAGAATTATGGCATAAAATAAAAATAATTATTTTATTGAATGGACATTGATAATTTTCTTACGGTATTTTTCAACTTTATTGAAGTAAAATTGACAAAATACAACTGTGTATATTCAAGGTATTTAAAGTGAAATTTTGAATTTTGAATTCATTGTAAAATGATATCCACAATCAAGATAATTAAAACATTTGTATACTTAAGATATACTCTCTTAGGAAATTTCAAGTGTACCTTACATTTTTATTATCATGCAATATGTTAGGTCTCCAGAACTTATTTGTCTTATAACTTCAATTGTGTGCCCTTTGACCAGCATATCCCCATTTTTTTCACCCTTGACCTCTGATAACCACCTTTCTATTCTCTTTTTCTGTTAATTCAAGTGTTTTAGATTACATATTAATTGAGGTCATGCTGTATTAGTCTTTATATGTCTGACTTATCCCACTTAGCATAATGTCTTCCAGTTGCATTTATATTGTCACAAATGACAGAATCTTCATATTTTTTATAGCTGAATAATACTCTACTGTGCACATATAGGTATATTTGTATATATTTATACGTATATATGCATATGTATACATATATATATACCACACATTTATGTGTATGTGTATGTGGGTAGACACACATACACACACACATAAAGATGATCTCTAACTTATAGTGGTTCAACTTACAATTTTTGGACTTTATGATACTGCAAAAGCAATGCACATTCAGTAGAAACTATACTTCAATATAGTATTATTATATATTACTATAAAACAGGCTTTGGATTAAATGATCTTGCCCAGCTGTAGGATAATGTAAGTGTTCTGAGCACATTTAAAGTAGGCTATGCTAAGCTATGAAGTTTTGTAAAAATGAATTTTTGTCTTGGATTATTTTCAGCTTAAGATGGGTTTATCCCCATTGTAAGTTGAGGAACCTGTAGGTGTGTGTGTCTATACAAACACAGACACTCACTATCATATGAGTGACAATTCTTTTTTCATCAATCTTTCCAAAGATGCTTAGGTGTTTTCATATCTTGGCTATTAGAATAGTGCTGCAGTGAACATGGGGGTGAGGATATCTCTGATATTTCTCTGAGTTAGTGATTTTATTTCCTTTGTATGTATGCCCAGAAGTAGAGATGCCACATCATATAATAGTTGTATTTTAAATTTTTGAGGAAACTTCATACTGTTTTTCGTATTGATTATACCAGTTTACACTTCCATCAACAATGTAAAGGTTCTTTTTTCTCCACCTACTTGCCAAAACTCATTATATTTTGACTTTTTATTAATAACCTAAGGGATGTGAGGTAATATCTCATTGACGTTTTGTTTTCCTTTTCCCTAATGATGACTGATATTGAGTAGATTTTTATATATCTATTGGCCATTTGTATGTTTTCCTACGAAAAATTTGAGTTCAGGTCCTTTAATCATTCTTTACTTGGTTTTATAGTTGTTTTGCTGCTGAATTGTACGACTTCCTTATATATTTTGGATGTTAATCTCTTATCAGTTAAATTATTTTTTTGTATTCTATAGGCTTCCATTTTATTTTGTTGAATGTTTCCTTTACTGTACAGAAACATTTTAGTTTCATGTACTTCCAATCATTTATTTTTTATTTTCTCGCCTAGGCTTTTGATGTCAAATCCAAAAAAAAAAATTGTCAAAAACAATGTTAAGTAGCTTTTCTCCTATGTTTTCTTCTAATTATTTTATAGCTCCATGTCTTATGTTTGAACCTTTAATCCATTTTCAGATGATTTTGTGTGTGGTATAAGATGGGGATATTATGTCTTTTTTTTTTTTTTTTTTTTTTTTTTTTTGCTTGTGGATATAGTTTTTCCAGCACCATTTATCGAAGAGACTATCTTTTATCCATTATGTAGTCCTGGCACCTTTGTCAAAAATTAAACATATATGCATGGCTTTACTCTGGACTTTTTTTTATATTCCATTGTCTGCTTTTATGTCAGTGTGATACTGTTTTGATTTCTATCACATTTAAATATAACTTGAAATCAGAAAGTATAGTGCCTTCGACTGTTATTCTTGTTAAAAATTGCTTTAAGGGGTCAGGTATGTTGTGATTCCATACAAAGTTTAGGATTTTTGTGCGTGTGTGAAAAATACTGTTGGAGCCTGATAAGGATCGCATTGGATCTGTTGGGGTAGTATGGACTTTTTCATAGCGTTGATTCTGTTTTTTCAAATTTCTCTTTTAGTTAAAATATATCTACCTAATTCATTGTAGTACATCTGTTGGTACATCTATCTCTATTTTATTTTTTTTTTTCATTTTTTATTTTAGTTTTTATTTTTGAGACGGAGTCTCGCTCTGTCACCCAGGCTGGAGTGCAGTGGCGCGATCTAGGCTCACTGCAAGCTCCGCCTCCTGGGTTTATGCCATTCTCCTGCCTCAGCCTCCCGAGTAGCTGGGACTACAGATGTCCGCCACCACGCCCAGCTAATTTTTTTGTATTTTTAGTAGAGACGGGGTTTCACCGTGTTATGCAGGAAGGTCTCGATCTCCTGACCTCATGATCCGCCCACCTCGGCCTCCTAAAGTGCTGGGATTACAGGCGTGAGCCACTGCGCCCGGCATCTATTTTATTTAATAGAGGTATTAAGGGTACAGCCAGCAAAGAAAAAGTTTAATAATCTCTGTCCTGTATTCACCTTCCAACCCAACTGCAACACCCACTTAGAGAATTCACAGCATTGACTACCAATTTAACACAGAGTGAGTATAATTCTACAAGGCAGACACAGAAGGTCATCAGACACTATACAATTATATGGCATAGAAATAGTGGTTTTAATAAAACTTTTGATTTCTGTTATGTTTAAAGTAATAATTTAACGAACCATGAATTGTAATGGTTTAGAAAATTATTTTGGGTAGACTTTTATTTCTTCTGGTAAAGATATGACAGGAACTAAAACAATAACAAACTCTCTTTAAATGTAGACAATCCTGTGAATACATTTTGAAAGACATAAGAGAAGTAAGAAGAAAAAGTTAAGATTTTTAGAGTTAGGGCATGAACTGCTTCTCCAAGGAAGAGTTGTGATTGTAAGTTTAGTCAAGGGGAAATAACCTGAATTGAGAATGTTCAGTTTATACATATGCACACACACACAAATTGATTTTTTGTATACTTTTGTGAACCTTGTTCAACAAATATTATAATGATAAAACTAATACAAACTATAGACTTAAATTTTTTAAAAAAGTATTTCAGTATGATACAATTATCTTCCAAATAATTACATTATAAAATAGCAAAAATTTTGAGGAGGGCAAGTGGTCAAACTTCTTTCAGATTTTCATTTTTCAAATATATATATACAGGAGTTCTCCAACCAAATACTTTGGGTTTAGATATCTAGTGGTATTTGCTGCCATAGATGGAGGCCTTTCACAGGTGATAGAGGAGATTATTAAAAATACAAAGTGGAGATGACTTCTGAAATGGTAACGTAACATCCAGATAACATCATCTAGGAGGGCTCCCTAACATTCTACCCAGCCTGGACTTGTAGGTTGGAAACTATCCCATTTGTGATAGGCTTAGTAGACTACCGAGGCACTGACCACCATAGCCTCACTTAATGCATAAGGCAGAATTGTATGATACAAGCAAGCTTTAAAAAAAATAGTGCTACCTTACCAGCCTACTGCCTACTTCTAAAGAAGGAGTCATTTTGAGAGATGAACCCCAATCCTAGCTCTGTAGCAGTGGTGTAGTGTGTTTGCCAAGTTGACAGATTGTGAAAGCAAAGAACTCTGAAACTCTCCACAGTTGTAGAAGAAGCAGCTGCTTTCATTTGAAATAGTGTAGGAGGAAGGCTACAACTGAGTGCTCTAGGAAACATAAATTGTGGCAATTAATAAAAGGCTGGGGCGGTGGCTCACTTCTGTAATCCCAGCAGTTTGGGAGGCTGAGGCAGATGGATCACCTGAGGTCAGGAGTTCAAGACCAGCCTGGCCAACATAGTGAAAAAACCCTGTCTCTACTAAAAATACAAACAATTAGTGGGATGTGGTGGCATGTGCCTGTAATCCCAGCTACTCGGAAGGCTGAGGCACAAGAATCACTTTAACCCTGGGGGCGGAGGTTACAATGAGCTGAGATCACACCACTGCACTCCAGCCTGGATGATAGAGCAAGACTCCAGCTCAAAAAAAAAAAAAAAAAAAAAAAAAAAAAGAGATGGTAGCATAATTTGAGCAGCAAGTTAAATTGCAAACCAGCTAGAAATTCATCAGAGAACTAAGGAAAATGCATGGCAAAGAGCCTGCTGGAGGTCACAGCAAACCAAAAAGACTGGCATTAAAGATTATCCCTTTAAAGGGGCCCAGATTTTATTGGATCAGACTGTAGAGCAATTTATGCCCCAGGGAACTAAAAATATATGATGCAATCAGCTGGCAATTAGCCAAGGCTAACCTGGGAGTAACAACAACTGAGGCAGACAATTTAACAGAAAGATCAAGAAAGAGACAGTCAAAGAAACAATCACTCAAATAAACTCACTTGCCATTCCAACGTAACTGTGTAAATACCCAAGTCTGCACTGACTGAAGAATGGCGTTCGAAGAGGAACGTGATGGGGAAAAATAGACTTTGCTAGAATAGTCCAGCAAAGTTGCTAAATGAATAGAGACACAAATAGTGACATTCATCAGTTCTGGAGGTTGTGGGGGAAAATCAGTATCCAAAGTTGCTATAGTAAATTATTTTAAACATCTAGGACTGAAGAAAACATTATGACACATGCAAAGAAACAGAAAAGGGTAACTTATGCAGAAAAAAACGGTAGGCAGCAGAAACTGCCTTTTGAGAGGGCCCAAATGTCAGGTTTAACAAAGACATTTTCCGTTAAGGAACTGTGATTAGAAAACATTGCTGAATAAGTAAACATTTGATGAATGATTGAATGAACAAGTGAGTGAAGCCATCCAACCATGCATTTTGGCCCTTGTTTATGGTGGCTCAAAGAGAATATTCAAGAAAATAACATCTCACAGAATCCAGTGGTTCTAATTATGTTCTATGAGTGGTTCTACTTAAAGAGTAAACTTTTCTATTTTCATAATTTTCAAGAATTCACGGGCATGCCACGGTGGCTCAGGTCTATAATCCCAGCACTTTGGGAGGGTGAGGCAGGCAGTACACTTGAGGCCAGGAGTTCCAGACCAGCCCGGCCAACATGGTGAAACCCTGTTTCTACTGAAAACACAAAATGAGCTGGGCGTGGGGGCACGTGCCTGTAGTCCCAGCTACTCAAGAGACTGAGGCACAAGAATCATTTGAACCCAGGAGGCGAAGGTTGCAGTGAGTCAAAGTTGCACCATTGCACTCCAGCATGGGCTAGGAAGAATAACTTTTAATGATATTTTAGGGATTTAAGACTCCTTTTTAATATGATTAAACCAGAGTTATACCTACATGATATGTTTTAGGTCTTAAATTGTTATAATGTACCTTACATGACATAGCTTTGTTTTTTTTTATTTTTATTTTTTGTTTTGTTTTGTTTTGTTTTGGCTATCCGAAGTAACATATAAGTGACTTTTATTTATATTACATTTATAAATCTTGTGAAGTTAAAATGTTTATATTATTCATTCAAAAATAGTCAACTTTTACTTTGTGCCGAGGTTGTGCTAGCTACTAAGACTGTAATGGTGCCTATATTTGCCCTCAAGCAACTCAAAGCTTAAGGGAGCAAAATAATAACAAAAATGCTTCTACAGTCCATTATTCAAAAGAATGTATATATCTAATTCATTTGATCTTCATAAAATTAACTGAGATAAGTACCATTTACCCCATTATATATACATACATACAGCTATATAAGATATATTTTGCACACTAATAAAAGCATAAATATTCATGTTGCAATGTGATATACACTCTAATAGATATAGGTGATCTCAGACAGGGCTTGTTAGATTGTGTGAAAAGATACATTGAGTCAGAGTTTGGCAATTATGGAACTAGGGTGGAAAGGGAGGCAGTTACTGGAAAGTAAAAATGGAACTTACGAGACTATGGAGATGGTTTTCTTCATCATAATCATTCATCGTCATCATCATCATCATCCCTGGCGTTTATTGAGCCCTCCTTCAACACATGTCCTGCATATTATTAAGTGCCAGATATTAACTCTTTCACTCCTCACACCAAGCCAAGATATAACTACCTCATTTATCACCATTATACAAATAAGAAAAGGGATACAAAGAGACATAACCGTAATTTATATAAACTGACTCTCACAGGAGCATGACATATCTAGGAACTGGTTGGAATATTAAAATAATCACAGGAGATAATATAAATGTAGTCTTGAGTCAGACAATATGTGTTATGCCAAGAAGTTTAAACTTTGAAAAACATGTCATTGATGACTTCAGGAAGAAGCATTTTAGGATTTATGTTTTTAAAAGATCATGTACTGAAAAAATGTGAGCAAGAGAGACCAATTAGGAGAAAATTATGAAATTCTAAGGAAGGAAGGGAGTTGAAATAGTGAGTAGTTATGAAGCTAGAAAAATATATTAAAACCCAATTAAATTTAGCATAGAATTGACAGATGTAATGATCATTTGGATGGCACAGGGTTAAAGGGAAAGAAAGAGGAATTAATGTGGATTACATAGTTTTACACTTGGACAAATTAGTGATGGGGTCACTATCAGAGATAGAAAATGCAGTGGAGGAACAGGTTTGATGGAAGTTAATTTTAGTTTTGAAAACGTTGCATTTTAAATATTTGTGGTAGAGGAATAAAACAAAATTCTAGAGTTGACTAAAGATTTCTTTATTTGAAAAATTAGGCCAAATCATGACTTTACAAATTGATACTCTTTGGAATGAAGACTCATTTTGCCATGATATGCTCCCATTAAATGTGATTTACCTTTAGTTTCTATTAAAATTATGTTTATATTGAAAGTAAGCTATCAAGTACCAGTTTTTTCTTTCTGAAGTATGGTTTGGATTTAGATCTCAACTTTGCTCACACACTCTTACAATTTTGTGAATAGGGCTAGCCTCACCCTACTTTTAAAGATAATAGATGATTAGCAGAATATAAATAGATGAACATTTGATTCTTATGTTTTCTGCTGGGTATAAAGTGGATAATAACATTGTTCATAATCTAATCCATTTTCTTTACATGATTAGTTGTGTTTAATTTTCTCTGTGCAGACAGATTATAAGAGACATTTTAAGTCATATTCTTGTAAAGATAGATAAAGTGTCCATTGGACATATTTCTTTAATTTTCTTTAGGGAGGTGCATCTTTTCCTTTCTCCAATAGACATCTACCCACTTTTGAAGTTCTTTCACTTGCTCTTTGCTTCCTGCTCTTAGGGAACCCTAGTGGTACTAACAAATGTTTAGCAAACAAGCAGTTACAGCATCTTTGTGAAGAATCCACAGGAAACAAATGTCCATGCCAACTCTTATGTAGAATTTCACAATAAACATTTAGAGAGAAGATCTTCTTCAGTAGCTATTTCTCCCTCTCTAACTTCCTAAAACCAAAAAACAGCTACTGGATAGTGAATCTACTTGCATTGCTGGTAGTGTTTTCCTGTTCTACAGACTCTAAGAACAAATGAAATTTCAGATACTTGGTAAAGGGGTGAATTCTATCTGACATAGAGGTGATGCTTTTATATTTGACCAGGAAATGATGTTAAAACATAAACAGATTGTACTTGTGAATGCAGGTGTGTGTGTGGATGTGCATGGGTGCACACACACACTCTCATGCACAAACACACTTCTTTCTCTCTTTCTTTTCCTAATCTATTTAAAACTATCATAGGTAAGTTTAAAACCATAAAATAAAAAATGACATAGGGTAAAACAAAATAATGAGCATATGTAGTTAAATTTTAAAAGTCACTACATTTAACTTTTTTTTAATTTCAGCTTGGAATGTAGGAAAATTTTGTAATTAATAAGTCCCAGTTCAGATTCTTCTGGAAGAAATAAGACCTGGGCATGTTGAATTGGAAAAGTATGTGGGAGGAAGCAACAATAGATTAGAATTAGCTGAATCTACATTTCCTTGAAAAAAAATTCAAATATAGAAAATGTGATGATGAACAATAAGTACTAGTGACTTAAAATTTTGAGAGATAACATGAAGTTATTATTTTTTAAAAAGGAAGGAATGAAAGAGACATTAAAAGAGGATAATGCTCAGTCACTGGACTATCAGAAAATATTTCTTATTCTGCCAGAATAACTAGCTGTATATTAAATCTTTCAAAAATGCCCTCTCTGCATATGCGAAATATCTGTGCATCTTAAATATCCCATGAAAACATTTTATCAGTGAATTTAGAGGTGATCCTAATCTACTAGGCACAGTTAACCGCCAACTCTTTGGTGTGTGTTCTATTTACATTTGTGGTAGGTTTCCATCAGCTGTGTTTATGAGCTTGTTTCTCTTGCTACTCTAAACTCATTCATTGTCCAGTACCATAGCACTTGTCGTATGATTGACTTAATAAATCATAATAGATGCTTGGTGAGTAGATTTTTGAATGGATTCTACCTTTAAAACCTCTTTCTTTAAAAATAGCTAATATACAGCTGTCTAAAAACAAAAATGAAGGAATTATATTTGAATCCTCGTTCTTCCTACCATCCAGTCCATTCCATTTTTGGTAAGTCTTCTCTATTCTAGAAAACATATTGTTAATCAACTTCTTTGTATCTCTGCTCTCTCTCCTACTATGATTCAAACTATAACCATCTTTTTCTGAACTTGTGTTACTTTAACTGATGCTCCTACTTTCACTCTTGAGCCACGTATAATCTTCACACATTTTGAAATATTCAATTTATATCATTTCATTTAACCCCCTAAAAAAGAATTTGAAAAGCCTTTTATTATCACTAGTAGTAAAATGTACATTTCTACGTCTGGAAAATAGGGCTCTGCATATTCAGTACGGCTTATCACTCAGATGTTGCTTTTTACCAATTTCTTCTGTGTTCTCTCTATTATAGCCACAGTGACCTTTCTATGTTCAAATGCGTAAAAATTATTCCTGATTTAGATCTTTGTACTGCATTTTCCCTCTCTTGGGAAAACTTTTCCTCGAGAAGGGACACATAGCTCAATCTTCTGTGTTTTCAGGAAGCCATTACCTGACCCACCTTAAAGTAGATTATCTTCCTGTTCCTGTCCATTACTATCTTTTGCTTTCTTTACCTTTGTACACATTATTATTTAAAATCACCTTGTTAATTTGATTACTTCTTTATAATTTCTATCTCAACCTCATAGACTTTATCTGCCTCATGCATATTTCTATCACAAGCATCCAGAACAGTGTTAATGGAATATAATCTAACTAGAGATTTATATGTTAAACCTCTTCCAGGTTCAAGAATTAAAGTTTACTGCCTGTCATTAAGAAAAAAGGTTGAAATTTCAATTTTGAAATCACAGGTAATTTTGTTATTAATTTTAAAACATATTTTATGGATTTAGTTATTCAATTAAATCTTATTTTTAATTTTGAGGTAATTGTAAATATACATATATGCAGAAGTAATACAGAGAAATTCCATGTACCTTCACCCAGTTTCTCTAATAATGACATTTCATAAAACTATAGTATCACAAGGATGTTAACACTGAGACCATCGAGATACAGAACAGTTTCATCATCACAGTGATCCTTTTTGCTTTTTTATAGCCATACCACTTACCTTACCTATGAATGCCAGTTCTTGATCCCTGGCAACCTCTAATCTCTTCTCCATGCCTACATTTTGGTCTTTTAAATAATGCTTTATAAATACAATAATATAGTATGTAAGCTTTTGAATTTGACCTTTTATTTTATCCAGTGTAATTCTCTGGAGACTCATCCAAATTGTTGCTTGAATCATAGCTTTTTCTTTTTATTGCTGAGAATTTGGATGTACCAGTTTGTTTAACCATTCATCTGTTGAAAGATATATGTTTTCTTACCCAGTTTTGGAGTTATTACCAATACAAATGCTATGAATATTTCTGAACAAGTTTCTATGTGAACATAAGTTTTCACTTATTTGGGATAGATGCCCAGGAATATGTAATTGTTGGTTGTACAGTAGTAGCATGTTTAGTTTCAGCAGAATTTTCAAACAGTTTCCAGAGCAGTTGTAATATTTTACCTTTCCATCAACAATGTATTTGTGACCCAGCTTCTGCACATCTTTGCCATTTTGGTTTTATATATGTCTCATATATATATATTATATATATAATATTTCAGTCATTCTGATGTATAGTGATACCTCATTATGCTTTGAATTTGCATTTCCCTGATGGATAATGATGAACATTTTGTCATGTGCTTAACTGCCATCTGTATATCTTCACAAGTGAAGTGTCTTTTTGGGTCTTTCTTCTGTGCATTTCCTAGTTTGGTTGCCTTTTTTTTTTCTTTTATTGTGGTGTTTTGAGAGCTCTTTATATACTCTTGGTACAAGTCCTTTGTGGCATATGTGGTTGGCAAATATTTTATACCAGTATATAGTTTCACCCTTATATACCAGTATATAATTTTCACCCCACTTCACTCCTTTAACAGGGTCTTTCGCAGAGGCAAAATTTTCAATATTTATGAAAGAGAACTTACCATTTTTTTTCTTTTATGGATAATAGTTTTGATGCCAATTCTCTGCGTAGCCATAGATCCAGAAGATTTCACCCCACCTTTTCCCCTATGTTTTCGTTTGTTTATCCCAGAAACTGTATTGTTTTACATGTTACACTTAACGCTGTGACCCATTGTGAGTTAATTTTTGAGTAAAGTATGGGCTTTAAGTCGACAATTTTTAATGTTTTTTTGTTGTTTGGTGGTATTGTGTGTGTGTGGTATTTGGCGTGCGCATGTGTGTGTGTGTGTGTGTGTGTGTGTATGTTAATGTTTTGACCATGGATGTTCAATTCCCTCAACACCATTTCTTGAAAAGACTACCTTTCCACCATAGAAATTAATTTTCACCTTTGTCAAAATGCAGTTGGACATATTTGTTTTTGTCTGTTTCTGAGTTGTCAGTGGTGTTGCACAGATCGATGTGTCTGTACTTCCACTAATACCACACATTATTTATTACGTAGCTGTATATTAAGTCTGGAAATCTGGTAGACTGATACCTCTGACCTTATTCTTCTTTTCAATATCATTTGTTCTGGTTTACATCTCCTGCCTTTCCATATGCAGGTCTACCTCTATAAAAATGTTCCTAAGATTTTGATAGGAATTTTGTTAAATCTGTATATCAAGTTGGAGAGAACTGCAATCTTTGGTTGAGGTTTGTTTTATGGCACACAGCATGGTAAATCTTGGTATATACTCCATAGGCACTTGAAAAGAATGTATTCGGCTTTTGTTAGGTAAAATGTCGTATAAACATTGATTAGTTCCTGTTGGTTGACGGCATGAACTATTTTATATTCTTGTAAATTTTCTGTGTACTAATTCTATCGCTTGTTAAAACAGAGGTAGTAGATGTTTCATCATATGCTCAGGTGTTCCTGATGTTCATGGTGAGGCTATGCTATTTTTTCATTCTATTTTCTTTATGTTGTTTAGATTGGATAATTTCTATCAATCTTCATGTTCACTGATTTTTTTTTTCCCTCTGTACTTTCTATTCTGCATGAGCCTATTTGTTGAGTTTTTAACTTTGTTTTTTCTGTATTTTTAGTTAAAAAAATCCAATTTTGCCTTATTTTTCACCTGATTTGTGGCTACCTCCTCTCTTTTCATTTGTTTAGAGTGTGTTCATCGTTATTCATTGAAGCATTTTAGTGATGACTTCTTTAAAATCTTTGTGAGATATTTCTAACATCTGTTATCTTCATGTTGGCATTAATTCTCTTTTTGATTCAGTTGAGATTTCAGTGATTCTTAGTACGATAGTGATTTGGTATTAAAACTTGGATAGTTGGGCCGGGGGCCGTGGCTCACGCCTGTAATCCTAGCACTTTGGGAAGCCAAGGTGGGCAGATTGCCTGAGCTCAGGAGTTTGAGACCAGCCTGGGCAACACAGTGAAACCTCATCTCTATTAAAATACAAAAAATTAGCTGGGCATAGTGGAGGGCACCTGTAGTCCCAGCTACTTGGGAGGCTGAGGCAGGGTAATCTCTTGAACCTCGGAGGTGGAGGTTGCAGTGCAGTGAGCAGAGATTGCACCACTACACTCCAGCCTAGGTGACAGAGTAAGACTCTGCCTCCAAAAATAGTAATAATAATAACAATAATAAATAAATAAATAAATTAAATAAAACACCTGGATCCTGGATATTTGGGGTATTATGTTATGAAACTCTTGTCTTATTTAAACCATCTGTTTTAACTGCCTTCCTCTGATACTACTCTGGCAGGGTAAGAGAAAATGCCTTATTACTACTGCCAGATAGTGGAAGAGGTACCAGTTTCCCAGCAGACCTCCACTGACACCCTGTGGAAAAAAGGGAACTCCTCATTATTGCTGGGCATGTGTGAGGGTTTTCACTATCAATGTGGCCTACACTGATACCACTCAGGGGATGGGGGAATGTAGCCTTTTAACCTCTGGGCAGTGATGAAAGTCCCGAATCTCCACTAGGCCACATGTGGAAGCAACACAGCCAAGAATAGGAAAAATGTTTCATTACTGCTGGATATGATGTAAGTCCAGGCTCCCCAGAAGGTCTTCACTAACACCTTGAGGAGAGGTTATCAGCTCCCATAGGGGTGAAAGTCCCAACTCCCTACTTAGCCTTCTCTTATATTACCATATTTCCAGTCTAGGGTGCCTCATGAGAGTGGAGGTCAGACTGCCTACTGGGCCTTTGTTGGCATGAGTTGGAGTGGAGCCACCATTTTTTATTTGCTGTGCTTGACTAGAGTAGAGAGGTGGTTGCCTATGTTTTTGGCATTGCTAGGCTTTCCTCTTGTTTCTAATCCTTTGATAAGAGACAACATGCTTCTGTTGGAGCTTCTACTTGTCTATATATTACAAGTTTCTAAGTTGTATCTTCTTCAATTCCAAGTCTGAGATACATGAGACAAAAAGAAAGCTTAAACAATTACGCAGCATTTACTTCCTTGAGTTCTAGATTCATCAGTCGGTCTGCTTTCCTCCCTTCACCTTTCAGAGTTTTGTGTTTGTTTTATATATAATGGCCAGGGCTTTTAGTTGTATTTACTGGGAGAAACAGGGACAAGGACCTCTATGCCAATGTTTTGGAAACGGAATACGCCTAATTTTATACCACTGATTATTGAGCATCCTTGGGTTATTTATGCAATTTTTCATTTATAAAATGAAAATTTCTCTGTGAAACTTGCCATCATGCTTCAGCTAGAAGTTTTCACTATATTACTGAAAAATTCTTATGTATTTATTTTTGTAATTCTAACCACTTAGCATTATTTATTTATTTATTTATTTATTTATTTATTTATTTATTTGAGATAGGTCTTGCTTTTTTACCCAAGTTGCAGTGCAATGGCATGATCGTAGCTCACTGTAACCTCAAACTCCTGGGCTCAGGCTATCCCCCTGCTTCAGCTTCCTGAGTAGCTGAGACTACAGATGTGCACCGCCATGCCTGGCTAATTATTTTTCTTTATTTCTTGTAGAGACAGTATCTTGCTATGTTGTCCAAGCTGGTCTCAAACTCCTGGCTTCACGCAATCCTCCTGCCTCAGCCTCCCAAAATACTGGGATTATGGGTGTATGTCACCCTGCCAGAGGCCAACTTAGCATTTTAAATCAGATTTCTTTTACATACATTTGTAGCATCTGCTGTACTAGACTCCCAAATCCTTTAGAAAGGAGACCAGAATTTTCTTATCCTTAAAATACCTATCCCAGTGCCATATACTTGAAAGACACTGGCACATTTTTTTTAAATAACTCAGTTATTTGGGCTTCCTGACATTTAATCTCATGAAAAGAATGCTAGAGCTTTTTAGACCACATTATAGGAAAAAGTAGTAGTATAAAAATTATAGTTAGTACAGTTATCCCTCAGTATTTATGTGTGATTGGTTCCAGTACCTTCCACAGAAACCAATATCAGAGGATGCTCAAATCCCTGATATAAAATCCTATAGTATTTGCATATATCTATGTATATGATCTTGTATACTTTAAATCATCCCTAGATTACATAATACCTAATACAGTGTAAATATTTGTTATACTGCATTGTTTAGGGAATAATAATAAGAAAAAAAGTCTATACGTGTTCAGTACAGATGCAATTTTTTAAAATGCATTTTTTTAATCCTCTTCTAGTTGGATCCATGGGTATAGAACCTGCAGATAAGGAAGGCCAACTGTACATTCAAAATAGGTAGTAATTCTTAAAAGTTGTTTAAGCATTTTGGATCTGTACATCATGCTAACATAAGCATTATTTCTATTTCTATTCTTCTCTATTTCTCATTTGGAAGGCTTGCCATTGTTTTCTCTAATGCCAGACGTACTTTGTGGATTCCAGTTTAAGCTTAATTAAATAGATATATTTTAGTCAGTGAGTCTAAAGCCAAAATCTAATTATCTGTAATTCCACAGAAAACAGTCAACTGAAATAAATTTTTTAAGATGAGAATTTCATTCCATTATTTGTGTACTTTCCCACTGTTAGGGAATAATATTTTACAGATTTTTGCCATAAAAATTGCAATAAGAATTTTTAACTCAACAAATGAAAGATCTTTTATTTTAAAATGTTATGTTCAAATAAACTTTTTTTTTGCAGTACAGGGGTATTGAGACTCATTTTAAGTTTTGTCAAGGTATTATATCTTTCTACTTCTGACTTTTCTAATATTTAAAGAAGAGGCAATTGTCATACCTGCTCCTTTTTGCTCAGTGGTAATATTTGCACCTGAGGAAAATAACCTGAAGATAATTAGTAAGTTATTAGCTTCCTACACTGCTTACTTTTTAATGTTGTTCTGTAGATCAAATACTGCAAAAGTGCTTGGAAAATGTCAAAATCCTAAATTCAAATCCTAAATGTCAAAGTCACTAAATTCTTGTGCATTTAATTTTGTCAGGTAACATACACTGTTTGAACATTTGACCTATCTGTGGACAGCTGCAAAGTAAGTCCTGTGAGAAACACCCATAAGTACATGCTCCAGAATGGACATATGCACACACTCTCACACACATACACTCACAGTGGGAGTGGGGATGTTGAATTGCTACAATGTAAGTCAAAGCAATTAAGTCATGACTTGATTTACCAGTCATTTCACATAAATCCAGATTTAATGTTCAGTGAGAACATATAAGATTATCATGCTTGCTCCTAAATGTTAAAAAATGTCATTACCAGTTGAAAATAGCCTTCTACATGTTGATCCTCCCTGGGCAACTTTACCCCTTCCCTGGAGCTCTTCCCCTTAAAACTCCCATGGGTTAACACATATGTCATGAGAAGCTTCCGTGAGCCTGCTCCCATGCTAAGGTAGCTACTAATCTGATACTGGTGCTTTGTTCTCCCTCTAAATTTTATCATCCTTAGAGTAGAAAATGTCTCTTGAGCTTATCACACAGTGGCACAAATGAATGCATAAGCAAAATTAGTGCATTGAAGTTTAATTTATAACAGCTTCTGTGTTTGACTCTTAACATTTTATCTTGGTTAATTCCTTGTTGTTAGAAGACAAAAGGTTTGAGATTCAGAAAAAGACACTAACCTGCTAAGGTCACATACCAATACTGCGTGTAGTTGAACTGGAGTCTGTTTGACTTTAAAGCCCTATGCTTGCAGCAATATCACATTGCATTTGTGGAGACAGGTAAATCTATTTTTTTTTATGAAGTCAGTGAATTTTAATGACTCACTGAGCAGGTCCTATTAATCTCTGACTTGGTTCTTTCCATTGAAGAGCTCATCCCATGAGAACACTAGCAACAAAGATTCTCTTATGGACCTAGCCATCAAATTCAAATGTCACTGAATTCCTAAATTCTCTCTGTCATTAATTGAAAAGCCTGAGATTCTTACTTGTGAAAGCTTTATGATTCTGTCTTCACTTTAGCTATTTTCTGTATCTATATTATATTTTTCCTTAAGGTTTTGCTATTTCAAGCATTTTATGATGCTCATTATTCTCATAGAAGAATTACAAATAGAGTGATGCGGTATCTGCTTTCTCTTCCTCTTAATAGAACATTGTCTTCAAAACTCTTGTTCTTAACTGCCTCAGTCTTGCTTAAGTCTGCAAAAAGAAAAATACATGTGAATTCATTCTGGTATGCCTTGTAGTCTCCTTTTCTTATTTTTTATAATTTCTCTTCTTTTTCTCTTTACATACAGTTTCTTGTGAACACTGCAAAACACTCCTTTCCACATACATCTTTAAAAAAAAAAATACACGGTATCACTCTGTCACCCAGAGGCACAGTCTCAGCTCACTGCAGCCTCTGCTTCCTGGGCTCAAGCTATCCTTCCACCTCAGCATCCCAAGCAGCTGGGACTACAGGCATGTGCCACCAGGCCCAGATAATTTTTGTATTTCTTTTTTTTTTAATGTTATTATTATTATACTTTAAGTTTTAGGGTACATGTGCACAATGTGCAGGTTTGTCACATATGTATACATGTGCCATGTTGGTGTGCTGCACCCATTAACTCGTCATTTACATTAGGTATATCTCCTAATGCTATCCCTCCCCTCTCCCCCCTCCCCACAACAGGCCCCAGTGTGTGATGTTCCGCTTCCTGTGTCCATGTGTTCTCATTGTTCAATTCCCACCTATGAGTGGGAACATGCGGTGTTTGTTTTTTTGTCCTTGCAATCACCATGTTTCCTAGGCTGATCTCGAATTTCAGAGCTCAAGCAGCCTGCTTGCCTTGGCCGTGGCTTCCCAAAGTGCGGGATTTAAAGGCCTGAGACACCGCACCAGGCCTCCTCACAAACTTTATTCAGGTAGATTTTTTAGGTTGGGAAACAACAGGGTCTTATCACAATGATAATCTCAGGGTTTTATCTCTAAGTTAAAAAATAACTAAACTTAGTTCTCAGTTTCAAATCTGACTAAAGTGCTTATTAACAGTTTAACTTTGGATAATTAATTTTATCCAGCTGAGCCTCCATTTACTCATCTGGTAATTAAAACTAGGAATAATAATACATCCCACTTCCTAGGATTATTTTGAAGACGGAGTTTGGAAATATAAATAGTTTACTTGACCAAGTTTTTGAGAAAATAGTTGTTATCCTCTCCACACACACCTTTCACTTTACAAAACTGCCCATCTCTGTCCTCAAATAATTTTTAGGCAAACTGTCTTTTTTACTTTCTAAATATATGTGGAACTGTTTTAAAATCAGCATTGCACTTTAGAAGAAAAGAGAAGCAAAACTGTTTTGCAAAGTTTTCTTGATGCAAATGTTACATTTCATCAATTTCCATTCCGCCCCGATGGTATGGAGGAAAGAATGTCCAGGCTTCGTACTGTAAATGTGCTTTAAAGAGAGAGAGAGAGAAAAGGACACACACACACATACACACAGAGAGATTGAGAGAGAGAAGCAGGCATTTACTGAACTCCCCCCCAAACAACATAAATCTATTCCTTTTATTAATGAAAAGTCCCACCACATTCTCAGAGTAGGCTGTACTCATAAAAACTCATGGGAAAAGGAAAAAAAAATTTACGGGACTTAAAGAGGATTGCAAAACTCTTAAGCCAGTGCTGGCTTAAAATAATAAAATCAGAATTACTTGAGGAAGAATGTCAGTATGCTTACCTACTCATAGTAAAAGTATGTTATCTCTTTTAAGTTTTCTTTTTGTCATTTTTTTGATATGACACAGATTCATATAGAAGTTGAATGGAATTTTGCAGGCTTTTGTGAAAAGAACACAAGGATCTACTTTGTGTAGATGGTCTACTCCTTGTGAGCTGGAAATGTCGTATCACAGCTATGTCCCCATCACTTAGAAAATTGCCAAACATGCCAGGCACAGTGGCTCACGTTTGTAATCCCAGCATTTTGGGAGGCCAAGGCAGGCAGATTACCTAAAGTCGGGAGTTGGAGACCAGCCTGGCCAACATGGTGAAACCCCCTCTCTACTAAAAATACAAAAAATTAGCCAGGAGTGGTGGCCGGTGCCTGTAGGCCCTGCTACTCGGGAGGCTGAGGCAGGAGAATTGCTTGAATCCGGGAGGTGGAGGTTGCAGTGAGCTGAGGTCACGCCACTGCACTCCAGCCTGGGCGACAGAGTGAGACCCCATATCAAAAATTAAAGAAAATGTCGAAACACTATTTAATGTTCAATAACTACTTGTTAAACATTTGCTGTCTTACATTCATCCATATGCTTTTGCCTCTATATGATGATAGAGACAAATTCATCTAAAATTAGCTGCTGATCATCTTAGAAATATTTATTGTTCATATAGTGTGTTCATAATCATGACTTGATTTCATCTTATGAATATCTTTTAAATATCATTAATCTTAAGAATAGCAATAGGCTGATATTATTTTTAATTTACAGAGAGGGAAACTGAGAATCAGATAAATAAGAAGAATTTTCCAGGTTCACTCAGCTAGTATAAGAAAAATACTAATCACAATGCCAGAATTTCAGACTTAATAACATGATCAGTAATCATTCATTAATATATGATATGTGTCTATTCATTAACTAATAGTGAACAATAGTCACGAGTGTCCTGTGTGTATTTGGTGCTGGTAATAAAAATAATAATGATTTTTTTTTGTCCTCAGAACTCCTGTTTTAGAGGCAGAGTGAGAAAAATAAGTCAATTATTACAATAAAATGAAATAAAACTCTTAGTCAAAAATAGCTGGTTAAACATTTGTTTATGTCTATTATTTCAAGAGCATATTAAATTGAAAGTCAAAGTATAAAACATATATAAAGTCATATATATAAGAACTGAGCTTTCCATAATTATTTCCCTGCAATCATTGTAAGGAATGAGGAAGGATAGGGAGATAAGAAAGCTCTTGGTAATGGCGAGAGGTTATTATAGGTGTGGATTATATGGTTCTAAGTTATGGAGGTGTAAATGTATAGTTAAAGAAAGATGTTTGGACTTTTGGAATAGGAAAGGCATACCTGCACTTTTATCCTATTATGTTATTAGCTGTGTAGTCATGGATGGCTAACTTCTCTCTGAGCTCCATATGTGATAATATAAAGTGCTTTATGAAGTACCTCGTACCTAGCTTTTCAAAAAGGGTAGTATTATTATAATTGTGTTTATTTTTATTATTGTTATTATTAGGCTGTATTTGAGAAGTAAAATTGATAAGATGATAGACCATAGTAAAATGAAAAGATCAAAGATAGGAGGATAGGAGAAAAAGAATAAATATGAAGAAGGAGTGAGACAGAGGGAGCAATTGGTATGCATGGTGAGCACAGAAGGAAATCCTGTCATTCCCAAATGCCATTGACATGGATGAAACTGGATGACATAATGCCGAGTGAATTAAGCCAGATGCAGAAAGACAAATACTGCATAACCTCACTTATACATGAAAATTAAAATAATTAAACTTGTGAAAATAGAGTGGAATAGTGATTTCCAGGGGTGGGTTGGGGAAGGGGAAATGAGATTATGTTGGTCAAAGGGCACAAAATGTCACATATACAAAATGAATAAATTCTGAAGAGCTAATGTACAGAATGATTACCATAGTTTCAGTATGTATTGTATACTTGAAATTTGACAAGAGGAGAGATTTTATGTGTTCTCATTTCAAAAAAAAAAGGAAGGGAAAGGAAAGGAAGGAAGGAAGGAAGGTAGGAAAAAAAAGCAGAGAAGAGAAATAAAGAAAATGCTAACTATATAAGGTGAAAAATATGTTAATTAGCTTCATTGTGGTGATTTATTACTATGTATACATATAAAAATCAATTTGTACACCTTAAATATAATTCTACTTATTTTCAATTATACCTCCAATAAAGCTGAAAAATAAATTTAGAACATATTTAATAAATGTAATGTTGTCAGGAAATTACAAAGTTCAAATGCATTCTCTGTTTGCTGAGGTGAAGAAGAAAGTCCTTGAGGAAAAGTTTAAGAAATATTCGTTTGAAAAATGACTGTATTATCTAAAAAAAAAAAAAATCAAAGTTTTCCAACTCCAGAAACCAGAATCACAGCCTTCAATTGAAGTAGGGGAATAACTAGACCCACAAAAGGCATTGATAAAGAAATAGAGTAGATTAGCTGAATGGCATGGTATTCAAAGAATATGTTTGTACAGGACAGTGGAAATGTGGTGACCAACAGGAGTACAGCATGTTTCCAGAAAACATCTTGGAAAAAATCAATGTTTCTAGTCCATTGGTCTTAGAGTGTATGGGGAGTAGGAACATAAATAGTTACCAACTAGAGATTTGTAATATAAGGGCTGCCACTTACTAACTTTTTAACCTTAAATAATTTACTTAAGGTTTTCTGAGTCTCTGTGTTTTCTAGTATAAAGTGTCAACCTCGGAGGGTTATTTTCCTGATAAATGAGTCAATTTCCATGAAGTGCCAAACAGAGAAGTGAATACTGGTGATTCATCAACAAATGGCAGCCATCTCAACTGTCTTCTTCCAGTGAGAAAAGCTGGGAATGAAAATGGTCCTGGGGGAGAATCAGGTTTCAGCCAAGGCAAGGAGTATCAGGGAAGAGCCTATATTGTCTCAATTGTGCCATCCTATCACCTGCAAAACAAAAATGCAGAAACTATCATTGCAGCATCCTTAGCAAGCAGCAGGCTTTAAAACACCTGCTTACAATCAGGAGAAAATAAATTAAACTGCTCAACTGTGAAGTCTTAAAATACACTCCCAAGTATAATTTCACAGTGAATCACAATTACATTTTCCTCCTCTAGATATTCCATCAATAGTTCCTATTTCCTTTTCTGCTGGTTGACTTTCATCAATGACAAGGTAGCCTTTCAGTCAGTTGTAAGGATGAGATGGGAGACCAGAAATCAATGAAACACACAGACTTTGTAAATGACATAGCCAATTTGATAATCTCCATCTAACTGTTACTGAACTTCAGCCAATTGTTTGTAAGGAAAATACTATTGTGAATCAACTCTGTGGGCTAACATAACAATGAAGGCTAATCAATATCAAAATGACTTAAAATCAATACTGAGAAGATAGTATTTTTTTCTGAACCTGATCAACATTAAACTAATTAATAGACATCATGAAATTGAGAATCTGCTTCACTTTATAATGGCTGAAAAAAATCAAGTCTTGCTTCATAGTCCAAAATGGTATGTCACAAAATACTACAGAAAGTACCATGCTACTCCATGTGACATTTGAAGTGACATGTTCTGCTTTTCATTATATTAGGGATCTGCCAACTCTAATCGACAGGGCAAGTCTGTATGCTTTGGGATGCTTTTGGTCCTTATGTTATTAAACTAAAACAAAGAGAAAAAGTTAATAAACACTTTTGATTGAGTAGAAAGACAATAATAAATCAGCCTGTTTAAAACTCTCCTAATACAAGATGTGAGTACACAGATAATACAGGGAGATGCTCCTATAGTACAAAAATATGTAAGATGTTTCTTTATGGGAAATACACTTTGGAATTAATATTTAATACCTCAAAGCAGACATAGGCAAAGGTTTGTTAAATATATCCTAAGTCAACAAGATTTGACCATAATCAGATAATTGAACATTGGGAAAATGTGCCCAGAAAAAAGAGAAGGTTTTTCAGCTATAAGAAGAAAGCTTATTGATGGCCAGAAATGTCAGTGCTCATTCAGGCACTGTTGTGGGGGACCAGGCTTTTTCTTTAGTACTAGCTTGTCTCCCCGGAGTGGCAAGTCTATTGGTATACCAAAAATGGAGACCCAAATTCATTTTTTAAAGAAATCAGGTATTTAACTATTATAACCGACTTTCTTTCTGTGATCCCAGGAAGGCCAAGAACATTCAGATAGCAATTTGCTTTACCGAGTAGAGGCAGAACATGAAATCCAGATATTCGCTTGCAGTATGTGAATAACCAGTGTTCTGTTTGCAAAACCCACCTCTGGAAGGATTCTCAACTTGAATTTTCCCTGCAAAATGGAACCTCTCTGAAGTACTGACAATTCCAGTGTTTGAAGCTGCAGGCCTGAGAGACAGACTTTAGAATAAGGTAGCCTTACAAGGTCATGCCACATATGACACCCATTGGATGACAGGCAGTGTCTCTTGTCACTATTCAGAGCATTCCCTCCAGCTTACTCTTCTCCAAATGTAATACAGATAATGACACCCCTCCCTTCAATGTGTGCATATATTTAACTGACATTTACTAATTATTATCACATATTTTAAATAGGCTAATCATAATCAGAGCTAGTCAAACAAATTAGACCCTGAAATATTTACTGTCTGGGGCATTTTCAGTCTTTGGCTCCATGTTGAGCTGGTGACAATTCATCCATGATGAAGCAGTTATAAAGTAAAATATTCTCTGGAAGGAGCAGGGTTGCATGGCACACTGTTTTAAGATGCGTACTTTTAAATTTTGGAACACAGATAATTCTTGTAAAATTATGACTCACACACTTGCATACACACGCACACACACACACCCATGCATACACACACACACACACACACACCTGGGATACATGTCTATCTATGCCTGTAGCTGATGTTTATCATTAAGAAACATGCTGGTCTTTGATCATTATGCTGTTTTGCTTTGTTCAAAACATTGCAAAAATGTAACAATGTACTATGGATTGCCATGGAAATGAGAATTGGTTCCTTCTCTGTTATTTATAGAGGCCCACTCACAGATCTAAGACTTCAAATGAGATCATAGCTTTAATCCTTAAGATGCTTTTTTTCTTTTCCCGAGTTATGTGCAGTTGAGTCCTGATTTATTAGTTTCAAAAGCATTTTCTAAGTAATTGCCTCATACTGCCTGGTCCTTTATTTTATTTATCTTTTTATTTTTTTTGAGATGGAGTCTCGCTCTCTCCCAGGCTGGAGTGCAGTGGTGCCATCTCGGCTCACTGCAATCTCCACCTCCCAGGTTCAGGCGATTCTCTTGCCTCAGCATCCTGAGTAGCTGGGATTAAAGCCACACAACACCATGCCTAGCTAATTATTGTATTTTTAGTAGAGTCAGGGTTTCACCGTGTTGGCCAGGCTGATCTGGAACTCCTGACCTCAAGTGATCCGCTCATTTTGCCCTCCCAAAATGCTGGGATTACAGGCATGAGGCCTCTTGCCCGGCCTGCTTGGTCCTTTATACAGGTGAATAAAGATAAGAGAATCTGTGTGTGTGAATACATACATATACACGTATAGATATGCATGTAGCAGAATTAATGTAAAAGATTAGATCTATATAATGTGCATAATATATGGTATATTATATATAAAAAAGCAATGTAATAAACAAGGTAGTTAATGCAAACTTTCTATGATAAATTTATCTTATCAGCTGATAATACAAATTAGTTATTTTTATTTCTATACATTTATGGGATACAAGTGCAATTTTGTTACATACATAGATTTATAGTGGTCAAATCAGAGCTTTAAGGGTATCCATCATCCAAATAACATACATTGTACCCATTAAATATTTGTTATTACCCACTTCACCACTCTGTTACACTTCTCAGTTTCTATTGTCTGTTATTACATACTCTACGTTCATATGTACACATTATTTAGCTCCAAATTATGAATGAGAACATGCCATATTTGTCTTTCTGTGTCTGAATTGTTTCACTTATAATTCTGGCCTCCAGCACCATTTATATTGCTGTAAAATACATTTATTCTTTTTTATGGCTGAACAGTATTCCATTGCATATATATATATGCATTATACATTATACATTATATATATATTCCATTGCATATATATATTACATATATATTATATATATTCCATTGCATATATATATATTCCATTGCATATATATATATATATATACCATATTTTCTTTATCTAACCATCCGTTGATGAACACTTAGATTGATTCCATATCTTTGCTATTGTGAAGAGTGCCACAATAAACATAAAAGTGCAAGTGTCTTTTTGATAAAATGATTTATTTTCCGCTGGATAGATACCCAGTAGTGGGATTGCTGGATTGAATGGTAGTTCTATTTTTAGTTCCTTGAGCAATCTTCATACTGTTTGTCATAGAGGTTATATTAATTTATTTTCCCAAAATAGTGTATAAGTGTTCCCTTTTCTTCACATCCTCACTAACGTCTGTTATCTTTTGTCTTTTTAATAATAACCTTTCTGAGTTGGGTATGATAAAGTACCACTGTGATTTTAATTTGCATTTCTCTGATGATTAGTGATGTTAAGTATGTTTTCATATACGTGTTGGCCATTTGTATGTCTTCTTTTGAAAAATGTCTATTTTTTTTTTGCCAACTGTTTAATGGGATTACTTTTTTTGTTTTTACTGAGTCGTTGAAGTTTCTTATATATTCCATATATTAGTTCCTTGTTGGGTATATATTGTAAATATTTTCTTGCATCCTGTAAGTTGTCTGTTCACTCTGTTAATTATTTATTTCCTGTACAGAAGCTTTTTAGTGGAATTAAGTCTCACTTATCTATTTTTGTTTTTGTTGTTTGTGCTTTTCAGGTCTTAGTCATTAATTCTTTGCCTAGGCCAAGGTCCAGAAAAGTTGTTCCTATGTTTTCTTCTTGGACTTTTATAGTTTCAGGACTTCCATTTGTCTTTAATTCATTTTAAACTGATTTTTGTTTATGGTGAGAAATAAGGGTCCGGTTTTATTCTTCTGCATAAAGCATTCTAATTTTCCTAGCACCATTTATTACAAAGGGTGTCTTTTCTACAATGTATGTTCTTGTGGACCTTGTCAAAGATTAGTTGGCTTTAAATATGTTGCTTTATTTCTGGGTGCTATATTCTGTTTTATTAATCTATGTGTCTACATTAATGCCAGTATCATACTGTTTAGGTTACTATAGCCTTGTAACATAATTTGAAGTCAGGTAATATGGTGCCTCCAGCTTTGTTCTCTTTCCTTGTAATGGCTTTGGCTATTCCGACTTTTTTTTTTTTTTTTTTTGCTGTTCCATACTAAGTTTAAGATTTCTAAAAATTCCATGAAAATGATGTTGTTATATTGATAGAGTTTGCACCGAATCTGTAGATTGCTTTGAGTAGAGCGGTTATTTTAATAAGATTGTTTCTTCTGATCTATGAGCATGGGGTGTTTTTCATTTGTTTGTGTCACCTACACTTTTTTTCATTAGTGCTTTATAAGTTTCTTTTTGTAGAGATCTTTCCTCTACTTGGTTAAATATATGTCTAGGTATCTTTTTGTAGCTATCGTAAATGGAATTGCCTTCTTGATTTCATTCTCAGCTAGATCATTATTGGTGTATAGAAGTACTACTGATTTTTGTACATCGATTTTATGTCCTACAATTTTATCAAATTCATTTATTAAATCTAAAAAGTTTTCTGGTGCCATCTTTAGGTTTTTCTAAATATGAGGTCACGTCATCAGGAAATATTGATAATTTGACTTTCTCTTCTGATTTGGAAGCTTTTTTTTTCTCTTTCCTGATTGTTGTGGCTAGGATTTCCAGTACTATGTTGAAAATGAGTGGTGAAAGTGGGCATTGTTGTCTTGTTCTAGATCTTAGAAGTGTTTTCAGCTTTTCTCCACTTACTATGATGTTGGCTATAGGTTTGTTGTATATGGCCATTATCATTTTGAGGTACTTTCCTTCAATGCCTAGTAGGTTCAGGTGTTTTTCTTTATTGTTTTTTTTTTTCTTTTCTTTTCATATCATGAGGTGGTGCTGAATTTTATCAAATGCTTTTTCTGTGCCTATAGAGAGATCAGATAGTTTTTATCCTTAGTCCTGTTTATGTGATACATAACATTTATTGATTTACGTATGTTGAAATATCCTTGTATCCCTTCGTTGTAGTGTTACATTTTTGATGTGCTATTAGTTCAGTTTGCTGGTATTTTATGGAGGATTTTCACACCTGTGTTTATCAGGGATATCGGTCTGTAGTTGTGTGTGTGTGTCCTTGTCTGGTTGGGTCTCAGGGTGATACTAGCCTCGTGGAATAAGCTAGAGATAATTTTCTTGATTTTTGGGAGCTTTAGGATGCTTGGAATTAGTTCTTCTTTGTATGTTTTGTAGAATGCAGCTGTGAATCTATCTAGTCCTGGCTTTTCTTTTTTGAGAGATATTTTATTACTGATTCAATCCTTCTAGTCATTAGTGGTCTGTTCAGGTTTTGGAGAATGCAAATTAATACAGGAAAGAGGGCATATGAATATAATGTACCAATTACCAAACCTGATCAAACAGCCTGCTGCTGCTGCCTATTTCTGGCATTGGAAGTGACCCACAATCAAAATGTAATATGGATAGGCTTTTGCTTTTTACTATGGAAGTGGGGCATTTATAGGTATTTAGGATTTTATATTAGTTTTCAGAATAACTGTGTAATGTCATTTCACATTTGAGAATATGTTAATACTTACCAACTCACTAAACACCTGAAAGATAGGCATTTCACTACTGAATTTTTACACAAAACTGAAGGAACTTGTGTGGGTATCAGGATGCCATTGTATAACTCAAAATAGAATATTTATTCATATATTTGGGTATAATGAGGGACATAAAACCTCGGCATTTGATAGCATTGTGAAAGAGCTTGCTGTTTTCTGATCCAATATGTATTTTTTACACAAATAATTTGAAATAATCTAGAGCAAATGTCACCTAGAAAATTGAACAGAAGTCTAATAAAGTTTGCATATAGATGAAAAGCTTATTAATTTTTAACTAGCTTCCCCCATATCATTACAATCAGTGCACTGCAAGAAGTGAGTTCTATTATCAGCACAGGTATTACAAGTATGATTTTTAATGTATGGCCTTAGGAATCCCACGTGGCAACCACAGAATTTTTCTTATGTAAATGTCCATTAATCAGCACATGAAAATTCCTGTCTGCTCATCAGGGCAATCCTAACAGCATCCCCAACAAACATTTAAAATAGACGTGCTCCAAAATCTCAAGTCCTCCCTAGCCTATGTGAAAAACATAAACAATTACAGTGGACTGAACTTAATCTCAAGAGGAGACTGGATTGTTCCAACATATAAGGAAATGCAAAATATCACACAGAATATAAACCAAGCTGATGAGATAGCCTGAAGTTGTCAGATATATGCATCTTGCAGGCATTATGGGGATATTAGTACTCACCCAATCTTGTTTGAGAGAACACCATTTCAAACTCCTTTAACCAAGTAATGTATTAAGAAATGATATGTACTGCAACCAATGGATCTCAAAGGAGTAAAACATGTTGAGTTCCTGTTTGTTAAGGAAAGATGGGGTCTTGAAGAATGATAGGATATAGAAAGGAAATCTGAGCAACAGGAGTAAAAGATTATCTTGTTTTGATGTGAATTGCCTTTTCTAGTCTGGGAGATTTTCTTGTTGCCTTCATGATGACCATATGTAAAATTACCTTCATATGTATGTGGCATTTTTCCACATTTATTTACACTTATCTTGCACTCACATTCAAAGGCACTCAGGAGTAGAGGACACATAAAAATATTCCATCCAAAAACAATGAAACAAACAGATCTGCCACAATGCTTTCAAGTATTTAAAAATAAAATGAGGATATATAGGTTATTTTGAACCAAATCCAAATATATAAAGTTGACTTTAGCTGCCACTATGTTCTTAGCAAAAGATACACACAAGTTAGGCCATTGAAACATTTTAAAATAATTTTCTAAAAGGTCACCTTCTCATGTGAGTTACCTAGCCACTCCATGAAAATCAATCAGAATCTTTAAAAGTTTACAATAATTGAGAAGAAAAAGCAGTGGAAAAAAATGATGTGTTCTTCTCAGTTGTATTTTAGTATATTTTATCATTGCAAAGAAATTCTTGAAGGTATAAGCTCAAAATTTTAGGCAAGTAATATAATTCAGAATAAAATATGTTTAAAATAATCACAATTTACTTTTATAAAAAGTTTTATAGAGAAAATATACATTGTTAATGTTGACCTTTTATATATTTAAGTATGATGTTTTCTATCTCATAATGAATGAATTAATATCTCAAGAGGTGGCTGCTTATATTTATAGGATTATATAGCAACTGCATGAATTTATTTTCTGCTCACAAAATGAACCATTAACTTTCTATAAAAGATATACATTAATTACATTCTTATGCTTTGTAATCATCACTCTTGACATCCTTCAAATTTGAAAAAAATTATTAAAATGTATTTTTTTAGTCTAACACACGTGTGTGTGTGTGTGTGTGTGTGTGTATATATAGTCTGTCTATTAAAGGACAATAAAGTCTAAACCTGTTTAACTATTAAAGCAAATAAATGAAGAGCTGAGACTCTGAAGACAGAATTATTGGGTTTTCTATAGCAATCAAACTTACTAGAAGTATGATCTTGAGCAAATTACTTAACCCTCTACTTCAGTCATCTTATATGTAAATGAATTTTTGTGAGAATTATATGAGTTCATGTATGACTTAGAAAAAATAAATCTAAGAACTTAAAGGCAAAATATTGGTGAAACATGGCAATAAAAACAGCATAATTTTCAAAATGTGGCACAGATACCCTGGAAGTACTATTCCATATTACAAGGGTGGTAATGTATACCATAATCAGATACAAACATTATGGTAGAGGTCCTAAACTGGTAGCTCCCATCTAGATTGTCTTTGTATGGCTATCACAGAATTGGTCCACATAGTTTATTTTCATTGAGGTAGTGGCTAAAAATTACATATCAGAAGATAAGCCAAGATATGCCAGCTATCGATAACACAGAGAGATCAAGCATTTTCTTTCTGGTTTTTCAAGATCTCATTCCCTATTTTTTCCCCCATACTGTAACTAAGTATCATCTTCAAGTTCTCCTAGTGTTTTGCATTACTGCTTTTTTAAAGTTAATTTTTTCTGGATTTATAACTTCAAAAAAAAAAAAAAGTAAATGAGCAATAAACTGACCATAGAGCTGTTTGTTTTGCAGCTGATTCTGTTTACTCGTTTGCATTATGAGCCTGGTCAAGGCATTTGAGTTTGCAGGTGCAAGGTGAAAGGGCTTGAGTTCACAAAATTAAAGGCGGTACTGGATTTTGTTATCATTTTTTAAAAACACAACATCAAATAGAATAATTGCTTTATTTATTTTCTGTGACTTGGAACAGATACAGGCTTCTCAGTATGAACCTAGTAAGCATGGATGATCTGTACTGGAGATGAGATGAACACACTTGTTACTCAGCTCAAAATAAATCAGTCTCTCATTTGATCTCTGTTAGTCATAATAATAACGTTAAACATAACCTAAAGATATCCTTGTTACCTTTTACCAGGAAGCGTGGGATGGGGGTGAGGGATGAGACATTATTTAATGGGTAAAATGTACAATGTTAATGAGATGGTTACACTAAAAGTCCAGATTTCACCACTGGTCAACATACCCATGTAACAAAACTGCACTTGTACCCTTTAAATAAATACAAATAAAAAAAAATTATAAAAGATAATGAAATAAATCTACCAATTTCACTTTTTATTTTTGTAAATAAAAAGAAATATGACACTATTTATAATTTGTATAGGAGCATTACCAAAAAAATGCAAACACTTGATCTTATCTTGACATTAAAATGATAAAAATAATTGGCATTAAAAAATTGATTTTTGAACAACATGTTATAAGCAACATGTAAGATTTTAAACCTCAAATCAGAAAAGAGTGTGTGTGTGTGTGTGTGTATTCACAAGTCATAAGAAATAAACACATTTCAATCTACATTAAAATATATTTTGTCACCAAACTAAAGACAGTCAAATGTCATTTTCAGTACATTTCTATGCAAAGTATGCTGTTTATCCTTAAGTAATCAATTTAAATTAAATTAAACTAATGATAACTTGGTTAAAGATGTCAGAATACAGGCATTTCTATCTCACTGTCTTCTATAAAACAACTGAAAACAAAGTTATACATTTTAAAACCTCATCTGTAATGAAATTTGGAGAGAAAAGAAGCTGTCAGACCCTGTGAAACTTGAAACAAATCAACGCAGAGTGCTGGGGAGAACATTTGAGGCCCACAGACAGCGTTGACTAAAAGTGGATCTCAATGCCTTAAGAGGCCCCACAGCAATACTTTACTTGAAATACAAGGCCTGCGGTGCAGGTAGACTTTGCAAGCTGGTCTAAGCACAAGGTGACTCTGCGGAATAACAGCAAAAGTGGAACTGGGGAAAAGTACTGCAGAGACATGCTATCCTTACATATTGTCAGTGTGGTGGCTTGAAGAAATCACACTGGGTGGCAATCTACTCTGGAACTTCTGATTATTGTCAGTCGAGAAAAAATAAATTGACTCAGTTACCTGTAAAAAATAAATAACCTAAAATAAGTGGGGTTTGTCTGGGAACCAGGAAGATTTTTTTATTTGTCCAATGGAACTACACACTGTAAGAGAACACTGATCATTATCTGCCTCATTTATGGTATGATGGCATTCTGAGTCATATCATCATCCCCAATTGGAGACAGTTTCAGCCACAGCATATTTATCAGTTCTCTATCAATACTACTTTTCAACAAATACCTACACTGGTAAAAACATTCCCTATTCAAAACAATAAGTAATTAAATATAATCAACCTGGAGCTAAGGCATAGATAGCATGCTTACTTATAATACAGGGGTTAAGAGGGTGGATTCTGAACCTAGACTGCTTGGGCTCAAATCCAGAGCACTCTGTTATAAAATGAGTGATTTCTCTGCACATCAGATTTTCCCCATTGATAAAGTGGGGGCAAATATTAGCTCATATCATTGTGGGAGTATAAAATGTGATAATATATGTTAAGTACTTCAAACAATGACCACCACAGGGTGTTATTCATCCTTAGTTGATTTACACACGTAAATGCATATCATATTTTCTACATTGGCACAACTAACGTTGTCCACAAGTAACATGAATCCAGCCCACAATCTTCACTTGCCTGGCATACTTTGAAAACTATTAAAATGGTGTCTACACTTCTTTCCTATCACCCTTCAAATAATTCGTCAGAGCTCAGCTCACACACACTTAACCAGAGACATAAGAAAATATAGAAAATAAAGCAAGATTAAAAATAAAATTTTTTACATGAGGTAATATGAAAGAACAGAGGGCAAACAGACATGAAATTCCAACAAATAAAAATGATATAAGCCAATTTTTGCTTATAAAAAAAGATGCTTCAATTGAATTTTAAATATAAAAATTATAGAATATATATTAAAAACTATCAGTGTTAAGGTGATAAAATAGAAAGCTAAAAATGTTGATTAACAGTTTAAAAAGGGAAAATCTTGATGTTACATTAATATATAATCTTTTGGTATAAAATTCAAAATCTTAAAAATCTATAAAACAAAAATTGTAGAGGATGAGCAGAGTGTTAGAAATATAAAAGCATTATAAAATTGTTGTGGGAAGTCAGGGACCCCGAACAGAGAGATCGGCTGGAGCCTAGGAAGAAGAACATAAATTGTGAAGATTTCATGGACATTTATCAGTTCCCCAAATTAATACTTTTATAATTTCTTATGTCTGTCTTTAATCTCTTAATCCCATCATCTTTGTAAGCTGAGGATGTATGTCACCTCAGGACCCTGTGATGATTGAGTTAACTGTACAAATTGTTGGTAAAACGTGTATTTGAACAATATGAAATCAGTGCACCCTGAAAAAGAACAGAATAACAGCTATTTTCAGAGAACAAGGAAAGATAACCATAAGATCTGACTGCCTGTGGGGTCGGGCAGAATAGAGCCATATTTTTCTCCTTGCAGAAAGCGAGTAGGAGAGATATTGCTGAATTCTTTTCCCTTCAAGGAATAACCCTGGGGAAGGAATGCATTCCTGGGGGGCGGTCTATGAACGGCCGCTCTAGGGGTGTCTGTCTTATGTGATTGATAATAAGGACTGAAATATGCCCTGGTCTCCTGCAGTGCCCTCAGGCTTACTAGGATTGGGAAATTCCAGCCTGGTGAATTCTAGTCAGACCGGTTCTGTGCTCTTGCACCCTGTTTCCTGAAGATGTTTATCAAGACAATGAGTGCACAGAGGGACACAGACCCTCATCAATAATTCTAATTTTACCTTTTGCCTTGTGATCTTTTATTGCCCTTTGAAGCATGTGATCCCTGTGACCTACTTCCTGTTCGTACATCCCCTCCCCTTCTAAAATCCCTAATAAAAACTTACTGGTTTTGCAGCTCAGGGTCACCATCATGGTCCTACCAATATGTGATGACACCTCCGAAGTCCCAGCTATAAAATTTCTCTCTTTGTACTCTTTCTCTGTATTTTTCAGACTGGCCAACACTTAGGGAAAATAGAAAAGAACCTACGTTGAAATGTTGGGGGCTGGTTCCCTGATATAAAATCATTTTATTTAACTTAGCCCATGACAAAACAAAACTATATGAAAGTAACATTTTAAAAGATAGATGTCTAATATGTAATGTATTAACTTCTGGAACCTACAATCAAATATAGACTTTCTTTAAAATTGTCAATAAAATAGTTATAAAATCGATTATACATTTAGCTACAAAAAATTAATTTCCCCAAATAGAAATTATACTAGAAATTTAATAAAAATTAAATTTCTAGCTACAGAAGAATAACATTATATATTGACTAAAAATATAGTTTTTTAAAAAATCAAAATACAAAAATCCAAATTCTAGGACACTTTAATTAAGAAAGTATTCTAAAAACTATATAGGGAAAAAATTGTTTGACAAAATCATTCAAGCTGTAATTGCAAGCTAGAAAAAAATAAAAATTCAAAGTATACAGTATTTACTACATGGCTAAAGCAGGGCTTAGTTGATAATTTATGGCCTTAAAAGAAGGATTAACTTGGAATTTTTTCTAAATTATGCATTTTGTTAAGAAATTAGGGCATATTGTGAAAAGAAACAAATAATTTATGATAATGAAAGTGGAAATTAGTGAGATATAAAGTAGAAATAATTAAAAATAATTTAAAAATAGGAACTGATTGTTTAAAAAATAAAATTGATACATTAACTAACCTAATCAACAAAACAAATCTCAATATAGTATTAGGGATGAGAATGGAAAATGAATCACAGATACTGAATCAAATAAATATTAACAAAGAAAAGACAATTAATTCTAATACATTTATGAAAGATAATTTTCCCAGAAAAAAATATTTTTAACAGTTAAAAAAAGATTTTAAAAATCTAAACACACCAAATGCCACAAGGAAAAAGAGAGAAAATGTTCAAAAACTTGTCAAAGACCTGTTATACTAAAAGCTCTAGACTCTTACCTTCTCTACAAATCTTCAGTCTTTTTGGACATTTCTTCATTTATTGAAATATGAAACTTTTTCTCTATAGCAATAAATTAATTTTCAATCATGTCACTAGTTGCTTATTTTAGTTAATATATATTTTTCACTAAAGTAGAATCATTTTGTTTCTCTATTTGTTTTCTTAATTTTGCATTTTACATTTTCACATTTCTTTCCTGTTTTTACCTCTGCATTTCTATGATGGGTCATAGTGATTTTCTCATTAAATTTTTATAGCAACATTTGGTAATACATTATATTCTTCCATTGTGTTGTATATTTTCCAGCTTCAATTTTTTTCAGCTCATAGATATGTAATTCTCTCTATTTTATGTTTCCCCTTATATTTTATTTACCCTTTACTTGTCTGTTCATATTTTGTTTTGTTTGTTTGTTTTGAGACGGAGTTTCACTCTTGTTGCCCAGGCTGGAGTGCAGTGGTGAGATCTCAGCTCACCGCAACCTCCGCCTCCTGGGTTCAAGCAATTCTCCTGCCGCAGCCTCCTGAGTAGATGGAATTACAGGTGCCCGCCACCACACCTGGCTAATTTTGTATTTTTAGTAGAGACAGGGTTTCACCACGTTGGTCAGGCTGGTCTCTAACTCACAACCTCATCTGACCCACCCACCTCAGCCTCCCAAAGTGCTGGGATTACAGGCGTGAGCCACTGTGCCCGGCCTTAATGTTTTGTTTTATATGAGTAGTTCTGCACAAACCATCTCTTTCCTCTACTGTAATATGTGGACATTCTCTCTCACTGCAGTTCCACTTTCTTGAATCCTCTCTACCTTCCTCTCCTCACTACCCTGTGTGTCCTTTCTTTTACACCTCAATGCAATCAGGGAGCACAAGAGTTCAATTCCAGCTCTGTGAAGACTTTATTTAAAGCAATAGGTCTGCTTTTTGTTCTGACATTAGGTTAAATGTCTTATTAAAAAGTTATCCATTGTTTTTGCTAATGTTGCTTATTGAAGACAGGCTCCTACCCTCCCATAGAGAAGAGGCATAAGAAAGTTATCTTTTTGACATCTGTATTTCAAAGAGATGATTCCCAAGTCCTTGAGAAAAACAACTCTGGGTTGTAAGTGTAAACCTCAAAGAGCTAAAGAAAGAATTTACAACTGGTGTTTTTCGAAAGTAAATGTTCTAAAAGGAGTCAAAAAGACTCCTGTGTATGTTTAGTCAAGCTGGGCGGAAAGTTAAGGGCATCTTGGTCGTTACTAACTATGTAAACAAATAAATATGCAATATTATACAGTACAAGAGATGACTGGTACCAATCAGATGGCTAATTGTGGGAAGCTGTGAATTTATATAAGGACCTCTGTCCCAAGAGAAAGACAATGAGCAAACATTAAATAGATGCGGTTGTGCATCTGACAAATCTGATGGTTTGGTTTGAGCACTTGTATTTTTGTGAGATTTATCTGGTTAAAACAGGATTTACATGACTTTTTTCTGTCTATAAAAACATGGCATGTATACAAAAGATAAAATACTTTATTTATTTAGATAAATGTTTGGCACATAAACTAAACTGTGAAAAATATCGTGTTATTTGTATCAATGGTGTAAAAGCATGTTAGAAAATGGTAGGATTGCCAGCTCATATTAAAATTCTTATTGGAATTTGCTTGAGGATTCATAGGATGTTATGTAGATAAGCATTAGGAGTTATGAAGATGACAGTAATAAACTATTAAATAATAGCACATTGTGAATTTTACTGTTTTTAAATTGCTGACTTTCCTAAATTTATTTCTAGCAAAATGAAACATAGTTTACAGAATTTCCTTTTTTATATGAAAGTGTACTGCTTGTCCTAAGGAAAGGTGGTACTACAAAGTTTTAATATATATATGTATGTATGTGTATATCTATATCTGTATAGATATAGATATAGATATAGATATAGATATAGATATAGATATAGATATAGATATATATTTCACTTGCCTCAGCCTCCCAAGTAGCTAGGAGTACAGGTATGTGCCACCATGGCCAGCCAATTTTTTTATTTTTTGTGGAGATGAGGATCTTATTGTTTTGCCCAGGTTAGTCTCAAACTTCTGGCCTCAAGAGATCCTCCCACCTCAGCCTCCCACAGTGCTAAGATTACAGACATGAGCCATCTTACCCTGCCAACGTTTTCTAATTAGATTTTTTTCTAATATCACCATGTTTTTCTTAGTGAAAAAATCCCTACTTAAATAATTCTAAAATATAATATGATATCAACAACTTGCAGTTGATATTTTTAACAATCTGAATGACCTTAATTTGCAACTTTACCATCTTTGCATAGAGACACACAATCCCTTAAGGGCATTAAAATAATGTGTAGTCTCAACGAACAATTTGACTTTTAAAATTGTGTGTTAATTTATGAAAAAGACAAGAAATGTAGTATCTGAGATTTTTAAAATATTACTGTTGAACATCAAAAGGTGATAAGATACATTTAGAAAGGTACCTCATCTAAATTGATTGAAGAATTCATTCTTCAACTCCCTTCAAATTGAATATTTACTAATTAGAGAAAACTAGTAAAGCAACATTGACATATAAAAAGACATATTTTTCAAACTTCCGGATTAGTCTAATTAAAGGCCACCTTGCTACTTCTAGCTTACAAATGCCATAAGTAGTATCATTCACAATGATTTATCTTTGAAAACCTGGGTTTTCTTGAAGATACATACAAATTGCAGTGAATAAATAAATTGGCAAAAAATTGCAATTGTTATCTGGGATAACACATTTCAAAATGTCAAAATCAAATAGTTCTCGAATTATTCAGTAGTTTTATAATCAAATAGAAGTTTATTATTATTGTTTTTTGAGATTGAGTCTCAATCGGTCACCAGGCTGGAGTGCAGTGGCACGATTTTGGCTCACTGTAACCTCCGCCTCCCTCAAGCGATTCTCCTGCCTCAGCTTCCTGAGTAGCTGGGACTACAGGTGCATGCCTTCACACCTAGCTAATTTTTGTATTTTTAGTAGAGACGAGGTTTCACTATGTTGGTCAGGATGGTCTCGATCTCTTGACCTCATGATCCACCAGCCTTGGCCTCCAAAAGTACTGGGATTACAGGTGTGAGCCACCTCGCCCGGCCAGAAGTTAATATTTTAAGACATAGGATTTTTAGCTAATAAACGTTCATCTTTAGCAGAGTTACACAACAATTAGACTGTTTTGTCACATTCTGCATTTTGTCCTGGGATCTCCTGATTTTTTTTTCAAAAGTTGTCTATATTAAGGTTAACTCTTTACACTATAAAACTCTATGAGTTTTGACAAATTCATTGTATCATGTGTATACCATTGTAGTATCATACTTAATATCATGTCCCCCAAAATTATCCTTTGTTCTACATGTTCAGTCCTCCACCAACCCACTAAACTTCCCAATACATTTTTATTTGAGTAACTCATTTTACATCTAGAAAGGTTTAGAAACCATCATGGGAAGTGGGGAAACTTAAATAATTTTATGTGAAAGCATAATATACACAGATTTGAATTTAAATAGTTTATTTGGTTGACACAGTGGGGAGTGTCAAAGAAAAATTATTCTGCCATTTCTTAAAGAGAGTGTAAGGAAGACTTTATTATAGGGACTACTGCAATGAAATTTTGCAACAGGGGAGACAGACTGGGCATGTCTGTCTCAACTCTGCATGTAAGAGAAAGTGGTTTTTCTTTTGCCAAGTAGCAGGGTGGAAGTTATTGAATGGAAAATTACTAAGAGGATATATCAGGGGTAAGGGAGGATTCTGGATAAATCAACTTGACAAGATTCTTGCTGGAGACAGCTCAGGATGATCTGAGTGGGAGATTGTTGCTAAACTGAATTAGCAGGATTGTTGCCCTGGAAGATAAGACCTAAAGAGAGAGCCTCTTTGAGAAAGGATGTAGAGAAGCCTGAATAAAGTAGAGTGAAGAAGAGGGTCTCTTTCAAGAGGTAGAAAAAATTGTGAAGGCTAAAATCTAGGCAAAACGTGATGAGAGCCTCAATTATCAGAGTTGAAAATAGAGATTAAGACGAGATTAAGGCTGGGTGTGGTGGCTCATGCTTGTAATCCCAGCACTTTAGGAGGCGGAGGGAGGCAGATCACTTGAGGTCAGGAGTTCAAGACCAGCCTGGCCAACATGGTGAAACCTCGTCTGTACTAAAAGTACAAAAAAAAAAAAAAAAAAAAAAATTAGCTGGGCGTGGTGGTGCATCTGTCTGGGAGGTTGGGGGGTAGAGAAGAGATTAAGGAGTGGAAGAATTAAGAAGTACTTCAAAAGTTAAACCAGGATGATTTCATGGCTGATTGAGACTGGAGAAAGCAAAATAAGAATTATTTGTAGAACAAGAACTAGGAGTCAATTCTTTCCAGAAGATCACAAAATAAGGCTACTTACCCCATGTAACTATTGTTAGGGAAATGTTAATTTCCTTGCTAATGCGCAGTACAGATTTTGTTTCCCCTTTAAAACTTCTTCCTGCTTCATGCCAACTACATAAGGCCTACGCATCATGTAATTGAATTTGAATTACAGTGATTAATCAATAATAAGTTGTGTTAAATTATCCCGAACAACCCCAAGCACTTGCTTTGTAAGGCTAGTAGGAGATGGTGGGTTAGTTGCATCGTCTTTAATTCATATTTAATGCACACATTAGTCACTACCTATTGAAAAAAAAGATACACCAAATATGAAATAGTTTGTACACTATCTTTATAAGAGTTTCTTCATAAAGACTTCCAGTGTTGGGAAATTCTCTGTTTTCCATGACTACATGACTATGCATTTCATCCTGGGATAATTCTAATTAATAGAGTATTCTTCCTTTATTCGTAATGTAATGATGTTGATACAACTGATGCCAGGTCAGCCTAAACTTGAGAGCCACACAGAACAAATTATATTCTCTCTTTCACATGATACCGCTTCCAAATATTCAGGAAGTTTTCACATTTATACTCCATGACTATTAATTGCTTCTGTAGGTTGAATAATCCCCATCCTAGGACTGAGTATTAAGGAGACTAATTTTTCTCACTGCTGTCTTCCATTGAACGTGCTACAGTTAGTCTACCACACTTCTAGAAATTCACACTCTTTAGCCAGCACTCTCATTATCCTGTTTGGATGGAAAGGATGCTTGACTCTTTCTTATGTTTCTTATAATGTCAATTGCTGGCAGCTGGATCTGCATGCACACTGCTGTGTTGGAGCTTTCAGTAATGGCCTACAAGAACAGCATGAGGGAGAGTCCTTCAAAGTCTGCTTTCCCTAGAAATCAGTACAGCCCACTCTGATGCTGTTTACAACTGCACAATGTAGAGGACATCCTCATCTGCTTTCCTCCTGTTCGTGCTGCATCAAGTAGAATGATACACACATTCTCCTCCTTTCCAACCTCTCTTTTTTTTTTTTTCACAGCTACCCAACTGTAGCTAGAATAGATGCCTAAAATGATAACAAGGTTATTTGCTGTGGATCATTTGTTTTATGCACGTTTACCTTCCATGTAGATCACAAAGCAAATGAAAGTGCAATCAAATGGAGGACTCAAGCAGGGGTGGGTATGGAACATCAACACTGATGCCAGTGTTGGAGGCAGCTAAGTCAACAAGTTGCAGATCACAGGAAACTCAATCAGAAATGAAGGCAACAGACTTCTTAACTGTGTTAGCATATACATTTCTTTATTTTTAAAATTAGTTTGTCTGGGGTTCTTAATTTTATTTGTGTGTTATTTAAATGGAATTTTGCTAGAACTAAGTACAAAGAGAACCACAAAAGTGAAGGCCATAATTTTTGGCCAAGCGTTTCAGATAAAAAACAAGTGGGGAAAAAGTACAGCACGTATTTATATTTACTAGGCTGAAGTTTCAGCAGTGACTAATGTAAATCACTTTATAGATCCTGATTCCAATGCCCTTTTTGTATTTTTGTGTCTTTTTGTCTAACTTAATTTAAATGTTTATTTTACATTCCAATCCTGTTTACGTAAAATATTAGTTATTGTGCAGCCTTCTGGCATTGTGTCTAATAATGACTTGAATTATCAGTTTACTATCAGACTGTTTTGCCTATTGCAAATTTGAGAAAGAAAGGAAATATGTTTTTAAAGAGAGAGACCACAGGCAATACAGTCAGGTCTTTAACAATCCCCACCTCCCTTTCCATTGAAGACAAAGAGAAAAAGAGAAAGAGGGAGAGAAAGAGAGTTTTATGTTGAACATATTGTAGTCTAACTAACTCATTTGTTTGAAGGCCCTTTTCTATCAAATTAGAGCTTTGCATAATTATATGGTATTGAATTATATGGTATTGAACATGCAGTCTTATAGTCACTCATGTTCCTTTAAAATATAGATTGGCATCAGTTTCTTGAATATAAAAGACACTAGAATTATGCCATAGCAATGGGGAAACCTCTAACTCAAGAAGAGCACTTGACAGCTGTCACCCTCCTGTTCAAATGTTTCTACAAATTTTGGTTCTAAAACAAACAGAGGCATGCTGTATCCAATTTATCTAATTAGCAGAGTACCTGCTAGTTTGCTGTTAACAATCTGCCAGTAATTTTTCTCTTAAAATAGCTTTCACAAAAAATTAAATATATATCTTACTTGTCCATTTTCAGTTTCAATTGCAGTAATATCTGGCTTGTTATTATGGTATTACAGTTACATCCTGAGTGAGTAATTATTATGTAGACAGCTACAAAAAGTAAACTGAAATACTTAACTTGGACATATATATTAAGTGTGTGTGTGTGTGTGTGTGTGTATCCTTAAAATAAAATGTACATAAAATCTCATTAGCTTGTTTCATTAATCCTTGTGGAATCAAATAGGTCATTCATTTTAGGAACTGAAGTCTTCTGAACAATGATAGAAATAGGGGTCCTGGAGGATGGCAAACCTCTGTTCAAACCTCACTCTGCCTCTCATGAGTTGTGTGGTCTTAGGTTGGTTACAGTTCTGAATTTCAGATTCTTTATAAAATTTGAATGTTGATAACATCAGCTTCAAAGTGTTGCTAATGTGATTATTTGACCAGATTTAAGGGCTTAGCCTGACTTCTCATAAGAACTCAATGAATGTTGCTTTCTGTGTTTATGTACACTGGGCAGAAGCACAGTGTGCGTGTAAAAATGAGAAAGTAATACTGATATTAGATATCTGATTTTCAAAAAACCAAATTATTTTCTACAAATGCTTATAACAGTTTTATTATTGTTCAAAATATAAGAGAGTTTTAAATTTAATATCAAAGAAATTCCAGACAACAACGTTTAACACGTATGGTTTAGTTTACTTACTTAAACAAGAAGTCAGGAGAAATACTATTATTGACATTGGTTTAGTTGCTTAGTGACACTATCAGAGACTCAGAGTTTCCTATCTTAATGCTTTACCTTATTGGAATTTACAGCCCTGCTTTCCTAATTAATAGTCTCTTGATTGCAAGATGACTGCTTCTGCTGGAACCTCCATATCCATATTCAAGGAAGAAAGACTGGTTGAGTTTGTCAGGTATCAATGATTTTCATTCATTCCTCTTTAATCAAGAAAGCAAATTATTTCCCACAACTCCCCAAAAGACTGTTGCTGATGTCTCATTGGCCATAACTGTGTCCAGTAGTTTCTCCAAACTGCAAGGTAACTTGAAATGCAAATATTTCGCTGGATAACATGCTTCTCATGTCACTGGTCTGTGTCAGCAGAAAAGAAGTGTGAAGGAATGAGTGTCAGATGAGCTACTTTTAGTGCATGCCAGTCATCATGGGAAATGAAAGTATTTTATTAGACTTGCATACAGTAATGTTATAATATATAATTTATTGTTTTAATATTGAATTACACATGAGGAAGAAGCACTGTTGACTTTTCATTACTTGGAGACCTTGAATTTTAAATTCAGCTCCAGTAGAAGTATTATTTATTAAGAAGTTGGGATTTGCATGAGTCTTTATTTGGAAGTTTCTCTTTTGTGCAGTATCTTATTTTGTTCCACTCTTTCCACGCACTCATTGTGACTTTACTTCTGTTTCTCAAATATGTCAAGCTTATCCTCATCACATGGCATTTGAAGCTGTTTCTTCAGTCTGAGAAGTTTCCCTCCATCTTCTTACATTATTCAATTAATTTAGCACCTACTTAATTCAAAACACCTTTCTGTATTTTTCTACCTTCAATCATTGCTGTTTTTTTTAAATTGGTACAGAATGTATTAATAAAATTTATACAGAAAGAAAATTATCAAGACTGTGAATGCAGCCAGTATTTAAATAAATAACAACAAAAACAAAAAAGAAAAAGAAAAGAAACTTCATGCTGAATACAAACCACAAAGACGAATAGCACTGGTTTTTCAAAAAGTGTTTATCTAGACAATAAATTAAAATCCCAAAGAAGTTCTGGAAATTATTTTCTTTCATGAGAAATAGTCTGTTCAACTTGATGAAATAAAGTGAAATGTAATGATATATGAAACATTTTACTAATTGGAAATCACTCACACATAGAGAAACAAATCAACATCACTTTGGGTATATGGTTTATACTCTTAGCTAACTTTCTCAAATAGAATTATTGATCTGCTTATTTTTTGATTTGTTTAGTTTATCTCAAGGTTGATAGCCTTTATCAAGATTGCCCCTCATTTCTGAAATACTCGATTTTTTAAAATTTTTACCTACTTCAATTATTTTATTCTTTTGTTTTTATTATAGCATATTATCAAATAACTATATCTATTTTAATATCACCCTCTCTCTTTTTGAATACCCTGGTATTCAAGAGCTATATAGTACCTACCATCCCTACGAACAATTATTTTAATGAAATAAGGTGCCTGGATGAAACTAATGATTTTACCAAGCCACCTGTACTCTTTTCTATCATTACTCACTGGATTCTTACCTTTGAACTTTCTTTCTTCACCTGCTGTGCTAGCCCTGTTTTCCTCTAGCATGACTTTAATTCTGTAAAATTTTGATCTCTAAGTGTTAGATTCATGTTCAACACTGATGCAAAAAAAATGCTGTTTAAATGCATATTATCTTTATTTCGATATTCCTAAAGCTTGTCTTGCCTTATCTTTATAAACTTAGACACCTGCCTGGCTCTTAAATTTCTACTATCGGCACATCTATTCATGTAGGTATCCATGCATACAACCTGGTAATTATAAGTATCTCATCTCTTCTGTCTGCCTTGACTGCAAATTGTTTCTAGTTTCTCAGACTTCTAGTTCTTACTCTCCTTTCCCCTAACCTATCTCTTACCCCTGTCTACTGTCTCTAATATATACTACATATTTAGGGAATTTGTTGCAAAATTCAGCTGCTCGGGTATGTCTAGCCAATGGCCTCTTTTCCTACTACCCATCCAATAATTTGTGTAAACATATTTAACATCTTGTGAAACTGATACATGAGCTATTTAACACATACATTCTGATTTATAGACTTAATCTGAGCTGGAGGATTTCTTCCAGAAACCAAAGTACAAATGGAACCATAAGCCACTGCACATGAATGAACCATGGCAAAGGAGTCAGATTCAAGAGTAGGAGTCCACAGTGGAGGCTGTGAATCAGAATGGAGTAATGATCCTGAGAACTGTGTGGATACTAGAAAGGAAACGATAAGGGGTATATGCATACATTTAAATGACTATGTTACTAAATCCTTGTACTCTACAAACTCAGATGAGCAGGAAATATTCCACAATTTATTAGATTGGTGCAAAAGTAATTGCAGTTTTTGCTATTAAAAGCAATGGCAAAACCCGCAATTACTTTGGAACTAACCTAATATTTTCTTTAATGACCCCTCTAAATATTTTCTATCAAGCCAGTAAGGAATTAATTTTCAGTCCCTATTGGGATTTCCTTTTTCCAATAAGGGTATTCTAGTGCATGTGCTTCCTGTCCTGTAACTAATCTTCCCTATGAAAAACAAACATAAAGCCTAAACTTCTGCTTAAATTAGGGAAAGACAAAACATGGAGAAAACATGCACAATTTAATACTTTGCCTTTTTTAAAAAGTAAAGGCAATAGACTTCCATTTTTTGGGCCTTACTCTCCCTATTGAGAAATAGTGGTGTTGGTGGATGGCCAGAGGGAGGCTCCTCAGTAGAATTTGTCCCATAAATGTTGAAGAACCTAACTAAGTGGGTAATGGTTTTCCAGGGATCCCAAAGAAGTAACTCTTTCACCTTCTTTGTTAAACTATTTCCCTTGAAGAGGGTGATTTTTATTTATGCTGCTCCTTCAAACTTGGAACATATTTTCAATCTGTACAAGCCTCCTGAATGGTTAGGGAGTGAGGGAGGCTTTTAATCAATGAAGTCCACTTGAGTTTTAAATTTGTAATTTAAATTGGTCAGATGTGTAGGACCCCCCAGTGTGAATTTTAAGTCATTTTCTTTTTCTAACAAAGTTGTCAGTGAAGCACTATTTAGGAGCATTAATGACATTGAAGTCTGAGCTTTTCTGGTGTTCGAAGAGTCACTAATATATTTTTGCTTTAGGTAATTTCCATCAATTCCCTTTTGGTACTGTGCCTTCAGTAATAGCGATAGGTGTTATAACCTGAATCGGGAGTTTAATTTCTGGGGGCCAGGTGGTGGGACTGCAATTCCATTAAGAGACCATTTCTATCAGAGGCAAAAGGCCGTCCTCACATATAATCTCAAGTTGCTGATGATTTTTCAAGATGGGATAATAGGATTATTATTAATTTCTGGCTTGCTGAAAGCTTGGGCCACTGTCTGTCCTTCTTCAGAATTAAGTTCATTTATTTTTAGAGATTTGTAGAGTTAATGAATTATTAAAGTCACCTCTAAGCTTTATACACACACAGACACAGACACACACATACACACAGAGACACACACACACACACACACACACACACACAGATAACATTTTGATGTTTTCTTACTTCTGCTGATCATCCTATATCTGTTCCAAGCTATTAAGGCCTTCTTGAAACAATGCGAAATTCCATCCATTCAAAATCCTTTGCTATTCCCTAAATTGTAGTGGTGTAGATGTGGTAATGTTTCCATATACAGATACATGCTGTACACAGATTTTTAGCCATCCCAGACAGATTCCTTATGAACAGAGATGTGAGTCAAAAATATCTGGTGATCCAAAAATATCTATAGTGTTATTTTATTCAAATTACCTAAAATCCTCCTCTAGGACCATATCCCATCAAAAACTAGCAAAATTCTAATGATTTTCTAAAGCATCAAATTACATTTCTTATAATTTTGGGTGTCTTAGCACTACACCAACATACATGCAACAACACACACAGACACACACACATACTAATAACAGACAACTGATAAAGTGGGCAACTATTTTGTTTACATTTTAAAAGATTCCGAAGAGCCATCATAACAGTAATTGGAAGGAGATCTTCTGTGGCACAAAATTGAAATGGCAGAAGCCAGCTGTGGCAGAATCCAGATTCATGAGGCCAGAAGCAATGCATCCCAGAATGATAATGAACACTCACCAATGATCTCTTAGTGGTTTAAGAAATACTCAAAATTTCTTTGTAAATGGCTGAAATTCCTACATAATCCCGTGAGATTTCGATCTAACAAAATTTGTGTTTAACTATTGAAGTAAAATAACCTGATATTTTTGACTCATATTTCTGTTCTTGAGGAGGCTGCTAAAGTGAGAGCTTGTTTCTTTGTAAGTTGGAGTTCTGGAAACTTTTGCATTAATATGCATCATAAGTTGTTCATGGAGTTCTTAAATACATTACCTTAGGCAGATTTCTGAACTTTTGTAAGTCTCAATTTCTTCATTTCTTACAAAAATAAAAATAACTTGTGAAGTTCCCAGCACAGTTTCTACAGGTACTTAATAACTGTTAGTGCCTTCCCCTGCTTCTTCTTGTCATACACCAGGGCCATTACACCTTCAGGCTTTGGCTTCAGCTTTTTTCCTTTGTATTAATATTTTCCTTTCCTGTTCTGCTTTCCAACAATTCCAAGTTTATAAGCCCAGGTGGATTTTGCTTCATTTATTTTGTAAACTGTACTTCAGTAACATTACTCAGCTGATACTAACCAATGGGACCATAAACTATACTCTTGAATAATAGGCAATTATGTTCAACCTGGCATCTTTTTATAGATTGCTTTCTATTTGAAGCATATTAGTTCATTCCTTGAGAGCTCATTAGCTAATTGACAGTAGGAATTTTATCTTCTGCTAAAGTGCCCAGCACAGAGATGAACATTTAGCAAAGAGCTTAAACACATATGGACACAACTACAAATACACACACACAGAAACCAAAACAATACTTATTAGTTATATTCCATTCCATGTGCCTAAAGGGAGAAGGGGCAGATGATTTTTGTTGAGTGCCTGTTCTATTACTGAGCTGGATAATTTGCATATGCTACATATTCAAATATTCCCAGTAATAAGGGAAAATAAGGTTTGAAGAAGCAGAAAATTAAAAATTTTAATTAGCTGGTAACCAAAGTCATATAGTATTTGTGAAGATTAATTTTAAATATCAACTTGACTAGGCCAGATATTTGGTCAAACATTTTTCTATGTTTCTGTAAAGATATTTTTAGTTGAGATAAACATTTAAATCAGTAGACTTTCAATAAAGCAGATTATTCTCCATAATGTGGGTAGGCCTCCTCCAATCAGTTGAAGGCTTTAATAGAAAAATACTGAGGTCTCCTGAGGAAGAGGAAATTCTGCCAGCAGACTGCCTTTGGACTTGAATGAGAACTCTTCCCTATGTCTTCAGCCTACAGTCTACCTTGTGAATTTTGGATGTGCAAAGCCTTTGCAATTCCCTCGGCCAGTTCTTTAATATTTTTCTCTTCTCTCTTTCTCTCTATCTCTCTGTGTGTTTGTGTGTATGTGTGTGTATGAGTGTATATATAGATATATGTGTGTACACATGTTGTATATGTGTGTACACATGTTGTATATGTGTGTACACATGTTGTGCATGTGTGTATATGTGTTTGTGTGTGTGTGTGTGCGTATGTGTATCTCCTGTTGGTTCCATTCTTCTGGAGAAAGCTAATAGAGTACTTTACCTGCAAAGAAGAGATTTGAACTGAAGTGTTTTTTGAAACCAAAGTTCAAGCTCTTTGCATTACACCTTCTGTCATAGAGATTCCTTTAAAACATCTCATTATTTTGTGGGAGCTATGACTACACATAGCTATAATTTAAGAAGATACGTGTTAAAATACTTATCAATTTTAACAAAGGGGTCATAAGAAGAAAGGTTATTCAAAATTGGAGAATTCAGTAGAGAAGCCTCAATCTTAGATGGACTATGAAGAATGCTTAGGTTCACATATATGTAGAGAGAAATAATATTTCATTTGCAGGAAAACAGTGAGAAAAGATTAAACGTGAAAATCTATAGATAATATTTAAGAAACTATGTATATGTCCTCATGCAAAGTGAAAGACAAATGAAAAAACATTTACTTTAGTGGGAAATAATGCTAGAATAATATTCAGTATTCTAGATGAAGGTCAATTGATACCTAAACTAAGAGATTTATAATAATCTCATAAGAAAGAGTTGAAGTGATTAATTTTTCATGAAAAATAATTCAGATGTCAACAATACCTTCACATTTATTCCTATATAATAAATCGTAGTAAATATTTATGTTTTGAATGATGCTGTATGCATTTTGACAGTTTTTATGCCTGCCACATTATTTGATAGGTAGCAAATAATCTAGTATCAGAAACTTTAATAAGTAATAGGGTTCAAGCTAGTTGGTGGGAAAAGAGCAAAAATATCAAAATTTAAGTAACCTTTATTGGATTCTTTTTGCTACAATAGAAATACATGTTTAATGTGGAAAATTTAGAATTGTGTCAAAGGTTAGAATTAAGGTGCTAAGTCAGAATGGTAGTAGTAGTGGTGGGGAACAAAATATGTGGGGCCTTAGTGACAAATAAGGAGTTGGTTTTTATTCTAAGATGGTAAGCACTTATCTGAGAATAGACTCTCAGTGGGACAAGTGAAGGAGCACAGAGGCCAGTTAGGAGGCTAGAGCAATATGACAGGCAAGAATAGATGATGTTGTCCTGGTCCATGGTGGTAGCAGGGGATATCTGTCATCATGTTCTGGATGTATTTTTTAAGTGGCTTTAATACTATTTTTTACCGAATTGAATGTTGGGAGTGAGACAGATAAGTCACAGGAAACCATAAGATTTCTTTTTTTGGTCTGGGTAGTTAAAAGAAGTTTTCATTATACCCCCAAAAACAGGACTGTTGAGGGAAAAGCAGGCAGGTTTGGGGAAGGCAGAACATTCATGGATTTGATTTTGGATATGAATGTTTTGTATGTCTATAGCACATCCCAGTGTTAAGTAGGCACTTCCCTATATAAGTCCGAATTCAGTGAAGAGATCCTATTTATACTAATTTGTGTGTCTTTAGCTTAGCTATGGCATTTATAGCCCATGAGATTAGTTGAGATAGTCTAGAGCATAAGAGTGAACAGAATAGGGATGAATTCCTCTAGCTGATACCTGGGGCATTCCTACTGCACCTACCGCTGGGGTTGAGGATGTGAGAAGAAAATACAATAGAGATTCAAAAGGAAAGCACACTGAGACAGAAAGAGGCACAAAAGTGATCCGTTCCCAGAAGGCAAGCGAAGAGTTTCAAGAAGAGAGTCTACAAATGTGTAGGATACTGCCCATGTGTTACGGTAAGATATGAACTGAAAAGTGACCATTGGTTTTAGTAGTCAAGAGGTCACTAGCAACTTTAACAAAATTTATTTCAAAAGAGCAGTGTGGATAAAAGTGCAAATTATGTAAGTCTAAAAGAGTAGGAAAAATGTTATTGGACTATAGAAATTTAACAGTTAATTGGAGTTTGAATAAAGACTTTTAAACAATTATAATAATTTCTGGATATAATCTTATCTCTATTACTTAGTAATTACGTGTCGTTGAGCAAAATGTAGAAAGATATACATACAAAGAGGTCAGCGCCAAGACAGAAGCCAGACAATGCACACATCGTAACTGGAAGGATGACAATATATAGATACATAAGCCAGTTGGTAAGAACTTAAGAGAATTCCTTTCAGTGTCTACTTAATATTCAATAAAATATCCCTAATATTTGATTTACATAAATAATTTCATATTTTGCACTATTATAAAATGTTCTGTTAAATATTCTGTCAGCTAAAACTTTGTCCTCACCCTTAGTAATTTCCTAGAAGTGATGATTTAACTTATTAAACAAATTTTTTTTTCTTTTTTCTTTTGTTTTGTTTGTTTGTTCATTTTGTTTTTCAGACAGGGTCTCACTCTCTGCCCAAACTCGAATGCAGTGGCACGCTCTCTGCTCACTGCAACTTCCACCCCTGGGCTCAAGAGTTTCTCTTGCCTCAGCCTCTGTTTCCCAGGCTGGAGCACAGTGGCGCGATCTCTGCTCACTGCAACCTCCGCCTCCTGAATTCAAGCCATTCTCCTGCCTCAGCACTCCCACCCCCACCCCACCCACCCCTGAGTAGCTGGGATTACAGGCGTGCACCACGAGGCCTGGCTAATTTTTGTATTTTTAGTAGAGGCAGGGTTTCACCATCTTGGCCAGGCTGGTCTTGAGCTTCTGGCCTTAGGTGATCCACCCGCTTCGGCCTCCAAAAGTGCTGGGATTACAGGCATGAGCCACCGCGCCCGGCCTACTTTTTTTTTTTGTAACCTTTTGAATGTTAATATGAGTTGAGAATTTAGTGGAAAGATTTTTTCCAAAAAAATAAAGATGTTCCTTGGCATTTACCCTATTTTTTTCTCATTTTGTTTGGATACTTAGACTAAGTTCCTATAATAAACATAAAATGAGCCAAAAAACATAAGTTTTAAAAATCTAGGCCGTACATAATCTTATTGCATTGAAAGCATAGTATGTTGCAGAAAAAATAAGGTTTATGATTCATCTGGACATCAGTTGTTTTATTGTGAAGTGGCAATTAACCATGCAAAAGAAAAGATGCTTTCATTGAAACATCTTTGTTTCTATTTTACACTGGTGTAATTAAGACTTTGGGCTTATTTGTGCCAACAGAGACTTTTGTTACAAGTTAAGACAAAAATTGGCAGTTTGTTAAAGATATGAAAATGATTAGAATTAGAATTATACACGATTTTATTACTTCAAGCACCATAAAACCCAGAAGGTTTAGAAACAGCTGTTTATATCCTGATGTAGTGATATCAAGATTTCAGCTTTTTAAAAATAGAGGTCTTTTTTTTTTAATAACTAGAGGTGCAGTGAATATTTTGGATCATTTCGGAAATAAACTGCAATTGAGGGATTGATCGCATGGTGATTTTGAACATTCAGAGGCTAGAGATCATAATCTCTTTAGATTGTAGGTACTTAAGAGGGTAGTATAAAAGGTAATAACATGAAAATTGGTAAAATAGTAGGCAAAATATTGTACAGTTCAGATCATAAAGAAATGCATGCAGAGTAGATTAATACCTTGCTGAGTTTATAGATTACACAGGACATCTGAAAAGAAAACAAATGCGTGGTCTGAAAAGCGGGAGGAAATTGTCAGTGTTTGGAATTTAGTGACCAGCCTGCTTGTCCACTGGAGTTTGCTGTATCTAAGTGATATTTTCATCCTGTGACTTTTTACAATCCTTTACTATGTTTCTTACCAATCTCTGGGATAAGGACAGAAAAACTAACACTCTGTGAGTGCCTCTTAGATGTTGGGCATTTGGTAAGTGAGATACGAGTATGATAGCTCTGTTTTTCCCTAACTACTTCCTTCATTAAAGATTATCCTTGTTTTACAAATGAGGTTAGTGACACTCTGGAATATTAAAGCATTTGCCTACTGTTACAAAATTGCGATTTGAACAAAGTTCTGTTGGACTTCAAAGTCGTTATTCATTTCTCTGAGGGATGAAGGCAAATATCTGAGAACTTAATATAATTGTTTAAAAGTTTCTATCATTCCTGAAACAGAAATAGGTAACTCAAAATGAAGTTAAATCTATTAGTATCAGATTCTCAATGCTGCTTAGGAGTGTCTTAATTGTCTAGGACAAATACATTGTCAAGTATTTACTGGTTACTAGATAATGTCAAAACAAGTATCTCCATTCTATCAATTTTCTAGTGCTATGTAATAAATTATCACAAATTTATATTCTTAAGAGGAAAAAAGACCCATATGGCTAAGCAGAGTAAGTGAGGAATAAATGAGTTGGTAATCAGTTTAGATAGGTAGATAGAGGCTTGGTTACCTAAGCCCGTATGGATTATTGTATCGGTTTTCTATTGCTTCTGTAACAAATTACCACAAACTTAGTGTCTTAAAAGAACACAAATTTGTTTTCTTACAGTTGTGTAGGTGAGGAGTCTGGCACATGTGTCACTGAGGTAAAATCAAGGTGTCTGCAGGGCCTCATTCCTTCCAGGAGGCTCTGGGAAAGAATCTTCTTCCGAGCTCCTTCAGGGTTTAGGTATATTTAAGTCTTATGCTATTGTAGAACTATGGTCCTTGTTTCCTTGATGGAAGTTGGCTGAGTGCCATTTTAAAGGGCACCTGTATTCCTCAGCTTAAGGCTCCTTTTCTCCAACTTTAAAGCCAGCAACAGCAGGCCAAGTCCTAAGTCCGCTTTGCGCTCCGAGCCCCTCTGGTCTCCTCCTCTGCGTATCCCCCTCATCTCTCCTCAGCTGGAGAAAGTTTTCTGCCAGTAAATGCTCATATGATTAGATTGAGCTCACCTGGATAATTCAGGGTAATCTCTTTATCTTAATGTCTGTAACTTTATTGCATTTGTAAAGTCCCTTTTGCCATGTAACTATTCACAGAGTCTGAGGATTAAGGCGTGGAAACTAAGAGCTGGAGGGCAGGATGGAGATAATATTCTGATAATAAAAGTCTTTGCTCCTCAGATACTATATCCTGGAAACTGACTTGATTTGCATTATTTAGAAAGATATTAATATGTAGAGAAAAAAACAAGAATAAAAGCAAGAAACCTACTTAGAAGGCTATTGTAGTAGTCATGTTGAGAGATAATGGAGGCATGATTTGGAATAGATGTTAGAAGTTATAGCAGTGCTTGAATTTAAGACATATTTTGAAGGGAGAGCTGACAGGACAAACTTATATATTAAATGTGGATTATTAGAAAAAGTAGAGGCCAAATGAATGCTAAATTTGGACTGAGAAACTGAGTAAATAGTGTACGTTTAGAACTAGGATTCAACAAACCTTCATGCTAAAAACTCTCAATAAATTAGGTATTGATGGGACATATTTCAAAATAATAAGAGCTATCTATGACAAACTCACAGCCAATATCATAATGAATGGGCAAAAACTGGAGGCATTCCCTTTGAAAACTGGCACAAGACAGGGATGCCCTCTCTCACCACTCCTATTCAACTAATGTTGGAACTTCTGGCCAGGGCAATCATGCAGGAGAAGGAAATAAAGGGTATTCAATTAGGAAAAGAGGAAGTCAAATTGTCCCTGTTTGGAGATGACATGAATTGTATATCTAGAAAACCCCATCGTCTCAGCCCAAAATCTCCTTAACCTGATAGGTAACTTCAGCAAAGTCTCAGGATACAAAATCAATGTACAAAAATCACAAGCATTCTTATACACCATTAACAAACAGAGAGCCAAATCATGAGTGAACTCCCATTCACAATTGCTTCAAAGAGAATAAAATACCTAGGAATCCAACTTACAAGGGATGTGAAGAACCTCTTCAAGGAGAACTACAAACCACTGCTCAATGAAATAAAAGAGGACACAAACAAATGGAAGACCATTCCATGCTCATGGGTAGGAAGAATCAATATCGTGAAAATGGCCGTACTGCCCAAGGTAATTTATAGATTCAATGCCATCTCCATCAAGCTACAAATGACTTTCTTCACAGAATTGGAAATAACTACTGTAAAGTTCATATGGCACCAAAAAAGAGCCCACATTGCCAAGTCAATCCTAAGCCAAAAGAACAAAGCTGGAGGCATCACGCTACCTGACTTCAAACTATGCTACAAGGCTACAGTAACCAAACCAGCATGGTACTGGTACCAAAACAGAGATATAGATCAATGGAACAGAACACAGCCCTCAGAAATAATGCCGCCTATCTACAACTATCTGATCTTTGACAAATCTGACAAAAACAAGACATGGGGAAAGGATTCCCTATTTAATAAATGGTGCTGGGAAAACTGGCTAGCCATATGGAGAAAGCTGAAACTGGATCCCTTCCTAACACCTTATAGAAAAATTAATTCAAGATGGATTAAAGACTTAAATGTTAGACCTAAAACCATAAAAACCCTAGAAGAAAACCTAGGCAATACCATTCAGGACATAGGCATGGGCAAGGACTTCATGTCTAAAACACCAAAAGCAATGGCAACAAAAGCCAAAATTGACAAATGGGATCTAATTAAATAAAGAGCTTCTGCACAGCAAAAGAAACTACCATCAGAGTGAACAGGCAACCTACAGAATGGGAGAAAATTTTTGCAATCTACTCATCTGACAAAGGGCTAATATCCAGAATCTACAATGAACTCAAACAAATTTACAAGAAAAAAACAACCCCATCAAAAAGTCAATGAAGGATATGAACAGACACTTCTCAAAAAAAGACATTTATGCAGCAAACAGACACATGAAAAAATGCTCATCATCACTGGCCATCAGAGAAATGCAAATCAAAACCACAATGAGATAGCATCTCACACCAGTTAGAATGGCAATCATTAAAATGTCAGGAAACAACAGGTGCTGGAGAGGATGTGGAGAAATAGGAACACTTTTATACTGTTGGTGGGACTGTAAACTAGTTCAACCATTGTGGAAGTCAGTGTGGTGATTCCTCAGGGATCTAGAACTAGAAATACCATTTAACCCAGCCATCCCATTACTGGGTGTATACCCAAAGGATTATAAATCATGCTGCTATAAAGACACATGCAAACATATGTTTATTGTGGCACTATTCACAATAGCAAAGACTTGGAACCAACCCAAATGTCCATCAATGATAAACTGGATTAAGAAAATGTGGCACATATACACCATGGAATACTATGCAGCCATAAAAAATGATGAGTTCATGTCCTTTGTAGGGACATGGATGAAGCTGGAAACCATCATTCTCAGAAAACTGTCTCAAGGACAAAAAAGCAAACACCGCATATTCTCACTCATAGGTGGGAATTGAACAATGAGAACACATGGACACAGAAAGGGAACATCACACACCAGGGTCTGTTGTGGGGTGGGGGGAGCGGGGAAGGACAGCATTAGGAGATATACCTAATGCTAAATGACGAGTTAATGCGTGCAGCACACCAACATGGCACATGTATACATATGTAACAAACCTGCATGTTGTGCACATATACCCTAAAACTTTAAGTATAATTAAAAAAAAATAAGAACTAGGATTTAAATCTTTTCATATTCTAAACATAATTTTGGCAGCCCGTTCAAGCCTATGGAACTCACAATATATTTTTAAATACATAAAATATGCATAAGATGAAAAAAATTGATTTATTGAAATAAAATTATTAAAATATTTTTAAAATTGTGATGTTGTAATATATGTGCTTCTTTATTAGTGTATTGCATATAATATGGTAGGAAGGATTATAACATGGTCCCAAGAGTCCTGCACCCTGATATAAACCTGTTCTCCTTGAATATGAGCAGAATCTATGAAATATGATGAATGTCATTCCTGTGGTGTGATTAGATTGTGTTAGATTAGATTAGATTAGATGGCAAAGGTGAGAGGGAGTTTTGCAGTTGTAATTAGGTCCATAATCAGTTCACTTGGAGTAACGAAAAAGATCCTAGGTGGACCGGGTCTAATCAAACAAACCCTTTGAAAGAGGATCTAAAGTTCAGAGAGTGGAAGCAGCAGAGACACTCTCCTGCCAGCCTTAAAGAAGGAAGCGACCATGCATTCTACAACTGCAAGAAGGTGAATCGTGCCAATACCATGTGAACTTGGAAGAGGATCCAGAGGAACCTGGTTTGAAGGCAATCTTGTAAACATAGGACCCAGTAAAAGCGTGCCAGTCCATCTGACCCATGTAGTTTTAAACCAATAAGTTTGTAGTAAATGTGTTATGTAGCAAAAGAAATAAAATAATGGGGCTGACAACTTTCATGATTTTAATGTGCTGAGGAGTGTAAGCTACATTTCTAGATTATCTGCTACAACTATAATGTGATGTGAAAATATCTGTGTTTTTCTATTTGTAATGAAGTCACAAGAACTTTTACAATGACTTGTTTCTAGCATTTTTGATGGAAAAAAATACCAACTTTAGTTATAGATTAATAAAAATAATGATATAATTTTTCTCCAACTGAATTCACTGATATCTTAAATTCTACCCATGGATTGCTTGGGGAGAGTGTCTGGATTAAAGCGAAGAACCCCTGATCATAAATGTTCTTCCTGAGTAAAAATGTGCATGAAATATTTTTAGAAAGACTTTGTGCAAACTGTCAGAAAATGCATTCACCGTAATCCTCAGTTACCCCAAAACATTCGATTAAGCAGAGTTACCTTTTAGTTAGTATGTTTTTTTAACCTGCTGGATGCAATAGTGAAACAATTAGGTGATTTTTCCAAACCTTATTTTTTTTTTACTTAGACCACTTTCATAAAACAATGGGCTTCTTATGATAAAAGATATGAAATAATACTGCTTATATAATGACTTAAATTGCAAATTCATATGTTTGGGAGGTGTGGGTCATAGTTTTATCAGAAATCTTGACACTTAAAATCTATATTCTTGTTTCTTGGAGAAATGTATTTTCTGCATGGAAGAGAGCCGTACATTGCTCAGTAATTTTACTCTCTCAAAAGAATTGAAGCCATATCGTTATGAAAGAAGTATATGACCTTTAGAGATAACATTGACTTTAGCTACCAATTCATATATGTAGGTGGGTTTTAAACCAGAAATATTTGACATTGTTCTTTTTACATTTTTTTTTGAAACTTCATGCTCTAATACTCTAAAAATACAACATGTATTTTTACCTTATTTCTTCAGAAGTGTTCTTTTCTATCTATTAATACATTCAATAATAAAATGTTAAATACCAGGAGAAATGCATCTTGAGCTATTCTGCCTCATTGCTATGTGATTGCTAATTGGAAAAAGAATCCAATGTTGGCATACAAGGTAGAACAAAACTTGGTGAGGATTGTGCCAACTTAGAAACGCACTCAGCACCTGCTGCCTTTTTAAAACAATTATCATCTTTATTAGATTCTGTGGGATCTGTTCAATGGGCTGCAGACAGATGCTTGGATCAGATGTTGCACTTGCACAGCTGGGGCTGCAGAGTCAGCATGAACCTTTCTGCTCCATTCTTGTCTACTTGTCAGCAGCACAGTTGTAATTTTCAGTACATTGGATTTGAGTGTTTCTAGGACCACTGAGCTCAGTTTTTCTTTGTATTGAAATCCAATGTATTCTAGATATTCTGTTTCTTGGCTGATGAAATATAGGTTCAGATTTCCCTATGATTTGGGATTTAGCCATAACATTTTAAAATAAAGCTTTTATAAATATGGTGAAATAGTAACTATTCGTGAACCTAGGTAGAGGGCATTTGCAGATTCATTATACTGTTCTGTTGACTTTTCTTTGAAGTTGGTTAATAAATTAAAAAATAATGTTAATGCTCTTGAGAGAAAGAGTAATGCCTGAAGTAGACATATACCACAAAGGAGAGGGGAGGCAGCCTATTTCTCAGAGAAAACCTTAATTTATGGAATACCTGCTTTTTAATTCTCCACAGTAACTTAGGCAGATTTTCCACAATCACCAGATGCATTTGATAGTAAAGTGAGACAATGCCACCGACAGGCAAACAGGGAATTTCAAATCCTAAAGCAAGCAGAAAACCAACCATCACCAACAATTTCTGGGAAATTAAAATGAAAATTAGAACAATATGTGAGAAGCATCAACATGATAAACCAAAATATAAATACTTAAACAAGGAGTTAGTAAGCAAATAAGAGACATTAAAACAAGCACTATTCTTAGCTTCAGAGGCATGAGAAAACATCACATTCATAAAACAAAACAGTTTTCTGTGAAAAAAAAATCAACAATTGTAGACCATGAAAATTTCTTAAATAATTCTTTGAAAAATATGTAGAGAAATATTAAAAGGCCTACACTTAGATGTATAGATTTCAAAATAAATAGACTGTATAAACATTTCTAAATAGCTAAAGGAATTATAATATGATTTACAAAATAATGTCCAAACTAATATCTCTCCCATTAATTAACAAAAATAAAAAATGTTTGAGATAAGTGATGGATATTGAAATCGAAACATCATTCTATAAAGTTTTCTGAAGAAAAACAGAGAAAAACAGATAATGAGGACATAAAATATTCCAAAAATAATGTTTTTAAAATTACTAATAATGAAGAAAAGGCTTAATCTTCATAAATTAAGAATTCATACACAGCTAAGCAAGATGATGATTATGACACATTTGTAGATAACAGGAAACATTTCTGAAAAATAAAATTATACAAAATCTTAAACATTTCTGGGAAAATAAAAACAAAGTGGCTTCAGGAAAAAATATTTAATTAAAATTATTTGTCAAAATGGTAATCCTTTGCAGAAGATAATGCTGAAGTATATGCAGTGGCAAGAAAAAATTATTTTTACCTGAAATTCTAAATCCACATCAAGATACAAGTGTGAGACAGTTAATCCTTTAAATAAATACAAAAAATTCATTAAAATGATTCAGTTGTTTAGAAAAATAGGAAAGGGAAAAATCATCTAAACTAAATAAATAATAATAATATGAATAATAAATTTTTAGTTTTGCATTCCAAAGATAATCACTTTTAACATTTTGATGTATTTTATCTAGCCATCTACCTAAGCATATATTTATGATATTAGTAATTATATTTTATAGGTAATAGATATGGTTTGGATTTGTGTCCCTGCCAAAATGTCATGTTAAATTGGAGGAGGGCTCTGGTGGGAGGGGATTAGATCATGGGGGCAAATTTTCCCCTTGATGTTCTTGTGATAGTGAGTGAGTGCTCATGAGATCTGATGGTTTAAAAGTTGTTTGTGGCACTTCCCCTTTGTTCTCTCTTTCTCCTGCTCCATCATCATAAGACATGTTTGCTTCCCTTTTGCCTTCCACCATGACTGCAAGTTTCCTGAGGCATCCCAACCATGCTTCCTGTATAGCCTGTGGAACTATGAGTCAATTAAACCTTTTTTCTTCATAAATTACCCAGTCTGAGGAATTTCTTTATAGCAGTGTGAGAATGACTAATACAATAATTGTGTAGTGTGACTTTCTTCTCAAGATTATATTTTTTCCCATAGTAAATGCATTTTACAATTTTTAAAAATCTTTTATCTTTCAAATCTTTGTAATATCTAATTCTCATTTCTCTGAGTAGCTATGTAGTGAATATGATTTAGCCGTGTCCCCATCCAAATCTCAACTTAAATTGTAGTTCCCATAATCCCCATGCATCCTGGGAGGGACCCAGTGGGAGGTAATTGAATCATGGGGGCAGTTTCTCCTATGCTATTCTCGTGCTAGTAAGTTCTTAAGAGATCTGATGGTTTTACATGAGGCTTCCCCCTTCACTTGGCTCTCATTCTTGTCTTTCCTGATGCCTTGTGAAGAAGGACATGTTTGTTTTCTTTACCACCATGATTGTAAGTTCCTGAAGGCTTCCCCAGCCATGTGGAACTGTGAGGATATTAAACCTCTTTTCTTTATAAATTACCCAGTCTTGGGTATGTCTTCATTGCAACATAAAAATGAAGTAATACAGTAAATTGGTACCAGGTAGAACGGTGTTGCTATAAGGATACCAAAAAAAATGTGGAAGCGATTTTGGAACTGTGTAACAGACAGAGATTGGAAGAGCTTGGAGAACTCAGAACACAGGAAAATGTGGGAAAGTTTGGAACTTCCTAGAGACTTGGAGGGCTCAGAAGACAGGAAGATGTGGGAAAGTTGGGAACTTCCTAGAGACTTGTTAAATGGCTTTAGCAAAGAGACTGGCAGCACTTTGCCCCTGCCCTAGAGATCTTTAGAACTTTGAATTTGAAAGACGATTTAGGGTATCATGTGTAAGAAATTTCTAAGCAGCAAAGCATTCAAGAGGAAACAGAGTATACAAGTTTGGAAAATTTGCAGCCTGACAATGAGATAAAGAACAAAAACCCATTTTCTGGGGAGAAATTCAAGCCAGTTGGAGAAATTTGAGGAGCCAAGTGTTAATCACCATGACAAGGGGGGAAAATGTCTCCAGGGCATGTCAGAGACCTTCATGGCAGCACCCTCCTCCCCCACTCCATCACAGGTCTAAGGCCTAGGAGGGCAAAATGGTTTCCTGGGCTGGTCCCAGGAACCCCTGCTCTGCGCAGCCTCTGGACATGGTGCCCTGAATCCCAACTACTTTCAGTTCCAGCCATGCAAACAGGGGCCAACATACAGCTTACATCATTGCTTCAGATGATAAAAGCCCTAAGCCTTGGCACTTATATGTGGTGTTGGGCCTGTGGGTGCACAGAAGTACAAAATTGAGGTTTGGGAACCTCCACCTAGATTTCAGAGGATGTATGGAAATGCCTGGATGTCCAGGCAGGAGTTTGCTGCAGGGGCAGAGCCCTCAAGGAGAACCTCTAGTAGGGCAGTGCAGAAGGGAAATATGGGGTTGGAACTTCACACAGAGTCCCCATGGGGTCACTGCCTGGTGGAGCTATGAAAAGAGGTCCACCATCCTCCAGACCCCAGAATGGTACATCCACTGATAGCTTGCACCATGTACCTGGAAAAGTCAAAGACACTCAACGTCAGTATGAGAAAGTAGCCAGGAGCATGGCTGTACCCTGAAAAGCCACAGGGCAGAGCTGCTCAAGACAGAGAGGCCACTTCTTGCATCAGCATGATCTGGATGTGAAACATGGAGTCAAAGGAGATCATTTTGGAACTTTAAGATTTAATGACTGCCTTATTGGATTTTGGACTTGCATGGAGCCTGTAAGCCCCTTTGTTTTGGCCAATTTCTCCAATTTGGAATGGGTGTATTTACCCATTGCCTGTACTCCATCGTACCTAGAAAGTAACTAACTTGCTTTTGATTTTACAGGCTCATAGGTCTGTAGGATTGCCTTGTCTCAGACAAAACTTTGGACTTGGACTTTTGAGTTAATGCTGGAATGAGTTAAGACTTTGGGAGACTGTTGAAAGGACAGAATTGTGTTTTGAAATGTGAGGACATGAGATTTGGGAGGGGTCAGGGGCAGAATAATATACTTTGGCTATGTCCGCATCCAAATCTCATCTTGAATTGTAGTTCTCATAATCCCCAAATGTCATGGGAGGGACCTGGTAATTGAATCATGGGGGCATTTCCCCCCATGCTATTCTCATGCTAGTAAAAAATTTGTCATGCGCTCGGATGGTTTTACACAAGGCTTCCCTCTTTGCTTGGCTCTCATTCTTCTCTCTCCTGCCACCTTGTGAAGAAGGACATGATTGCTTCGCCTTCTGCCATGATTGTAAATTTGCTGAGTACCACCGCCCCTGACACCACGTGGGACTGTGAGTCAATTAAACCTCTTTCCTTTATAAATTACCTAATCTCAGGTATTTCTTTATAGCAGTGTGAAAGTGAACTAATACAATAGTAATTCATTATAGTCTTATCATTTGTTAGCTCGTTTGTTTCCATTTTTTTTACTACTACATGTATGTAATTATCATTATACATAATTTTTCAAGTTATTTTTAGACAGATCTCTGAGTGTAATTTTACTGATGCAGGTAGTCTGATCATTTATCAAACATTTGAAACTCAAAAAATTATTTACCAGAAGAATTTTACTAACTTACATTCAGAGCAAGTATGAAGTCTCCACACTTCACAAACAGGAGGAGCTAGAAATGGGGGAAGGTCTGCTTAGAAAATGAGGTAGAAGCTGAACTCAGGAGCTGGGGCAATATATTATTAATAAGGAAAGTCGATCAATGGGAACTATCAAAGGCTGAGAACTACAGATAGAGATGGGGATCTGCAGGGAAGGAAAATCCTCTTAACTAGTGAAAGAGCACAGAAGAAATACATGGGTGCCTGTAGTTAACTCCTTTCTCACCAGCTTTTAGTCATTGATTTTATAAGGAAAAAAAATGAAAATTGCCTGAAAAATACAGACAACCATTGAGGAGAAAATTATACTATATGATTTATATTGGAGAAGTGAAAGTTTCTAAAGAAACATTTAATCATTGGAAAAGATGGAAAGAAACAAATAGCTAAGACCTCCATTGAAAATAGCTCCTGAGATTCAAATGTGAAGTCAAGATGAATGCAGGAGCTATTCTCAGACGATTTCATTTTCTAGCATTATCTATAAAAGCTGTGAAATTAAGACAAAGTTATATAATTGGATCTTTTTTCTCACCTGGAAGAGAGGTTCCTCCAGAGATAGATTCAGAGTTTAATCATGGGAAGGGCAGTACCCACAGAAAGAGAGTTCATTATTAAAAGAAGTTTTTATCTTCGATGTTTGGAAGTTAAGATGATTTTTAGTGTTATTACTAAACAGGGGATGAAGGATTGTTTTAGCCCAAAACCCAAAACTAAAGAAAAACCAGGATCTTGCTGAAAAATCTGGAAAAGAAGCAAAGCATGGTGGACAGAATATATCAACTGACTTATAATTCTGTTTTTATTTTTCTCGTCTCTCTCCGTTATTCTCTTATTCTTTTGCATTGTGTATGTCACCTAACCCTTTCGCCCCATCATCAGTTTTCATGTGAAATAGTTTGTGAAAATATAATAACTTAGAGAAACATTCCTTAAAAACAGTACAGTGATATATACATATTAAGCATTACTAATATTGCCCATGAAAACCTCCTGACTTTTCTTCTTATATTCAAAATACACAGTACTTCAACAGCCCAAATATACATTTTCTTTTTTTCTTTTTTTTTTTTTTTTTGAGACGGAGTCTCACTATGTCACACAGGCTGGAGTGCAGTGGCACGATCTCGGATCATTGCAACCTCCACCTCCCGGATTGAAGCGATTCTCCTGCCTCAGTTTCTTGAGTAGCTGGGACTACAGACATGTGCCACCATGCTTGGCTAATTTTTTTTGTATTTGTAGTAGAGACAGAGTTTCACCATGTTGGTCAGGCTGGTCTCGAACTCCTGACCTCGTGATCTGCCGTCCTCAGCCTCCCAAACTGCTGGGATTACAGGCATGAGCTGCCGCGTCCACCACATGTTCTTAAATGTATAGATTTAAATATGCAATTTAAATGCAAATATGTTAAAGGGATTAAACTATGCACTCTGTGTAATGGGGAGCTGAGTGGGGAGAAAGCAGAGTTTGTACATTCAAAGAGCTGATGTTTATTCCTGAGATTTCTGACTTGGAATTCAGATTTCTAAGAGCATTTAACTCCCAAAAACCCAAGGACATGAGCAAATATAGCAAGTGATAAATAGGCTTAGTCAAAAATATAAAATATACCATCTGGGTAAACAGAATTTTATGGACTCTTGGAATTCAGCAAGGGCTTGGAGAATGCTTCTATTTGCATTGCCTTTGCAGAATTGACCCCTCAGCAATGAAAGTCCCCCAAAACTTAAGTCTTCTGACTCCTTTCAGAGAAATAAATTATCTAATGCAAACATTGAAAGAATGAGGGTAATTCACATGATAGATATTTTCCTCTTGGAGTTTATTAATTCACTTTTATAGAAATGAGAACTATAAAGCAGTAAAACTGGCAATAACTAATATCATCCACAGGATGGTAAGTGCTGTAATAAAGACTATAGCAGACTGGAAAGAAAATCTTGTCCTCAAAAGTTCACAGTGCAAGTTTGATTGCATTATTGCATAGTGCAAAGTGAAAGTGATTGCATAGTGCATATGAAAGTTTGATTGAATTATTACAGAAAAAGTGTGGTTTTCTTGCTTCTTTAATCTGGTTTCACATGCTGGTACTTATCTGGAATCTTTGTTTGGAAATAAAACAAACTAATCTCCAACACTGAAGCATAAAGGGAATTTACGAGTTTCATCGAAGATTCCAGGGTAAATGTCTGGATTTCAGGCATGGCTAGATGCAGGAGGTCAAAGAACGTCCTTGGAATTTGATACATGTTTCTTCATGTATGATAGTTCCCCATATAGTTTTATTCTCAAAGTGGCTTTCTGTCTGTGGAGACAAATGACATGCTGAAAGGTCTAGAAACATATATTCAGAAACTAGCAACCCTTGTAAAGAGAATACCATTTTACTCCACTATCACTTGAAAAACTTTGGGACACTGAGCAAATTGGGACCATGTATCCATCACTGAATGAATCATTGTGGCCAAAAGTATGAAATCCTCCAAATGATCAGCTTTCCACATGGCAAAGAGTCATACAAGAGTGACTTCCCTAAACAAAGGAACATGCTTTTTTCCTAGAAGGGGAATAGATAAAACAAATGTCTGTTACACTGCACGTCTCTCGCTTTCTATTATTTATAAATAGTTTAATCCTGAAACTCAACTTCTCTCATAAGAAATGAAATATACAAAAAGTAGATTAGAAGAAAATGGAGGCAAGGATCAAAGTGTGGCTTTACCCAAGTAAAATCTGAGTAAGTACTAGATTTTCCTGGACATTTAAATGTTTATTACATACCATTTTCCAAACATAGGTTTGAAAATGTTGCAGAAAATGTCAAACTTGCACTAGAATTTCTATATTTTTCAGTAAACGGCTTTTTCCTTCAACCAGAAAGTTTGGGTTTAAGCACCTAGTGAAATAAAATCTTACTAACCTGCTACTAGGCAGGCAGCAAGGTGCAACACCAAAAAAGGAAATCAAAAGAACCAAGTTAAAGACCCAGCTCTGACAGTAACTACCTTTGTGACATTGGAAAAATGTTCTTTTTACTTTAACTTTCTCATCAGTAAAATTAGAAAATTAGCAAAAGCAATGTGTGTGCTCCCAGGTTTATCCAGAAGTGAAATGAGCAGTTTGTTCCTTACTACAAATGAATTATTTTTTGTCTTCCAAATTAATTATTTATTATTCTTGTGCCTAGTTGTATTCAGTGTTACTCAAGCATACTTTATCACCCAGTACTTTTCTATCTTATTCCTGGAATAAAAAATAAATTCTGTCTGGGCCTGCCGAATGCTTTCCTAATTGGTATTAATGATTTGCTTTTAAATTAGTTGTGCATTTTTATAGAACTAACCTTTGGGGATTACAATTAATGCTACAATTGTTTTAAACCATTAGAGGAAACTGCCAATGAATCTTTTCTATTTTTTTTTTCTTCTTTGTGTTCTGGGCTGTGAAAATGGTCACTCTCAGATATTTAAACATATTTAGATTTGTGGAGGAGAAGAGAGCACATTGTTTGGATTATTTAAAGCAGGCACAATTTATAGAAACTTTCAGTAGCTAAACTTCATTGGTTTTCTTGATAGGATGTTCACGTGCGGTATTTGAGGAATTGTGCTTTTGTACTGTGATGCAAAATAGGCACCTGGTCTCTTTCTAGACTTTTCGAAGGTGCATTCTTTTGGCTTAGGTCATGAATCTTAAAAAATCCTGTCCTGAAGCAAAGAGAGGAGAAATATAATTTCTATTGATTACTTTATGATCAAATTTCCTTTAACTATCTTTGGCTATGAACATGTCACTTCAAATAGCTAATGGTAGGACTCTAGGCATCTAGAGATGACAATAAATTGTATGTTTATCTGGCTACATTCTGAATTAAAAAAAACTAAAACATATTTCACTATGGCAATATATTTCCGATGAATAACTTCAGGTAAAAACAATGTAATAAGTTTACACTGAAGGAGTATAATGTAGTCTAGTTAATGCTCCTTAGATAAGCTGCTTAATATAGTCTTATTTTCTACTTAAAAATATAGTGTTCATAGAAGCAACACCAGAACTTGGAGTGAAAACAAGACTCAAGTTGCAGCTCTGGTATTGACAGCTCTGTGACCACAGATAAGTCACTTCATTTTCATTAGCATTAAGTAATTTTTTAAATGGCAATTATTTTATCTTTTCTTGTGTAAGGATGACTATGGTCATAATAACAGTCACAGCCACTACAAGTTAACCCTAGAATGTTGTCATTCCCATTTTATGGATGAAATAAAGCTTCAAATAGTTAAATATTAAAGATTAGTTATATAAGTATGTAAACTTAGGCCCGGTTGACTTCAGAATGTGAGTTTTGAACCTGTCTTATTTATCACATCAAATGGCAATTCTTTTAGTTGCATTTATATCACCTGCCAAATTGCTGCCTTAGAGTTCTTTCTAATAGGCTGTTTTTTTGAAAACACACAGACACACACATATTTATCTTGGGACAGATTTTTAAATATCTGTATTGATAAATTTCTAATCAGTTTTGACTTCCAGAGTTTTTAATTAATTTACAAGAAACTCTATTAACTTATATGTTATTTTTTAATTCCCAAAATTTTAGATTTTCTTTTATTTCATCAGAAAAATCAATTAAGTATTCATTTTAGTTTATGTAAAGTTGGTATTTAGATTTATATTTTTCTCAAAAAGACAAACCTTTTCTAGGATTCCTGACAAAATAATCCAAATTTCTCCTACTGATTTTTAATTAGTTTCTATGTAGCTATCTATCTGTAATTAATCCGATAATAATGTGAATGAATATAGTTTCATACTGCATTTTCATTTTCTTTTAAAGCTAATTCTCTCTCATTATTATTCTTTCTCAAAGATGTCCTGGGTATTGTGTATATTTTTATCCTAATGAGCATTAGAACAATTTTTTGAATTATTTTCAAAAATTTTGGTAATTTTTAAATTATCAAATGGTAATTAATGTCAATTCAATTTATATTATTAATTTAGGTTTGATAGAAATGACATATTTTTGGGCCTCATTCCAAGAAAAAATTGGTATTTGCTTACATTAAGAACTCTTCTATATCTGTGTAGATATTTTTTCTTCCTATAGATCTTATTATTGTTTTACTTATTTACAGCAGTTTTAGCAGTTTTTTGTAAATTTTATCTGAAGTTTTTCTCCTTGAACTGAAAATATTCCCCTCCCACAACTTTTTAATTGTCATAGCTGCCATTTTATTGATATATTAACATCTAAATTTTGTTCTTCTAAGTAACACTGCCTTGACCATATTTGCTAATGAAAACTTGATTTTAAAATAGTTGTTATTCAAACAGCTATAACAAAATGCTAGGTGTTAAAGTCTGAAGGATTTCTCTCTCTTTCTTGGCCAAATAATCTTTCACCTAATTATTTTTCTCTCTGTCTTACACACACACACACACACACACACACACACTTTCACAAATATTTCAGATATTTGTTACTGCTTACAAGTAGACTCTGATGTTCCCTCATGAATGTCTTATTCAAAGTGGGATAACTTTAACAGACACACAAGAGAGATGGCATTTTTATGCAAGAGAATCTATGAAGAGTCCCATTCCTTGAACATTACACGAACCTAGTTGGAACGTGTACTAAATCTTCCAAAACAGTATGGCCTTACTAATGACTATAAAACATAAAGGTAGCCCATGTAATCAATAGGCTAAATGAGTACGGGATAAATATTTTAATTTAGTTTTCAAAGTAATATTCAAGGACATTTACTTCCTTTTTCTTTTTCTTTTTGCTTGCTCTCAGTAGGAAAAAAAACCACTCAATTTGCCATGCATAGAGCTTATTAATAGACTGACAATAAATGTAGTGAGGGAATGGGCTTTTTGGCAAAATACATTCCAGAACAGCTGCATTTGTAACTGAGAGATGTCTCTCATGGTGTTTGATTTATTACATGCTGTACAATTTAGTTCTATACAAGTATTGAACCCACTTACACAGTGCTAGGAAATACTTATATTATTATATATTTGGAATTGTGTTATGATCTCAAATTTTGCTTGCTTACTGAAGTAGATTTTCTACTGAAACATTTAGTTTCTTTGAGAGTAGTTACAAATTGACCAGTATTGTAAAATTAGTCTCCCTGAGTACAATATGGTACTAAACATCAAAAGATACTTAAAATTGTAATTTTTGTGTATTTAGTTTATTTGCTATTATTTTGGGAAAGCCACAATAAATTAACTTTCACCTTTGGACAAGATAATTTATATTTATTACAAAATTACTGTATACATTAACATATGCTACTATATTTAATTCATTGTATTTAATTGTATAAATTCAACAACTCAGAAAACATTTTTGAGATAAGTCTCCTTAAGATGAAGCGCATTCTCCAAGATTCCATTGAAAACCCCACTAGATACCATTAAAAATAAAAAACTACTGTCTTTGCTTTCTGTGTTCATTGAAATATGGTCATGCATCTTTAGCTACAAGGATATATTCTGAGAAATGCATTGTCATGGGATTTCGTCCTTGTGCAAAAATCATAGACTGTACTTACACACACCTAGAAGGTATAGTCAACTACACACCTAAGCTATATGGTATATCCTATGCCTCCTAGGCTACAAACCTGTACAGCACATTGCTTTATTGAATACTTTACGTCAGGGGTCCCCAGTCCCTGGACCACAGACCAGTACCAATCCGTGGCCTGTTAGGAACCAGGCTGCAAAGCAGGAGGTGAGCAGTGGGCGAGTGAGAATTATTGCCTGAGCTCTGTCTCCCGTCAAATCAGCCGTGGCATTAGATACTCATAAGAGCCTGAACCCTATTGTGAATGGCACATGCAAGGGATCTAAGTTGTGTGCTCCCTATAAGAATCTCACACCTGCTGATCTAAGGTGGTACAGTTTAATACCAAAACCATCCTCCCAACATAACACCACCCCCACCCTTCCTCCATCCATGGAAAAATTGTCTTCCATGAAACCAATCCCTGGTGCCAAAAAGGTTGGGGACCACTGCTTTAGGCAATTGTAACATGATGATAAGTATTTGTGAATATAAGCATAGAAAAGGTAGAGTAGAAATACAGTATTATAATATTATGGAAGCACTGTCATATATCTGGTTATATCTGGTCTCTTGTTGACAAAAATGTCATGTGGTACACGACTATATATCCTATATATCCTATTTTTGATTTCATGAAGTCCAATGTGGCTTCAGAAACCAGTCCATGTCCCTTCTCTACACCAGCTTTAGTCCTTACATCTGGTTCTAGAAGGGCCCTAGATGGTCCTTGCAGGGTGCAGGGGTGGTCATGGGTGTTAAGAGATTTATACTTTGATTTGTTTCTTCAGCTAAACTTTCTCTCTTCTGTATTTGTAATTTAGAAGACACCTCCGTTTTCTTTTCTTCCTGAAATTGAGAAACCCTGTCTTGAATGTTTTAGCTCAGGGTTTCCAAATTCAGCAATATTGACATTGGGCCAGATAATTATTTGTTGGGGGAGCCTGTCCAGTGCATTGTTGGATGTTTAACAGATATGACATGTACACATGGTCAGCTGCATCAAAAATGATTTAGACATTACCAAATGTCCCCTGTAGGGCAAAATTGCCCACAGTTGAGGGCAAGGCATTAGCTCTTTCTTTTTAAAGCAAAGGTTCTTGAAATCTAGGATTATTTTATTGTTCTCACTTTCTTAACACATATTCACTTCCTAAACCATCTAAATTTGTTTTCTATGACTATGTTAGTACTGACATTTCTCATCAACATTGCCATTGAACTTCAAATTGATAAATCCCTTGAGTGCCTCTGTGTTTTGAATTCTGAAGTATTTAACATTGCTAATCATCTTTCAATTAATGAAACTATTTTTTATACAGCCACAGTTTATAAGATAATTTAGGGATGAGAACTGCCATTTATCATTAACTTACTATGTATTGGTTACTGTCCTGGACATTGTTTTCTACATATTTTTAATCTTTATAATAACTGTAGAGTGGGAATTAGTAGACTCATTTTACCATGGGCCTCTTGAAATCTACTTGACCTTTTCTCAGTTCAAATGCCTGTCATGTGTCCAGGCTCTCTGGTTCCACTTTTATTTCCCTTTGCCACTTTCAGGAGACAGCCTGTGACCTTCTGCTAGCCCCGACATCTCTTTCATCCTTTGGGTACTTTTATGTTCTGGTTACAGGATGAAATACGGTAACTTGATTTTCTCCTTCTATGAAGCTTTTCCAGACAAGTGTCCCACCTTTTCATTTTGTCACTTTACTGGGAATCACCAGGAGAATAACAACAACCAATGACACAAAAATAAGGTGAAGGAAAAAGCTCTAAAGTAAATGGGAAGTCATGGTGATTGCTATGATCTTTGTTTTCCCACTAATTTAAGATATGGACGGTGACATTTCTTCCCCTCTATTATCTTATTTAGTTCATATTTAAAGAAGGTCACATGCTTATATGCAACCTTTGTCCCAAACTTTATTCCCCTGTATTCCTAAACAACAAAATGCTACTGCCCATGGACACAGAGAAGAAAAAAAAAGTCTGTGAGATTTCCTATCTGCATCTTTGTTTCTCCTTCTTCCCCTTTTCTCCCTCTCCTGCCTGCTCCCTGCGCATTTAACAATTCCATATGTAATATGAAATGGCATTTCCTCTTATGCCTTTTCCCCACAGATGGGGTTGGATAAGAGGAATTTCAGAAATTTTAGATAGTCTTCCCTTTTTCCCAATGTGCAAGGAAACTATAATATTGCAATTTTAACTTAAAAATCTGAACTCAGTTTTTACCTAGAAATGTTGTTTGTGTAGCACATATATCGTGGCCTGACTGTACTTTTAAACTAGTTTCTAGGCAGTTAGCCAATCTTTTGAAATCTGCCTCCTTAAAGTTAGAAATTGTGATACAGTCCTATCTTTACAGTAGATGTGACGTTGAAGTTTAGAAAATTAGAGTGTGGTTCAGGTATGAGATAAATCAATGAACCCCTTGAAGTGGAATTGGGTTGTTTGAACACTAATTTTAAGCCATGGACCAACATCTAGGGGAAAATTAGATCCCATTTTCCTAACAGACATACAGAATCAAACACATTTGGCATTTCTGAACTTTGCAGTAGGATGCTTTAAAAATCTGTTTGCTATTAAGGGAACAGAAAAATCTCAATTTCCTTGAGAATTTTTATAGAAATTTTAGAGAACATAGATGATGTTGGGTTATTGGTACAAATTAGATGGTCAAATTTTTGCTTATTTGTTAAATTTTAGAGTTTTCACATTATGCAGTGTTTGTAAGTGCAGAACTGCTCAGCAGAAAATTAGCTTGCCATAGAGTACTTTCAAAATAGAACTGTCATGGTTAAAAATGGAATATTATTTCTTTACTCAACCTCTATATTTGAATAAAATTTGCTGTACATTTGAATAAAGTAAGCTCTACATTTGAATAAAAATTGCTGTATTAATACTCTAGTGAACATCAGTGGTAACAATAAGAAAAAACAATTTCACTATTTGAATGATACATTCAAGAAAAACCTGATTGGTCCTTATTATTACTATTAATATGTCTGCCCTACAAATCTCCTAATTAGTTTTCATATTTCTTTTTTTTATATTTATTTATTTATTTATTTATTTATTTATTTATTTATTTATTTTTGAGACAGAGTCTCGCTCTGTTGCCCAGGCTGGAGTACAGTGGTGCGATCTCGGCTCACTGCAACCTCCCCCTCCCGGGTTGAAGTGATTCTCATGCCTCAGCTTCCTGAGCATCTGGGATTACAGGTGTGTGCCACAACACCTGGCTAATTTTTGTATTTTTAGTAGAGACGGAGTTTCACCATGTTGGTCAGGCTAGTCTCGAACTCCTAACCTCAAGTGATCTGCCCACCTCAGCCTCCCAAAGTGCTATGATTACAGGAGTGAGCCACCATGCCTAGCCTCACATTTCTTAAAGCACAGAAAAATCAACACAATGCTAATGGCAGATTTTACTCTTCCTTATCTTATGTGGCATAATTGAAAGAGAAGATTAGAAATCCATGAAATAATATTAGATCATGAAAGAGCTTTAAAAGACAGGTAATTTTTATAGGCTGAAATTCTTTCTATAAAGCCCAAATGACTCCATTGATGTAGCTTCGGAAAAATCAAATAAATAATATATACACGGTTAATTGAAGATACTCTCCTTCAGCAGGTATTTTTACAAATTTCTTCTCCAAATCTCAAAGCATTAGTTAGAATATAATCCAAATGCCTCCAATAAAAGCTGTTTAACACTATCATTAAAGTGTAGCAATCCAGAGATTGTAACATAAATTAAAATGAGAAAAGTGAGAAAAAAGTGAATAAAACTGTCTGTTACAAATAGGATCAGATAATTTTTACTTAATGCAGAAATGGCACTAAACTTTTCTTAGTGGTATGCGAGATACTAATATCCTTGATTAAGCCTCTCATAATTTATTTTTGTTTTTGTTTGTTTTTTTTTTGTTTGTTTTTGAGACAGAGTCTTGCTCTGTCACCCAGGCTGGAGTGCAGTGGTGTGATCTTGGCTCACCACAGCCTCCTCTTCCCAGGTACAAGTGAATCTCCTGCCTCAGCCTCCCAAGTAGCTGAGACTACAGTCACTCACCATCATGTCTGGCTAATGTTTTTTATATTTTTAGTAGAGACGGGGTTTCTCCATGTTGGCTAGGCTGGTTTCGAACTCCTGAACTCAGGTGATCAGCCCTCCTAGGCCTCCAAAAGTTCTGGAATTACAGGCGTGAGCCACCATGTCCGGCCAAGCCTCTCATAGCTTTTACAGAACTTGTAATTCCACAAAAAATTCTAAATAATAACATTAAAAAATTTCATGGTGAATATAAGCAAGGGACTAATAAAATGTGTAGCTTTACCTTTTCTGCCTCCTAATGTATATATCAAATATATATCATTTTTTGTCTATTTCCACTTTGACAATTGTTATGAAAATCTCCACCTGTAGCTGCCTGGCACTATTGTAACAGCCGCCCTCATGCTTCCATTCTATTTTCTCGGAACTATTCTTCACTTATAATCCATCAAAATCTTTGAAATCATAAATTTCTCTCTACATTAACATTTTTGCCCTTATAATAAAAGAATAATTATGAAACAATAATAAAGTACCAATAATTTTCCTGTGCTTATAAAGCCTGCATGACTCTGTTCTTGTCTGACCTTCCAACTCATCTTGTGCTACTTCTGTCTTCGTGTAGGTATGGTAGATCTTTTAATGTCCTTGAACACTCAAGATTGTTCTGATCTCAGAGCTTTTCACATATTCTTCTCTATCAGGAATTCCAAAGCCCCTGCTCTTTGCAAATTAGGCATTTTTATATTCTTTAAGATTCCTTATGTCACTTTTCTGCAACGTCTTTCCTGACCATTCTAGGTAGGTCTGTCTATATCTATCTTTTTCTCATTGTTCTTTATTCATTTTCTTTAAATTATTTATCACAATTTGTAAATATATATGAACATGTTCATGTTACATGCATTCATACATATGTGTGTATATCTTTGTCTCTATCTAAAGAGAGAAATAGAGAAAGACAGAGAGAGGGCGGGGTGTGGTGGCTCGCACCTGTAATCCCAGCACTTTGGGAGGCCGAGGCGGGCCGATCACGAGGTCAGGAGATCGATACCATGATGAAACCCCGTCTCTACTAAAAATACAAAAAATTAGCCGGGCATGGTGGCGGGCGCCTGTAGTCCCAGCTACTCGGGAGGCTGAGGCAAGAGAATGGCGTGAACCTGGGAGGTGGAGCTTGCAGTGAGCCAAGATAGTGCCACTGCACTCCAGCCTGGGCGACAGAGCGAGACTCCGTCAAAAAAAAGAAAGAAAGAAAGAAAAGGGAGGAAAGGAGAAAGGGGGGGGGGGGTGATTACTACGTAGCTATGTGTATTATTTTTTGTTGTTTTTGACTTTTTTTATTTGACCATTGCTAACTCCATAAAGGCAAGGATCATACTGGGTATTTTAATCACTAAAATGTATCCAGTGTCCAGGACAATCAATGGCCCATAGTAACCATTCAATACGTTTTTGTATTATCTGTGGATGAATGAATGAAAGGAATGAATAAAAGAATGCATATCTAATTTACACCATTAGGTGATGATAAATCAACCCTGGGAATTTCAATCCAAACCTTTCTGCTATGCAAGGATGGGCCACAAACCCCAGCAGAATTTCCACATCCTTGTATAGCATTTCCTTAGTCTCTCCCTTTTGCTGTATTCCCAGTGTGCTTGTTATAAGTGTCCTAAATCAAATATTTAATTTGACACTCTGAATTAAACACCTGTGAAAAGAAGGAAAAAATATTAAAAGAAAAAAAAAACTGAGATTGTGTCTTGTGTTTTATGTTCCCAACTACTTCTAAGCTACTCAATAGCAGCCTTCAATTTTAGACATAATTTACTTTTAAGAAAAATATCCCAGGTATCTGACATTAAAGCAGGTCCTTAGGTAGATTCTCACTTTAATACATGCCTATTAACTTTGGAATGTATCAGAAGAGAACAAGGTTGTCTCAAAGGCATGACTTTCAGTCCCTCTGGAAAGCACAGCACGTCGCCCAATGTTAATTTAAGCTTGACAAATGAGAGGTGAATTTATTTGTAAGAGAGTTCATATAATCATTGAGAAGCATTTATTCTTCCTTGAAAGGTTATTTTCTGCAAAATAAGATATAGTGCTGCGTCCAGGCATCCAAGCCTGCACCGCAAGAGAACAATCCTTGGCATTTAGACTAAGTGTTATGTCCTCTAGCTAGGAAATGAGTTGTGAGAGGTATTTTTCATTTCTAACTTCTGATTATAATAACATTGTCAGTAAGCTTATATGGAGACGGCCACTGCTAAGCAGGTTTATTTTCACTGGGTCATAAAGTAAAATATGTGTAGAAAGAATTCAGGTAGTTCCTTAAAGAAACCTTATGTCATAGGAATACAGTGAGCCTCATCAGTGTCAAATAGATAAGAGCTCATATCTCAACTCTGATCTTTATTGCTTTATTTACTCAAATATTAGAGCATACCTTTCTCATAATGTGTTAAAATTTTTCATGACATGTTAGGTATTCAACACATGGTTACTTCAAGTGATAAAAACAATAATAATGTAGAGAAGTTACATTTCACAAAACACCATAGAACTGAGATATGAAAATGTAAAAATTTCAGTATATTTTCTTAATTATTTTTATTTTATTTATTGTTTATTTAAAGAATATTAACTAGACCTTACTGTATGACAGACACTAAGCTAGGTACAAATTGTTGAATAAAACCACAGCAGTGTTTTCCTTTTTGGAGTTACACTTTACTTTCTATTGCTTCCATTTTAAGATTTTTTAAATTAACTATTTTAAAAATCCTTTATTTTTAAAAGATATGGTAAGATTAATATTTAACTTTTCCAATATTATCATTCTCATTCCTTTTCAAGTGACACAATAGTTAGAATTTGTCCCCTACCTTTAAGAAAATCATGGGACTTGTAAGAAAAGTGCGAAATATAGGTTTCTCTCCAATGTCTTCCTGTTGGGACCTGTAATTACTCACCATAATCCTTACCTACTAAGACTTCAATCCTTAGTTCAGTTGTATCTGCCACCAGAATATAAATTCCTAGCTATAGGAATTGTGTCTGCCTTATTTGCTGTTACATACTCATAATATACACTCACTGGATAACTATTGAATGAATGGATTGCTGCTCACTGTGCTGAGCGATGAAGTGCTATTCCTTGGATACCCTGCCTTCTCCCAGAAGATGCTGACAGGAGAAAAGGGAAATTAACATCCCCATTCTTTGTAGACATTGGCATTTACAAACAGTAGGTGATCAATTCATACCGCTTTACTGGTAGTGGAGGAGCAAGGAGAAAAGGACAAAAGCTAAGGGAAAGAAAAAATAAAAACTATAAAAGAAAATAAAAGGAGAATAGTGGCCAGTGTAAATTCTCCCCTTCAGGCATGCAAAAAGAAAGGCACAGAGTTGCTAATGTCCTTCTGGCAGAAAAGGAGCAAGGCTCATTACTTTCACACTTTGTAAAGTTGCTCCCAGCTTCCCTGTGCTGCTTCTGTAGCAGCACTAGACTTGCTTAGATGGCAAACATGTCAGAAGGGTTTTACATTTTTATAAAAGATTGCCCTAGGTCCTCTCCACAAAGCACGATTAACAGTACCCTGAATGTGCTTCCTCAGTGGGAAGGCTTTGTCTAATCCAACCCAGACTTCTCAGTGTCCCAGTGTTCCTTTAACCACTTCATTTCCTACAAGTGGAAAGAAATGATCAATGCACTGAAGGTAGGTGTCTCAATGTCATACAGGGAATGAGAGAAAGATCTTCAGTTCCTCTATTTTCTGTCTGCAGAATTGATGAGTTAGATTTCTTCATTGTGATTGGAGATAATTAGCAGGAAAAATTTTGGTGTGGGGCCAGTAATAACAGTCCTTTATGTTCAACACAATTATAATGACTGGCCAGAAAATTCATACACCTGATCCGAAATACTACTAACAAATTCCTTACGAAATATATTATTATATTCATTTTATACATATAGGAATCAAGGCTCAGAATCTAAATGCAATTAACTTGCTCAAGGTCAACGGATAATCTACCTGACTTCAAAGTCCATACGTTTTCCACTTGTAAAAATGCTTCTCAAACTTTGGACTGCTGTAACAACAACTGTCATGAAAAATAAAGGAGCTGAACTTGAACACTCTTTATGAGTCTTTAATTTCTTTCTTTATTTTTTTTTTTTTTTTTTTGAGACGGAGTCTCGCTCTGTCGCCCAGGCCGGACTGCGGACTGCAGTGGCGCAATCTCGGCTCACTGCAAGCTCCGCTTCCCGGGTTCACGCCATTCTCCTGCCTCAGCCTCCCGAGTAGTTGGGACTACAGGCGCCCGCCACCGCGCCCAGCTAATTTTTTGTATTTTTAGTAGAGACGGGGTTTCACCTTGTTAGCCAGGATGGTCTCGATCTCCTGACCTCATGATCCACCCGCCTCGGCCTCCCAAAGTGCTGGGATTACAGGTGTGAGCCACCGCGCCCGGCCTAATTTCCTTATTTCTCTAAGACCATGTTTCTAACGTTCTGTGATCTTGGGAGCCTTCTCAGACATTCATTCATAGAGACATTCTAAGAAAGACTTAGGAGGTTAATAATTACTCAAGTTATAAGTGTAAGAGGAGATCTTTCTTTTGAGCTTTTCAAATCTAAGGAATTCTCACCCTTATGGCTCCTATAGTTTCTATTTATAATGTCCTTACCTTTCTTTCCTCATGCATAGGAGACAGTGGTAGGAACGAAATAGATATTAGATTTTCAGTATCACATATTGGTAAATTATCTAACATATCTGTTCTAATTGTAGTCTTAAATGTATTTTGGATTTATCGATGTCTTTCCTTCATCATAAAGAAATGAGCTATCTAGTTTACACTAAGGATAATTAGCTTCATTTTTAACACATCTTGAATTAATAGACTGGATATTTTCAATGCTTACATTAATATGAAATGTTATAAACTTCACTTTTCTCTCTTCAAAATTCAATTTATTTTGTACTATACACTATTTACATTAGTTCAGCAAGCATCACAAATCTAATTTAATTGGATTTTATGGCATTTTTCCAGGAATAAATTGCATTTTTGAAATAAAAAAAATCACCCCATGCTAACAGGTACTTTGGTTAAAATGCAAAACATCTACATGCATGCAGAAACATTTGTGGGTTTTCTTTAGCCAGAAAGAAGAGTTCTTATACTATCACAAATTATTTCCATTGATTTTCCTTATCTACATAACATTTTAAAAAGTTTATCTCAGAATAAGCAAAGGTGTCTATCTCAGCACATCTGAAAAACAGTCTTGAGTTAATGACGATTGAAAATAGTTCTAAGATATTCCACCTTCATCAACTTTTACTGTAAATGTGGTAAAGACTGTGCAACTAATACATTATATGTTAAAAGAGTAGAGCAAGGCTGGGTGCCATGGCTCACACCTGTAATCCCAGCACTTTGGGAGACCTAGGTGGGCAAATCACTTGAGGACAGGAGTGTGAGACCAGCCTGGCCAACATGCTGAAACAGTGTCTCTATTAAAAATGCAAAAATTAGCCGGCTACGGTGGCAAGTGTCTGTAATCCTAGCTACTCGGGAGGCTGAGGCAGGAGAATGGCTTGGACCTGGGAGGCAAAGGTTGCAGTGAGCTGAGATCGTGCCACTGCACTCCAGCCTGGGTTACAGAGCAAGACTCCACCTTGGAAAAAAAAAAATGCAAAAATGCAAATTCAGTAGGTTCAGTGTGTATATGTATATATACACACTGAACCCTACTGAATTTATATATATATATGTGTGTGTGTGTATATATATGTGTATGTGTATATATATATATACACATATATATACACACACACACATACACATATATTTTAAATCCATATTAAGGAAGGTGTTGATGACTAAGAACTAAGAATAATAATGTTAGTGGCCAGGTGCAGTGACTCATGCCTGTAATCCCAGCACGTTGGGAGGCCAAGGCAGGTGGATCACGAGATCAAGAGATCGAGACCATCCTGGCCAACATGGTGAAACCCCATCTCTACTAAAAAGACAAAAATTAGCTGGGCGTGATGGCGCGTGCCTCTAGTCCCTGCTACTCGGGAGGCTGCGGCAGGAGAATCACTTGAACTCAGGAGGCAGAGGTTGCAGTGAGCCGAGATCAGCTTGGGCGACAGAGTGAGGCTGTCTCAAAGAAAAAAAAGAGAATGTTAGTGATTGTGGGAAAGCCAAATATGTGCTCTCATTGAACATCATATCAGCTCTTAACTACTCAGGAGATGGCAGATTAAAGATCTTTCCAAGCTTTTCAGTTTTCCTTTTTTGGTTTTGTAACCAATATTTACAGAATTGTCTTCACTTATTGGAAGACAGGCCGGCAGGCTAGACAAAGAGAAGTGTTGAACCTTATGCTGCTTCATTTCACTACATTTTTTAGTCATTTCTAAACTTCTTGAGCAAAGACTAAATTAAAGACTGTGAGTACTTAAAGGATTATTTTGGAGTTGAATTAATGACACGATTCTTGTCACATATCAGTAGGTAGTACAGAAGATCAGCTTGACTGATTTAGGGGGCTTCTTTATTTAGGAGTGTTGATTTCCTGAAACTCCTCTGATAATCTGACAATTTACTGAAAACATGTTCATCTAATTTCACTTTATATTTCAACATTCATTTCTACTCACTTTTAGTGGTAATAATTTTAAGATGTCATTAATATAGATTCTTAAATTTGCATAATTTATTTTTCTTCTCTTTTTACATCAGTCTTCAAAATTAGATGATAGCTTCCATACCATACTTTACATAGCATATTTAATCATGATACTCATTAATCCATCAATTCATTCATTAGAGACATTTGCCTTTAACTAAGGAGATTTGGTTTATTTGACCTCATGGACATAATTTATATTTCTCTTCAATGGCACCTACACATCACCTACTCAGCAGGAGTGCCTCTTGCACTTACCACTGCCCCTAAGCTGACTCATCTCACTTCCTTTAATAGGTCTATTATGATAAATCTCAGTTCATGCTGTTTGTCTGAAGGTTCAACTGGCATTGCAAACACAGAAAACCAAAACAGAACCCACCATCCCTTTATTGTTACCTCCAATAAGTATGTAAGATCCCATACTGACCTCTTGATCTCGGGGGACAGACTCACATAGCAATCATTTATTTTGCCTGATATATGTTCTATATCAAAATATTAGTCAAACCTTGTGAAATATACCTGTATAATACCTCTCCTTTGTTCTCCTCCCCTCAATTTCTACTGCTTCAATCTCAGGTCCAATCTTCAAAACTTCTCTTTATAATGTTTTCAATAGCCTTCTAATAGGCCTCCCAATCAGACCCCTTTTCCTTGTATTAAATTCATCACCTGATCATCAGTCTGAGCTTTATGAATATTTAATTTGTTTGCATCACTCTACTGCTCAAAACTATCTTTTGATCCTAATTGCCCATAGGAAAAAAAATAAACTTTTTAACCTAGGCCTCTAGATGATCATTTTTCAATCCTATTTCATCTGAACTTCCCTTTACTTCCTTTAGCCTTCACAACAACTAATTTACATATTTCCCTGGTTTCTCCCAAGCTCTTTCATGGATGTGCATTTGCTTGTAGTGTTCCTTCTGTCCTACAGATTTCTGCCTCTGGTTTCTTAGGACTAATCCAATTTTTGTGGCTGTGGCAGATAATGTTTCTTCTGTGCCCTGAGCACTCATGATTCAAATGCACGCTGATGGTGTGCTGTAAGCTTCAGGGAGCTGAAGCCATAGGAACCAAAGGAACGGTGCTCAATCAATAACAGATAGAAATTGGAGGGAAAAGTATCCTGGTTTTCTTGCCCTTATGGGAGGACAACTCTGAAGTGCCTGCTTTGCCAGCCAGTGGAGGTCTCCAGCTGTCTTGCTCTCCATTTGCTCACAATGTCAATCTTCTCCTTAAGTCAACTTAATTGGTTTCCTTTTTCTTCCTGTCTCACTTCCCAGCTCCCCAACTAGGAATTTATGGGATCACCACTCAAATGATTCATATCAGATCCTGTATCAGGGCTAACATAAAGCAATAGTTATTCTTAAAAGTTACCTCCATGCAGCCTTCCTGGATTTCGGTAGCTGGGAGTGTTTTCCCTCATTTTGGATGCTTATGTGTTTCTCTTAAAGTGGATGCTTATGTGCTTCTCTTAAAGTGTCACCACTTACTGTATTTTGCTCTGTGTGTGTGTGTGTGTGTGTGTGTGTGTGTGTGTTTTCCATATCTATCCAAGTTTTCTCTATGGGAGAGAGTTGTCTAATTGTTGGGTCACTAATTGGCTGCCTTTTCTCCTAGGATCCTGGCCTCTTGTCACAGTTTCTAGGGCCCATCCTTAACTTAACCTTACATAACTTCCAAAGCCAACTTTCTTACCAAAGCTGCCATCGAGAAAACCAAATTTATCTGTTTTTCTTTTGAAAAGCACTTTGCACATTACAGATTGATGCTGAGATGAATTCTAGGGGCATGGCAAGTGACTACCTGCAACTAAAAACCAACGTTAAAGTCCTTAGCTCTTCATGATCTTGCACCTGCCTAATTACTATCTCTTCTCATCTCTTACCTCTACCCCACATACACCCTCCTCACACAGCACACTGAAATGTTAGCGTGACCCTGCAAACCTGCAGATACCACATGTTCTTCCCACTGTTCCTCTGCATGTGCTATGTCTTCTGGCTATGACAAGGTGAACATTTACTCCTCTCCCACACTGTTACTAATATCAAACATTCTCCTCCTAGAAATCTCTGTAACTGCCCGCCCAACAAAGCCTACTTGGGAATCTACTCATTCCACTCCTGCAGCATCTGGGTTATGCCTCAGTCATTTCATTGATCATGATAAATGACTTCTTGTCATGGTTTTCCCATGAAATATCATAAACTAAGAAATATTTCAGGACAGAGATTATGCTGTGTTCACTAATGTGTCATTAGTGCTACAACAACAATTATTTATGTTATTTATGGTAGAGATAATACATGCTTGTTGAATGAATAAATAAATAGTTTCCTAAGAAATTTAATTGTGAGTCTTGGCCACCTAATGTCCTTCCTTACCTACTCCCAGATATTTTTGAAGAAGCATCAAAGCATTATTAGATTATCCTATATTTAGTTGAACTAGAAATGAGGAGTATCATGCTTGATTGACACTCTTATATAGTGTTGTAATCATTCCTCTCAAATTTACGAAATCATTTCACTCTTCTTTCTTGAAGGACTGAGTAAGCCAAACATGCTGGCAATTACTGAGATGGGGAAATTCTATCTTAAGCTATATTTTCAGTATGCAGTAAAATACTGTGAATGGATATCTTATAAGGCATTTGTAGTCATGCTTTTGATAGAATTTGAAGGAAAAAGTGAACTCTGCAAAAAAAAAAAAATTGGCTAAGTTGCTTACTTTATCATTTGTAGTGGATTGTGGCAGTTTCTAACATTTTCTTCTCTAGGTCATATTCTCCAAGTCACTGTAGTGACAACTAGTGCTTGGAGCATGTTGCTCACAAGGCAGTGCCATGACATAAGCAATTCATAGCTATCTTTGGGATACTTCCATGCCAGTAATAGAATACAATAAAAAAGCCACCTTAAATATGTCCTCAGAAGACCCTGTCCCCCATTCGTACAGTTAAACATCCCAGCAAATGCATCTTTTAAGATCACTCTCTTACTGTGTTTTTATTCTAAATGTGTAAGTATATCTGTTCAAAATTCATCTGCATTTGCCACACCGTTCAATCTCTTCTCTGCAGCCCACCTAAATAGCTTCACATCTGTTATTTATAAAGGGAATACCTACTAATTCTTAGGAGTTTGTTTTCTCTCATGCTTGCGTCTATTTCTGTTGGCAGTAGAAATTGTCCAGTGCTAATGAGAACAGCGATTTCCAAAATTCAGCCACTTTTAGGTGAATACTATATAATTTTTATTAACTTACCTATGCTTTAACTTTCTCACCTCATGACTGCCCTTCAACATTTTATGTTAAAGGTTTGACCCTGCTCATGCTGCTTCCCCGAGAGTTGCTTGTTAACATTGAAAATTTATATTTGAAACTTTCCAGCATAATTTTAGCAATCATTTGACCACTGGTTACCCAAAGACAACTTGGTCACTGGTGCCCCAAGGCGACCAGCAGTGTTGTGCCACATAAAATGAATTATGATTAAGATTTTAAGTGTCTGAGATATTATTAGGAAAGAGAAGAAAAACATTACACTACAGAGTTGTCCATGCAGCTAAATTTGGTCTGTTTTAAACAAAAATCTTTATGTAGAGATATCTGTTCTTACTGTAGTTTTAGGTCCCTAACATTTTGATTTAAAATGTCCTTATGTATAAAATGACATATGCATAAAATGATCATTGATTTTTAAATGCCCTTGTGTGACAAAATAAAAAAAAAATTTGAAACTTACACTGATGACTAAATATACTTTTCGGGAATTTTATCAGTCTTTGAATTTCAAAAGTAGGGAAATCATTGTCATAGGCAAAAATCATTCTTGATAAACAAAGTATGAGGTAGAATTACACAGAATTTACTATGTGCTTGATCCTGTTTTAAATATGAGGATTAAATGAATTTAATCCTTGTAATAAACCTGTGAGAATGGTACCTTTATCAGGTCCGTTTTACACACTAAGGTTTAGAGAGGTTGTATAACTTGTCCTAGGTCACAGAGCCGCTAAGAAGCGGAGACAGAGTTTGAACTGGTGGAGTTTAACTGTGATCATCATATCTTTCTTAAGTTCAAATGTTACAAAAGGCAGAACTTATTTGCAAACTTGGCACCCCTACTTGGAGTAATTGTGCCAGTTTAGTCTTGATTTTCCCCACTCTATTTCCTGGCATCATTGACTTCCTCCACTCATGCTCAGGCATAACTGAAACTCAGTAACATCTGAATGCCTTTTCCCCAGAGCTGGTCTGAAGATCTAAATATATTTGAATCAATTAGATTAGTGCTTGAGATAAGAAATCACTAAAAAGCTGGTAGGCATTAACATATTTTTTTCAAAAGAAGAGCTTACCCAAGCCTCACTTCTCTAAGTTCTCTTCCTGGGCACAGCACCCCCTTAGTTTCCTGCCTGGAGACAAGTTTCGGCTTGGAGCCTGGCTTCACTAAGTCTCTCTTTCTCTCTCTCTGGCTCTCTGTCTCTCTTTCTCTCTCTCTCTCTGTCTCTGCCAAACAATGTCATTCTCCCCTTGAGCTAGTCACTGGTCAAGGTCAGGTATATTCTCTTTTTCAGGGAGTTAAGTTTATAATGATAATAACAAGAGAAACATTCTGAAAGAGAAACAACAAAAACAAGCATTCAGTGATGTTTACAAAGTGTCACATACTGTCTTACACTGTCTTAATGCTTTATATACATAATCTCATTTAGTCCTCACAAGAACCCAGTTACCATTGTGATCGTCATCTTACTAATAAAAGAAACAAATACAGAGACATTAAGCACTTGCCCAATACTATGTAGCTAGAGAATTGTATGGTCAGGATTTACCCTCAGGAAGACTGTTTTGGAAGCACTGGGGAACTACCGTGAGAAAGTCAAGAATAGCATTCTGTTATTTATTCTGTGCCTCTCCTGAAAGTCTGATAATTGGAGTTCAAGTAGACATTTGAGATTTTTGTCTTTGCATTATAATTGATTTTGACAAGTAGATCTCTGTCATAAATATCATGATAAGCAGGCTACTATCCAACTCCCAGGTATGACCTTTTTATTCACTTTTTGATGGATCTCTTAAAATCTTATTTCAGGCTCAGAAACTGGAACCTACCACTTGCTGACACTTTTACCACTATTGACTCAATGGTCTGGTAGATCACTGCATATAATTAGTACCTGGTTTCCTGTTTTGTTTATTTATTGAGAAATCTGTAGTCACATAAGAGAGCCCTAATATCATTTATATTACTGGGAGTTCATCTCTCACGTGTCATCATACCTCTTGGGTACCACACTTTGTAGCCATTTATACAACCTGAGGTAGGCTCTGCTATCCCATTCTCAAATCTAACCCATCTCCCAGCTAGAAGATCTAGTTAAAGATCTCAGCCCTCCCTCCCTGTATTGTCTCACTGTAGTCAACATACTACCCGTGGTGAATCTGTACGAGTCTGTAGCAACTCAATTCTTGTCTCCTTGGAGGGAGGAATTCAGCCAAGGGGTATAAGGCAGAGGGAGAGACCGAGGCAAGTTTTAGGGCAGGAGTGAAAGTTTATGAAAACGTTTTAGAGGAGAAATGAAAGGAAGTAAAGTACACTTGTAAGAGAGCCAAGGGTGGGACTTGAGAGATCCAAGTCCTGTCCAGCCCTTGAATTGGGGATTTTTTATACATTGGCATGGTTCCAAGGTTTGCATTTTTTTCCCCCTAATTCTTCCCTTGGAGCAGGCTGTCCACATGTGCAGTGGCCTCCAAGCATTTGGAAGGGACAGCATGCACAGTGTATTTACTGAAGTTGTATGCATCCTTACTTGAAGCACTTTTCTCTTACCAATTGAGCATTCTCAGAGAAGGGTCCTATACCCATTAAACTCTGTTATTTTGTCTCTTAGTGCGTATGCTTGAGCCTGCTCACCCAGCTCCTGAGTGCTTATTGGGAAGCGGCTGATCGCCAGCTCCAGGTGCTTTCTATCTATTGGGAGACTGTTTTCTCCTGGCACCAGCTGTGACCAATTTCTATTTTAGAGAGCCAGTTTAACAACTGCTTGACCATCACTTGATAGTGGCCTGACATTCCTGAGACTGGGTGGGGTTGGGGAGGACTCTTTTGTCTTGCTCATGTCTGAACTGCTACCTACTTTAACAGACAGACCTTTATCTAACTTTATTTTTAATTTCCCCCATGTTATATGCCTATAGATATACATTATTTTATCTTTGACAATTTAGAACTGAGTTATGTTCCTGACCCAAAACTGTTCTTTCTTAAGCATTCACTCCTTTTTCATAACGCTTTCCATTGCTACCTGATTTTTTAAATATTTCTCTCTGTATCCTATGTAGACAAATTCTTACTTCTCAACCCCTTTACTAATTTTCTTTCCAGAATTTTATAAACTGTAAAAATAAGGGTAGTGAGGATTCTTAGAGAATATCTAAGAATGTCTGGAAAAGGTGTTTAGCTATTTTCTTATACATGTATTTCTCTATTTTTAGCAGGGATGCTAAGACACTGGCCTAATGGGAGGAATAGATTAGATGAGAAATCAATTATCTTATCTCTGTGATATAGGATTCCCCTCATTATAGTAACTATGTTAAATTTTTATAAGATTTTAATTTTGTAGTGCAACATATTACATTAAATTAATAATCACATTATTATTTTTAATTAAAATGTCAGATACCTCAAACTTTTGGAAAAAAAATAAAAAGTCTCTTTTCCAAGGCCTTGCTACAAGTCTTCAAGGTAAGAAGGCTTTTAATGAATAGACTCTGCATACCAGGGTTTATTTGTTTGTTTAAAGCAGTTTTGTTTCTAGATTTTGTTTTAATTTCACTTTTACAAAAGCTCATAGAAGGTGATTTCCAGGGAAGTTAGAGACCTAAGCTCTGGATCCTCCTGTTGCACAAACTTATTTTATGGTCCTGAGAAGTATCCTATCAATGTGTTCACATGTTCTTGGATTTTTGTAATATTTGCTAAAGTAAAATATTTAAACTTCATTTGGTTAAGATTACAATTTATTTCCACTCTGATATCCTTCAAAGTTGCTTCCTTTTGTGTCTAATATTATTTTTGTAATAGAATTTTGGTGATCCATCTAAAAGAAGAAGTTGAGTTGAGGCTATATAACGGAGTATGTGTATATAGCTCACAGTCAATTATGTTACTCTCTACCAACTGTAGTGAGAATAGTATACTCCTATCACCAACTCTACCAGCTTCTGGGGTTATGATTGGAAGGTACAGGCTAGTAGACTAAACAGGAACTGAACATGTTCTAGATGCTGAACAGCCAAAATTTCTCATAGTGGGAGAGAAATAATTTTTGAAAGATACAGAACCAGAAAATGTAATTTGTAAACTGCTTCATTTAAGAGCACAAATTTTAAGATGATAATTCAGTTTTCATCAATGTCTAGATGTTTTCTGTTTAACAACAACATAGATGTTGTTTTCTGTTTAAAAATAATGCAGTTTTCATAATTATAAACATATAGATTCTCTTAAATTGTGTCAATGGGAATGTCAGGAAATAGAATTTATCAGAATTCCTATGTTTTTTTACAGCAAAAAATCTGTAACAATACAACAAACAACATGTGTATTGCCACATGTTCTAAGCAGTCCATTGTTTCAGATCATGTTGTTCAGTACCTGATACGTTTTATCCTGAAGATATCTGGAAATCTCAGTCAAAATTGTAGAGAAGTTACCTACAATGCAGAGAAATTACCTCACAAAATTAGTGTTCCCTTAAAAAAATTTACATATTCATCTCTAAGCTAATACTAATAGCAAAAATAGTGGTATATTAGGTAATTTACTAATAAAATAGTATCTACTTCTATAAATTTGAAAATGCTTGTGGTTAGTTTTGTAAAACTTGTGAATCATTTTTTTCTCTTTCAAATAAATACCCATTTTTCCCTCATATTCTGTTTTTTTTTTTTTCAAAGTAACCCCTGTATTTCAAGACCCACCAAATCTGGACTTGCTCCTAAAATAGACAGATAGGAAGGTAAAGTAAGTGTCTCCTTCAGGTATATAAAACCTAGAATTTGGAATATTTCAGAATTTTATGGAATAAGATATTTTTATGAGAACAATGTTATGAATAAATAAGAAAAAGAGCAAAGAGTACCATTGTATTAGAAAGATGGACTGGTGGAAGGAGACTTAACAAGTTGTTATTTGGGAACTTGTATAACTTTGGAAAAATATTTATATGTGTGATGTCTGGCCCTGAACACTCTTTGATGTTAACTCTATGGGTGGCAACCTGTGAGCTACCAAATGGGACTCTTTTACTCATGTATTTTTTGTGACTTGGGGTCATGATTCATAAGGCCAGCATTCACAAGAATAAAGAGTTCAAAGATTCATTTAGTAGATTCATGACAGAATAGGAATATTCTTACTGCACTAATTATGCAATTATTTTTATATAGGAAAACTAACTAAAATATTATATGTTTTCTAAACTTCACAGATAAAATGATCTCATATAGATTATTTCTGAATAGGTTATATTCATGCTTACATGGCATTTTACGTTTTTTTTTTCTATTCTTATTTCTTGATATTCACTATCACCCACTTATGCATCAGCTTCTTCAGGGATGGTGGAATTCTAAAGCAATCTAATATTTTACAGAGATCAAAAGAGTTTTGTTGTGAAGAAGTAATTGTTGTTACAGAGCTTCACAGGTTACCCAAATGGCCCCAACTCATCCTATGCAGAAGCAAAAAGTGCTGAAAAATGGCCGTATCAGGTTCTACGTTCCTGCAACTTACTAATAAGTGCTGGCAAAACAAATAAGTCACAAGCAGGTGATACAAGTAAAAACAAGGAAAGTAGTAAAGGCTATTCTAAGAATATACGGTCTTTTTTAGCATGAAGTTAAGCTTTTCAAACCCAAGTTTTCAAAGAAAGAAAAGTAGCCAAAATATGAGTTTTCTGTTCACTGTAAAAAGAAAAAGTGGACACTTTTTTGTTACACTGTAACATTACACGTAGTACCAAAAAATTGAAATAAATGTGATATCTCTGCAGCATATTTAGTGGCATTATTTTACATTCAGCCCAGTTTCTTCATCATAAAAGTACATAGCTAAAAAGTCAACAAGTTTTTTCAGCCACATATTGTGCCATTTGGCTATATATTGAGAAAAAAATAAATGAGTTTTTTCTTACACTATACATAATTAAGTAGAGGTTGACACAAATTAAACTAAGTGTTACTCTTAATTCCTAATTTAGGAGAATATTAAATTATTACCTTAAAATTCATAAAACAAAGAAAATACATTTAAGGATAAAAACACATGGCATTTTCCCTTCAAATAACTGCATATGGGAGTCTATTTGATTTTCACAGCTGCTATTTCATTTTTTTCTTTGACATTACCTCATTTTTGACTGACAAGTTTTTTTTTATGTTTCTCCCTAGATTTTACAAAATGAGCCTAGATTATATGTTCTTCACTAAAAGTGAGCAAAAATATATTTTTGCTACCATACCAGGTACCATTGAAATAACTGATTAAGAATTCACAGTCTTGGCTTTCTCTTATTTAGTATATTGTTTGATTTTTACAGTTTGATTTTTCTTCCAGTTTTCTTCATTCTTCTGTATTCCTGCATTTTTTATTCTTGTTCAATAATATCATTTTGTTGTTGTTGTTTTTAAGCATGGTTTTTATACAGCATTGGGTGATTTATTGTATGACTATGCCACTAGAATGGCAATATTTTCTGTGAAATTTAACATAATACATCACAGAGGCAGCTGATCTTTTTCACAGGACTATCTAAGAAATAAACCTTCATAAATGATAGGATAGAGTGTTTTAAAGATGATTACTTCAGAAGAATCAATATATGATTTAAGAGATTGAGTTACTGTTTTCCATATATTTTATCTTAATTAAAATAAATGATTATTCCTACAAATAAAAGGAAACTAAATCTATGTTTATTAAAAATACACAAACAGGAAGTTTTATTTTCACACAAAGAAAGTTTAAAACTCAACAATAAAACAAGGAAAACTAGAGATCTTTGTTTTTCATAAAAGAAACTATGCACTTCATTTATTAATCCTTTGAACAAAGACTTATTTTTTTCTGTACTGCATAGAAGCAGCTTAGACTTTAGTGGAGTATAGAACTTACCAAAGAAAAGCAGAGACAAAAGACACAATCACTGTACATTATGCCTGTAAAATGGGAGTTGATATATGAATACATTTAAAAGCTGAATAGTAAAAATATGAAAGAGGTGTACAGATGGAGAAGATATAACAATGACCAATAATTGTACAAAATCATGCCTACCCTCTCCAGTTTCCAGAAAAAGGCAGTGTAGAGCAAACAGATTTGAAGAAAAAAATTAAAAGGATTAATAATAACCCAAATATATTTAGGATGAGGAAAAAGAGATGCTTTCATACATATCATTGGTGGACATATAAAATGCAAAATTCAGAGAGCAATTTGGAAAAAAATAAAGTGGCCATAAAATAAGGAAATCTCAATTATTTCTGTTTCTTTTCAAAACTTTATATTTCACTCTAAGTAAAAGGCAACAGTTTTTAAATATTCTAAAAGCTCTAAGCTTCTTAAACCTTCTGACATTTTCTCCTCCTACTTGCCTGTTGCTCACTGCTTGGCCCATGTAGATCTCTTTGATATTCTTCCAATACATTATGTGTTGTTCCAGTTCAAGGATTTATTTTGTTTTCTTAGTTTAGAATGTTATTTCCCCATATATCTATCTGTTCAGCTAACTTCTTCACCTCCTTTGGCCTTTGCTTAAATCTTACTGTCTCAAAGAGACTCACCTTGACTACCTTACTCAACACTGTAATGTCAGTCTTTTGTGTTTATTGTTTTCAATGATTTATCTCAGGTGTCTAGAACTCACTTTAGCAAATACTTATAGAATTAATAGAAGTACTTGGAAGACAGTGTGGTGATTCCTCAAGGATCTAGAACCAGAAATACCATTTGACCCAGCAATCCCATTACTGGGTATATACCCAAAAGATTAGAAATCATTCTGCTATAAAGACACGTGCACACATATGTTTATTGCAGCACTGTTCACGGTAGCAAAGACTTAGAACTAACCCCAATGCCCATCAGTGATAAACTGAATAAAGAAAAGGTGGCATATATACACCATGGAATACTATGCAGCCATAAAAAAGAAAGACTTCGTGTCCTTTTCAGGGACATGGATGAAGCTGGAAACCATTATCCTCAGCAAACTAACACAGAAACAGAAAACTAAACGCCGCATGTTCTCACTCATCATGGGAGTTGAACAATGAGAATACATGGACACAGGGAGGGGAACATCACACATTGGGGCCTATCAGGGGGGCTGTGTAGGGGGCAAGGGGAGGGAGAGCATTAGGACAAATACCTAATGCATACGGGGCTTGAAACATAGATGACAGGGTGATAAGTGCAGCAAACCACCATGGTACATGTATACCTATGTAACAAACCTGCATGTTCAGCACATGTATCCCAAAATTAAAAAAAGAAGTACTATGTCCAAAAAGTTTTCTCTATTTCAACATTGCCTAGCAATAAAAAATATATGGATACATTTTAAATGTCTATCAGTACAAGCCATTGTTATATCAATTCTAGGAAATATTATGCAAGATTTAAATAAATGTGGAACATTTATACATTCTCACATGAAATAATACCAAAGACATGTGGGTAAGTGACTAAAGCAAGTTTTAGAATTAGTAAAATGTGATCTTTAAATTTTGTTCATAATTGACATATAATAATTATACATATATATGAGATACAGTGTGATGTTTTGATACATGTATACATTGTGTAATGATAAAATTATGGTACTCAGCATATCATTTACCTCAACAATTGGTTATTTCTTTGTGGTGAGAACATTTAGAATGATCTCTTCTAATTATTCTGAAATACGCACTATAATACGGTTGACTATAGTCACCTTACTACACTGTAGTACACGAGAACTTATCTGTCTATCTCACTGTAATTTTTTTACTCATTTTCTTAATTATATGAAGAGATGGGAGTATCTTCCTTTCAACTTTATGCTTTCTAAAAATGTGGTCCAAATTAATAATAGTTAATTACCTTTTGGGAAAGGAGGGAAAGTAAATGTGAAAGAGAATGTATACATTGTATGAGTTACTTTCAACAAGAATACAATGATGTATGATTTTTAAATGCTAAAATACATAATAAGATGAGTGATTTTGACAGGTTCAGAGGAGAGCCAAATTTCTTTGGGATGAGATAGCATTCGAGTGAAAATTTAAAATATGCATATACTTTTCTAAAAAAAAAAGCCTTTGAGGTGGGGAAAGAATGGGAAAATAAGGCATTTAAGATAGAAGGATATATTGGAATATAATATATGTTCAGAAGTAGAGATTACTTGGGATCGGTATATGTGTGGGTTCAACAGAAACAGAAACTTCTAGAACTGTGAAGAGCTTATATTTGGGAAGGACAGTAATAGACCTTGCACACAAGGCTTAGGATTTCATACTTTAGTTTGTGTTAAAGGAAAGCCATGGGGACAGTGGTCTTGGTATTTAAATAGGCCAGTGTCTTGCCAGATATGGTGCTTAAAGAAAACCAGATTGACTATTTGGGGAAGGACAAGACTAAATAATTTTACCTATTTCAACCAGATGTGGTTAGAATTTGCCAAAAAATCTTCTGACAAGGATGTGTCTCTGAAGTTATTGAGTCACCAGACAAACAAAAAGGGTTACTGTAAACTCATTAAACAAAGATTTATGCTTATTTGTTATTTTTCTCCTTTATAGCTTATCATACAATGTTAATTCAATTATCTTTACAATAGAATGTGAATGAGCATAATGTTGGGAGTTGCCACAATTACCTATATATAATCAAACTCCGATGCTTTCAAAAATTGTATCTTTCATTCCTCTCACATATAATTTTATTTCTCATTACTTCATAATAACATACTCATCCATTTTTTCTATTATATAGTTAACAAAAATTACTGTGCATCTGCTATGAACTCTTGACTCTGGTAGGGGATTGGAATAAAATGACAAAAAGAAAAAAAGGTATAACTTTGGAATTCAGTTGGGAAGATATGAAATGTGACAATGAAAAACAAATCAGGTTTGATAGGTTTTTTGAACAATCTGAATACAGAAAACTAAAAAATACAGTTTAGATTATAAGAATTTTTATAAACAACATTAACAGAATCTTAAGAAAAAAAAACATGAGATTGGGTAAGTTGTAGATGATCTCTTTGATGAGATAATTCCCATACTGTTATCTAAAATACATGAGAGAACTAGCTATGCATGGATGAAGAAAATCATTTCCAGATACATAAACAACAGTAAAGAACTTGAATAAAAGAAAAACCTGTTACCTTGGGTTTGGTAAAGATTAGCATGGCTAGAGTTACATAAACTAGGAGAAATATATGGATTAAATATGAAATTAGGCAAGGTCTAAATGATTAAGGTCTGTTAAGGTCAAGGAAAAGACTTTGGATTTTCTTTTCCATGGATTGTGATGCCATCATATACTATTAACAAACTAACAAAAGGAAACAAGTTAACAATTAACATTTCTGAAAGAAATTAACCAGGCTACTTGTGAAAAATTGATTGAAGGGAGTGTCATTATTGTAAGCAGAAAAGCCAGTTAGGAGGTTATGGCTTTATCCAAGGTGAATTAGAGTGTAAATAGGCAAGTTAAGAGATCTATGTATATGAGGGAGCTTTAAAAAGTTTGTAGAAAAATGGAATGACAAGATAAAAATAAGAAGTATAAACTTCATTTTTTAACATATGCTCCAAGAACTTCAAGACACTGAAACTTCCTTTGCAAAAATTATTACAGTGTAAAAAATCTGACACAGCAGACTCTATCTTGCCTCTAACCTCACAAGCTAACTACCTTTGCCCATTTTTAGGCCTAGGCCAAGATAACCATGGAAGAAATTTAGTTTGTAGTTTAATCTTAAAGCAAGGGCGATAATAGCTCCTTTCCAAAACTACCTCCCTCTTCATTTGGAAACCAAAACTGCCTTGGTAAAACTAACCAAAGATGACAAGATTAGAAATCTGAGAGGAGTCTGAATTCTGCTAATGCAGTTAAGCAATAACCAGCCATTGTTTCTTAGTTGTCTTACTGCTCCAGAGTCATGTAGCTGGATATCATAAGATTTGCAACTTCTCTGGTTTCTCCTACAGATAACATCACCATTATAAAGCCTAAGGTTGGTCTTGAGATATTTTTCAGACTTTTGCATTCTGATAAACTGAATGACGCCACTTGGATCCATGACTCACACTAAGGAACTGATTCAGCTGGTCCTGTGACCCCCACCCAGAAGCTGACTCAATGCACAAAGACCGTTCTGATGTTCCTATGATTTAATCTCCAACCAATCAGGAACACTCATTCCCTAGACCCCTTCCTGCCAAATTGTCCTTAAAAAATCCTAGCCTCCAAGGCTAGGGATGGAGGTGGATTTGAGAAATATCTCCTGTCATTCCACTTGGCTGTCTTGTGATAATTAAACTCTTTCTTTTCTGCAACACTGCTGTCTCAGTGTATTGGCTTAACTGTGCAGTAGGCAAGAAGAACCACTGGGCTGTAAAACTACTTTTGTAACTGATAAAACCAGAAATTCAGCCTACCCTCCAAAAATGAGGGTGCTGAAATTTTATCCATATTAATGCAGTATTTTTACATTATTAATTTAATGAAATACTTTGAGCATCCCAGAAAAGTGTTGCTAGGACCTTTGTTCCTAATTGATGCACTTTTGCTTTGACTTGAACACTTCAACCTTTTGGTAGCCATTGATATTATTGTGCTTTGTCTTCAGAATCATACTGGCAAAGCCATATTTTATCTCCTTTTATAGTTCTTCAAAAAAGGCTTCAGGATTTTGATCTCTCTTGTTTAAAATATTCATTGAAAGCTTGGCTCTTGTCTGCAATGATTTTGGCATCCATTGCATAAAAATTTGCTCAACTTTAAATTTTTAGTCAGAAGTGTGTAAGCTAGTGTTGGCTAGTGTTTCTGCTGTATAATTGTTGATTCTCTTCAATTAGGACACAAATAGAGAATTTTTTTCTTCTAGCAACTTGATGCAGTTTTCTGCAGCTGCCAGCTTCATCCTCAACATCATCTCATCCCTTCTTAAAACCAGTTATCCAGGCCAGGCTCACACTTGTAATCCTCTCACTTTGGAAGGCTGAGGCAGGTGAATTACTTGAGCTCAGGACTTTGAGACCAGCCTGGGCAACAACTGGAGACCCAGTCTCTACAAAAAAAATATAAAAATTAGCTGATTGTGGTGGTGCACACCTGTAGTCCCAGTTATTTTAGAGGCTGAGATGAGAGGATCGATTGAGCCTGGGAGGTCAGGCTGCAATGAGCAGTGATTGCCCCATTGCACTCTATCCTGGGTGGCAGAGAAAGACACTGTCTGAAAATAAATAAATGAAAACAAACCACAGAAACACACACACACACACACACACACACACACACACACACACACGAAACAATAACTCTCTCTATTCATTTGCAAACTACTGATTTCTTTGAAGCTTTGTCCCCGTAAGATTTCTATAAAGCATCAGTGATTTAACCTTTCTTCCACCCACGCTTCACCATAAATTTTATGTTTGTTCTTGCTTCAATTTTACTAGAATCCATGTTGCTTTGATAGGGGACCTTTTCAAACTGAGGTCAACAAATTTTTGGTGCAAAAACTTTTGAATTCCCTGCATAGTTTTTTTCATAATTCACATTTTTCATGAACTTTTTGAAGTTCCTTCATATTTGAAATACATTTTGGAATTAAAATTGACAGACATTACAGATGCATTGAATACTAAAGGTAGAAAAATGAATATATCAGATATGAGTATCTTGTTTGAGAACTAGGAAGGTTGTTTTACTGATGAGATAAACAAGGAAAGCACACAGAAGTTTTTGGGGGGACATGGTAAGCCTAAGATATAGATGGAAATGTGACGGTAGATGGATATATAGATATGGAGCTAAGAACAATAGCCTTGGCCATATATATATATACACACACACATATATACACAGACACACACACACACGCACACATCATAATATATTTAGGTGCTATATATATTTATACATATAATTTATATATATATATATCTCATATATAAATATATAATTTGGGAGTTAATAGAATAGAGATGATATTTCATAGGAGTGTATGATGCCACTAAGAGACAAAGCATAGTTGAAATGAAGAGTTTTGAACACAAAGGAATTATAATATACAGAGTCTGTATGGAGTAAGAGCCAACAACAACAGAAGAGGGTAGGACCTGTCAATGAGGGAGGATAGAGCCAGGAACAATTTTACTTTTCAAATTTGTACTTGTCACTCCCTCTCCCAAGAAAACTCTTTTTCAGATTACTCTATGCCTATTTTCCTCAACTTTTTTTTTTTTTTTTTTTTTTTGAGATGGACTTCCACTCTGTAGCCTAGGCTGGAGTGCAGTGGTGCAATCTCTGCTCACTGCAACCTCTGCCTCCCAGATTCAAGCAAGTCTCTTGCCTCAGCCTCCCCAGTAGCTGGGATTACAGGCACAAACCACCATTCCTGGCAGATTATTTTGTATTTTTAGTAGAGACAGGGTTTCACCATGTTGGCCAGTCTGGTCTCAAACACCTGACCTCAGGTGATCTACCTGCCTTAGCCTCCCAAAGTGCTGGGATTACAGGCATAAGCCACCACGCCCGGCTTATTTTCCTGAACTTTTTAGGTCATAGTTCAAGCATTAGCAGCTTAGTGATACTTTCCTAGACCACTTAATTTCAAATCAATCACACCCAATACTGACACTTCCTACGCCTTTCTCTTTCTAGCACTTAGCAAAATCTAACATATGTATTTTACGGAGTTATTTATAAAATGTTCTGCTGCCATAAGAATATATGACCCAGGAAAGCAGAAATTGTGTTTTTTTTTTAAATGCTATATCCCCCAAACTTAAAATTGGTGCTAAATATATTGATAATGTACCGTAATTTTGTTTTTTGTGAAGCTGAATGGAGCAATTTTATTGGACTATTGGATATTGATATAATATTAAAATGGTTTTATGAAAGAATGGGAGCTGGGGAAATGACTGTGCAATCATTTGGTTGGGGTTCATTCTGACATTATAATCAGTGGGGGCACTAACTTTGACAGGAGTAAGAAAATATGTTTATAATAAAAATTAAAAGATATATATATGATGAATGTAAGGATTGTAGATTTGACTTGAGGAAGATGAGGAATTTTCTTCATATCTTTAATTTCCTCAATGAGCTCTTCAACTTGGTGTGAGTAAAGCAAGAGTTAGGTTTGTGGGGAAAAAGAAGAAAAAACATCCGATTTACCAGTCAACCCAGTGAATAATACTTAAAAGGAAAATGTGGTAGTATGGCTGTATTCATCTGTTTTTGTGTTGCTATACAGAAATACCAAAGGCTGGGTAATTTATAAAGAACAGAGGTTAAATCCTGTTCCACCTGGTTATCACCCCTCCGTGGAACTCAGGAGCTTGGTTGGCAGAAGGAGCAGCAGAGACCAGGCAGTCCAGCTTTGCAAAGGCTCTTCGTGTGCTGTGACAGGCAGGCATCCGCCAATCACCATCCCTGCTGCCCAGATGCCCAAGAGGAAGGTCAGTTCAGCTGAAAGGGCAGTAAAGGAATAACTCAAGAGGAGATCTTCATGATTGTCAGCTTAATCTGCTCCTGCAAAAGTGGAAATGAAGCCAAAAAGGCAGCAGGAAAGGATAAATCTTCAGACAAACGAATGTAAAGGAGAAAAGGGGAAGAGCAAAGGGAAAATAGGCAAAAATGGCTAAGAAACTAAAAACGATTTACCTGCAGAAAACGAAGAGAGTAAAACCACGGAGAACCCAGCGTCTGATGAAGCCCGAGACAAAGAAACCAAATCTGATTAATATTATACATAGTGTCTCAACAGTGGTTCCTGTATTCCTTCTTGTACAGTCCAGAAGAAGATTTTTATCAACTATTTTATAAACGCAAGTTTGTTAGTAGCTCTCATTTTCAGGAAGGAGGGAATCCTACCTCATCCCATTCTTTAAGTGATTTTTTAAGAGGTGACATTATTTGTCAATTGTTTATTTTTTGGTACAACCAGAAAAAACTCCCATAATATTGAATTATGGGAGGCTTTGACCATCTTAGGTGTCACCTTAACATTCCATAGAAGGGATTCGTTTTTATAACCTGTAATACAAAGTATACTAAATGGCAACATGGAGTCACAGTTCTGCATTTAATGTCTTGAACATTTAAAATTATTTCTATTCCCATGTTGTTTTTCAGTTGCATTGTTTCCTAAAGAAAACCACTCCTTGACCATGGCTCTCCCAGTCAGACTCGTGCACACTCTGTAACATCTTTGGTGTTGGTAGTTGTGTTTTCCTAATAACATTGTTAACGTGCTGTGAAATACTGAAAATCTGAGTATGTAGTGTATACACTATTCAATTGTGAATTGTTGGTAGTTATGTAACAGCTTATCAACATGTGAAGATGCTGGAACTTGATAGTCTCTTAAGTAAAGTTTGACTCCAAATTTTAACCAGGAAAATCACTGGAATAACTTTAAAAAATAATTACAATACATGGCTTTTTAGACTTTTGCTATATGTGTTAAGAATTGTGTACAAAGTGAAATGTCTGTGGACTGATCCTCGACATAACCAATAAAATCTCAATTATGGAAGAAGAAATAAAAAGAAAGGAAAGGAAAAGAAAAGAAAAAAGAAAAGAGGTTTGATTAGCTCATGGTTCTTCAGGCTGCAGAGGAAACACGGCACTGGTATCTGCTCATCTTCTGCTGAGGCCTCAGTGAGCTTACAATCATGGCAGAAGGCAAAGCAGGAGCAGACATTGTCATATGGTGAGAGCAGGAACCAGAGACAGAAGGGGGAGGCCCCAGACTCTTTGAAACAACCAAATTTTGAAGGAACTAAATGAGTGAGGCCTCACTTATCACCAAGGGGATGGTGCTCCTACAAACTAATACCTCCCATCATGCCCCACCTCCAACATGGGGATTACATTTTAACAAGAGATTTGGAAGGGACAACCATTCAAATCATATCAGTGGCCAAGCAGTGTGGATCTTCTATGTGAGTGTTGTCATTTCAGATTTAAAATGTGAAGAACCAATCGGTTTATATCAGTATCACCAATTTTGCTATGTTGCTTGAGTGCAATCAAAGAGAAGGTAATGCCTGTTCAGCTAGATGGATTTTGCTAGTTAAATGGGGAAAACTTAAGAGGGATGTTAAAAGCATGCACATATATATCCTTTCTTCACAAGTAATTATAATGGTAAAACTAAAACATGGAATCTGTGTTGGGCAAGGAGGCAAGTTAAGACAGAGGAGACTGAAAGATGGAAAAAGTTATGAATGTGAAGAATGATACCTTGCTATAAAGTCAAAGAATTGTGGCAGTGAAAAGACAAAATACATTATTTTCATGTACTCAGTCCTTAAGCCATTATCTTACTGTTCATCATTTCTTTTTATCACATTCCTAGGAAGATTCCTCCTACTGACCTCTGTATCAGTTAATAAGCTTGTAGTGTATCCAATTAACCTGGGAGTATCCAAGCAAAACAACCAATGGTTGCAAAGTACATCTTAAAAGTCTGTGCATATATTATGGGTGGTCTGGGTAGACTCTTACTTCTGAAGGTTATTTCAGAGACGTAGCAGTTTAATACAGAATCAGAGAGAAAGTGATGTGGAGTTTGGAAGGGAAACGTCAAGCCTGAATAGCCTGATTTTAGATTTCATTCAGAACAATGATGAAAAATACTACTAAAATAGACACAGTCAGGGAGTTTTCAGGCTTCATTATGCTTGAGTAAAGAATGATTCACATGGCCAAGCACACTGGCTCATGCCTGTAATCCCAGTACTTTGGGAGGCCGAGGCAGGTGGATCACCTGAGGTCAGGAGTTCGAGACCAGCCTGGCCAACATGGTGACACTCTGTCTTTACTAAAAATACAAAAAAAAAAACTAGTTAAGTTTTGTAGTATGTGCCTGTAATCCCACCTACTTGGGAGGCTGAGGCAGGAGAATCGCTTGAACCTGGGAGATGGAGGTTGCAGTGAGCCGAGATCATGCCTTTGCACTCCAGCCTGGGCCAGAGTGAGACTCCATCTCAAAAAACAAAAAACAAACAAACAAACAAAAAAAACGAACAAAAAAAAACAGAATTATTCACAAACTATTTTAGTTTTTAATGTGTCTAACTATAAAGCTAAATCTCTTGGGAATAACCACATAGATGTAAGGTATGCTTATGTAATTTGAATTATAGAAAAAAGAATGATTTGATTTTCTAAACCAACTGACATATTAGAACCAAAATAAAACTTAATAAAATAAAAACAAGTCTTAATCTAGATAAGTGTTTGTCTAATCCACCAGCAACACACATATACACATTCATTCTCTCTCTCTCTCTCTCATACGTTAACACGGGAATATTAGATTATCAGGGATATTTCTTTGCTTTAGCGTCTTTGGAGGGGAAAGGGACAACACAGGAAGCAAACATGAAATGGTCATTTTTGGACAAGCACAGAGTTAAACTTATATTTATAACTATATTTTGCTAAAAATTAGCTTAATAATCAATGCAATATTGAACAATTTTCTCTTTTCTACAAATTAAAAATATTTCTTTCCTTAGCTACTTTTTCTCTTATGTGTTAAAGCATTATCCAAATTATAATTTCCATGTGTATCTGGACAAGGTTCTTAAATATACTAAATCAGAAAAAAAAAAAACAGGATTACGGAGGAGTAACATGCTTTGACATATTTTTGTGTGTATATGTGCCATGGCATTAATTAGTTTGCACTGACATTACCTTAGAGTCAAGAATATGTCAGTGAGTGGAATTTAAATTCTCTCATGTATATGCATATATATGCAAGAATATATATATATATATATGAGAGAACTTAAATAAGTGCTCCATGATATTACAACTGTTGTTACAGAACCATAAGTTCAAATTCATACATATACTAACATTTCAAAATGCTATATTTGCAAAATTGCTATCAAATTTTGTGTTGAATAGAGAGACATAAGGATCATCTAATTCTGTAAACTTTCTGAAAACAAAAAGTTAAAGCTGACTCTAAAGTAGCACTCATAGTACAGATATGACTTATCTATAGTCCCAGGCTCTCTTCAAATACATTAAACTTGAAATAAAACCTTCAGGCAGATTTATTGCTTACATTATTGGATTACCACAAATGCCTTGGGCTCATACATCTTTAGAATGAGCAGCCATGTCTGTCTACAAATATGAACACACACACATACACACATTTACTTGAACAATAAATCTTGAAAGTAAAAGCTCTCAGTATACATCCAAGACTCTTTTGGGGTATTTTTTTTTCATTCTTTTTTTTCTTGAAAAACAGTTGATTTAGTAAGAAAATCTTCACTTGAGCTCCAATACCAAAGATAGTAAAGTTTTTTAAAACCTGTCTTCCTACAACTACATTTGTTCTTTTTATATTTTTTATTTCTAAAAGGTTGTTCTTGCCTCTTTAAAAAGAAATCATGAAAGAGAAGTGAAAAGAGAAAAATAGAAGGAGAAAGTAAGAGGATGTGTAGGGAAACATTTCAAAATCACCTTTTATTTGACTTTAATTTTTTCTCTAACATTATTATTTGGTAGAAAACAAAATCAATCGAGGTTTTAAGATTAACAGTCAAGTAATAAGATTTATGAAATTCCGGAACAGTATATAGTGTTCTAAGATGTGAGAATGGGGGATTTGGTTTCAATGCTGCTGAAATTAGACTTTCCTCTGTACATTTATTGATGCACATTGATAATAAAGGAAGCAGCTGTGCCTGTTGAAAACCACCATTTGAAGTAGCAATTTGGTGGCAGAAGATGACATGTGAATTTCCCAGGCTTCAGAACAGAAAGTTGGGGACAGAAGCTGAACAACTGCAATTACCATATTGCAAATGACCTCTGCTAGTTGGAATGCTGCCCACAGCCACTACAACTCACCTTGATTAATAAACATTTCCTACAGTGCCTGGACTGCTAAAAAGTGACATTTTACATTTTCAAGATTGGCTATTAATTTAATCTATGTAAACATCACTCATAATCTGTGATGCACATTCCCATATTTCAAATAAAAATGACATGCAAATTGAAAATATGACAAACCGGCTACTCAAAATTCCAGCAATGGAAAATATGTGCTCATAGCGCTAAAAAAGAAAAAAAAAAAAAAGGTGTGTCTGAAGCTTCTCCCTGCCTATTTAGAAAGCATTGAGTGACAGCTTAAACTAGGGCTTGTAACGCCCAGGGTGAGACTACCTATGAGGGCAATGAAAAAATTTTCACTGTGAGCTGTGCAGTGACTTCTACTTGATACTTCTTTCCCATATCAAGGAAGGAATAGTCGTATTCTAAGGTGCATAAAATTACCTCGAAGCTGATGCCTCCATTTTATAATATGCTTTTAAGAAGAAGATAATAATGAAGATGATAATTTCCATTTTTTCTCATATATTGGCTAGGTGTGGGGTGGATAAAAATGATAAAACTGCATAACGTTTATTGAATGCCAGGAGCTCGTTACTTATGTTGTTATAACAGAAATGCTAGCTATGTGGGAGGTGACAAAACCTCTCATCTTGTCTTTCACTTGTATTTTTAAAAACTTTTTAGTCTCTATCTCACCCCCTGGGAAGAAGCAAATCCAGTGTCTATTTCCTGTTAGTAGCACCCACATTCCATCTCAGCTAATAATGTTAAAATTCCTTTTTCCAACCAAATTCTGCATTCTGCCCTTGTTTCCATTCTCTTCCTGTGCGGCCTTCTCTCAGTTGTCTAATATCTCCTGTGTAGAGAGCCCAGATTAAAGTGCAGCCTAAACTACCATAAAATGGCTGTCAGAATTGATGGATAATGATGAGGGTGGGACGCGAAGGTGCAAATTGAAATCTCGTTTAAAATGTAATACTTTAGGAGCCAGCCTTATTTTTGAACGTTTCAGTCTTAATCTACTGGTAGATATTTCCCATGTTCCAAGTTTCTTTTCATTAATATCTGGTTTTTCACCATTTGCTGAGTAATATATTTCCCTCCTCAGATCTCTTTATTTTTTATTCCCTTTTCTGTCATCTCCACCATAATAACTCCTTCAGGGAACCTCTCTCTTCTCCTTCTTGATTTCTGGAAATAAGTAAATCGATTAAAGCACCATTTGTTTCTATAGCACTGTGATCTGGGGTTCATCTTTACACATCCAAATAGTTAATCAAAGCATTTGCTAAAAATAAAAAAAAAAAAGAAAAGAAAGGAAAAAGAGAGATGAAGAAAAGAGAGAAGAAAAAAGTATATATAACTATTTACTCATTCTTCTTCCTTGTCCCATTTTACTAAAGTATGTACAACAGTCCTTTGATTTTTATATTTGAAATTTAGAAATATCTCTAAATTTCAAACATAAAAATGAGCCTCTAAGATGTTAATTATGCAGCCTAAGTCACAGAGCTACTAACATCCAAAGCTTATATTCAAATCTATTCTGTAAAGCCAGAGCTCACTCTTTCTATCTCTCTCTCTCTCTCTCATTCTGTGTGTGCGTGTGTGTGTGTGTGTGTGCATGTGTGTGTCTTTATAATATTTTAGGCCAAATGCACCATGAAGACTACCAGTCTTAAAAATATCATGTGAAAAACACAGAAAAGCTTAACAGTTGTCAAATGTTGTTAGATGGACAACTAAAAAAAAATTAGGGGGTATTAATGTACTCCAGAGATACTAGAACTCTTAGATATGATGAGAATTGGCTCACATGGTTCTGGCGTCTGAGAAGTCTCACAATCTGCCATGTACAAGCTGGAGAATCAAGAAATCCAGTGGTGTAATTTAGTCTGAGTCCAAAGGCAAGACAACCAGAAGTACCAGAGTCCAAGGGCAGGAGAAGGTGGGTCTCTCAGCTCAAAAAAAGAGAGTGAATTTGCCTTTCTGCCTTTTTGTTTTATTAGCCCTCTGAATTTGATGATACTCACCAACATTGGTAAGGGTTGTTATATATAAAGTTTCGGTACCGCAAAAGAAATAGCACTCGAATATAAAATTTTCTTTTTAATTCTCAGCAAGGCAAGGTACTTCTATGTAGAAGGGTGCACCCTTACAGATGGAATAATGATGAGTACAAACTTGGACAAGGAAGGGGAAGGGGTTCTTATCTCTGACGCACGTGGCCCCTGCTGCAGTGTCATTCCCCCATTGGCTAGGGTTAGACCACACAGGCTAAACTAATTCTGACTGGCTAATTTAAAGAGAATGACAGGGTGAGTGCTTTGGAGGGAGTCAGGGCAGAGCAGGTAGCAGGTAATTGGAATGAGGGTGGAGCAGGTGATTGGAATGTAGGGTGGAGCAGGTGATCGAAAAAGTTGCTTTAGGAGGAAGTTAAGTTTAAAAGTAGAAGGCAAAAAATTGAAAATACTGACATATTAATTCTTTGAAAAGAAATTTGGAACTCATATCCAACAGGGTGAATATTCTTCCCTCAGCCTACTGATTCAAATACTAATCTCTTCCACAAGAAAACCTCATAGTCACACTCAATGATAATGCTTTATCAGCTATCTGGGCATCTCTTAGCCCAGTCAAATCAACACACAAAATCAACCATTAGAAAGAGTCATCTGGATTGATTAAATAACCTCATTTATCAAAATTTTTATAGTCTTTTCTCCCCACATTTTTAACAAATGCCTCTTGTATATCATTATTGCCAATGTTGCCCCGAAAAGCAGATTCTTCAGTTTTGGTTCAATTCAACTTATGCTGGCAGACTCTGTGTGCTGGGGTTATACTAGGCACAGCGAGTATAGTGCAAAGGTAAAACACGCTCTCACAGACCCACTTCTTGTAGGCCTATAAGAATCACCTGAAATGCTTATGAAAACCTGGATTTCTTGGTTCTTCACCCCCACAAGAGATTCTTATTCAGAAGCCCAAAGTATGATTCAAGAATTCATATTTCTGCCAAGTTGCCAGACAATGATGATACTGCTGGAACTCAGAACGCATGATGAATAACAGTGCTCTAGAGGATGTTTTTGCAATAATTAGGATGAGTTCAGATGTAATTACCTAAAAGCCTGACAGAGAATTAAAATTAAAAACCCTGTATAAGATCACATAACAAAAAGTCTGCATGTTGGAGCTTTTAGAGCTGGTCCACAGCCCAGCTCTATCATTAATTACCAAAGCTGTTTTCACACTTTAAATTACCCAGCTCCATCAAGCTATCACCTATCTTAGGGACTGGTGTGTCATGTTTCTGAAATGATTGTCACATCTAGAAGTAGAAAGAGTTAAGCAAAGAAGAGGATTTTCAGTTCAGCAAAATATTTCTGTCTTTATCTCTATTTGTGATAGAGAATAAAACATTCCTGAACATGTGGGAGACTTCCTATCTTTTATGGTCTGGATTTATCACAGGACTTGAAGCTGAGAAATTATATATGCGGCATTTTCAAATAGTAATGTGTACAGTTTCTACCAGTAAGGGAGAAGAATAAGGCTAATGATTAGGTTACCAACTATATTCAGAATATTATAGAAAAATATAAAGAGAATATGTTTATTTAAATTGGGCCTACACATCATTCTCAAGGAGAGTGTATACAAAGACATGGGGTTATAAAAGAGTACAGAGTATTCAGGAAATGGAATAAAAGGTATTTTTAAAATATATGGATTTGATAGAACTACAGAGTATATGGAAGGAAATTGTCAAGGAGAAGCTAAAAGAGAAAGGGCAGATACAATTTCTGGCAATTGTATTTACATTTTGTAGTTATCATATGCCTATTTAGTGCAAAATTATTGTTTAAGGCTATGATTGAGGAATTCCATTTCAAATTTTCCAGGAATAATTAGAAGAACTCTTTTTGGATATAAACTTTATTTGCTAATGGGATCTCAATAAATAATAATAATCTGAGATAGCACATAACTCTACTGATAAAGAGGAATGTATACAGCCTTCCATTGCACCTTTATTCTTTCTGCCAGTGTCATCGTTTTTGTATTGGGGCCTCAAAAGCAATCAAAAAAGAGAAAGCAGGAATTGCAGGGATAATATAATCAGGTGGTTCTTTCTGTTCACCAGCAGTGAGTTTGTAGACAGGAGCTCATGGATGAAAAAGTTAACTTTGGTGTCTGCCTTTCTCAGCTGTTTATCAGATCCTTAGAACAAGAGAAATTTAAATAAACATGAACCAGGATTCAATCCTCCTGTTATATGCTCCCACTTTGGAAAGTTATAGAAATGTGCTCCTCTGATGAGATCCTTTTTATTTGCCCTCAACTTAACTATAATTATCATTTGCTGGAACCAGACCCACTTAACATTTTAATAAGTGCTTGTCAGTGTCTTCAGTAGTGAAAGTGAAAATCAGTGGGGTGGAATTTCTGAACCACGGTGATATTCTCAAAGGAAAAAAATTAACATAAATGAGAGGTGGTGATTTTATTATTCTAAAGGTGCCTCTGGAGTTGCCCTCTGTAGAATCTGAGATATCATGTAGGTCTTAGAGCTTTTCCCCCTTCTTTTAGAGTTTTTCTCTGGCTAGATACAGTTTGCAGAATGGCAGAATCTGAAACCACTCAGCATAAAAGGCTTGCAAAATCAATATTGCTCCTATCAGTCACCAAGCAGAAGATTCATTTCACACATCAAACAGAATGCAAAGCCATGGATTCTTGTACTCCTAGTGAAATGGGTTTCTGTATAGATACATGAAGTTAATAAAAAAACTAACACATTGATCGTATATTGACAGGGCTATTTTTCTCTGTGATTAATGGTCTCACATTCTGTGCCAATACAATAGCAAGCTCTTCTGAATTTTTCTACTGCTTTCTGAAAGCAGCCTAGCCACAATTTCTCTGTCATGAATTTCTTTAATCACAACAAATTTCTACTACTTGAATTATCCATTAAGAGTATTATATATCACAACCCCCATCTTGTAACCAGTGAACTTAATACATGTCTTCAGTGTAAATTTATCACATTTTTTTTGCAATTATGTATTTGTTTCTATCATACTTTAAATGAAAAACTTTATGAAGTCAGGTACAATGTTTTAGTCATTTCTGATATTCAAGCATAGCTCAAAATCTGGCGAGAAGAAATAAGAGACAAAGAGAAAGGAAAGAAAGAAGGAAGGAAGGATGGAAGGCAGGAAGGGAGGAAGGAAGGAAAGGAGGGAGGGAGGGGAGGGGAGGAAAGAAAGAAGGGAGGGAGGTAGAGAGGGGGAAAAAAGAAAACACTGATATGCTTAATCAGCTTTAATGAAGAAGAAATGCTAGCATCTAAAGGGGGAACTGGCAATAAAATAGCTCCATATCCTTCAAGGGCAAGCCAGAATTCCAATTCCATGTTTAATACAGAAAGCATTGCTTTAATAAGGATTTTCTGGGCCTGGCGCGGTGGCTGATGCCTGTAATCCCAGCACTTTGGGAGGCCAAGGCGGGCGGATCACGAGGTCAGGAGATCGAGACCATCCTGGCTAACACGGTGAAACCCCCGTCTCTACTAAAAATACAAAAAATTAGCCGGGTGTGGCGGCGGGTGCCTGCAGTCCCAGCTGCTGGGGAGGCTGAGGCAGGAGAATGGCGTGAACCCGGGAGGCGGAGCTTGCAGTGAGCCGAGATGGTGTCACTGCACTCCAGCCTGGGCGACAGAGCGAGACTCCATCTCAAAATAAATAAATAAATAAATAAATAAATAAATAAATAAATAAAGATTTTCTTTTGTAGGTATAGACATCAGGGGAGTCATGCAGTGACTGCCTGGCTGTGAAAGATGATTATGCGGATGGAGTTGTCTCGCTCAACGTATCTCTTCTTGAGCGTGTTTACTTTTAAAAATCTAGAAATTCCCTTTTCAGTTACTATTTAAAATTTGTAATTTGATTTCTTTATACACACACCGTCACACATACAACACATAATTTTATATAAAGGCAACATAGTTTTTTCCCTAATTTTTTGCCTTTCCCTCTCATAAATTCCCTCTATTTGCAGCCCTTCTCTGCCCTCTGTTAAATCAGTCTCTTTCAAATTTTTCCCCTTACTAACATAATTGTATATAGGCATAAACAAACACAAACACATATGTATATACTCCTAGAACCTTATTCATTATGACTAGCTTTTATAAATGCACCAAACTTTTGATTATTTTTCTTCTCTCTCAAAAGTGCCACACAGAAATTCCTCCAAGTCATGTGGTGTACTCTGATTGATGTATTATTTAACCTTAGTATACCATAGCGTGTTGTCAAAGAAAATCAAAGCAGAATAGCAGTTAAAAAGGTAAAGACAAATAGTATTCAGGAACTATTGAAATAGGAGGAAAGAGACCTTGTTATAAACTGTGCTTAATTTGGCTGGACTCAGTTGCTCACACCTGGAATCCCAGCACTTTGGGAGATTGAGGCAGGGAGATCGCTTGAGCTCAGGAGTTCAAGACAAGCTTGGGCAACATGGTGAGACCCCATCTCTGTAAAAAATTAGCCAGGCATGGTGGCATGCACCCGTGGTCTCAGCTACTCACATACTCAGTAGGCTAAGGCATGAGGACAGCTTGAGCCCAGAAAGTCGAGGCTATATCACTCCACTGCACTTCAGCCTGAGTGACAGAGTGAGATCCTGCCTAAAAAAAAAAATGTACTGAGATTAATTCCCAACACATCATCATCAAGTGAGGATTTGCAGCTAAGGAACAGGATGAAGATCTGTGATACAAAATTACTAGGAGAAAGCATCAGGGTTAAAAGGGATTCTGGCTAACCTACCAGGGCACTTAGATATGCCCTGGGTGATGTGGGGGATAAGAAATTTGATCAGATATGGAGGGTGATCAAATATTGAGGGTGGAGGTTTTGGTTAATGACTTAGCAAGATTTTTTTTATGACTAGGTAATGCAGGCCATGGACAGATTACCATATTTGGGGCATAATTGAGAAAGGGGCTTAGAAGAGCCTGACTAAAATTTGGCCAAGAAGACAGTCTTTGTCAATGTATTCAGCATAATTTATTCAGACCTCTTATTTTCTTTCCAAATATTTTTATCTATGATTAATGCTGCTTTAAACTTATTGTATTAAGGGCTAGAACTTCTACAGATAGATTCCTAGGTATGGGATTGGTAGGGGAAGAGTTATATATTTTTAACTTGAAACCATCTTGTCAAAAGTCCTCTAATGCCACAATCTTTGACTACGTATGTGAGAGACCTTACTTCCCCAGAAGAGACTTTTCTAGACATCTTTAGTGAGGGACACAACTAATTCTGCCACACATCTACAATGTCTCTGGGAGATTCTCTTAGTTTGCATTAGCAGACCTTGAAAGAAAAATATGCAAATATCCCGGTGGTCACATTGAGTGTTGGCTCTGATACAAAGAAATGTGTCTGAACAAGAGTGACTTCAGATAGCATAGAAGTCACTTAACAAAATTATTTATGGCTTTGTTCTAAGTCACAGAAATTTTTATAGTTTTATGATTTTCTTGTGGGCAGGTATTGAAAATGTTTCCCAGGAAAAAACTACCTGTGTCATCATTTTAATACCCTAGCGAAACCGAATCGAAGTCACTCTTATTCAGTCTCCTTGATTGTGAATTAATAGGAATCTATACCTTGGAATGCCTTTGTCAACTGGGGGGAGAACAATTTAAATCTTTCTTTTTGATGTTTATTTGGATTGAAAATGTGCTTATATAGTAAGTCCTTCATATCTATGGGTCCAACCATCCAAAGATCAGAAATATGGCAAAAAATAGAAAATAAAAGTTAATACAGGCCAGACACGGTGGCTCACCCTGCAATCCCAGCACTTTGGGAGGCCAAAGTGGCAAGATCACCTGAGGCCAGGATTTCGAGCTACACCACGACACTCTATCCTGGATAACAGAGTGAGAATCTGTTTTTTTTTTTTTTTTTTTTTCTGAGATGGAGTCTTGCTCTATCACCCAGGTTGGAGTGCAGTAGCATGATCTCTGCCTACTGGAACCTCTGTCTCTTGGGTTCAAGGGATTCTCCTTCCTCAGCCTCCTGAGTAGCTGGAATTATAGGCGTGCAGCACCATGCCTGGCCATTTTTTTTTTTTTTTTTTTTTTGTAGAGACAGGGTTTCACCATGTTGGCTAGGCTGGTCTTGAACTCCTGACCTCAGGTGATCTGCCCACCTCAGCCTCCCAAAGTGCTGGGATTACAGGCATGAGCCACCATGCCTGGCCAAATCTGTCTTTTTTAAAAAAAGAAGAAAAAAATTACAACCATAAAAATAATACAAAAGTCAATACAGTATAAAAACTACTTACATAGCATTTACACATTGTATTTTATATTATAATGATGATTTAAAGTATATAAGACATATGTTGGGGGTAGGAGGCAAGAAGAGGGAGAGCATTAGGACAAATACCTAATGCATGCGGGGCTTAAAACCTCAGTGATGGGTTGATAGGTGCAGCAAACCACCATGGCACACGTATACCTATGTAACAAACCTGCATGTTCTCTATCCCAGATTTTCAAGTAAATAAAGTAAAATAAAAAAAGGAAAACAAAAAGAAAATATGCTTTTCTTTCTATTTGAAGAAATATATAATTTTTGAGTTGCATTGCCTCCTCATAGCCACATAACAAAATACACCTCCAGACATCTGAATCAATTGATCTGCTTGGGGTTGGTGGGAAAGTGTATGCCAAGAACAAAGATTTGGCACGGAGTAATATTAAACTGTTTATTCTGCCCATAATTAGAAATAGAAAGCTTTGTTTTCTGAAATGCTTTCAGAAAAATGATAGTAAAAATCTTCATCAGCATGGGCTGAATGCACCCCCCAACCCCTAACCCATACGTTCATCTACAACAGCAGAAGTATATGCATGGAGTTTATCTAAAATATTTGCAGCAGAATTTTGACATGCTCATGAATCCTCCAATTTTCTGCCAAAATGATTCAATTATTCAAACATTAAGAGAAAAACATGCAACCTAAGGGACAGCCTGAGAAATTTGATAGCCTGACTACTAGAGATGGAGTGCCCTTGGAGGCATCACCTTCTGTGCACAGCCCTGATGAAGTTTAGATCTCCACCAGAGAGACTGACACAGAAAGCTGTGCCCTTGCCATAGCATCAACAGTTTACACTGTCAGAAGAGCCTAGAGAGTCTACAGACCCCTCTGCACACTTTAACTAAAGACTCTCAGCCCATCAGCCTTTTGAGAAACAGAATATCTCCTATCTTCTAAACATCTGAAAGACACAAGCAGGACCTGAGGAGTTGCTTAGGTAACTGACATTTACTTACCTCTGCTGACAATGCTGGTATATCTGGGCGTAAGTGGACAGAGTGAACAATGAAAAATGATGTGTAATCAATAAAAGTAAATGTTTGAAAAAAAGACATATGCATAAATTATATGCAAATACTAGTCATTTTATATAAGGCACTTGAGCATCTGCAGATTATGGTATCCAATTCAAGGAGCAACTATGTGTGTGTGTGTGTGTGTGTGTGTGTGTGTGTGTGTGTGTGTGCATGCGTATTTCTAAATATATCTTGGTCGGTGAAGAGCAATTCATAGAGAAATTCATATTCTATAGGAAGTAATTCAAATTTCTGACCATGCCCTTCAAGAGTTTTGATAATTTGAACCTCACCAACTTCTCCAGATTCTACCTTACTTAAATGAGCTCAGGGAGTGTCCTATATGCAACTTAGATTATATTGCTTGCTGATTTATAATTTGCATGAACACAACACTTTCACATCTACATTGTCATTACTTATATTGTCACCTGTGCTTAGACTTCTTTCCCCTTTACGATATTTAATCATCCTATGCGTCATTCAAGGCCCCACACAAAGATATTTTCTTCCATGAAATTTTCTGTGACTGTTTAACTTGTTGGTGATTTCTTCTAATGTCTTACTCTTATCACATTTTGTCATGTATTATCCTCATTTCAATCTTTGTTCTATATTACAGAAATAAAATTTTGAGCCAGTTGATTAGGGATACTTCATTGTTAATGTTTGCATATATTTTTTCAAAGAGTCCTCCATGTAGAAGGATCCAATAAAATATATACTACTTCATTATTTGTAGAGGGACTGCATAATCTAGTATTTTTTCATCAATGATATCTAGGGTTGACGACTATTTTCATCATTTACTATCTGTCTTTGGAAAAATTACTTAAATTATGAACCTACTTTCTTGCTTGTAGAATGTCCACTACACCTATATTTCTGAATAATTATGAGAATTAAATGATATTGTAAAATGTCTACCACATGTCTGATATATGCTAGTATATAATATTAGATATTGTTTAAAAATAAAAAATAAAATGAAGCTATAGTTATGCTTGCTATAATAAATAATTATTTAAAAGTAGGCAGAAATGTTGAAGACAGGCTGAATGGAAGTTTGTGTTTCTACAGTTATTATTGTTGTTATTCTATTTCTTTGGGAAAACCAAATCTTGAGATGTCATGGCACTACTCCAGAGCTTTGAATTTTATGAAATTTCTATCCAAAGAAGGCGTTCAACATACTCTTGGAGGATCTTTTCATTAAAGACAAAAAACAAAAACAATGCAAATGAAATTGAAACATTGAAAGACTATTCCATGATAAGTGAGTCTATTGTATCTGCATTTAAAATAAACAGTTAGAAATATAAATTACGGCAGGACAGACATCAAAGGAGTGAAAAGAGTCAAGAAGGGTTCCAAGAATGAGGAGGACAAGTCACAGGGTACAGGAGCCTGTTTTTCAACACTTCTGCCAGTCCAAACAAGGAAAGTGTAAACATCAAATTAAATAGTAACCACTAGAAGCTGGGGGCGGTGGCTCAAGTCTGTAATCCCAGCACTTTGAGAGTCCAAGGCGGACGGATCACCTGAGGTCAAGAGTTCGAGACCAACTGGCCAACATGGTGAAACCCTATCTGTACTAAAAATACAAAAATGTTCTGGGCATGATGGCAGGCAACTGTAATCCCAGGTACTTGGGAGACTGAGGCAGGAGAATCTCTTGAACTCAGGAGGCGGAGTTTGCAGTGAGCCGACATTGCGCCACTGCACTCCAGCCTGGGTGACAGAGTGAGACTACATCTCAAAAAAATTTTTTTAATATAAAATAATAATGATTACTAGAAAAAATGAAGAAGTACATGCTTTCAAAAACTCATTAATCTATAAAGGCTGTTGTGCAATCATTTTTAAAAAATAAAACTAATGATTAATTATAAAATAAAGAAGTGGAGTGAATATATGACATGCATATTAAGAAGAGGCATGAACTTTATAGTTCTAGGAGGAGATTTCATGGAAGAAGTGAAATGAAGTAATTTCTCTAACTAGATTGATAAACAGAGTAGGTAAAGGAATTCTAGGCTGATGTAACCATTCAAGCAAAGGTTAGTAGTTAAAATTTATTCAGCTAACCTACATTTATTAAGCATCTCACAATGTGCTATCAAATAAAAACAATGTAGTCTTAATTTTTTTTCTTATTTTAAAAAACTTTTAGGTTCAGCAGTACATGTGGAGGTTTGTTACATAGGTGAACTCATGCCATGGGGGTTTGTTGTACAGATTATTTCATTACCCAGGTATTAGAACCCAATAGTTTTTTTTTTTTTTTTTGAGACGGAGTATTGCCTTGTCGCCCAGGTGGAATGCAGTGGCGCCATCTCGGCTCACTGCAAGCTCCGACCCCCGAGTTCACGCCATTCTCCTGCCTCAGCTTTCCGAGTAGCTGGGACTACAGGTGCCTGCCACCACGCCCGGCTAATTTTTTGTATTTTTTTTTTTTTAGTAGAGACAGGGTTTCACCGTGTTACCCAGGATGGTCTCGATCTCCTGACCTCGTGATCCACCTGCCTCAGCCTCCGAAAGTGCTGGGATTACAGGCGTGAGCCACCGCGCCCGGCCCCCAATAGTTATCTCTTCTATTCCTCTCCCTCCTCCCTCCCTTCACCCTCCATTAGACCCAAGTGTCTGTTTTCCCTTCTTTGTGTTCGTGAGTTCTCATCATTTACCTCCTACTTATAAACGAGAGCATGTGATATTTGGTTTTCTGTTCCTGTGTTAGTTTGCTAATAGCCTCCAGCTCCATCCAAGTTCCCATAAAAGATATGATCTCATTCTTTTTTATGACCGCATAGTATTCTACGGTGTTTTTGTACCACACTTTCGTTATCCAATCTGTCATAATGTAGTCTTAAGTAAGAAAATAATTTATTCAAAAGCTATTGCAGTAGAAAGAACACTTCAACCATACAATCTTTAAGCATCGTAGAGCAAAGGCTTTCTTTTATAGAGAGAAAGGAAACAGGACTATCAAAAACTGGCTGTGGGGAAAAGAGTGAGCGGGTTGTGTGGCCGAACGATTGAACAGCAAATGTTTCTACACCATAAGCCAATTAATTAATGGTGTAAAAGCTAATCTCAGAGTGGTTGTTAAGCTGCTGTTCCGTATTCCAATACTTAATGCTTGTTGAAACCCAAGGTGAGACAGAGTTCACAGGCCTGAGAGAAGGTGAGAAGCTAGACCAAAAAGCTCGACCACTCTGGTCAAATGAAGCTAGCAGTCTTTTGCGCAGATTAATCAGTGAAGCACAAGTTTAGCTAATCATTATGAGACAAAGAGTGGGAATTTGGAGTGTCTGTGAGTGCATCATAACAGGTAAATAAGGATGTCATCCATGAATCTTATCTAGCTCGTATGGCAAGGACAGTATTTTGCATTATCGCATTTTTGGAGACAAAAGGTTTGGGGAATTTCTTAACCATTGGTGATTTCTGGAAGCACAGGGCTCAGATGCAGTTCAACATTATAAGTACAAAACAGTGTGCTAGTATCAAACAACATTTTTTCAGTCAAAGCATTCAATTTTGTGGTGAAACACATACATAAATAATAAAATATTATAATACTAAAAAGAGATGGAGAATACAGAAAACCTTGACAGAAGACTAAGGATTGAAGAGACTGACTTGATGTATTTGGAGATTTTGTGCTGTGAAATCAAGTGTTAAGGCTATACAGTGTACAACGGTGTGTGGGAAGTTCTTAAATACTAGGAAGAATTTAAACAAATGATTCCTCAGGGAATTCATTTTAATCTTAGATCTAGTTTATTCACAGGAATTGAAATAGACAAAACACATTTAAATATTTTCAAGAAATTCTCTTTGATAATTAATTAACTGAGCACAGGGTATATAAGAGGAAATAGAGGAAAGCTGAACAAAGGAAAATGAAGGAGACAGATTCAAGCCCCAGGGCAGATGGCCTTGACCTTGACATGGCCGAAGGGGCTACTGATATTTTGAACTGTAAGTTGATCCAGTTAGAATTTTAAGTTAAAAAGTATAATTTGAATTAAATGGATTAGAAAAGCAAAAAAAAGAAAATGCATATAATGCTATTATATAAACATTCAAATAGTGAGAACCTGAACTAGGATAGTAAGATTGGGTAGAGTCAAATAAAAATGTTCAAATAATTAGAATTGGAGAAGAGATGGGATTTGATTGAGCAAATGTTTATCTTTCAGAAATAAAGAAAATAATTAGTTAAATCATGGCCCCAAAATATCCATCTTTAGTGAAATTGGACAAACTTGTCAGTCTTAGTGCTGACCAATCTTCCTGCTGAAGTCAACAGAAAAAATTGACAAAATTCAAAATAATAATTCCTTTTAAGGCACTGGAGAACTATCAATGCACAATGTAACAAGTACTCAACTGGCCAATCTCTGAGAAATAAAATATAGAGAAGTTAACACAGCATTTGGCACTATGTAGTACATTGTTTGCAAATATGCCCGTAACTATTCTCCTTATATCCATATACACTTACTTTATGACTTTGAAGCTTTTCCCATCAAGAAGTGAAGTATATTTACCTGACTCTTGAATCTGGCCTGAACTTGTGACTTGCTTTGTAACTGATACTGTTTGATTGACAGGATGTTATTCTAAATCTCAGCCTAAACCTGAAAAATACTCCCTGACCTCTGCTAATTCTCTTAGATCCCTGACCAACTGGTAGATGATCTGCTCTAGGCTACTTTGCTGATAAAGCGAGATCCAGTTGCTTTCACTGATAAACTGACAGCAATTCAACCATAGAAGTAGAGTCATTGGCTGATGAACAAAAGATCGCAAATACAAGAATAAGCCCAACCAAGTGAATGGCCCAGCTAAGCTCAGACTAACACACAGAATCATTAAGTAAATAAATGATAATAAAATAGACAAATTATTAAATATTATGTAATTTATTGGCATTGAAATGGGAACAATTAGAATATTTGAGTATTTACGTATCTATTAAAACATTGACTAACTAAATGATTTCCCACAAAGGATTTGCAGGCCATATTATTTTAGTTCTGAATTCTCCTCATTCAGGGAAGAAAGGTTACCAGTCTCACACAAATTCTTTCAGATAATAGAAAAAAAAAATACTATCCAATTTGTTTCATGAGATAAGCAAAACTTAGATACCAAGCTTTACAAGAATATGAGAGAGACATTTACAAATGATTTTTTCTATGAAAATAAATGTAAAAATTATAAGCAAAATATTAGGAAACTGAATCTAGCAGAAGTATACATGAAATTATTTTGATAGTGTGAGATTTATTTAATGTAATCATTAATCATACATGTGAGATGGATCAATGCAATGAAGTACATTAATAGTATAAATGAAAAATGTATGTGACCACTTGAACCAATGCATTTATTAGACAAATTTTTGCTGTGCTGATACTACATTACAAATTACTCCAAAGCCTAATGACTTACAAAAACAAGCACTTATTTTTCAAGCTCATGTTGGGAGCTTACTGCAAGTGTTTCTGCTTCAGAGTATGGATCAAATTCAGACCTGTTCTTTTGTTTGTTTGTTTTGTTTTGTTTTGTTTTGAGACAGAGTCCCTGTCGCCCAGGCTGGAGTGCAGTGGCGCGATCTCGGCTTACCGCAAGCTCTGCCTCCCGGGTTCACGCCATTGTCCTGCCTCAGCCTCTCCGAGTAGCTGGGACTACAGGCGCCCGCCACCACGTCCGGCTAATTTTTTGTATTTTTAGTAGAGACAGGGTTTCACCGTGGTCTCGAACTCCTGACCTCGTGATCTGTCCGCCTCGGCCTCCCAAAGTGCTGGGATTACAAGCGTGAGCCAGACCTGTTCTCTTTATTTTCTTACTGAAAAAGCCTGAGTTGAAGCAGTTACCTACGGTTACTTTTTCACATGGCCAATAGCAGGAGAACAAGAAGCTGAGAAAAATAACATAAACGACGTTTAATGTCACTGATAAGCCATGTCCACTAGCGTGCCTTTGGAGTGTCACATGACCAAATGAATGACACAGGGATTTCTATTCTGCTTATATTTGCAGCATAGTAAATGTGGGAAGGGAGAAAGGAATTGTTAGCAAATAATAACACCTGCCATAATGAAGCAAGCAACATTTTATAACATTCAAATTTTATTCATGATTAAATGATTAAGAAACTAGAAAGGGAACATTTTACATCTGATAATGTAAAAGAAAAAGAAGAAGAATATTTACTACAAAAATTCAATAGGAAATACCATATTTGGGGTGAAATATTGAAAGCTCTTTCTCCTACAATCTGGAATAAGACAAAGATGTTTATAGTATCAATTCTGTTGAGCACTGTAGAATAGGTTTTTAATTCTTGATAATAAATTAGGATATAGAAGAAAAACTACCATTCTTGCAGAAAGTATGATTGTGTATATAGAAAATTCAAAAGATTCTAAATGTAAGCGATGCACAAATGTAAGTTATTCACAAAAGGATTGTGCACTGAAAACTACACAATATTATTAAGATAAAATGTTATGATCTCTAAATAAATTGTAGTATATGAAATGTTTATGGAGCAGAAAACTCAACATTTTTAAAATGTCAATATAGTCACCCAAAACCCAAACAATGTTTTATTCTTGTTGAAATTGACAAACCAATTCTAAAATGTATATGGAAATGCATTTGACCGTGAATAAGTAAGACAATCTTGAAGAAAATAACAAAATTTAAACTTTTAGACTCTTGGGTATCTATATACTTTTATAAAGCTTTAATAAATAAGAAACAGTGACACTAACAAAATGTTAAACAAATATTTCAATTTGATGGATTAAATAATATAGAAACTGACATCTTTTTATTGAAAAAATTTATTTATAAAAAATGGCACTGCAAAATATTGGGATTTAATTATATGTTCCCGTGCAACACAGAAAAATACAATTCCAGGTTGTTTGCAGGTCTAAAATGTGAAAAGTGAAATAAGTAAATTAACTAATTACTTAATACATAGGCTTCCAGAAAATATAGTAAGCCAGCTTACATTTCTTAAACTAAGTCTAAAAAGGACAAATCCTGATATAAATATTAATTTGGTCTATATTTGTATCAGTCTGTTTTCATGCTGCTGATAAAGACATACCTGATACTGGGTAATTTATACAGGAAAAAGGGTTTAGTGAACTTACAGTTCCACTGGATGGGAAGGCCTCACAATCATTGTGTAAGGCAAGGGGGAGCAAGTCACATCTTACACGGATGGCAGCAGGCAAAGAAAGAGATCCATCAGATCTCATGAGACTCATTCACTATCATGAGAACAGCATGGGAAAAACCTGCCCCCATAATCCAACCACATCCCACCAGGTTCCTCCCACAACATGTAGGAATCATGGGAGTTAAAATTCAAAATGAGATTTGGGAGGGGACACAGCCAAACCATATCAATATTTATATTATCAACAACTCTTCATTAAAAGATACCATTAAGAGATTGAAAATTCAGGGCCAGGCACAGTGGTTCATTCTTGTAATCCCAGCACTTTGGGAGGCCAAGGCAGGAGGATCATTTGAGGTCAGGAGTTCGAGACCAGCCTGGCCAACATGGTGAAACCCATCTCTACTGTAAATACAAAAATTAGCTGGGCGTGGGGGTGCATGCCTGTAATCTCAGCTACTTGGGAGGCTGAGGCAGGAGAATTGCTTGACCTCAGGACGTGGAGGTTGCAGTGAGCCGATATCATGCCACTGCACTACAACCTGGGCAACAGAGTGAGACCTCATATTAAAAAAAAAAGAGAGAGAGAGAGATTCAAAATTCAAGCAGCAGAATAGGAAATTATTTTAATACTTTTAATCATAAAAGGGCTCATGTGTGGAATGTATAAATACCTCCCACAAATCAATAACAAGCAATGGGCAAACTAATGGAAAAAGGGCAAAAGTCATGAGTGAGCATTTTATAAAGGATATATAAAAATCACCTTTAGTAACATCCTCCCTTTATGAGTCACCAACCAGGGAAATTCAAATTATAGCTAAAATGAGATGCTATTACACCACTACTAGAGTTACTGAATTAAAAACAAGTACTAATGATACCAGTGTGGATAAGAATATGAAGCAACTGGAATTCTCTACCTCTCCTACCCTGCAACTAATTTGAAAAATTTTTTGGCTGTTATTTGCTAAAGTAGAACATATGCGTGCTTTATGATGCGGCAATTCCATTCTTAGATATATACCCAGCATAAACGTGTTTATATGTTAACCACAAAGCATATGAAATATTCATTGCAGCATTACTCATAATATTCAAAAACTGGAAAAAGTCACAAGTGTCTATCAACACTAGAAAAAATTGCTGTACAGTTATTCACCACTACACTATGCAGTATTAAAAATTAATAAACTGGCTGGACACGGCGGCCCATGCCTATAATCCCAGCACTTTGGGAGGCTGAGGCAGGAGAATTATTTGAAGCCCAGAGTTCAAGACCCTGCTGGGAAACATCATGAGACCCCCATCTCTACAAAAAATTAAAAAAGCTTAGCCCTGAGTATGGTGATGTGTGCCTATAGTTCCAGCTACTCGGGAGGTTGAGGTGGGAGGATGGCTTGTGATCAGGAGTTCGAGGCTGCAGTGAGCTATGATTACACCATTGCACTCCAGCCTGTGTGAGAGAGCAAGACCCTATCTCTGAAAAATGAAAAATGAAAAATAAAAAGTAATAAATAAAAATTAAACTTTGGGTAAAATATGAAAAATTTTTACAAACTTGATATCATATTAAATGAATCAAGCAAAAGACATTTGATGTATATGATTTATATGTGTATTAATTTCAAACATAAGCAAATAATTTTAAGTCACAGAAGTCTGAATATTGGTTATATGTTGGGAGGAGGGTAAAGGTAATGAATGGGTGCCGTCAAAGAAAAGCTTCTAAGGTTAGTTTTCTATCTCTTAAATTTCCGAGGTGTTTAGTTTGCAATACTTCAAGTGTGTCCTTGGGATTTTTGTTTTTCTACATGAATGCTGTATCTTAATACAGTTTATATTTGAAAACAATGGACTAAGAAAGATAGTATCACTTGAAAATTACAAATATGGTACTCAGTGATGAAGCATAACTTTTTATTTTAAAGTCAAAGACAAGCCAGGGGTCATGGCTCACACCTCTAATCCCAGCATTTTGGGAGGCTGAGGAGGGCAGATCGATTGAGCTCAGGAGTTCGAGATCAGCCTGGGTAACATGGCAAAACCCTCTCTCTACTAAGAATAGAAAAAAATTAGCTGGGGGTAGTGACGTGTGTCTATCGTCCCAGCTAACTGAGAGGCTGAGGTGGGAGGATGGTTTGAGCCAAGAAGCAGAGGTTGCAGTAAGCCGAGATCATGCCACTGTACTCCAGCCTGGGTGGCAGAGCCAGACCCTGTCTCAAAAAATCAATCAATCAATTAATTAAATTAAATGAAGTCAAGGACAAGACAGAAGGTATTCTATCACCTCCTCTATTCGACATTGTTTTGAATGTCTTAGGCAACATGATTAATAAACAAAAAGAAATAAAACTGTAGCTATTAGAAAAAGATATGACTGGTCAATTCAAAGAAGTTATTGCTACCACTTTAAAAAGTCAACAGAATAAACTGAATAACTATGACAACTAATAAAGATGTTCAGTGAGGTATCTGGAAACAAAATCAACTTACAGACAGTAACTTTAAAGATGACTAGCAATATCTATTTAGACAATTAAATGGAGAAACCCATCCACAATAGTAGCAATAAGTCTAACAAAAAATGAGTAAATGTAAAGAATTTCCGTATTATAAAAACATACTGGCATAATAAATGAGAGTATATTTCTGGATGGTAAGGTGTGTGATTGTTATCTATTTCCCTAAATATAATTATAATGCAAATGCAATTTCAATTAAATTCCCTGCAGGAATTTACAGAAAATTGACATGCTTATTCTAAAATTCATTCAGAAGAAACAAAAGAGAACATTTGCCAATGAAACTGTCAACAAAAACAATAGGGGGGATGAATCCAAGAAGTATCAAAATGTTGTACACAGTTTTAATAATTAAATCATGACATGTCACGAAGACAGCAAATGAATCCGAATACAGAATTTAAAAACATTTAGAAAAAAAAATTTGTTACATCAAAAAGTGCCATATTAAAATCAGCAGGGGAAGTATTGTATCCAATCGTGTTAGGACAACTGGCTATCCATATTTAAGTTATAGTACCCCTTCCTACTATACATATATATTTGTATATATGTTTATATGTAGATACAAAAATCAATTGGGTAGTTTAGTAAAAATTAAAAATTGATACATTTTTATAAATGTACATAAACTTTTAAATAACATGGGTTGGAGAAACCTAAGAATAGTCCAGATGCCATAAAGAAAAAGGATTAATCTAAATAAATTATTTAAAAGAAATTGGAGAGGGGTAAATGTAAATACCAATAAGAGGTATGAAAAAAAAATCCATATAATGACAATGAACTAAAACCCAGAGTGGACAAGAATCTTCCAAATAAATTAGGTAAATGTAATAGGTTGGAATATGTGCCTCCAAATTTATGTGTTGAAATCTTAATCTCTAGTACATTAGATGTAACTTCATTTGGAGATAGTTTTTGCAGAGGTAATAAAGTTAAAATAAGGTCTCTAGGGCAGACTCTAAACCAATATGACTAGTGTTCTTATGTAAAGGGGGAATTTAGACACAGAGATACACCGGGAAGGAAGATGCTGTGGAGAGACATAAGGAGAAGACAGCCATTTGCAAGCTGATGAGAGAGGCCTAAGACAGATCCTTCTCTCACAGCCCTCACAGGAAACAGCCCTACAAACAACTTGATTTTGGATTTCTAGCCTCCAGAATTGTGAGACGAAATATCTATTATTTGAGGTACCCAGTCTTAGTTACTTTGTTATGGAAGCCCTAGAAAACTAATAAGTAACTAACTCAAAATTTAAATAGGCAAAACATATAAACAGATAATTCACAGAGAAAGAAATACAAGTGGTAATCTTATGAAAATATAATCAATCTCTAATAAAGTAAATACAAATTACATCAGAAAGAGGGTATCATTTTTCACTCATGCCATTAGCAAATTTTCTTTTAAGAAAAAGGGAGATAAGACAGTCTGGTTTAGGTGAAGGTGTGAAGAACACCAGAAGATACTAAGAAAATTATAGGCTAGAATAGCTGATAGGCAATTTACCAGCACATATTGAAACTAACACAAAATATCTCATGTGCCCCATAAATACATGTACCTACTAAATACCCACAAAAATTAAAAATTAAAAAAAAAATAAATACAAGATATGGGCACTGAAGCCAGACCTCCCACCCTACTCCCCCCACCAAAAAAAATTAACATGTTGACTTTTAGTGAAATATTTACACTTTTAGAAACTTATATCACAGAAGTACTCAGGAATTCTTTTGTGTCCACATATATACACTTTATTAATTTTTAAGAGAGAAAGAAAAAATTGGAAACACCGTAAATTATCAGTGGTAAAAATATATTCAAGTACAACCAAAATGGATAGTAATATATAGACATGGAAAGTGCTCTAAGACATATGAAGCCAGTTACAGAACCTGAGTGTAGGAGGGTCACATTTACTTTTCATGTAAGCAAGAGAAAATTATTAGAAGATGAACATACACTCATTTGTAAATGGAAGAAAATCCAATAAAATGTTAGCCAATACTTTCATTATGGTTACTTCCGCAGTGTAATTTGGTTTCCTCTTACATAAGGACCTTAAATGTTTGAATCTAAAGTAGTACTGTTAATTAACAATTCTGCCAACATTTTCCTGATAACTTGTGCCTCTTCATGGTTCCCAATGTATTTACCAGAAAATAGAGAGATTTAAATTGGTTCTGTTTTCTTCATAACATTATTTGAAAATCAAATATGAAGGTGAAATGAAACAATGTTGTATATTATAAAAGGGAAATGTTATTTGTAATTTAATTAAAAATAAATATAGTAAACAAAGTCAACATTTATTTGCGTAATAGAGAAGAAAGAAGCAATATACAGTAAGTTCTTGAAGGACGCAATGAACATTTAACTGATAAACTCATAGCCAAATCAGTATATTCTTTCAAATTTGTGGTTAAGATATTAGGCTTTGGAGACTCACTGATACACCACTTTCTTAATAGCATGTCCTTAGAAGTTATTTACTACTCTTGTGACTTAATTTCCGTGCCTATAAAATAGGTACGGATGTGTTATGCACGTCATTTCATTTACTCTTCAGAACAAATTCATGAGAAAAGCACTATTATTAACCCTATATATAATATGACAGCATATATAATAACCTGTCAATACATATAATCTACTATTATGAATTATGGTCACTTAAGATGATTTTGGAGATGTGTTTATTGTTCAGGAGAAACAAATTGGGGCATAAAGTAAGGTTAAAAATTGGAAGGAAATAAAAACATGCCTTGCTGTTTATTATTTAACTTTGCCAGTGAGACTGAATGGAAATTTGGGGCATTAATAATTGTCTGATTACTGGTTGACTACTGTTCATCAGTGAAATTCACAAGGCCAGCGAGAATATTGTGGTTCTTAGCAATGGGCCATTCCGATTTCCTTTTAATGAGAAGAATGTGAAGAGTGCTAGATACCTATATTTAGCAAATGAGAAAAAGAAAAAAATTGTAATAGAAGTCTATTCTAGATGAGATGAACGTATTAATCATCACTAAGGCCATTAGGAGATCTAGTTCCTTTATATTTCTGCAGAATGACTATAAATTCATCATATTTCTTAGTAATAGAAATTATATATGTATATATTTTCAATTAATTACCTATCATGGGTTCAATGCTTTACACAAATTACCCTATTTAACACATGAAAATGTGGGTAAGTTAACTGTTACATTTTACAGATTCTCAACTAAAGCTGAGAGAATTTGAGCCGTTTTCCCACAATTTTACAATTGAACTTGTCGACCCATCTTTCACCAAAAACACTGTTCTTCCTGACTTCCCTCTCAGTGAAGGGCTGTGTCCAAAAATTGCCTAAGCCAGAAACCTGGCATCATTAGTAAATAGCTCCCTTCTACACTTATTCCACAACATACAGGCAAAAGAATTAAACACAAACACACACACACACAGTTACACATACAGATACAGTATACTATTAATTCCATTTTGTATGTTTTGCTGAAATCAATCCAAGTTTGCCTGCCTCCCCTGCTTCTGCTCTAGTTAGGCCAGCGTAATCTTTTGTCTGGACTATTGCAATGGTAACTTTCTTAACAGTCACCTGTTTTCCTGTTTTTTTCCCTCCTCCCATTCACTCCTGAGTTTTCAGCCAGGGAAAATTTTCCAAAACATAAATCTGATCTTGCCATTTACTGACTAAAACATCTCATTTACTTTCATTTGTTCTCAAAATAATGCCCAAATTCCCAATTATCACTTAACAGTCTTCTGAAATGAGTAGTCATTTCACATTTCAGCAGCAAATCTCCTGCTCCCCAGTTAGAACTCCAAACCTTCTGATATTTATTCACTTTTTGAAAAATTCAACATTTATTTTCTTTAGTGTCTGTATGAGTCCGTTTCACACTGCTGATAAAGGCATACCTGAGACTGGGTAATTTATAAAGAAAAAGAGGTTTAGTGGATTCCACGTGGCTGGGGAGGCCTCCCAATCATGGAAGAAGACGAAAGGCATGTCTTACATGCAGCAGGGAAGACATAGATAGATGTCTATGTCTATGTCATAGATATCTGGAGTATAGCTAGCCCTCACTGGGAAATGAAACTTTTGTTATAAAATGGGGTTTTCAATTTTCCCCTTTTATATGAAATCATGACAACAAAACCATCTTAGTAATTGAGGTTTTAACTTCTCTAGATTTCACTGAAACTGTGAGTGTTAGTGATTATGACTGATGCCAAGTGGAACCATTTGGGGGGCTCTCATGCCTGTTCTTTCTGTGTTAGACAGGACTATGAAGAGCTAGAAAAGCAGCTGAAAGAAGTCTTTAAGGAGCGAAGCACCATTCTTCGTCAGCTGACAAAGACATCAAGAGAACTTGATGGAATTAAAGTCAATCTTCAGGTGAGATGAGAACTCATTTTCCGAGCAGTAAAAGAGGAGCAGTCATCTGATTTTCTGAGTGGATTGACATGCATTTTTAAATAGTTTTTAATGTGTTTCTGGGCTTGACCATGGTGGTTGTTACTTACTATTATATGTGCCCTAAACGGAAATGTCATTTGAAATATAGTCTAGGAATCTGTGTTTAACAAATACAGAAATGGGAAAATTGTGTTCTTGGCAGAGCCATCAATTCCTCAAGCTTCTAAGATCAGTTTGACCCCTGTGTTTTTGGTATTATAAAATGACAAATTATGATCAAGACTTAAATAAATATAGGAATGACTCCTAGAAGAGAATTTTAAATTCCCCACGGGATAATTCTTAAGATTCTTTAATAAACCACATTACTGAAATAGGTAAATGCCTTTAAAAGGCAAGTGGCATCTGTAAAAAACATCTTAACATACTGAAATCTTTAAAAAATTCTACATAGGGTAAAAATAGTTTCATAAATATTTGATAATATATTGCAATATTTGACATAAACATTGTATTTATTATATCCTGTATGCTAAAAGCTTTGTATGTGTTACATGGTTTAATTCTTGTAATGTATCTATGAGGTAGATCCTATTGTGACATCCCTTGTTACACATGAGAGATAATGTTTAGGAAAGATATGTTATTTTTGAATGTTACAAAAGAAGCCAGAGTTTACATGTAGACAATCTAGCTCCAGACACTATTAGTTACTGAACTGAACCATGTTTTTAAACCATGTGGAGTCGCTTCTGTCCACACTCTTCTCCTTAGCTTTCTAGTCCCATTAAGATGATAATAATGATAATGATGATGATGATGATGGTGGTAGTGGTGGTGGTGGTGGTGGTGGTATTAGTAGCCACTGAGGCTTATTGAACATGGTCAAGGTCCAGTGCTAGATACTCTTTCTACAATTTGTATTTAATTTTCACATGAAGACTGTTAGTCACATTTCATAGGTGAGAAAACAGAATTAGAGAAAAGTTAACAAACTAAGAGTGCACAGATAGTTAAGGGACAGAGCTGGTATTTAAAGTCAATATCTAAGCTCTTCTTCCAGAAGATGTGTTACATATGGAGAAGATGGAAACGAGAGCAAAAAAAAAAAATTATACACAACCCAGTAGGACACAGAGATGGTATCAGAATGAAAACAGCGCAGGAATCATCGTGTTATGATGGAAGCATGCACAGAGCATTAGGGAAAACTCACAAGGATGAAAAGAAGTACAGATTGATTTCTAGTGAAGCCAATGCCTGAGTTTGTGGTTAAGTGAAAATTCACCAAGTGAATAAGACTGGGAAGAATACAAAGAAACCTGTACCTTCTCAGAGGCATAGAACACTTGACACATTGAGAATATTGAAAGCATATCGTGAAAGGCCCAGATGTGATCAGTATTTACAATATTCCCAGAATACTCAGCCTTTCTATGCCAGTAGCCAAAGGCAAGACATCTTATAACAGTCTAGAAAGTTGCTTGATACCAATATACAATTTTATGGAGCTACATTTGCTGAAAGGATAACAATCCTACCACTAAACATAACTGCAGTTCTTAAAATGCCTTTTGCTTATTTTTTTGGCTGCCATTGTGCAAGGCTGATTTTGTGACTTGTGCCAGGTCATAAGACCATGATACACTTTGAACTTTAACTCCTGTGAATGATTATTTTTTTTACATTTTAATTCTTCTTTTTGCTTTCCTTGTATTTATGTGAAGCTACTGTTTCATATAAATAAGATTGTTTATTGATTGCTTCCCAATGATAACCTCAGCCAGTTACAGTAGGGAAGAGGTTTGTCTTGTAAAGTTCATCCCACTTCATTCCTGTTATAATACTTATCATACTACATTAAAATTGTTGATTTTCAACATTAGATTAAAAAATGTATGAAGGCAGGTACCATGACTTTGCGTAGGTCTTTGCATGATTCATAATAGATATTTGTTAAATAAATATTAAGTAAACAAGTGTTTGCCCTTTTTGCTATTGTCAGTTCCCTACCAGTCACAACTATTCTTTTGCAAACAATATTCTTGCCTCTTAGTTTTGACTTTAATGCCAAGAATGACCGGTTACCCTATTAATTAGTTTATTGAATATAAATAAGAAAGTTATTAGAGAAGGCTTAATAGGATAGATTCTCTTGCAAGAAAAAGCTCAGGAGACTTTTCTGCTGTAATTCATAGTCTCTGAATTCTGAATTTGCCAGAGTATATAAACACTAAGGACTGAAGTAGTATACATAATTTATTGTTAATATTCTGTCTATAGAGACCAGTTACAATTTTACATGGCCTTGTTTTTTTGTGTGTGTCTTAATGTATTACTCATAAATAAGAAATCAACAAAACCTAACAGGTGCATGCCCTTTGACTATTTTAATCTTGAATTGTGTTATTTCCTGACTTATGCAGGGAGGTTTGCTATGTTCCCTAATATTTGTAGAAGCTGTGCCAGACCTGGTCTAACTTGCCTGCAGAGAACACAGTAAAACTTCAAAGAATGAATAGAAGATATGTTTTTTATTCACTTTTAAAGAGACCTAGATATTTGGAGAGTAGTTTCTCCTCCATCGAACCTCTGAAAGCCAAGACTGCTCAATTCCTTTCAGCCACTGTGTAGTTGGGTGTCATAAATTTCTGTTTACATCCTTGGAGCCGTGAGGACCATCATAGACTCATTTTTAATTCTTGTTCCAGGGCATATGTGCAGTCCTATCTAGTACTCTAGAACCAAAGTTAAAGTGAGTCTCAATTTCTCACCTGAATAAAACTTCATTTTTCCACTTTTCTTATCAGTCCTTAAAAAACGATGAGCAGTCTGCCAAAACTGATGTTCAGAAACTTCTGGAATTAGGACAGAAACAAAGGTAAGACTTTTCTTTTTTTCTTAGTTATTTCTGCCATAGTGTCAAGCAACATTCAGAAACTTCACAAAATTTATTGATTCTAAATATATGAACCTATTTATCTTTTCACTTATACTTAAATATGCATGCAATTCACTTGGGAATCTTGTTCAAATGCAGATTCTTACACAACTGGGGTGGGCTTGAGATTCCACATTTCTAAGAAGCTCTTTGGTGATGGTGGTGCTGATGCTTTTTGTCTGCAAATAACAATTTGAATGTTAGGGAGGTATAATACTTTCCTCAGTTAGTAAGATGGACCCAGGTAAGTCTGACCATCAATAGACAGATTTGATAATATTGACCTAAATGGACCATGTTTAATACAATCCAAACTTGATCATGGTAATAATGATGTGGTGGTAAAGAATGGAATTATCTTACTAACAATACAAGTAGAATCAGTACAATATTATTAGTATTGGTTTGCTTATTTTTGAGGGAAGCATATTATGAAATATACTTGTGTAAATTATAAAAAGCCATACGATTTTTAAATTGCTTTTCCAAGCCAAAAAAAGAAAAACAAGTATTTTAATATGGAAACAACTTTACGTCTGCTATACACTTACTAGCAGCCCTTCTAGTAGGTTTGTATATATTTTCTTGTTTCATCTTCACAACTACCTTGTGAAGTGGCTATTATTCCCATTTTGTAGATGGCAAATTGTTGCTCAGAGTGCTTAGTGGAATTGCTGAGAATCACGTTAATTGGAATTTAGATTTAAAATCTGCTCTGTCTTACCCTACAGCTCCACCTTACCAGTTTGGCTCACTGATCACAACGCAAAAAACTGTTTCAAAGTTTACACACAAGATAGCATGTGGAATAGATTCTAAGTCCCTTCTCATCAGCCTATATGTCCTCCATTGACCTTGGTTCTAAATTCAAAACTCTATTATTGACATGCATTTGGATTGAGCCAATGATATCTATTAAAAAATATAAAATCAATTGTTTTACATGGACTCTTATTATTATTTATAGTGACATGTTTATTATTTATTTAATGTGAAATTCTCTTTAAAGTCTAATATTAAGAAAAACTTGAAAAGAGCAATCCGAACATGTTTCTGAAACAATATTATTTTAATTATTTCATTGGTTTGAAATAAATCATGCTCAATATTACACCAGTATTTGTGGCTCTGTGAAGTAGTGATAGAGGACATAAGCAACATTTTGAATAGCAATAGTAGAACATTATTCAGTCGGAAAATAGAAAATCTTGTCATTTGTGACAACATGGATGAACCTGGAGGACGTTATGTTAAGGTAAATAAGCCAGGCACAGAAAGACAAATACCACCTAATCTCACTCTTATTCGGAATCTAAAAAAGTTGATATAAAAGAACTGGAGATTAGAGTGGTGATTACCAGGGTCAGAGGTAGCTGGGGAGAGTGTTGGTGGTGAGATGTTGGCTAAAGAATATTAAATTTCAGTTGGTAAAGAGGAATAACTTAGATGAAATTAGTACATGATGACTATAGTTAATAATAAACTGTATTTTTTAAAAAAAAATTTTAAAAAAACCATGAAAAGAGACCAAGAGATGCTGAAAATGATTACTTTATTTTTATAGAGTATCTCAGGTTAGGAATGGAGAATAAACAAAAATAGAAAAACAAAAATTGATTTCTGCACAATACATGTGCAGCACCCAGTGAGAGACTGAGGAAGATATAGTGAGTTTGAGAAGATTAGAAAATAAATCTGTATGTAAAGACAAAAATAAAAATGGCTAAAAGATGGCATATACTGGATTTCAGTGATAATAAATAGGGAATCCCTTTTAGGTAGCTCCATAAGAAATAATATAATTAAAGAAATCTTTTAGGGGAAATATTGTGTTATTTCCTGGCTTTTAGGGAAATTACTCTGTCAAACCCATTCAGGGTAGAAAGAAAAATGTAGACCAGGGTGAGAAAACACTACTTAGAGACAAGGACAGGGAGATCTCAAGAGTTAAGACAATGGAGTAAAAGAAAATAAAGTCAGCCTTTCCTTACTACAGGAGGGACGCGGATGAGGAGACGGCTTATGCATGATGTGAATGAAAACCTATTCTCTTAGTTTGTTGATATTTTTTTAAAATATCTATGTCTGATTCACATGACACCAAAAACAACACAAAAATCAGGAAAAAAAAATGTGAATAGGTGTTTAAGAATTTTAATCATCAAGTGTACATGTGGTAAAGTATATAAACTACCAGATGATAGAACAAGTCTTTCAAAGAGAGGGTAAAATGGAGAATATTTTGGTCTTACTAATTCATAGTTTTATCTAAAATTAAAAACTTGTTTAAAATGCATAACTTGTATTATATACACAATCAAAGTTAGAATGGAAGACTCAATAAATTATAATAAAAGGTAACTTCTCAAAAGGATATAAGATGTGATGCATTCGTTTTTTGCTGTTTACCTAAAAAGAGAAATATAAAAATTGTGTGTATATTATGGTAAAAGAGACTGTGTGTCTCATTTCAAAATCTGACTTATTAGTAAACATTAAAAGAGAAAAAATATCACCTTTGGTTATCAAAAATACTGATTTATTGCAAATTTAAACATCTTCTCCGAGTTTGAAAGAGTGCAGTGTGCTTGCCATTGCCATTTGGTCACATCCCTGGCTCTCAATTATTACCTTGTTTTCTGTTTGTCCTCAGATCCTTGTCATCTGGCTTCATCTGGACTAGTGATCCCTAGAAGCCAGGCTTCTTTTATGTGACTCTGAAACCACTGGTCATAGCTGATGATTCAGAGGTGGCCACCGAAACAAAAACCAATCAATTAGTGTCTCCCTTTGGAACTGTAACGTAGAGGCAACTAATAAGTCTTTCTGTGTAGCTGGAGCTAGGCTGTAAGTAAATTCAGGGGCTATGCTGTGGCCACATACAACTATGTGGAGAGAAAGTAGAGTGTCTTTCTAGCAAGACAAACAGAGAAAGGAGTGTGTTTGCATGTATGCACTTATGTGAGAGAAAGAGTGAGAAAATGAGAGTCATGTTGGCTTGAGCGTCACGTTTCAGGAATATTTACACAGCCTTGATAATATTCATAGGAGATTCCCCAGGTGAATGGAGAGATTTTAAACCATACCATGCCAGGACTGAGAATATATAACCACAACAAGGAGAATAAGAAATAGGACAGGACCCTGAAATGTCTGAAAATTTGAAAATGTCCTTGAGCAAAAGAGAATAAAACCTTTTATTCTTTAAGGTGGTTGGTTGGTAGATTCCCAGAAGGCAGTTTTGGACTCGGTATACTAAAGCACTTTACAATAATGTTCTCGAAAACTAAAACAAAGCCTGGAATTGTGGCAAGTTCTTGATCTGTGATGTTATTAAAATATAAGCTGATAGTCACTAGAAAGAAATGCCTTTTTGTAGAGTGATTAAGGTGAGGGTGTTTTTATAGCTATAATTTGGGATGAAAGAGGTGTGGAATAATGGTCCTTTAAAATTCTTTGTAACACAAAATGTTATGCTGAAATATTTCAATATTTGAGCTATCTATCACAGGTGTCACTCGAGCCAGGAATTTTTTAGAATTAAAGTTTCAGTTTAGTACCAAACAGAGCCCTAGAATAGCAGATATAGATTGGGCAAATCTCAGTTGGTATTGGGAAGTGGTGCAGAGGCAAGTCAGGAATCATCTCTATAGGAGGATAACTTAGCAAGTCTTTGAAGCAGAAATCTATAGCTAGCTAAAGCACTAGAGCAGTGAGCATGTGAAGACATAAGCCTAGAAAGAAGGCAGAAGGAGAGATGAAGAGATATAGAAGACAAAAAGTCTACTTTACCTTTCTGCCTGATAGTGTTCTTTGGCAGGAAAATATTCAGAATTCTCTATCTTTTCCAGATTTTACAATTTGTTTTTTGTCCTGTTCCCTAGATTGCCTCTAGATGTCAGAATGGGGGATTTTTTTGGAAGAAATATATAGATAGATACCTACTCCCACACATACATTATCTATCTATCTATCTATCTATATTTGTAAAAATATTCATACATACTCATTGTCATTTTAATAAAACATACTTTATTATTTAATTTTTAAGTGTTTTATGACCATCTTTTAAAAATAAAAATGAGAATTTTAAATTAAAATTGCTTAAAAATTTATTATTTTGTCATTTTAATTATAACTTTATTTTCAGTAGGAAATATAATTTTATTGTGTTTCACTCAGTGCTTGTTGAAGATTTGAGTGTTTGGGATAACATGTAGGTCCTTCCTTCCTTCCTTCCTTCCTTCCTTCCTTCCTTCCTTCCTTCCTTCCTTCTCAGTAGAGATAGTATAGTAACTCTTTATAGTTTGAGCATATAGACACTAAAACACAATTTCACTACCCCTCTATGCATTTGTTATCTGTCATAACATGAAGTCATAGTTTGGTGTGGGGTTTACAAAAGTGTCTTGCACATTGTAAGCCTACAATATATGTAGGTATATATTATATTATACTACAAACACTCTATGGAAAATATCAGAAATAATAATGGAAGCCCAGATTTTATATGTCCATATATGAAGAAAGTCTGATAAATGAAACCAGTTTGAGACAGTGATGGAAGCTGTCACTCAGAATCCACTTCAAGCACATTAAAAGCATCACCCAAGAAGGCATAAATCATTTAAAAACCAAAGTGACTGTAATTATTCTATAACTTGTTCTCACTATATTTTGATTTGTCAACCAAAGTCCAAAATGATTACAAAAAACAGACAGACTTTCTTTCTCATTCTTGAAATTGGGACTTGGACATCAGTCTCAAGGCTAATTAAGCTGGCAGCCCCATTAAGTCCTGCTGGGTGAAAGAGCAGCTTATGGTTGTGTAGAACATCATGGTCAGAGAATGAACATAAGGGTGTGGAGAGATGTCAGTGGTTATTGCCATGACCTAACATTTGTTAAGGAATTCTTTCATAGGCATTGTGTTAAGTGCTTTGCTTACGTTCTGTCGTCTTAATATGAGCACAAACCTATAAGTTAGTTCTACCATTGTGCCCTTGTTTTTGGATGAAGAAATTGAGTATGAGAGGGTGTGTCACTTGCTCAAATATCCAGAGCTAATCTTTTGGCACTAGATTGGAAGTTTTAAATTAGTTTAGGTGCTGGTAAGACTCAAATAGGTTTCTATTTTGTTGTTGCTATTGCTTTGAGAGAATTTCTGTAGCCAGGAATTGCCACACATACAAACACAAACAAGTACACTAGCCTTTATCTAATATCTGATCTATTTGAGGTGATAGCTCGAGTAAAAAAAAATCAAGGCACAGAAAGATAATATGATGTGTTATAAATAAATAAATCCTAAATCCTTAAGAGAAATGCAAATTTAGGGAAACATCACTCTTTTTAAAAAGGGAGACAGGATCCTTATGTGCTACTGAGCTTGAGACACAATGAGTATATATGCATAGGCATGCATTTTTAAATTATCTTCATTAAATGAGACAGGCCTTAAGTTAAAATAAGTTTCTTTTCCCTGTTTTTACAAAAGATGTCAGGCCTTACAAAGGATGTATAAAGCACAATGCTTTAGAATTAATTAATTAAGAGCATCAGAAGGGAACAGTAATTTTATCCTATCAGCAAGTCTATGGTGACTTTTTCTAACCAGCATGTTCATACCCCAGTATGCTGTTAGTGAAATTATCTTTTCAACTTGAATTATATATTGCTTTGATTTAACACATCATGTGCCTCACAGATGATTCAAACGTGGGATTTTTATAAAGCATAATAGTAAGGTTATTTAAAAAAAAATCAACTTGCTTTTAATATTTGCATGGGAGAGAAAGCCTTTTATTACCAGAATCTTTAGACACATCCTGTATGCTTAACTGTGGCTTTATGCACTTCTAGTTGTCTATGTCCTAAATGTATACAGCAAAGCTCCTTCCTTTTATAATGTTCATAGGAAATAATGGAATTATATTATTTTCTCACTTATGCTCTGTTTTCTACTAAAATAGAGAAGAAATGAAGTCTCTTCAGGAGGCCCTGCAAAATCAGCTTAAGGAGACATCAGAGAAAGCAGAAAAACACCAGGCTACTGTAAGTGTGTTTCTTCTTTGTGCCTTTTGCTTTTGGGCTGGGACATTGTTACTTTCTTTTTCCAAAATCACTATGGAACAAACACACCTATAAAAAATAAAAGTGAAAAGACAATAAAAGAAGCATCAGTCAATGTGAACAGAATAGTACTTGGTCAGCTTTCATTCCTGGAAAAGGTTAGTGTTTTATTTCATTATTAGGGGGTCGTCTAATTCCCAGCCTACTTTAAAGAATGAGAAACTAAAGGACAGAGTGGGACAAGAGTTCTGGTGTCAGGGCTTCATCAGTGGCTCTCACATTGTGGGACGTCACTGACTGTGAAGTAAATTAAGCTAAGTGATAGTTAAGTCGCACCCCACATCCACTGAATAAGGATCTCTCAGGAGCAGGGCCATGGAATCTATTTAATCCATCCCACGGGTTATTCTAATGCATCCCCAAAGTTGATGAATCAAACTCCTCTCCTGACAGCAAGAATTGTGAGAAATAAAGTATGAAACAAACTTTCTCACCCGAAATGATGTTCCCTTGACCCCACCGTTTCAGCTCTTACTACGAATATTTACCACAGGCAGGAGGGATGGTGTTTCTGAGAGCCATGCTGAAAACTAGGTTTCTACTGTATTCCCCAAAGCCACCTTACGCACCATGTATAGGGATTGGACCTTATATCTTGTTTTCAAGATCTGAGTCTGTTTTAAAATATAGTGTGTTAATTGAACATATGAGGTATGGTAAGGTCAACAGATCAGGAAAGACTCCCACTGAAAACATAGCTTATTTCTCACAGTTCTAGCTGCACACCACAGAGGGGCCACACGGGGAGGCACCCAGGCTGTTCATGAGGCAGAGGGAGAGGAGGAAACTGTGGGTAAGAGGCTTTGTTGTGGTTTCTGAGGCAATGAACAAGTGAGGCAGGATAAGTGGGCTTGGGATCGGATAAATGGGCTTGGGATTGGCCAGTTTGAGTGATTTTTGGTTGGCTTTGGGGCATAGCAGCTGTCCTGACTTATAACCTGTCCCTAAGGTGATTAGGGCAACTCCACAGTGGCCTGAGATAATAAAAGGGGGGCAGTTAGGAGTGTTGTTTTTCGATTGGTTGTTTGTATTTGAAAAGTGTGTCTCTGGGAGGAGGACTTCTCACCTCTGAGACGTTGGAGCATCAATGAGAGAGTCCAGAACTAAGGCAGGGTGGCTCAAGCATATGATTGGGTTGTTCAGAGCAAGGCTGATCCAGCACATCCATGAAGAACAAATGTTAAAGCATCAGATTTACAGAAGCTAAAACCGTGGTGAAGCCTAAATCTCCATTTAGGTCAATTACCTGGAATCCTAGGCTCTCTAAACACAGTCAGCCTGCCTTTCTTTTACAAAACTTCCTTTAACAACCTTGATTAAAATGTGGAGTTTTGCTTCTGAAACTCAGTCCAGTCTGTCATCTGCAACAGCTGATTTCAGGAACAGCCTTTCCAACAATGATTGTTGACTTTTCAAAGTACAAAACTGTTTCATGTAAGGATTCACTGTTATCTGTTCTGTTCACCTGTTAGGACGGGCATGTGGGTTCATTGCTATGCCACGGCAACTCTCACTGCTCACCTGAAATGTGGCCTAAAGTCTGGCTCACTGGATACCAAATGTTACATAAAAGAATAGACATATTTTTAGTATCAGCTTGTCGATCCCTCCTCCCAACACCGGACCTAGCTTACTGAATGGTCCTAATTGCAATCACATTTCTGCCGTGACTAATCATATTTAATCTGAGTTTCTTCATAGCCTAATGACAAACAATGGTAGAGCAGAATAGAAGTGCTCACACAGACTATTTTCTCTGGTTCTCATAATAAAACTACATTGTTTGTTTCTTTACTGAAAAAGAGTAATTCAAATAACGTGTTTCTAGCTTGTATTTGCACAGCTATAAGCTAAGGCATGAACTCATAATTATTCCAGTAGATTATGCAAACTGTCTGAGATCCGAAAAGAAGAGAGTTATAACTTTTGAAAGAGCACAAACCAAAGTTAGAATATCCAAGTATGACAAATGTCATGGACAAATAATGTAGACTGAGTCACCTTTGCCTTCATCTCAGCGTGCTGGCAGTGCCTTCCTTATGGCTGAACACTGGATCTTGAGGGAAGCTTTCTCTTTCCCCCCAAAATTCTTCACTAAACCAGAAACTTCCTAAAGAAACTCATAACTTAATATGTGCTTCAGAGTAAGAGTGTTTGGGATTTAAATTTCTAGTAGGCCATGTACTAATTCTGTAAATTTACTAGCTCATTACCAGACTTGATCAAGCTTTTTAACTTCTGCAAGTTTCCTCATTATCACATTTAAGGGGTTATTCACATTAAATTAATGTACATAATCTCTCTAAAATTATATCTGGCATGTAGTTGATAGTAGACATTAAACTAAAGTCATTCCCCTTCCTTCTGCACTTCCCATTTTAATTTCATCTTCATCCGTTAGCTGAATGAATATAAGCAAGTCATTTGATTTCTCTGAGGCTTTTTCATTGTAAGAAGTATGTCAATGGTACTAATGTAACAGGTTATTTGGTGGTTATATGAGATGATGCATGCACTGTTGAGCAGAAGATGTAATCAATTATAAGCAACTTCTAAGTTGTATCACATAATCATCATCATTATTAGTATTTTTTCTTCCTAACCATTTAAAACCTTTGTTATATGATAATATTGTGGTAAGAATTATCAGCGATGACAGAATGCATACCTAATAAAAGGACTATTAAAATAATATATTCAATTGTTCATACTTTAGGATGTTCTATTTCCTCAACTCTATTTACATTACTATTCAAAATAATTTTGTTTTGCAATTTCTGCATACTGCTGCATAGATTTTCAATGGCTATTCTTAAAAGCCAGCATTGAAATGTTTGAGAGTGACCTCGGGTTCTCAGAGACTTACAAATGGTGTCTTTATGGGAATCAGACATATTACCTGTCTGTCAGTGATCAGGGGCAACACAGTGATATTTTTACTGTTATTAAAAACTACTAGATGGTGAGGTTTTTCACCAAAGGCTTGCATTTTCTTAAATGCAGACTATTTCTTTTTTATTTGGTATTCCTGTTAATTTCTTTTTTTATTTTCCATAGGTCATTAGGGTACAGGTGGTATTTGGTTACATGAGGAAATTCTTTAGTGATTTGTGAGATTTTGGTGCACCCATCAGCCAAGCAGTATACACTGCATCCTATTTGTAGTCTTTTATACCTTGCCCCCCAGTCACACTTTCCCCCAAGTCCCCAAAGTCCATTGTATCATTCTTATAACTTTGCGTCCTCATAGCTTAGCTCCCACATATCAGTGAGAACATACAGTGTTTCGTTTTCCATTCCTGAGTTACTTCACTTAGAATAATAGTCTCCAATCTCATCCAGGTCACTGCAAATGCTGTTAATTTGTTCCTTTTTGTGGCTGAGTTGTATTCCATTATATATATATGGTTAATATATATATTATGGTTAATTATAATTATAGATATATATTTATATATATTTATAAATATAAATATATAAATGTATATATATTTATAAATATATATTTATATACATATATATTTCTATATAATATATACATTTATATATTATATATAAATATATACATTTATATATTATATATAAATATATACATTTATATATTATATATAAATGTATATATTATATATAAATATAATTATATATTTTATATATAAATACATAAAAATAAATATAATTATATATATATATATATATCACCATTTCTTTATCCACTTGTTGATTGATGGGCATTTGGGTTGGTTCCACAATTTTGCAATTGCGAATTGTGCACTATAAATATAAGTGTACAAGTATCTTTTTCATATAATGACTAATTTTCCTCTGGGTAGATACCCAGTAGTGGGATTGATGGATCTAATGGTAGTTCTACTTTTACTTATTTAAGGAATCACCACACTGTTTTCCACAGTGGCTGTACTAGCTTACATTCCCACCAGCAGTGCGAAAGTGTTCCCTGATCACTGCATTTATGCCAACATCTACAGTTTATCGATTTTTTGATTATGGCCATTCTTGCAGGAGTAAGGTGGTATTGCATTTTGATTTTGATTTGCATTTCCCTGATCATTAATGATATTGAGCATTTTTTCATATGTTTATTTGCAATTTGTATATCTTCTTTTGAGAATTATCTATTCATGTCCTTAGCCCACTTTTTGATGGGATTCTTTTTAACTGATTTGTTTGAGTTTGTTGTAGATTCTGGATATTAGTCCTTTGTCAGATGTATAGATTATGAAGATTTTCTTCCAATCTGTGTGTTGTCTGTTTACTCTGCTGACTGTTCCTTTTGCTGTGCAAAAGCTCTTTAGTCTAATTAAGTCCCAACTATTTATCTTTGTTTTTATTGCGTTTGCTTTTGGGTTCTTTGTTATGAGAGCCTTGCCTAAGCCAATGTCAAGAACGGTTTTTCCAATGTTATCCACTAGAAATTTTATAGTTTCAGGTCTTAGATATAAGTCCTTAATCTATCTTGAGTTGATTTTTGTATAAGGTGAGAGATGAAGATTATTTCATTCTCCTATATGTGGCTAGCCAATTATCCCAGCACCATTTGTTGAAAAGGGTGTCCTTTCCCCACTTTATATTTTTGTTTGCTTTGTCAAAGATCAGTTGGCTGTTAAGTATTAGGGTTTATTTCTGGGTTCACTATGATTTCCATTGGTCTATATGCCTATTTGTATACCAATACTATGCTGTTTTTGTGACTATGGGCTTATAGTTTGAAATCAGGTAGTGCAGAACCTCCTGATTTGTTCTTTTTGCTCAGTCTTGCTTTGGCTATGAGGGCTCTTTTTTGTTTCCATATAAATTTTAGAATTGTTTTTTTCTAATTCTGAGAAGAATGATGGTGGTATTTTAATGGGGATTGTGTTGAATTTATAGATTGCTTTGGGCAGTATGGCCGTTTTCACAATATTGATTCTACCCATCCATGAGCATGAGATATGTTTCCATTTGTTTGTGTCATCTGTGATTTCTTTCAGCAGTGTTTTGTAGTTTTCCTTGTAGAAGCCTTTTGCCTCCTTGGTTAGGTATATTCCTAAGTATTTTACTTTTTTTGCAGCTATTATAAAAGGGGTTGAATCCTTGATTTGATTCTCCACTTGGTCGCTGTTGGTGTAGAGAAGAGCTACAGATTTGTGTACAGTAATCTTCTATCCAGAAACTTTACTGAATTCTTTTATCAGTTCTAGGAGCTTTTCAGAGGAGTCTTTAGGGTTTTCAAGGTAAATGATAATATCATCAGCAAACAATGACAGTTTGACTTCCTCTTTACCAATTTGGATGCCATTTATTTCTTTCTCTTTTCTGATTGCTCTGGATAGGACTTCCAACACTATGTTGAAGAGGAGTGGTAAAAGTGAACCATCTTTGTCTTGTTCCAGTTCTCAGAGGGAATGCTTTCAACTTTTCCCCATTTAGTATTATGTCAGCTGTGGGTTTGTCATAGATGCCTTTTATTACATTGAGGTATGTCCCTTGTATGCTGATTTTGCTGAAGGTTTTAATCATAAAGGGACGCTGGGTTTTGGAGAATGCTTGTTCTGATGAGCATTCAACAGAGAATGCATCATCTGTTGAGACGATCATGGAATTTTTGTTTTTAATTCTGTTTATGTGGTGTATCCCATGTATTGACTTGTGTATGTTATACTATCCCTGCATCCCTGGTATAAAACCCACTTGATCATGGTAGATTATCTTTTTGATATGTTGGATTCAGTTAGTTCGTATTTTGTTAAGGATTTTAGTGTCTATGTTCATGAAGGATATTGGTCTGTAGTTTTATTTTTGGCTATGTCCCTTCCTGGTTTTGGTAATAGGGTGATGCTGGCTTCATAGAATAAATTAGGGAGGGTTCCCTCTTTTTCTATCTTGTGGCATAGTGCCAAAAGGATTGTTACCAATTCTTCTTTGAATATCTGGTGGAATTCTGCTGTGAATCCATCTGGTCCTAGACTTTTTTGTTAGTAATTTTTTAATTACCATTTCAATCTTGCTGTTTGTTATTGGTCTGTTTGTGGTTTCTAGTTCTTCCTGATTTAAGCTAGGAGGGTGGTATTTTTCCAGGAATTTATCCATCTCTTCTAGGTTTCCTAGTTTATGTGCATAAAGGTGTTCATAGTAGCCTTGAGTGATCTTTTGTATTTCAGTGGTGTCAGTTGTAATATCTCCTGTTTCATTTCTTAGTGAGGTTGTTTGGGTTTTCTCTCTTCTTTTCTTGGTTAATCGTGCTAATATTCTATCAATTTTATTTATCTTTTCTAAGAACCAGCTTTTTGTTTATCTTTTGTATTGGTTGTTTTTTGTTTCAATTTCACTTAGTCCTGCTCTGATCTTGGTTATTTCCTTTTTTCTTCTGGGTTTGGGTTTGGTTTGTTCTTGTTTCTCTAGTTCCTTGAGGTGTGACCTTAGAGTGTCAGTTTGTGCTCTTTCAGTCTTTCTGATGTAGGCATTTAGGGCTATGAACTTTCCTCATAGCACCACCTTTCCCGTATCCCAGAGGTTTTGATAGGTTGTGTCATTATTGTCGTTCAGTTTGAAGATTTTTAAAATTTCCATCTTGATTTCATTCTTGTCCCAGTGCTCATTCAGGAGCAGGTTATTTAATTTCCATGTATTTGCATGGTTTTGAAGGTTTCTTTTGGAGTTGATTTCCAGTTTTTTTCCACTGTGGTCTGAGAGAGTGTTTGATATAATTTCAATTTGTTTAAACTTATTGAGACTTGTTTTATGGCCTGTCATATGGTCTATCTTGGAGAAAGTTGCATGCGCTGTTGAATAGAATGTATATTCTGGGGTTGTTGGATGAAACGTTCTGTATATATCTGTTAAGTCCATTTGTTCCAAGGTATAGTTTAAATTCATTGTTTCTTTGTTGACGTTCTGTCTTGACCTTTCTAGTACTGTCAGTGGAGTATTGAAGTCCCCCACTATTATTGTGTTGCTGTTTTTCTCGTTTGTTAGGTCTATCGGTAATTATTTTATAAATTTAGGAACTCCAGTGTTAGGTGTATATATGTTTAGGATTGTGATATTTTCTTGTTGGACAAGGCCTTTTACCATTATATAATGTCCCACTTTGTCTCTTTTAACCACTGTTGCTTTAAAGTTTGTTTTGTCTTATATAAGAATAGCTACCCCTGCTTGCTTTTCGTGTCCATTTTCATGAATTGCCCTTTCTACCACTTTACTTTAAGTTTATATGAGTTCTTATGTTTTGGGTGAGTCTCCTGAAGGCAGCAGATGGTCAATTGGTTGGCAAGCTTTTTGTTGTTGTTGTTTGATTTGTTTTGTTTTGTTTTGTTTTGAGATGGAGTCTTGCTCTGTCACCCAGGCTGAAGTGCAGTGGCACAATCTTGGCTCACTGCAACCTCCACCTCCTGGGTTCAAGCGATTTTCCTATCTCAGCCTCCTGAGTAGCTAGGATTACAGGCACAAGTCACCACACCCGGCTAATTTTTGTATTTTTAGTAGAGATGGGGTTTCGCCATGTTGGCCAGGATGGTCTTGAACTCCTGACCTCAGGTGATCCACCAGCCTCGGCTTCCCAAAATGCTGGAATTACAGGCATGAGCTACTGTGCCCAGTCAGTTCTTATCCATTCTGCAGTTCGGTATCTTTTAAGTGGAGCATTTAGGCCATTTACCATCAATGTTCGTACTGAGATGTGAGGTACCATTTCAATCGTTGTGCTGTTATGTACTTGGTGTTTTTTGTTTTAAGTTTTTGCTTTTTAAATTGTATTTTTGTTTTATAGGTCCTGTGTGATTTATGCTTTAAAGAGGTTCTGTTTTGATGTTTCCAGGATTTGTTTCAAGATTTAGCATTCCTTTTAGCAGTTCTTGTAGTGGTGGCTTGGTAGTGGCGAATTCACTCAGCATTTGTTTGTCCAGAAAAGACTGCATCTTTCCTTCATATATGATGCTTACTTTCACTGGATACAAAATTCTTAGCTGGTAATTGTTTTGTTTGAGAAAGCTGAAGATAGGGCCCCAATCCTTCTAGCTTGTAGGGTTTCTGCTGAGAAATCTGCTGTTAAAGTAATAGGTTTTCCTTTATAGGTTTCCTGGTGCTTTTGTCTCACAGTTCTTAAGATTCCTTCCTTCATCTTAACTTTAGATAACCTGATGACAATGTGTGTAGTCGATGATCTTTTTGTGATGAATTTCCCTGTGTTCTTTGTGCTTCTTGTATTTGAATGTCTAGTTCTCTAGCAAGGCTATGGAAGTTTTCTTCAATTATTCCCCCAAATAGGTTTTCCAAACTTTTAGATTTATCTTCTTTCACAGGAACACTGATTTTTCTTAGGTTTGGTTGCTCAGCATAATCCCAGACTTCTTGGAGGCTTAGTTCATATTTTCTTATTCTTTTTTTCTTTGTCTTTGTTGGATTGAGTTAATTGGAAGACCTTGTCTTTGAACTCTGGATTTCTTTCTTCTACGGGTTCAATTCTATTGTGAGACTTTCCAGAGCATTTGCATTTCTATAAGTATGTCCAATGTTTCCTGAAGTTTTGATTGTTTTTTCTTTGGCTATCTATTTCCTTGAATATTTCTCCCTTCACTTCTTGTATCACTTTTTGAATTTCCTTGCACTGGGCTTTGCCTTTCTCTGGTGCCTCCCTGATTAGGTTAATAACTAACCGCCTGAATTCTTTTTCAGGTAAATCAGGGATGTCTTCTTGGATCCATTGCTGGTGAGCTAGTGTGATTTTTTGGGGGTGTTAAAGAGCCTTGCTTTGTCATATTACCAGTGTTGGTCTTCTGGTTCCTTCTCATTTGTTAGGCTCTGTCATAGAAAAGGTCCAGGGCTGAAAGCTGTTGTTCAGATTCTTTTGTCCCATGGGGTATTCCCTTGATGTGGTACTTTTCTCGTTTTCCTGTGGATGTTCATTCCTGTGAGCCTAGCTGCAGTGATTGTGATCTCTCTTCTGGGTCTAGCCACCCAGCAAGTCTACCTAGCTCTGGGCCAGTACTGGGGGCTGACTTCACAGAGTCTTATGATGTGAGCCATCTATGGGCCTCTCAGCTGTGGATACCAGCACCTGTTCTGGTGGAGGTGGCAGTTGGGGGTGAATGCACTCTGTGAGGGTTCTTAGCTCTGGTGGTTTCATGTTCTATTTTTGTACTGGTTGGCCTCCTGCCAGCACGAGGCCCTTTCCAGAGAGCATCAGCTGTGGTAGTATGGAGACAAACCAACAGTGAGCAGGGTCCTAAAACTCCCAAGAGTATATGCCCTTTGTCTTCCACTACCAGGCTACCAGGGTGCATAGGGAAGGACCATCAGGTTGCTGCAGGGCTAGGCATGTCTGAGCTCAGACTCTCCTTGGGTGGGTCTTGCTGTGGCTGTTGTGGGGGATGGGGATGAGGTTCCCAGGTGACTGGAGTTGTGTACCTAGGAGGATTATGGCTACCTCTGCTGAGTCATGCAGGTTGTTGGGTAAGTGGAGAAAAGCCAGTAGTCACAGGCCTCGCCCAGCTTCCACGCAATCTGAAGGGCTGGTCTCACTCCCACCGTGTCCCCTCTAACAGCCCTAAGTCTATTTCCAGGTGGTAGGTGAGCAGAGCTTAAGAACTTACCCCAGGCTACCCACCTTCCAGCTTTGAAAGAAAAGGGCTTTGTTCTTCCCCTTCCTGTGGAGTCTGCAAGCTGGATTTGTACCCTTCCCCCAGTTCTAACCAGGAGGCTTCTTATCCAATTCTAATTATTACAGAGTTCAACTGGAGACTTCCTACTTCCTGTGGTGTTTCCCCTGACACCCCTCCTGAAGGTTCTCTGTGATGCCAGGCAGGAATGGCCTGCTTGGGGACGCAGTGAGCTCCCAGGGCCTTTCCCACTGCTTTCTCTACCCCTATATTTTGCTCAGCTCTCTAAATTGACTCAGCTCCAGGTAAGGTTGGAAACCTTTCCTGCAAACTGCTCCTTCAGTTTCCACAGTCAGGGTGTGTGTTCAGGAGCCGAGGGTCTCCCTTTCCCAATTCCACGGTTTGGGTACTCACAGTATTTGGGGTGTCTCCTGGGTTCTGCGGGAGCAGTTTGCTTCCTTTAGAGGGTGTGTCTATTCTTGTTAACTTCCTTTTTTTTTTTTTTGAGACAGAGTCTTGCTCTGTGGTCAGGCTGGAGTGCAGTGGCACGATCTCAGCTCCCTGCAACCTCCACCACCCAGGTTCAAACGATTCTCCTGCCTCAGCCTCCCTAGTAACTGGGACTACTGGCGCGTGCCACCACACCCAGCTAATTTTGTATTTTCAGAAGAGAGGGGGTTTCACCATGTTGGCCGGGATGGTCTTGATCTCTTGACCTCATGATCTGCCCCCCTTGGCCTCCCAATGTGCTGGGATTATAGGTATGAGCCACTGCACCCAGCTGACTTCAAAAAATAATTTAAAAATCACATATCAGTATATATTTATGTATGTAGGTATCTATAAATATACACACATACACATACGTAAGGGAATATTTGTGTGTGATTTTGCGTGAGGAAAATGAGAGAGGAAAAGAAGAGTAATATATTTCAACAAAAGAGTCTTCTTTATCCATTATGCTTTTTAGAAAATTAAAACATTTTAAAAATTACATATAATTTGTAACCCTTCAATTAGAAATGGAAATCTTGATATAGATAGTTGATATAAAGTAATACCAGAGGGCATATCTCACTCCTTTCTTGACGTTAACAAATGTACATAGCCATACCCCCTTCTAAGGATGTAGTTAGAAAATGTATGTATTACTATAGAAACAGCTTACAGTAGAGGCCAAAATTTCCAAGTAACCAACTTCAAAGGGAATCGGACCTGGGCTGGCACAAAGTGCAAATCAGAAGAGACCACTTTGGTGGTCTTTGGTCTTTGCCATAAGAAGATAAAAAAGGAGATGAGAGAATGGAGAATGAAGAGCAGAAGTGAGTACATTTAAACAGCTTTAAAGTCAAAAGCCTTGTTTTCCCACTAGGAGCCTCTTCTGGTTATTTGGTTATACGCCCCTGTGATGGCTAATATTAGGTGACAACTTGATCGGATTGAAGGATACGTAGATAGCTGGTTTAAGTATTGTTTCTGGGTGTGTCTGTGAGGGTGTTGACAGAGGAGACTGCCATTTTAGTCTGTGGACTGGGGGAGAAAGACCTACCCTCAATGTAGGCGGCACCATCCAATGAGCTGTCAGCACAGCTGGACCAAAGCAGGCAGAAGAAGGTAGGATAAGCTGGTTTACAGATACCTACATATACAGATATAGACTGATAAGTGATTTCAAAATTATTTTTAGAAGTTAATAGGAATAGACAGACCCTTGAGTCTTCTAACTTTCACCTCCTCCTGGGCTGGATGCCTCCTCCCATTTCTCCTGCCCTTGGACATCAGACTCCAGGTTCTTTGGCCTTTGGATTCTTGGACTTATACCAGTGGTTTGCCAGGGGCTCTCAGGCCATCAGCCACAGACTGAAGGCTGCACTGTCAGCTTCCCAGCTTTTGAGGCTTTTGGATTCCGACTGAGCCGCTACTGCTTCTCTCTTCCCCAGCTTTCAGATGGCCTATCATGGGACTTCGCCTTGTGATCCTGTAAGCCAATTCTCCCTAATAAACTCCCTTTCATATATACATGTATCCTGTTAGTTCTGTCCCTCTGGAGAACCCTAATACAGTCCCTTAAAAGAATTATCTACTTGGAATCTTCTAGACCAAGAGGCTGATAAAAACTTTATCTGACTTGTCAGAATACTCTGGATGTTATTCAGAACCTGGGGAAGTGAACATCAGAACTAGAAAATAGATTGTTATCCCTTTCTTACCCAGATGAATGCCCACTCTTTTACTTAATACTGGGGCATTTAATGAGACTTTTCTTAAAGACTCCACAGAGATCTCTCAGGTCTCCATCTTGACTTCCACAGACTTAGTGTCTTCCTAGGAGGACCTTTGTATATGGTGCAGTAACACAGGCATCCCTATGAATACTGCATCATTTGCATTATACTTGCCTCTTTATATCTTCCAATAGGGGAAAGAAAGAAGAATGAACACAATTTTTAAAATCTGTTGTAGAAGCAAGGTTTTTTGACCATAGTATATCTTCATATTGTAAAACACAGCTGATGTTAAACAAATTAAGAATATAGAATCATCATTATAATTACTCAAATATTCTACCAGTTGGTAACTTATAATAATGTATTCAAAAACCAATATGAAGACAAAATATTAAATAGGCTCACTTTGGAGTCATTCCTCAAGAAGGGTATTTAAATAAACTGTATATTCAGTTGTTTGGCAACTTTTTTTATGAGTAGAAGTTAAAAATATCCCTCAACTTTCTCTTCTCTCTACTTAAGTCTTCCATGCCTACTAGAACCATTATTGTAGAAATGCATTTTAATCACATCCAGTACAATATACACATACATGTATAAATATATTAATGTTTCCATATACTGTCAACCAAGAAAAAGATAAGTGACATATACTAATCTTGTGCATGATATATATTCATACTTTCTACTCTAATCCTCTAATCTATTTTTAAATGATATTCTTGACTTTCTACACTTTTATAATCAAAATATATGGAAAGTGGCCATGTCCGATGCTGTGATTTTACCAGAAACTTACAGCTTATCATTCATTCCAAGAATACTTATTAATCCTCATTAAGAACTAGAAAATATGGAATAAACCATTTTCTTTTTGACTCATCATCATCAGAATCATTCATTAAATGCATATTTATATTGTTACTACCAAGATGAGAAACTGATGCCATTGCTAACTCATTCCCCCAAATGATAACTGCTAAAAAATCATAGCAGTTAAAGGAAAATATGAACTGAAGTATTAAAAAAGAAGCATGCGAAAAACCCAACAAACGAAATAATGAGTGATTCCTGGAAAGAAAGATGACTCACAGAAATGAATATATATGTCTTTGGAAGAGATCGTTGTGATTAGTTGAGTCAGGGGGCCGCAGTAGGAGGCATGCAAGAGTAGGCTGAAGGTCATCTGTAGATTCTGCTCTCCTTTTCTGCACTCTTCCTTGAGAGTATCACCTTCTGTCCCTTCCCCTTAGAAATCAATGGCAACAGCTCAGGCCTCTCCTGTCATCAAGGTAACATCAGTGCAGTACAAAAGCCCTGCTAGAATGAGAAGTAATGGGAGTGAGGAAGGGTGGAGTCGTAGTACCCACCCCATCTCCCTTAGATCCCCTAAGAGCATTCTATGCTTTCAAAGTTTTCTATCCTGGGTTTTTCATTTTCTCCCCAGGACAGCAGCCATCATTGGCCCTTTTCCTGTACCCATTGCCACACAGAGCAATTGAAAATTAAAAAAAAAAAAAAAAATCAGATAAGGGCTAAAATGACAAGATATTTGAGTACAGAGCTACTAAAAAGAAACACTACACATTGCACTACATACGCATTCTGAAGCAGAATTACTGGAGTAGATAAACTAACAATTTAGTTAAGCATGTTAAATATACCCAAGGAGTTAACCTATACAGTAATAACACATAGAAAAACAAAACAAAAAATCATAAAAAAACTACTTGATAATGTTAACTGTAGACAATAGCCAGTAGTTAATAGGTAAAATAAAGAATACACTAAACGGTGTAAGTATAAGAAAGAAAATAGTAATAATGACAAATTTATAGAAAGCATCAGGGAACGACAAAATACTGAGATAGAAAATATAAAATATGCATTAAAAGCTATGGAGAATCAGAGTAAAATTGCCAAGTATCTGAGTCACAAAATAAAAGCACACATATAAATAAATAGAAACTTTATCGTGCCATCGTGAAATTTTAAAATATCAAAATAAAAGATACAATTACAAAATTTTCCAAGGGAAAGAACAGGTCACCCACAAAAGGGCAATAATCAGATAGATATCAGACTTCTTAAGATTGTTAATGAATTTAAGAAGACAATAAAGCAATGTTTTAGTACACTGCTTCTACATTGTTCTATACATATAAACTGGCATTCAAATGTTAAAGCACGTAAAGCATGGAAGTGTTGCCAGAGAAAGCTCCATTTTGAAAATCCTTTTGGAGGAAATACTGTACTCAAAAACAGAATAAACAGCAGACTGCAAGTGATATGAGGATTAATAGTGAACAAATACCTTGGCCAATTTAGTTTTTCCTTTAGGAAACAGAGCCGAAGAGGGGAAAATATGATTGGAGTGAGGCAGTGCAACAAGGGGACATATAGTACATAACCAAGACTATTATAAATTTTCTATATTTTAACTTAGAAGCAATTATGGTGAGAACAAAATTAGAATGTGTAATATTGAAACTCAATGCAGAAAAACTTGATTTACTCTGTTAAAAAAATAAGATGGAAAAAATTAAATTAATTCCTATAATGGAAAGGAAAAAAGGCAAAAAATTCAAGATGGCCAAAGTTCCAATGTATTAGAAATCATGAGAAATTAAAATGGGTTAAATTTAATAATTTAATTTTTAAAATGAGACAGAATAACTAAAATTAAAAGAATAGGAAAATATATACAAATGTTCTAAGTTTAAAAATTGAAAATATTGCATATGTAACATAAGCAAGATAGGAAAATACAGACAAAAGAATATAAAGAAAAGAATTGGCAACAACATTAATGTCTGCCACATAAAATTTAAGAAACAGATATAATAAGGGAAGACACTATATACTCGCAAACAAAATAAAATAAAGTAAAACCATTATAAATAAGTATATACCTAACAATGTAGCTTCAGTATTCATCAAGCTATATGTCATAGAACATGAACATAAGCAGATACATAGAATATCTTAAAAATACAATTGATAATTTTATTTTATTTTACATCCACCAGTTTGTTATAAAAGAGATAATGAAGGATACAGAGGAAGAGATGACTAAGGCGAGAAATAGGGGAAGGGGCAAGAAGCTTCCATGCGCTCGCTGGACATGCCACCCTTCAGTAATTTCTAGTGTTCATCCATGTAGGAACCCAGTCCTAGGTTTTTATGGAAGCTTCATTACTTCAGCTTTATGTCCCCCAGGGTATAGGGCAAGATTCTCTTTAGAATGAGAGTTTTATGATCCACAAACAGAAAGGCAGGGAAAGATTAGAGTCCTATTTAGTATGAGTTATTAAAATTGCTTGAGGGGCAGATGTACACGCCTTCTGTTTTACAGTACTAGGTAGATGAATTTCCCAATCAGATACAACGCTCATTCCCATAATACAATCAGATAAAAGTGACCAAACTGCTTCACATGAGGTGTGTTCAAATATATCAACTTTTATAATCCTATCCATTTTTACATTTTTAAGTTCTTGTCCCAGGAACTTCTCTTCTTCTCTTGCAGACTATTTTACCCTCTCTTGTGCGAAAGACTTTGGGCCCTCAGCCAGAGATTAAGCCAAGGGACCCTGGCCTTTCTGTCAATCTTTATCTTCATTAATCAGTATAGCCATTACCCCAGACAATGCCACGGATGGGTTTCTCATTGTAATCTTTTAAAATATTCTGACTTTTTAAATTTATTCAGACTGGGGAAAATAGAGCAAACTGGTTTGGGGCCCTTTAGTATTGGGGGACCAGCCAAGTCTCCCTTTGATCTACTCAGCCTTTGATAGTGTTGTATTTAGACTTTTGTTTTAACCCCATTAATTTCCATTTTATTCATTTAATATTTTAATAACCATCTAAAGATTTCCACCTTGTGAGATGAATCCCATGACTCTCTCTTCTCTTTTTCTTTGTAGTTTCACCTCATCAGTGTTTTTTGTTTGTTTGTTTTTCTTAATTTTTTGTAGAGATGAGGTTTCACTATGTTGCCCAGACTGGTCTTGAACTCCTGGCCTCAAGCAATCCTTCTACCTTGGCCAGCCAAAGTCCTAGGATTACAGTTGTGAGCCATCATGCTCTGCCAGTGTTTTCTTTATTCATCTTATTTGTTAATTATTTAAAATTTTTCACCTTTCTGGGATGAGTTCTTTCACTCTCCTCACTACCCTTCACTGTTCTCTGGTTAATTTACCTGATGTTTTATTAGCATCTGTAGTGACCCATGAGGAGAAGTTGAGACAACAAATTTGATAAGGCTTCTCTGACTGTCTCTGTTTTGTATCAACAGGGTTACATGAGGTGTTCATGAAAATGGGGCTCCCCTAACCACAGCACTTACCATAACCTGAGTAACAGGCATATTTAGCCAGTGAATGTCCCTGACATCATAAAAGCAATCCCATTTGGCTTGCATATGAAGCATATCAACTGCTTCATCTGGGGTGCTCCACTTGGCATTTATAGGTGGAGTCTGACAGTCCCACTTCAGAACTTTACAGTGGCTTTTATCCACCCCACCAGACTGGCCATTTCTTCAGGAATAAATTCCTATGATATATACACATCTGCAATTACTCAGTAGTGAGCTGTAGGTCCTGCATCAATGCAAACATGTTCTTCTACTCTGCATCATTTAAAACCAAAGACACTGGCTGGGCTTGGTGGCTCACATCTGTAATCCCAGCATTTTGCGGGGGCGAGGTGGGTGGATCGCCTGAGGTCAGGAGTTCAAGACCAGCCCGACCAACATGGTGAAACCCCGTCTCTACTAAAAATACAAAATTTAGCTGGGCATAGTGGCGGGGCTTGTAATCCCAGCTACTCGGGAGACTGAGGCAGAAGAATCACTTGAACCTGGGAGGTGGAGGTTGCAGTGAGCCAAGATCATGCCATTGCACTCCAGTCTGGGTGACAAGAGCAAAACTCTGTCTAAAAAACAGAAAAAAAAAACACACACACACATTAGTCGCAAATTATTTACTTTCACTATCCATTTTAGTAAAGGTACCTCAGAGAGCTGATAATACCAATGTACAAAGTGAACAATTTCTTCGCACTTCGCATTCTGCTAAGTTTTAGTAGTTACTTGTTTTTGCCCTTCTCCCACATTGACCACCTTTTTGGTGACCAAAGGTCTTAGAAGTGCTTTCTGTTTTCCTGACATAATTTTCCCCTTTGCGGGTGGCTTTGAGGCTAGTGGCCTGAGCTCAGACAGACTCACATCTGAGCTTGGTTTCCCCTAAAGGCCTGACTCAGCACTCTATTTAAATTCTATTTTAGCTATTATAGATAAAAATAACCAAGGATTCGAACATGTTGCTTTTCTCTTATTAGTTTCATAAACCAAAAATGAAATTCTAAGCCTCCGGATGGATTGAATGGACTCCCCTCTCAGCCAACGGGATTCCAAAGAAACCTGAAAAACTAGTTCAGGAAGGGGATGACAGACATGCCTCATTACACTCTTTCTTTTGGATTTTAGACACAACTGACTAACATTAACATTAAAACTGAGATCTTAAGACTGACAAAACAGACTCTTTGTAGCAATTAAGAAGCAACATTCCAACCTGACTTTAGTGTAACATCGCATGACAAATAAAGAAGGAAATCAAATTATTTTACCTCAAAATATGTTTTCTTACCATATTTTGAAATGGCTCTTTTTATCTGTAAAGAGTCTTTATTAATGTAACTCAATCTTTCCCCTTCCAAGCCCTCCAATCCTGAAGACATTAACTGCGAGCCTGGCACATTTTAAGGCCTGATAAGAGACGTTTGCCATCTATTCTCTGTAGAGTCAGCTTCTGTGGCGGCTTCATCTATATAATAACAACCTTGGCTTTCACCACCCCCCTTATGTTAACCCCAAGCATTTCTTTCTGCTGGCTTCAACTGTAGGCAAAGCTTAACTGTTTTAATCAATTACCTATGACCTGAAAGCCACATCTTCTCCCACCTTTGAGATATCTTACATTTTCAGACCGAACCAATGTGTACCTCACATGTATTGATACACTGATTAATTCCACATGTCTTCCTAAAATGTATAAAAGCAAGCTGTAACCTAACCACCTTACACACATGTTCTCAGGATCTCCTGAGACTGTGTCAAGAACGATTGTCCTCACAATTGTCTTCAAATAAATCTTTTCAAATATTTTACGAAGTTTGGCTTTTGTCATCAACAGTTTGCATTTCCCTGTGCATCCATATCTAAATTCCACTGATAGCTTTTACCTTGAGTAACCAAATGCAGCATAACTGCAGCTCTATACCATGGGGGACCATGTGGCCACCCAGGAATCAAAGGTTCTTCACCCCCTGCTCTTTTATTATTTCTCTTTCCGAGCTGTGTTTCCCTGAGCCTAAGCAGTGCTAGCAAATCTCATTCCCTTGACACAAATTGTTTTGGGAAAAACTGTCAAACCATGTTTTTCTTCTGCTCCCATACCACAACAATTAACACAGAAGACTTCTGTGACCAAATGTATGGGGATTTGTTCTACTAAGAAGTAGCAGACACCAGCTGAGTCTCCTCCAATTTAATTCTGACACTACTTAGCTGGAGATAGTGTCAGATCCCACAGGTTGAAGGCTCAGTCACTAAGATTGCTTCCCCTGCTCAGACACCAGTCTCAAGTCATGGCCTATAGAACTTCTGACCCACCAGTTTCAAGCTGAGGTTCCCATAACCACCTGCTTTGTTTTGATTAGTTTTCTGGAGTGCCTTACAGAACTCGAGGAAACATCTACATTTACTAGTTTATTATAAAGGCAATTAAAAAGTATACGAAGAGATAGATAAGACAAGTTATGGGGAAGGGGCATGGGGCTTCCATGCCATCCCTGGGCATGTGGCCCACCAGGAACATCTGCGTGCTTAGCTCAGGAGGGCCTGAGAACATGTGTTTGTGTGTATATCATGAAGCTCTACAATTGATAATTTTAAACTATTAGTATATAGTAAGAAATCACCGACAAACTGCCTATATTTCTTTACCACACCCAGTAGATTTACAGAAATGATATACAAATAAAATATGTATTGAAACATAAATGAAGTTCTATAAATTCAAAAATATTAGTAGCACATATGTTATTAAACTCTATTTTAATAAAAGTAAAAATAATTTTTATAAGAGGTCAAATAATTTCTTGTTTAAAAATATGTTCTAATAACCATTGGATTAGTGAGAAATGATCAAACACATTGTCATACTTGGCACTTAATAATAATGAAAATCATACATGTCAAAGTAATACTTACTGGATAATGAATAGCTTTAAATACATTTTCAGTTAAATGAAAGATAGATGACATTAATTCAAGAAGTTGGTTAAAAAGCAGAAGCTCAAACTCAATGTACTAACGAAAGAGAATTATAAAGACTAGACAAAAAACAATAAACTATGAAAGAAACAAAAATCCCCTAAATCCTTAGTTCTTTGAAAAGATTATGCTAAAGAAAAAAGGTTATGATAAAAATTGAATAAGAATAAAAGACTCAAATGTTAAAATGTCAAATGTCAAATAAAAAAGAGAAAAAGGCCATATTCACAATTTGAAGTATGATCAGCAACTTTCAACTAATTAATTTTAAATTGTAAACAAAAGTCCTAGGTCATATTAATATAAAATTCCAAAATTTCTGCAATTAGAAATATAATACTTGAATAGACCAATGCATTTGGAATTTCATTGTACTAAAAGGCATCTATTTCCCCAAATTCTGAAGAAGGATTTTAATGATGACTTTTACCTAATTTTCAATGACCAATTAATTCCTAATAAATGCAAGTATTTTGTGGAAAATAAATAACTCTCATCTCGTTATGTGAGCATATGCATTTATTATTGCAAATCAATTCATAACAATATGACTAAATAAACTTATAGGCATATTTCATTAATGAATGTAGATGTAAAAATTCTGAATAAACAAATCTAAGAGTATATTAACAAAATACACATCATGATCAATGAAGGCAAACATGTCTTATCTCTTCAGGAAAATGTGTTCTATGTTTTGAATTGAAAGAGTGATATGTTCTAACTCAGAAACCATAAAGAGATGACAGAATCTTTAACTAATGTGGGAATGACTTGCGTGTGTGTGTGTGTGTGTGTGTGTACATGTGCTTGTGTGTATATCATGAATATTTTATTTTATAATGTGCATCTGGTTGATGGTGGAATCTAGGGAAAGATTAATATCACTGGGATCAACACTTAAAAATTTTGGTAAAGATTCAAATAAAATCCTTTGTAGTTTTTCTCCCTATTTGAAGATTCTAGGTTAAATAAGGATTAAATTAACACATATTTATAACTTTTTTATTGTATAAATCATCCACTAATTATTTTCACTGAAAGGAAGACTATAGTTGTAATTGAAGTTTGGATAAGTAAGGGAGATTAAGATCACTGATGCTCTCTCTCAAATTGGGGCAAATTTTGGATTTGATTAGAGAAATATTGTGCTATTTTAGATTTAAGAGCAGATAATCTTATGTATTGTCCTTGACTAAACATCAAATTACTATGGATTTTTTTCTATCAAGATAAGAGATTGTTTGTTTATGCACATATGGTGCAAATGCTCACATTTGGTAAGTCTATAGTAAAATGCTATGAAACATTGATTTATTTATCATTTTTTCATTGATTGAAAAAAGATGATCTTCCTCATTGAATTTAAAAAATATGAAAAAAGATGTATATCTGAAAAAATAAATTAAAAAACAGTGTATCTTTCTTGATCTAATTCTGTTTAAAAATACTCTTTATGGAAATAGAAACATTTATGTTTATTCCTAAGCAAATAATGAAATGGTAAATATTTCAAACCTGTGACCCTAATGGAAAACCCTAACAGACAGCAGTGAAGAATGGGCTCTCAGGTGTGACCAGGATAATTAAAGATTTTAATGATTATTGAATGCATTTCCCTACTCTTGTTAATTTTTATGGCTTAACTTGTCCTGAGACATAATTAGTCTAAAGCAAGAGTTTTAGCTTCAAGCTTTGAATCTCATTAAAAATAAAGAATTGTTATGTTCTTTCAATCTTATTCAGGGTAAATACAATGTATTTTCTGTTTCTGAGAATTATTGTATAACTATCAATAGGAATGCTTATTCTTTCATGGGTGTTAAAAATCTGTTGGGATTCTAAATCCATGGCCTAAAATGCTAATATATTTTTAATGTTCAAAATATATTTTATGTCTTGAATATTTAAGTATTGCATTCTCAAGTTTTTCTGTCCTTGTTTAACATTTAATAATTATAGTCTTGACATGGTAATGTATTTTCATTATACTTTAATTAAAGTTAATTGTTAAGTATGAACAATGCGTGCAGTATCCATATATGGGGATTTGGGGGAAATAATGGTATCAGTGAAAGAACAGGTTATTAATATAAGTAATATGGCTTTAAGTAGTTCGTGACATAACTAAAGACAAATCTGTACAAAGCAAAATTTTCTGGAGCTAATAAAATGCTTGTGTAGAAAAGAATGTAAAAGCTGTTTTTTGGGGGATGCACTGTTACTCTGCATACGTGTTTAATTTTGAATGGGGTTAGGTTCTACTTGGTGTAAATCAAAAAGTATCTGAGACAGATCTCAATCAATTTCAAAGCTTATTTCACCAAGGTTAAGGACATGTCAGTGACAAAGCCTCATGAGGGTCTGAGAACAAGTGCCCCTGGTGGTCGGGCTACAGCTTGGTTTTATATGTTTTAGGGAGACAGAAGACATCAGTGAATACATGTAAGATGTACATTGGTTTGGTCCAGAAAGGCAGGACAACTTGAAGTGGTGGGGAGCCAGTAGGGTGGCAGAATGTCCAGCTTCCAGGTCATAGTTGATTTCAAAGATTTTGTGATCGGCAATTGGCAAAGATATTCTGATTGGCAATTGGTTATCTAAGAGTTAGAATCAATAGTAGGGAGTGTCTGGGTTAAGATAAGTGGTTGTGTTATGGAGACCAGGGTTTTTATTATGCAGATAAAGCCTCCAGGTAGCAGGCTTCAGAGCAAATAGATTATCTTAAGGTCTCCGTTTTAATGTTAAATTCCCATCATGGCCTGAACTTGTGTTTCAGGTTAACTTTGGAATGTCGTTGGCTGAGTGGAGGAGTCCATTCAGTTGATTAGGAGGACTTAGAGTTTTACTTTTGGGTTACAGTGGTGATACCTTGGTTTTTCTATCAACTTGAACTATCTACCTAATGGACAATGAGGACTAGTGTTTTGGGGTTACTGTCAATATTTTCAAAATTCAAGATTACTTTGAAAATTAATATGGCTAAAACACTAGACATGTTAATTCTCAAGCTTCTCTTTCTGTATTATGTGTTCTTTTGCCATAAAAAGTGTTTGGTTTGGGTTTTCTGTAACAACTGAGGAAATGGTAATGTCTGGAAACTTATACAGGCCTGAAAGAAAAAAGTGTTAACAGGTGTTGTAAAACTTCTGATGGATTTTATGGAAAGCCAAGCCCAGGAGTCAGATGTGATGAGGCTGTTAGGTGGTACTGGAACTATTGCAGCTCTTGAAGATGTCAGAAAGAGGAATCCATGGATTTTCATTCTTATAGTCCTCTAGATAAATGACTCAGCTGGCTTTCCATTGACTGTTTCTATTTCTGTAACAACTGACTTCCTCTGCATATTACTTATGCAACACTTGACTTAACACAGTCTTAATAATACCTTATGACATCCTTAACCTATCTCAGCTGAGAACTAGCCAGTTTTCTCTAGAGGTTCCCAGTTCAAATCTCCCAAGGAAAATCCAATAGCCTAGATTTTATTTTAGAGTCAGAATTATTTAGTTATTCTTTACCCTGGACTTTCCACATCCTGTGTATTAATCTGTTCTTGCATTGTTATAAAGAAATACCTGAGACTGGGTAATTTATAAAGAAAAAAGGTTTAATTGGCTCAGGTTCCACAGGCTATACAGGAAGCATAGCTGGGGAGGTCTCAGGGAGCTTTTACTCATGGCAGAAGGCAAAGCTGGAGTAGGCAGCTTCACATGGGCAGAACAGGAGGAAGACAGAGAAGGGGGAGAGATGCTACATACTTTTAAACAATCATATCTCATAATAACTCTATTATAAAAACAGCAGTAGGATGGTGCTAAACCATTAGAAACCACCCCTATGATCCAATCACCTGCCACCAGGTCCTAGCTCCAGTGTTAAGGATTAAGGATTACATTTCAACATGAGATTAGGGTGGGAACACAGACCCAAGACACATCATCCAGTAACTGGGAAATGATGATAATGGGAAAAATCATTCAAAGGATGATTGCTAATGCCAGAGCTGTATCCAGGCTGTGGGCCACTCACCTCTGGGCTCCAGGCTGCAGACACCTATATACTGCTCTATGAGAGAAAAATCTATCTCATTTAAACCACTGTATTTAGGGATATGTCAGTTACAGTGCCTCGTTCTTCACCTTGATTAATTTAGTAATTGTTTACTTTCAACTGTGGTTACTACCATAACAAATTCACTAGCTACAATAAATTAACTGGTATTACATAAAATAAATACAAATAAATCTCATAAAGTTGATTTTCTCATAATTTAGGCAAACTTTAACATAAAGTAATAGTATTTATTTTTCATAAGCGCATACACAATAAATAAAATGTATAAAAATATGCATGAGACAAATATGTAAGTTCAGTATAGTGGTTACCTGGGGGGGTGGGGGTGAAGAAAGGAATAGAAGTTAGCTGAAACTTTAATAATAAATAATGATAAATAATAATATATTACTTATAAAAGGGTCTGAAGAAAATTGGACAAAACATTCATATCTGGTTAATGTGTAGGGTTAGCCCACAGGCATTTTACGTATTCTTGTTCTTTTCTTCATGTTTGAAATGTTTCAGAACTAAATATTTTTTAAAGTTGTGTATATGGTAAAAATTAACCTTCTTCCTAAATTTAGCTTCCAACCCAATGACTCAGTCTATCTTCAGAGATCACCTGGATCGTGAGTCTCTTTTATCATTTCAGGAAACTTCTAAGAATACATTGTTCAATGCATGAGGCTATTGAGCATTAGAAATATGACTAATCCAAACTGAGATGTACTGTAAGTGTAAAACACACATTGGAATCTAAAGGCATATAACACAAAAAGAATGTAAATTATGTCATGAATAATCCATGTCCAAATAATATTTTGAATATATCAAATTAAGTGTATTAGAAAAATTAAATTCACCTGTGTCATTACTTTATTAAAAATGTGACTACAAGAAAATTGAAAATTGGATAAATTAAATGTTTCATCCACTGTCATAGTTATTTTCTTATTATAGGGAACCCTCAGTGACTATAAAGTCTCAGTGACTAGTGTACTCTCAGGGATTATAAAGATTATAAATTCTATAAAAAGTCTTGACCACTTACTATACTACCATTTTTTACAAAGCACTCGGGCAGGTAATGCTATTTTTAGGAAATACGGTTCCAATAAGTGGCATAAGGTGACAGATCCTGATGATATCTTGTTCAGAAGGAAACATCATGGTGTCTTCGGTAGACTATTCTTAATGTCCCGTAGTTTTGAGGTAAGGGATATTATTATGTAATTGCTCTGACACTTGGCGACAGGTCATAATTACCTGGAGTGTTTTAGAAATAGAGATTCCTAGGTTCAACTCTAGAATCTATTTTTTCTTTTTTTAAAGAACCACATTTTTAAAAGGAAATGAAGTTTATCCAGGCAAGAGAATCACAGTCATAAAGTGTAGGGTTTCTCAATTTAAAAAAAAAATAATAAATAGTTTGTTAAATGAAAAAAGATATTTTAATATAATCAATGAATATATGTGTGAATTTAGTAATGAAGGTTTTGATTAAGGAACAGTGTAATTCTTTGTTCTTTTTCAATATTTGTTAATAAATAATTTATTATTTCTCAAAATAATGAAAAAAATAATGAAAGCCATGGTAATGAGTTTGGAATGTGTCTACATAATAGTCTATTCATTTTCAGATTAATTTTTTAAAGACTGAAGTTGAAAGAAAGAGCAAAATGATCCGAGACCTCCAGAATGAGGTAAGATATATTTCATCTTAGATACATTTTATATAGATCAAATAATATACATAAATGCACATATAAAGTTGCCACTAGTTTGGAGTATTAAACACTTGCATATTTAATTTTCAGTTATAAACTAATGTAGAGAAATTGTAAGGTGAAGAATTTCAAAAAGTAGATAATCCTTACGTTTATATATATTTGATCATTTCATTAGTCCAAACTTCTCTAGTTCATTTTTCTTTCTAATTATATTTTGTTTAGGGTGATATTAAAAATCAATTTTCATTTAATACATTTACTTATTTGTTTAATAAATGACATTACAGGCACTGAAGAAGAAAGCTAGCTAGAAATTGGCTGCGTGCTAGAAAGGGCCAATCTAGAATGAAAAATGTGTTTAAGGATAATCTCAAAATAATGTAAATTTAAACATAAACAAGTTGTAATCATTTCCATGATAGCCTTTAAAATGTAAGCATCCTATTAAATACTGCATACATTTTTCTTCTTTGATTCTTTATCTTGTTATACAATTACTTTAATTTTTTATAATTTCTCCATTACCTATTTCTACCTTTTCATTTCCTTTTTATTAAATGCAATTAATTAAGACCATTGAGCCATGACTAATTCACGATAAGTCTTCCTTGATCAATCTCACTAATTATGTTTTATTTTGAATCCTGATTATGATGGAAAATATCAACATACCAGAGTAATCAGAATACTGGGTATAATGGATAATATTTATTTTGTTGGAGTCATTTAGGGCTCAGTGAGAAAGCCAGCTTACTCAAATCAAAAAATGCTCACATACGATTTAAAACAAGGAAAACATTTTAAACGAGATTAAAGTCAGTTTTAAAATAGGGTAGGGAGTACATTTATATATGCACATGCACACGTGCGTGGGCGCGTACACACACAATCAGCAATATGAACCCAGTTGTATGATTATAAGAGAATTTCAACTTTATTTTTATCTTTACATAAGTAGCATCAGTTCACTTTTAATCTTAGATAACTTCTTAAAATCTAGAATTCAACTAAGGAGGAAGTTCTTTCAAAAAACCACTAGGCTGGGCACAGTGGCTCACAACTATAATCCCAGCACTTAGGGAGGCTGAGGTGGGAGGATCGCTTGAGCCCAGGAGTTTGAGACCAGTCTGGACAACATGGTAAAATCTCATCTCTAAAAAAAAAAAAAAAAAAAAAAAAAATTAGCTGGGAGTGGTGGCTCACTTGTAGTCCCAGCTTCTTACGAGGCCAAGGCAGGAGGATTGCTTGAGCCTGAGAGGTCGAGGTTGCAGTGAACAGTGATCATGTCACTGAATTTCAGCCTGGGTGACAGAGCAAGACCCTGTCTCTATTAAAAATAAGTTTAAAAAATAAAAATTAGAACAACAACAAAAACCTACCAGGCTGGCTCATGCCTGTAATCCCAGTGCTTTGGGAGGCCAAGGCAGCAGGGTTGCTTAAGGCCAAGAGTTCCAAGTCAGCCTAAGCAACATAATGAGATTCCATCTCTACCAAATAAATAAATAAACGCAAAACTATGAATTATTAATAACAAGTAACAAAATACTTTGTCTTGGGAGGTTATTTTTATAGTGAAATTGCACTTTGATAACTACATAGACTAGAATAATTCAGAAAGAAATACAACCCTACAGAAATAATATCTGCTAAATATGAGTTTTATAATTAAATTTGCTACTATTCACTTTAATACTATTAAGAACATATGAAATGAAAATTGATAACCAAAAAAGCTTTGGTCTTTTTACAAAACCTAACGGTGAACATATATTAGCAATTAAATGTTTTCAATTTTACTCCTTTATATCAAATTATTTAATTTTTAGTAAATAATCAGTACGCATGTAGAGATTAAGGCAGATTTATTTAATGAAATAACTGGTGTATACACTGTACAGTGAAGTTATATGGGCACTTCATGGAAGATTTTCCGTTCAGGCATAAGAAAAAAACAGGTAAATTGATTAAACAAAATACAGTGGTGAGGGAGATAAAACAGATACAAATAAATTTCTGGAAGAAGTTTGAAATCCACTAAGTGGTTACTTTTGAGTGAGGGAATTAGGGAAGTGCCAAAAGATGAAGGCTAAGTCCCTCCTATGCCTATTTTGTTGAGGGTTTTTATCATAAAGGGATCCTGGATTTTATCAAATGCTTTTTCTGCATCTATTGAGACAACCGTATGGGTTTTGTTTTTAATTCTGGTTATGTGATGTACCACATTTATTGACCACATATGTTAAGAAATGAGATAGACAGCAACACAATAATTTTTTCCTTTTTTTTCTTTTTTCTTTTTTTTTTTTTTTTGAGACGGAGTCTCACTCTGTTGCCCAGGCTGGAGTGCCGTGGCTTGATCTCGGCTCACTGCAAGCTGCGCCTCCCAGGTTCACACCATTCTCTGGCCTCAGCCTCTGAGTAGCTAGGACTACAGATGCCCGCCACCACGCCTGGCTAATTTTTTGTATTTTTAATGAAGACAGGGTTTCACTGTGTTAGCCAGGATGGTCTCCATCTCCTGACCTGGTGATCCGCCTGCCTAGGCCTCCCAAAGTGCTGGGATTACAGGCGTGAGCTACCGCACCCGGCCAATTTTTGCATTTTTTGTAGAGAAGGGGTTTCTCTATGTTGCCCAGGTGGGTCTTGCATTCTTGGGCTCAAGAAATCCACTCACCTCAGCCTCCTAAAATGCTGGGATTACAGGAGTAAACCACCATGCCCTGCCAATCAGAGTATTTCAAGCACCTTTATTTCATCTATTTCCAGTTACCTATATCTTCTCATGGGCACCACTTTTAACCTCTGAATTGTACTGTTATGACTTAACAAAAGCTCTATTGTGATTGATGTGGTCTCTAAGTTTCAGTTTTGGGCCGTCTGCTTTTCTCTTTATATTTTTTTTTATGAAATATTCAAGTCAAATCTATTCCGCAACAATGTGTATTTCCTTGCATCAAATAATCATATTAACAATTAACAAGGGGTGAAATAATGTCAGCAAAGCTTTAAAAATCATTTTGTTTTTCTTTCCAATATGTTGAGTTTTGAAGCATTCAGGCAAAAGACTTTTCAAATTTTAAAGAAATTGTTATCAATACAAGGACATAAGAAAAAGATTGAAAATGTATGAAAGGGCTTCCTTTTAGTGGTTGTAGTGATAGTTATTGCATTAAAACTCTTATGCTTTTTGCTGGGTAAGATGTGAATACAGAAGTTTCTGTTAAGACTTTTCCCCTGCATTGAAACAAGAGATTTAAGAAAAATCTGCATCAAATTTTAATTTTGATGATAGTGTGCTTTGTTAGAAGTCAATTCCCTCAAAGATCTACATCCCAAAGGAAGAACACTAAATCCTGAATATAAAGCTTCAAAGAATCAAATGATTATGTTTGAGATAAATGCTAAAAAAAATTGTATTTACACTTTTATTAGTTTCTTTACTGTTTTTCTTAGTCTCACTTTGTTGCCCAGGCTACAGGGCAGTGGCGCGATCTCAGCTCACTGCAACCTCCACCTCTTGGGTTCAAGTGATACCCCTGGCTCAGCCTCCTGAGTAGCTGGGACTACAGGCATGCACCACCAAACCCAGCTAATTTCTATATTTTTAGTAGAGATGGGGCATCACCGTGTTGGCCAGGCTGGTCTGTAACTCCTGACCTCAGGTGTGATCCACCCACACCCACATCAGCCTCCTAAAGTGCTGGAATTACAGGTGTGAACCCCTACACCCAGTTTGTTATTTTTTTTATTTATTTTTATTTTTTATGTTCTGGTAACAATGTTACCTAGTAAGTGGTCTTCCCCAATCCCATTTTCCCTCCAAAATTTCTATTTTTAGTGTGTAATTTGTAGAATATAAGATTTCCTATATGCAAAATTGGACTCATAATTCATATATCAGCAGTTTTCCAGTAACTTTGTAATCTAAGTCTCTAGTTCTAATCTCTCTTGTGTAATCCTTCTGTTAAAAAGGTTAACTGAGATATAATACCATTTTTGAAGAGTTTATTTGAGCAAACAACAATGCATAAATTGGGCTGTTCTGAACTAGAAGTTGTTCAGGAGCTTCACTAAGGAAATACAGTGGAAGGTTTTTATGTGACTAAAATAGAAGTGAAGCAAAGAAAATATTTGTTTGGTTACAGTTAGACAGTTGCTGTATTTGGTCGATCCCACTGGAAAATCTCTAGTTATAAAATTACAAGTTTGTTTCTTCTGTGTGTTTAAGCTCAAGTTTTGTTTTTCTTTAATATAGGCATTTATTTACAATGGCCCACATTAAGTTTTTCATATGTTTGCAAATCAAGCAACGATAACGTCACTTACAAAGCCTAACTGGCTTTGTCTGGTCAAGGATTCTTCAGGGCTCATCTCCATTTTAATTTACTTTAACACATCCTTGTGCCTTCAATGTTTATTTTGCATTTTGTGTTTGAATATTGTTTGGTTGCAAAAAGTATACAGTTTTGCACCAGAAAATAAATCAAAACAAGGAAACGAATGAAAAATTCAACCTCCCTTCTCTAACTTCCATACATATGGCAACTGCCTCATCATGTAGTCAATCTCCCATGCTTCAAAGGTCAGAATTTATTCTGACTTTCACTTTCAAAACACCCTTTCTATAGTATCATTTCTTTTTTTTTTGAATTTTATTTATTTTACTCCTAAGATAAAATCAATTTGTCTGTAATGGTCTGAGATATAAGACAGGCTCAAAAATGAGTAGGATAATATATAAGTCTAGGAAATATTAGGCAAATCAGGCACTGGGACAAGCATCTTTAATTAGTTGAAATTTTTTTTTTCCTTTTTTGATACAGGGTCTCACTCTGTCGCCCTGGCTGGAGCGCAGTGGTGCCATCTCAGCTCACTGCAACCTCCACCTCCTGGGTTCAAAGGATTCTCCTGCCTCAGCCTCCCAAGTATCTGGGACTACAGGCATTATATTTTTAGTGGAGACAGGGTTTTGTCATGTTGGCCAGGCTGGTCTTGAATTCCTGACCTCAGGTGATCCACCCGCCTTGGCCTCCCAAAGTGCTGGGATTACAGGCATAAGCCATCGCACCCTGCCAAAATTTTTAAATAAAGGTGTTAGTTGGATAATGTTCAGGGCTTTTGAAAGAATTACATAGTTGGAAATACTTCATGAACACTAGTATTTAAACAGTCTATGCTCAAGGGGTTAATATTTAAAATATGTAAGAAACTCAAGCAATTAAGTAGCAAATAAATAATCTGATAAAATGGACAAAATATCTGCATAGACATTCATCAGAAGAAGATTTACAAATGCCCAAAAGGTAAATAAAAAAATACTCCCAACATCACTAATCATCACGAAAATGCCAATCGAAGCTATGATAAAATATCAACTCACTTCAGTTAAAATGGCTGGTATCAAAAAGAGAAGTAAGGAATGCTGGCAAGGATGTGGAGAAAGAACTGTTATACACTAGGGGTGGGACTTCAGTGAGTACAGCCATTATGAACAACAATATGAAAGTTTCTCAAAAACTAAAAATAGAACTACCATATGATCCAATAATATAACTACTTGTTATATATCCAAAGGAAATGAAATCAATATGTTGAAGAGATGTCTGCACACTCATGTTTATTGCAGCACTATCACAATAGCTAAGATATGGAATCAATGTGTTTATAGATGAATGGATAAAAATGTGGTATATATAAACAATGAAATACTATTCAGCTATTAAAAAGAATGAAATCCTGTCATTTGTGCAAACATGGATGAACCTAGAGGACATTGTGTTAAGTGAAATTAGCCAAGCACAGAAGGACAAATACTGCATGATGTCACTCATATGAGAAATCTACAAAAGTTGATCTCAAAGAAGTAGAGAGAATAGTGGTTATCAGAAGCTGGAGAAAGCAGGGAGTAGAAGGAGATGGAAGAAGTTTTGTCAACAGGTACAAAGTTAAAGTTAGGTAGGAGAAATAAGTTCTGCGTCTTATTGCACAGTAGGATCACTGTAGTCACCAACAGTGTATTATGTATTTCAAAATAGTTAGAAAAGAGGATTTTGAATGTTCTCACCACAAGGAAATAACAACTCTTTGAGGTGATAGATATGCTGATTACTCTGACTTGATAATTACACAATCTATATGTGTATTGAACATCACATTGCAGCTGATAAATATGTACAATTATGTGTCGATTAAAACCTAATAAAACAAAAATAACTTAAAAAATTTAAACTAGTTTCTGATAAAATAATGAAAAACACATTCTGTCTTGAATTAGTCAGTAGATAGACATGGAAGAGAAGGGAAAGATGGAGGAGATGGGGCAGATATTTTTTTCCTTATTTTCTTCTATGGTGGTCTATTTTTTTTTTTTTGGGATTATAATTGATTTGTTTCCTGAGACTCATTCGATAGCTCAAGGTAAGGATGAAATAGGGAATCACACTAAATTCTCTTTTTTGTTTGTTTGTTTTGTTTTGAGACAGAGTCTCGCTCTGTCACCCAGGCTGGAGTGCAGTGGCACCATCATGGCTCACTGCAACCTCCGCCTCCCGGGTTCAAGCAATTCTCTTGCCCCAGCCTCCTAAGTAGCTAGGACTATAGACATGCACCAGCACCCCCGGCTAAATTTTTGTATTTTCAGTAGAGATGAGGTTTTGCCATATTGGCCAGGCTGGTCTCGAACTCCTGACCTCAAGTGATCTGCCCACCTCAGGCTCCCAAAGTGCTGGGATTACAGGCGTGAGCCACTGCACCAGGACACTAAATTCTCAAAGTTCAGAATGTATTCTTTCACTTTCAAAACACCCTTTCTGTACTATCATTTGTAATTTTCTTGAATTTTAATTATTTTACTTCTAGGATAAAATCAGTTTGTCTGTAACGGTCTGAGATATAAGAAAGGCTTGGGAATGAGTGGGATAATATATAAGTCTAGGAATTATTAGACAAATCAGGCACTAGGACAAATATCTTTAATTAGTTTAAATTAGGTCAGTAATCATAAGAGTGGGTTTGATTCTGGTCAGTGGTGGAAATCAGAAATTAACCCAGCTACTCTATCTCAGTGGCATCCTTTTCCTTTTATTATTTCATGTCTCTATTTTCCTTTCTTTCAAGTCTCTCAGTTATCTTTCTCATCTGTTTGTTATATGGACCATATAGTTTACTACAATTCTGGCTTATTAATATGTCTTCTTCAGCTCCTGTTATCAACTGATTTAATGTCCTTTTATATTTTGTTTTAATGTCATTGCTCTAAGTGCCTGAGAGAAAAATCTTGCACAATTCAAGTCACTGGCCAATATCGGATTCCCAAGTAGTTCCAAATAGCCATTGACACATATCCAGGAATATGATGAATAAAACATGATTTTTAGGGGCAATAAAGCAGTTACTATTCTTGGTTATGGCAAAATTTGTTCTTTTAAGAAAGGAATTTATTAATTCCTATAGATATCTTACAAAATCGTTTGAAGAGCTAAAAATACAGCTTATAGGTTGTACCTTAGAAAAAACTCTACAAACACACCACTGATTTGGCTGTCTTGAGAAAGCACTACCTCCGCCTGAATCAGGAAGTTGCCAGCCTGCCTGCTGCCCTGCCACTGCAGGCTCCAGCACCACACACCCTGGGCCTTCTGCAACAGAGGATGGATAGCATTTAGCCTATTTTCTCAAGTAACAAATTCCTGTATCCACATATTGCACAGATCATGTCTGAATAGTAAAGCCTAAGTCATATCTGACCTAGAGCCGCAATGAATTTTCAGATTTTGTTTATTTTTATTTGTCTGCTTTAATTTTTCATGGGAAATATAGATTTGATACTATAGAAAGCTTTCACATTGCAGAATCTAGTCCTCATAAATTAGTAACCTGTGTATTAAAGGCAACCTTTCTTAATAAAGAGTTATAGTCCATGATAACCAGCTTTAGTAGACAGTAGGTCATCATTGAAGGCTATTGAATAAGTGAGAAACAAGTTGTGAGTACCAATGATGGAGTACTCAATAGTGTGTGCATGTATGTTATAGTGTCTTATGTATATACATGGCATCGTATCTATTCATGTGATTTTTAACTTTGCATTTCTCAGAATTATTTTCTTAACATGATGCAAATGCCTTGAAGTTAGAAACCTACCTTCCATAGCACATCATAGTTCACATTTTTCACAAAGACAACACAGGGCCAGGACTTTGCATATATTGAGAATATATTAAGACCATATTCAAGTCTGTTCTTACTAGTACTAATGAATTACATGAATTAAGAAAAAGACACTACCTCCAAATTTGGAGATAAAAGCTTAATTACTGACATGGTTTGGCTGTGTCCCTACCCAAATCTCACCTTAATTTGTAATAATCCCCACGTGTCAAAGGGTGGGGGCCAGGTGGAGATAATTGAATCATGGGGGCAGTTTTCCCCGTACTGTTCTCCCAGTAGTGAATAAGTCTCATGAGATCTGATGGTTTTATAAATTAGAGTTACCCTGCACAAGCTCTTCTTGCCTGACCTGACACCGTGTAAGACATGACTTTGCTCCTCGTTCACCTACCTCCATGATTGTCAGACCTCCCCAGCCATGTGGAACTGTGAGTCAATTAAGCCTCTTTCCTTTATAAATTACCCAGTCTCAGTTATGTCTTTATTAGCAGCATGAGAAGAGGACAATACAATTCCTAATTAGCAATATTCCTTCATAGGAATGCTTAAAGACCCCACAATATACAAAGACTGATATCTGAGAATCACTGGCCATCCTGAAATGATGCAGAAAAACAGTATATGTGTTGTGTTTTTCAAGGAAGAGGGCCTAGATTCTCAGAAGAAGTCCTTGACTAAAATAAAAAAAACAATAAAGGTCAATAACCAATGATCTAGGGAAAACTCTAAATTTTAAGAAGAAAACTCACTTTGGTTCAACTCTTGTGGCTGTAAATCTTTCTAAAATAAATTATTCTACCTTCTTGCCTCAATAAACACACTGAAGTGAAGATGATGGGATATTTCTTAACATGATAGAGTGCTTCAGGGTCACTATTCTGAAAATGAATTCTTATGCCTGCCTACAGATGAATAGGTGTAGGAGTTTGAGTCGAATATTTACTGAGTCCAGGACACACCCAAGAGGTTTTTAAGATATTTAATTATAACTTTCTTTTTTTTCACTTTATTGCTGGTTATTTGCCTATCTTAAGTGATGATTTCTGTGAAATGTTAGTCAACTGATTGTTCTGGTTAATTTCGTATCCAGCATGTGAAGCTCCCTATAAACTATCCATATAAGGTTCTAAGGCTACTGTTAAAAAGTATAAAAAAGTATGTGTCCTAAAACAACAGGAATTTCCTGTCTCTCAATTCTGGAGGCTACAAGTCTGGATCCACAGTGTCAACAGGGCCTCTTCCTGGCTTCTAGTGTCTCCTGGCAATCCATGTCACTCTTTGGCTTGTAGTGGTATCACTCCAATCTCTGCTTCAGTATTCGTATGCCTCTATGTGCCTCTTATTCATGTGCCTCTATGTCTTTGTGTGTCTTCTCCTCTTCTTATAACGACATCATTTATTAGATTTTGAACCCACTCTAATCCAGTATGACCTTGTTTTAACAATTTCATGTGCAAATAACTTATTTCCAAATAAGTTCATATTCTGAAGTTCTAGGTAGACATGAATTTTGGGGTGATACTATTAAACCACTCCACCATCTGTGGCATTTTGTATATTCCTCATAAACAGTGTAGTTTTTTTTTTTTTTTGAAAGGCAAGGAGAAAGCATTTTATTAGGTATAAATCTATCAATGGAAGTATCCTAAAATTGCTTATTTAAATGCATATGTAATATTTATCTGTATATTTATTTCTGGAATATATTACTTAATTCCAATATTGTCCCAACATTGTGCTAGATTCCAGAGGCATACAAGTATTATTAAAATCAAATTAAGTAAAACAATCGCTAACCATGAGAAATGTAAAGAACATTTAATACTGTTACCGAGAAGTACAGATCTCCTTGGTTCTTGTCTAACTTGGAAGGAAGAATTCAGCCAAGAGATGAATAGCAAACGTTAAGTAGCAGAGTTTATTGGAAGAAGATAAAGTACATTCCTAGAGAGGTGTGGAACATAGCCCCAGGCTGGTCTAGCTGGAAAAATAATCATAACAGTGTTTACTTAGAGGTAGTAACTCTGAAGGATGAGACAGAGTGGGCTGTTCAAAAGAATGAGCCATCAGCAGCCGGTGTTGGGAGACTTATTATGGGAATCTTACATAATTATTCACAAAGGTGTGTGAATTATTCATGGCTTGGGAGGTCCCTTAGGGTGCACATGTTCTGTGGTTGTACATGCTATTACACATGTCTCATGTCTCAGTAGCATTTAAAATCTCCACCTAGGAGTATGTTCTTTACTATTATAATCAGCAAAAGGCTACTCTCCAGTGAGTTTTGGAGGAGTGCACATGCTTGCCACAAGGGAAAATCTCTAGCATGGTCATCTCCCACTAAGGACTGTTAAGCCCCCTTCAGTGCCCGAGGACCCTAACCACAAAGCCACATGTAGCCAATGTAGCCATTGTCCTTTTTTCTGTCAGTGGGCAGCCTCTGTGATGGTTAATACTGAGTGTCAACTAGATTGGATTGAAGGATACAAAGTATTGATCCTGGGTGTGTCTGCGAGGTTGTTGCCAAAGGAGGTTAACATTTGAGTCAGCGGGCTGGGAAAGGCAGACCCACCCTTAATCTGGGTGGGCACAATCTAATCAGCTGCCAGTACAGCCAGAATATAAGCAGGTAGAAAAATGTGAAAAGAGAGACTGGCCTAGCCTCTCAACCTACATCTTTCTCCTGTGCTGGATGCTTCCTGCGCTCGAACATTAGACTTCAAATTCTTCAGCTCTGGAACTCGGACTCTTTGCTCCTCAGCCTGTGCAGATGGCCTATTATGGGGCCCTGTGATTGTGTGAGTTAATGAGTTAATACTTAGTAAACTTCTCTCTCTCTCTCTCTCTCTCTCTCTCTCTATATATATATATATATATACATACACACACACATATTTATAAAGAATATATTCTTTATATATCTGTAGGGAGAATATATATATAAAGAATATATTCTTTATATATCTGTAGAGAGAATATATATATAAAGAATATATATAGAATATATTCTATATATATGTAGAATATATATAAAGAATATATATAGAATATATTCTATATATATGTAGAATATATATAAAGAATATATATAGAATATATTCTATATATATGTAGAATATATATAAAGAATATATATAGAATATATTCTATATATATGTAGAATATATATAAAGAATATATATAGAATATATTCTATATATATGTAGAATATATATAAAGAATATATATAGAATATATTCTATATATATGTAGAATATATATAAAGAATATATATAGAATATATTCTATATATATGTAGAATATATATAAAGAATATATATAGAATACATTCTATATATATGTAGAATATATATAAAGAATATATATGTATATTCTTTTAGTTCTGTCCCTCTAGAGAATCGTGACTAATACGGCATCTCTAGAACTTCTTTTCCCAGAGGGATCCCTTGCCTGCTCATTTCTGGCTACCTACCTACTCTAGGAATATTACATAACAGGTGACATATTTGCCATATAATATAAAATACAATAATAATTTCTAAAATTGCTCAAAACTACAGTAAAAATCATTGAAATGAGCGTTTTACAATATAACCTGGAAAGGGGGAAGATGACGACAATAACCCAGAAAAGTGTAATGTCTACTGAAGGCTTCATCTAAGGGGTAGCTTTTGAAAAGTATAATATAATTTGAATTTATGACTATTTGCTCACTACAAAGAAAGTAAACAGGAAAATGTTGATACCTCACAAGTCCTCTTGTAGGTGAAGAAATTGTTACTTGTTTATTAATGTGCATAAAGTTCATTTTGATAGTGCATTGTGGTGGAATCCAATTTCAGGCCAGCTTACTTGCAAAGAAAATATTTGTGGTTCCCAAATCAATGCTGTAAGTATCTGTTATAAAGAGACATTGGGACAGCCAATCCAATTGTTACAGCCAAAGCATAATATAAAGAAACATAAATCTGAAAAGTTCTCTTAGCTGATACGTCAGCCAGCTTTCTACTTCTCAAGGGTGTTGTAGACTTTTTACTTAGTATTCCAGAGGTAAGTCAGGGTGGCTGTCTTATGGAAGTTTGCAGCCTACTTTAATTTTCATTTTATTTGCTGCTTTTATCAATTAATTTCACTCATTAATTTCCTGCAGCAGAATGTTGGCTAGGATAACACCATTGTATACAATCTTAGACGTGACTCAGTTGAAACCATGCTCCTTATACCCTGGTTGCATCTGGGTCACTTTTTCGGTTCTCTGAGAGAGAGATAGCTAGTGTTCCCTGAACATGCTTCAAGTAAAGGAGAAAGTTTAGCTCTTTACTCTTATGCCTTTGGTAAATATTATTTTATGTACCTCAAAATGTGGTTAATTTAGTACAAGAGAAAACTATGCATGTTAGACATTTAGTACATATTAAGCTGTCACCAAATGGAAGCTATCATCATCCTCCATTATTGTTATTGGGTTCTGAGTTAAAATTAGTTCATCAATAAGCAGTGTTATGTACAGATAAATATTTGCTTAGAAATGGTTCTAAAAATCAAACAACCAATCAAAAGTTTCTTAAGTTCTAAAAATCAGCCAATCAACAACTTCATAACTTAGAACCATAAGTTAAACTTATCAATAAAAATGCAAAGGTAAGAAAGGACTCTAATTATCACTTTTAGACAGTCTCATTTCATCTCTTAAAGCATTTCTTTCCACATGTCAGACAAGAAGACTAACAACTGTGCAATTCATATTTTAATTAGAAACAATAGCCTATGGAGAAAACCTTTTCAAATTGGACTAACGGAAAAATCCCAGAGAAGATACTGAATTGATCACATTCCTGAGTCAACCACCATGGTCAGGGAAATGGGCAGTTTAATTGCTAAGCCTGAGTCACATTTCTGCTCTTATGTTGGATGAAATTTACCCTACTCAAAACACAGATTTCCCACAGGAAAGAAGAGTTCATTATAGAAGAGTACCTGGACTGATAAGTAAATATATCCAGAAAACTATCAAATACTTTTACTACTCCCTGCCATCCTCGATCATTTTCTTAATATCCTTCAAATCATAGAATGCAGTAATAATGTAATCATTGCTGTTCCCAAGTCATATGTGATGTATTCACATTGCCATATATTTGTTAGCAATGTCCCCTTGGCTATAATTCTACCATTGCTCCAAACATATTGAGGATCTTCACTCTTCATCTTTTATATTTACTTACTACATTCAGATACTCCATAAAATGGCACTAAAGAAGCTCTAGTCATATGATGGTAGGAAAATGATCATCTCCATTTCTGCACCTGGAAGGAAATGGAAGAACTGCTTTGTTTCCAATCCTCAGAGATTCATCATTTCATTGTATGTACTTGACACCCACCTTTGTGCCTCATGTATCCAGCATTATGACTGGAACTGATGGTGCCTATACAGCCTTCATTCCCAACAGGGCAAGGGTTCCATCCCCTTGGTGACACTGTAAGTAGTTTTTTTTTTTTTTTTTTAGACAAGAGTTTTGCTCCGTCGCCCAGGCTGGAGTGCAGTGGTGTGATCTCGGCTCACTGCAAGCTCAGCCTCCCGGGTTCATGCCATTCTCCTGCCTCAGCCTCCTGAGTAGCTGGGACTACAGGCGCCACCACCACGCCTGGCTAATTTTTTGTATTTTTAGTAGATTCGGGGTTTCACCGTGTTAGCCAGGATGGTCTTGATCTTCTGACATTGTGATCTGCCCGCCTCGGCCTCCCAAAGTGCTGGAATTACAGGCTTGAGCCACCGCGCCCGGCCTGTAAGTAGTCTTTACTTAAGTATAGAGACTGGATTTGGGAAGTGTAAGGAGCTACAACTTGTTAGAGGTGTGAGAAAAGTAAATTCATGCGGGGGGATCCATTTAAACAAGTTGGAAAAATAGAAAGAATGCTGCTTTCATGATGGACAGAGAAGAAACAAATTCAAATAATATACTTAAGACTTAGTATAAACACTATAAAAATCAGATATGCATATATTATCCTAGTGGATTCCTAATGAAAATCTAATGTATCAAAATTGGTAACTGTTTCAATGACAAAATAGTAAACATATTTGTACTAATCTCAAGTATAAAAGTTATACTTCTGTTTAACTTCTATATAAAATTTATACAATTTTTGTACAACTTATAGTCTTATTCTAAAAGCCATGTGTCATAGAAAAATTGGACACTTCATTTTATTTTCTTTACAGCAGTTACTAGTCTTTGATATTATAGTACATAATTCATTGATTTACTTGTTCATTTTCATTCTTCTCTTCTGTGGTTTTTATTTTTTTTGGTGTGGTGATGAGTATACAACATGAAATCTCTCCCGTTAATACATTTTAAAGTATATAATACACTATACAAGCATTATTTTCTTAAAGTTACAAGAAAAAAGTCTTTTTTTAATATTATATCTTCTCCATGTTTTCTGTAATATAGTAGGCACTTGATAAATACTTGTTGAGTGAATGATAAATATTCATTGAATAGGTTATATTTCTATAAGTATCATAAAATGGACCACTATCCATAACTCATAGAAATGAGAGTTCTCAAAATGGTGCGAAGATTTTCTAAATCAAACGTATAGTAAGCTGGGCACAGTGGCTCATGCCTGGAATCCCAGCAGTTTTGGAGGCTGAGGTGAGAGGAATGCTTGAGTCCAAGAATTTGAGACCAGCTTGGGCAACATAGTGAGACCTCGTCTCTGCAAAAAATAAAAAAATAAAAAATAAAAAAATCAGCCGGGCATCGTGATGCATGCCTGTAGTCTTAGCTATTCAGAGGCTGAGGTGAAGGGATCTCTTGAACCTAAGAGAATGAGACCACAGTGAGTTGTGGTCATACCACTGCATTCCAGCCTAGGCAACAGAGCAAGATCCTTTCAAAAAATGAATAAACAAACAAACAAACAAATAAAATTTATACAATTTGTAATAACCTTAAAAATCATAGAAATTAGAAAATCTCATATTGATTAGAACCAGCTAAAACTTGAATTCTTAGATTTTTACATAAGGGGCTGAAAGGCAAGATACTTTACTCCTGGTTACTGCGACATGCTGCACAGAAAGAAAGGATAAAAGCATGTAAGAAACAAACAATCAATAAAGAAGAAAGAAACTAAATGAAGGAACATAAAAAGGAAGAAAGGAAGGAAAGATGAGAAAAGAACCTTGAGAATGAAGAGTAGAATTTTTGCTAGCATTTAAGACTTATTTGCTGCATCATCTGGGAAAAGTCAAAACTTTTGTGAATATCACTGGTAAAATAAGAGGTTTGCATAAAATGATCCCCATGATTTTTTAATTTCAGCTTCACAATTCAAAAACTATAAATTCTTAGTCTGTAGAGACAATAGCACACCAACTGATAACATCAGTAATACCTGAGTACTAAACTCAATGTAAATTCCAACTGAGTGGTCATTAGTATTTCAAACAGGTGACTCTAAAATGTGTTTGGATTTGCCTAGAGATTTTCTGAGCATTTCAGAAATGTGTGTGTGTGTATTTTTAAATGTCAAAGTATGGTATTCTCTAGTACATGCCATAGAAAAATACACCATGAACAATTAACCAAGATTATTTAAGAAAGTTTCATCATTGCACCTATATTTACATTAACTATGTTAACTTTAAAAGAAGTTGATTTTTTTAAAATAAAACATTATTTTCTGCGTTATTTCTAGCAAATATGCACATTCACAAAGTGTTGGAGATATTCTTGAAGCAATCACTTAAGCAGTTATCAACTATTTTCTCCCTCAGACATAAGAAAATGCCAGTGCTTAGAAGACAAAAAATAAATGTCATGGGTAGTAAGAAAGTTGACATAGTTTGCAAAAATCTGTGTATCTATACCAGCTTTTCATCATACATGTCACACTTAACATTTGAGATACTTAAATGCTATCATTGAAATAGAAACATCAATACTGACCACCACAGTTGGGAGGGTAAAATGAGATAATAATTACAAGAATAACTATCATTGTGCCACTCCTTGTTTTTCATAATAAATGTAAAGTGTTAATTAATGGCTGGCCACAGGCTAAATATTACTCGTGGCATATTCTTTAATCAGCTCTTACATGGAAAATACATGTAGTAGGCTGAAAAGTAGCCCAGAGAGATCATGTCCTAATTCCTGAAACATGTCCATGCAAACTTATAAGGCAAAAATATATTTGTATATGTGATACAGTTAGGGATCTTGAGGTGATGAGATTATCCTGGATAATTTCAGTAGACCCTAAATGTAATCACAACTGTCTTTATAAGAGAAAGGCAGAGAGAGATTTGACACACACACATAGGGGAGGAATTGATATGAAGACAGGGTGAGAGAAATTTGAAGATGCCGACTTTGATAATGGGAGGGATGTGAATGTGGGCTGAAATCCAAGGAATTACAACAGCCATGAGAAAGTGGAAGAGGCAAGGGACATATTCTCCCGTAGGGCCTCTGGAGGGAGCTCAACACAGCTTGCTCCTGATTCTGGGCTGGTTACTTCTGACATGTGGCTTTCAAAATTATTAAATAATAAATTTCTGTTGTTTTGCATCACTCAATCTGTGGTAATTTAATTAGGAAACTAACACAGGTGGGGAAGAAGTAGGGCAGGTATTCAGGTTATCATTAATATTAATTACTTAAGTGTGTTTTATGATGGTGGATTCCATTTCCAGCTATTAATTCTGAAACTGAACTGAAACTCTGGCAAGCATTCCCCTTTGACCATTGGATAGAATTTATAGATGATTGTAAAGTACCCATGTGTTTTATCTTCAACCATTATTTATCACACTACTTCTGAGTCCTGAGCACCATATTAAGCAGAGAGGAAATAAAATCAATTCGATCTTCCACGCCTTGTTTTCCACCTTTGCTTTGTGTGGAAAAGACCTCTTAAACATGTAATAAACTTATATGATAGTTGTATAATGTATACAAGGAGCCAGGCATCTTACTCATTTACTTCACACAAAAACTATTGAGCAGGAAATTTGCTAGCACTGGGATATATAACAACAACATGCCAATCATGATGAAGGTGATAATGATGGTTGATGATGATGATGATCGTAATAACAACAGTTTACCAGTATTTACTCTGTGATACCAGACAGGGCCAGACTCCATATTACCAAGAGTTTTACATGCATTATGTCACTCAATTTGAACAACTGTCTTGTTTGTCTGTTCATTTTTAATGGAATGTCTTCAGGTGTGCAGAATTTAATCAGTCATTATCTGTGATTCTGTGGTTTATATCACATCTTCATCATATAATATTGGTTTTGCACAGTCTTTAATCTTTTAAAATGTTATTTTTAAGAACACTACTAAAGACACCAACTTAAATGTGAGCTAGCTAGGCCTTGCCAAAAATCCCTTTTCAGCATCCTCATTCACAGTTTTTATGTGAAGAAATAGAGGGAAAGAGAAATAAAAGTCATATAGTCAATCATACAGTTGGAGTGTGATGCCAGACTGTCTAACACAAGAGCTAATATTCTCTCCTTTTAACCAAATCTTGTAAAGTGGATTCAAGTTACTATGTTCAATCTTTATCACTTTGCATTAAGCCTAATTGAAGACTTAAACTGACTACCTCTTATTTTTATTTCATTATACTTTAAGTTCTAGGGTACATGTGCAGAACATGCAGGTTTGTTACATAGGTATACATGTGCCATGGTGGTTTACTTTCTACCTCTTTCAAATGTAATTTCAACCATCAGCTGAAACATTTCACCTTTTGTCCCCTTTTTCCTCCTCCTCTCTTCTATAAATATTCATGTTGATATCATCAAAATAGATTGACAATATGATATATGATAATATAATCATAGTTTTGGTTTAACCTCAGAGATATTTCTTACTGCACTATTTACCATTGTTGAAATATGTTGACTCTGCAGTAATTGGCCCCTCAAAACAATATTAGGTCCTTTCCTACCTTATGTCTGAAAGTTGCAGAAGACAACACTAGATGGAGTAATTTTCTCCATCAGTCATGAAGACCTGTGTTTCATGATTTTTTATAGCCACAGGTACTTTCATTTCCATTACCATTTTCCATTTTCTTTAAAAAATAGACCTCATAACACATCATGGTAATACTAGAAATCAAAAACTGATATTAAGAAATTGCAAACGAGCTGCTATTTTATAGAAAGGAAGTTTTTTTTAATATACATTAGGAACCCTTCTGCCTCTAAAAACCACATGATTTAAATTTAGCATTTCACATTGACTTATAATATCTTCCTTACCCAATACATTAAAAAAATTAGATGTCCTCCCCCATGATTTTGAAACTTTAATATGTATGAAAAGCACCTGGGGATCTTACAAAAAATGAATATTCTGATGAAGGATGGGGCCTGAGAGTCTAACAAGTTCCCAAGTGATGCCAATAAAATCAATGCATATGCCACGGTTTGGATAAGAAGACTCTAAGTAAGTGCTTGTCAAATGCTGCTGAATGGGTAGGTGCTGACTGGCTACTAACAATCATTCAGAGAGCTTCTTTAATATGTAGATTTCTAATAGCTGTTTAGAGATTCAGAATCAGGTGTGACTTGAGGTTGGCAATCTGCATTCCCTAAATTTAGGTGAAAGAGATTTTATTATACAACTGAAGAGTTCACAGAAAAGCCTGGCAATCTGTTGACTGAGTAACTTTAAAGTGCTGGTGAAGGAAGTTTTCAAGAGTAACCTTTGTAGCATTAGAAGTATGGTCAGAGTGCAGCTGTGAAGATACAGCACAGTCTATATTGGGCCTCATGCACATTTATTAGACAGGGAAGAGCAGAACCACTGATTAAATGGTGTGCTCAAACTCTGTACTATGAGCAGGAGATAATTTCTCAAGTACTAAATTTGGAGGTGCTGCCAGGACTCAATGATGGATTGCAAAGCAACCAATGGTCATGGTATAACAGAGATTTAATTTTATAACCACAGAAAATAGAGCATCTGAAAAAAAAATTCAGATTGGTAAGCACTGCTCTTAACACATAAGCTCCTGGTCCCCTGCTATACAACTGTCTTGCTTTAATATTTTCTCACTTTCTCCTCTTCCTCTTCCTCCTCCTTTTCCTATTTTTCCTTTTCTATCACCACCATCACTACCCTTGAGGAACCCAGTGCCTGTCAAATAGTAGGTACTCAGCAAGTACATGTTGACTAATTGCTAGCTTGATGTATTTTTACAATAAAAATAGCTCATCAAAAAGGAAATAAAAGCTCTGCCTCTGCCATTCTTGTCCTAGAATGTTACCTGTGTAATTTCACTTCTTAATGACAAGCCTTTTATATACATAATTTCAGTTATCTTTGCACAATTCAGTAAATCAGTCAGAACACATTCTGAAACGAAATGGAAGGAAGAGATAAAGAAAATGAAATATTAGGGGCTTTCCAAGTTGCTTACTTGCAAAGAGCCAGAAGAGACTAGGGAATGAATGAGGCACTCAAATTTTCCTCTCCTTTTCAGGTGCTTTTTTGATTACCTACTGTTCTCAACCCTCATGACTATAGACTTTGAAATAAATGTGACATCAACCACATAAATAACTGCCTCTTTTAATCTTTGTAACTATCACAAGCACATGTCCATTGTCTAAGTTCACTATTCTTGTCAGAGCTGCAAGAAAATAAACTTCTCTTTGTATTCTTTATAAAGCATTTTGTTAAGTTGGATGTTACAGCTCTCATATTTCCATGCATTTCTTCTTTTCTAGATAAGATTATGCCTTTGCTGACAGAGTGGAAAACTGCTACTAGGGGCTTTCAATATAATTACACTTCATTTTTTTTTTCCTAACCAAGACAACACAATTTTATAAATTTGCTCACAACTCAAGCTTACCTGGTAAATGTATTTGCTAATCATAATTTAAAAATTAACCCTATTTTGATTTTTAAGAGATAAAAGGTTTTTTTAAATCTCAGTTATCAATTAATACTGTTTCTTCCAAGTAAGGTTCTAACATTTTCCAAATTAGAGGAACAAGTTTTTATATCAAAATGATTCCTCTGGTATGCATTTTAAATTATTTTATTTCATACATGAATCTGCAACCTTCAACTTCTGTGGAGGACTCTGATTTGTTCTTGTAGCAACTGAAAACTCCTTGTCAGAGCTAGAGAACTGACCCTACTGTTTGCTCCAGCAGTGCACTACCCTTCTTATAACTCAAAAGTTATCACACTGCAATGCATTTCTCTGTTGAGGAGGGGAAGGAGTACTTATTTGTTCTGTTTATTCCAAGTTTGAAACAGTAGTGCATGATACATAGTAAGTTCTTACTGAGTAACCAAACAAATACCTACCTCAAGGTATTTGTAGCAACAAGGTCTACCTTTGTTGCTGTTGCTGTTGTTGTTGGGAAATGAAAGGTGACACCTATTTGGGTAGAAAGTAGACCTCCTGAATTACTAAGAATTTCAATTGAAACTAGTGCCATTTGTGCAGCTTCTAGGCCTTTCTTGCGTGGCTTCATTAAATACACCCCTAGACACGGAGTTTGGACTATTGATGCATCCCTTCATGTTCAATTTCTTGTGAATTAACAGAATATAGCATAACTGTTATGTAAACAGATACAGAACTTCCTTTTTTCAGTAATGTCAGAGGCAAACATTTTAAGAGTTGAATCCCTTAAATGAAAATAAAATTTATCTTGTTTTTATTCTACTTTGTTTTCTTTATATATAGCTAATAAGCTTAGATCTTTTTATTTTTTATTACCATTAATGTTGAAAAATACTACCAACACTTATTTCACAATTAAGAATCATTAAAAAATGTTTTTTTGAAAAAAAATGGTGACAATACCCGATAAATTATAAGGGTATATTGTCATCAGTCTGTTTATTTAATGGTGTTGGTTCTATTAGAAGATTTTTGTAAATACTCTTTTCTTCCATCCTTTGGAAGTTGCTTATTGATTCTGTCACAAAAAGGTAAATCACTTACCTATTTCTTTTCAAAAACAAGATGTATTCATTATCTAGCAATAATTACTCAGAATTTCCAATCTGTTTTTGTTTTCATTTTTGTTTGTTTTGCAAGGGAAGTGTCTTTCCCAAATGCTATGGAGTCCAATTCATGTTCACTCAAAGAGTGAGTCCTCCAGTAAAACAAGGCAATAGTGAATTGGTGACAATATGAAAGGAATGCTTCTTGCCCTACATGCTGTTAACTATAGCAAGGTAGAATCTGCATGAAAGTTTAATTTTGTGTCACTTCTATTTTCTAATGTATTATTATTGATGGGAACATATATTGTATATGATTAGACATATAATGTGTATGATATACATTTATGCATATATTTTCTATGCCTAATCACATGCTGTACATGTAAATACATACATTTGCATATATAAGTATCCAGATATTAGAATTCACTTGGGATTAGCCTTTTGGGAAACTGATTAAACTTGATCCCAATATTAATTCCACAGATCTGTGGAAGTGTGAAGCCCCATTCATATTTCTGTGGATCCATACCTCACACATACCTTCTTCCCTGTAGTTACACTATTTATGCTCATTCCTCTTTGGAAGATATCTCTTCTATGATACCTTTTCAGACCTCTCCTGCATAAACTGATTGACTTTATCATCTGTTCCCATCACATTTAGTACACATATCTATATTGTGGCTTTCACCAGATTGCTGGCTAGTTTTTACTAATGAGGCTGTCTTATCTACTACACTAAGGAATTACTACACTCTAAGTTCTTCAGAGGAAAAAGGAGAGGAGGAAAGAAGAAACTAACAATCTAAGGCTTAAATACAAAATAGCAGGTGGATTTATGATTAATGGTGTGTTAAAAAGGTATGCCATCTTCAATTGCAAGTGTCAAAATGTGAATTATTAAATAAAGCATGGACCTTGCTTGGAAATGTTTAACTGAGTCATTTAAATAGCCTGTGACCTGTAAAGACATTGATACTTACTTGGGAATATTAATGACATATTTATATTGTCATTATGAATATAATGACAATATAAATATAAGAAGAGTATGACATTTCATTAGGAAGTTTAATGAGCTTGACAAGATGACCCTGGTAGTCAATTCCAATAATAACATGTTATTATAATATGATTAAAATGAAGGAGAACAAAAAACTCAGTTAAGATAAATCGTTATATCAAACAATACAATTATGGCTAGGATGCTACATATGTGCTATTATATAAACTGTTAGAGACAGAAGAGATGTCAGACAGCATTTAGCCCACACTTCTCCTTTCACAGATGAAAAGTTCCAGGCTTCAAGAGGCTATGCTGACTCTGGGAAATTGCTCTGTTTCTCCCTAAAAATACTTTGTTCCAAATTGGCAGCAGTTATAACTAGCAGGAACTATAGATCTGACTTCCTACAAGCAGTCACCAAATGTAATTATTTGAGTTTGGACTTACAAGCTTCACATTTGACCCTTCAAGTGGTACCCAGAGTTGGGGCACCGAGTACATCAATGTATTAACTCATCTTTGCTGGTGGGCACATTTTTCATCGGCTGGCACCTGGTATATGACTGTATTTTTAATTTAGGCCCTCACAAATCCCTCAAAGTTATGAAGGCGTTGTAAAATATATGTCTCAGGGAAACCTAAAACCAAGAAGCATATTATATATTTTATAATTTTATATTTTTAGGTTAACTTAATTTCCCATCGTAATTGCATGCATGCATGTTTGATATAAAAATTATAAAATACAGGAACATAGAAAATAGTATGTTTTATTATTTTACCACGGGAAAAAAGTAGTCAGAATTCATGGGCATATCTAATAAATACATTCCTGACCCTTCTATATAAATAATATGGGATGTTTTTCTTTCCACTTAGTATACATATGCAATTTTTCATGGTACCAAAAATTCTGCGTAAATATCATATTAACGACTGCCTATTTGTAACACCTTCCCCTAATGTGAAGAATAAAATATGTGTATATTTGTATATACACAAATATATAATATATAAACAGGTGTATATAATTATATAATATATAAAATATATATTTGCATTATATTATATAATATTAATAAATTATAATATATGCATTTATATATTATATACCACATAGGTATATAATATATAAATATGTATATTATGTATTTATATATAAATATGTATATTATGTATTTATATATATATATGTATGCCATTGTTTTGTGTTGTTTTATTTTCCCACCTTTGTTTTAATGATTAGAAAGACTATCTTTATGCAGGAATGAATTAAACAATTGCCTATGTTTTCTTTCAGGTATTTTTATAGGAAGCCAAATTTTCAATAAGAAAGTACTGTATCAGTAAATAGAATGATGCTATCTGTGCATTCTTTAGTAGGTATTGTACACTTGAAAAATAATAACTGCCACTAAAACAGCAGGATTGACAACTTTTCTTGCCCAATTCAGGCCCAGTTATCAATTCAATTGAGGAATGAGTGTTTGAGTTAATTGAATGTTTCTGTTTAGTCAAGTGACAAAATCTCTGTTCCCTGCTCCTTGATCTCCTGAAATGATTTAAAAAGACCTTATTATTTCAACAGCTACGTTTGGGTACCCTTCTGAAACACTGGACAATTAACTTCTTTAATTTAAAGTAAGCTTATTTAAATGTTTCAAATCATCTAGAGCCTGAAGCTGAACATTGAAGTATCAGTTGTGTTGTGCCATGACTCAAGCTAATGATGTTAAAAAAGATTGAGCTGATTGTAGACTGATTTTATAAGTTCAAAAATTTGGGGCAGCATATTCTTATTTCCTTCAGCTATAGCAAAGACATAATCATAAAATCTACTACAAAGATTTATTGTGAAAACTAAGGTCAGAATAGTCACTGACACAATGTTAGAATCTCATTAATGTTAGCTATAATGACGATAATTATTATTATCATTGGTAATTAATAGTAAACTGGACAAAATTGTTTCCTATTGTCAGGTGATTGTTTTTCATTTATACCTAGTAAAGCAATCAGCAGAGGCAGTGATTGACTGTAGAGTTAAACTCAATTTCTATTTCTGCTATGTTTGTTTTCATTTAGTCACAACTTTCATGATTCTACCTCCAACACTCACCTCTATTTATTTTCTATGCAAGATTTTTTATTCTCTCACATTAATTTTCTTTGTGGTATATTAAATACCAACAGAAGCATCAGGTTTATATATAATAGTTGTTCTTGTAATTCACAAAGCTAGGTCATCAATGCAATACACATAATTATTATTTCTTTTTTGAAATTAGTTACACAATGTTGACCTATGCTAGTCTTGAATTTCTGGGTTCAAGGAATCCTGCCTCAGCATCTTGAGTCACTGGGACTACAGGTGTGTGTCACCAAGCCTTGCTGTCTTATCCTTTCTTAAAGCAAGTTTTCCATTTGAAAACTGCTAATTTCTTTGGGGCATTGTCCCCGTAAACTTTTTTGTAAAACATCATTGGCTTGTGAAACTCAGATAAACATGCTGACCCATGTCTACTTAAATTCATTATCAGTAATCTTAAGTGGGCCCTTACTACTTCGAAGCAATCCTGAAATTCTGTAAATTTAACAGTACCTTAATTCTTTCACTGTAACAGATGCCTATTTCTTTTTGTTTTTAATTTTTTTTTTTTTTTTTTTTTTTTTCTGAGACTGAGTCTCACTCGGTTGCCCAGGCTGGAGTGCAGTGGCACAATCTCGGTTCACTGCAACCTCTGCCTCCCAGGTTCAAGTGACTCTCCTGCCTCAGCCTCCTGAGTAGCTGGGACTACAGGTGTGCACCACCATACCCAGCTAATTTTTGTATTTTTAGTAGAGACGGGGTTTCACCATATTGGCCTGGCTGGTCTTGAACTCCTGACCTTGTGATCCACCCACCTCGGCCTCCCAAAGTGCTGGGATTACAGGCGTAAGCCACTGTGCCCAGCCCAGATGCCTATTTCATACCTTCTTCTTTGTCCTCAAACTGAAAATTCTGCCTTGCCTTCTAAAGCCACACTGTCAGTTGATATTCCTGTGTATTAATCAGAATTATCCAGAGAAGCCAAAACAACTGGAAATATATATTCATATAAATATGTTATAATATTCATAACATATAAATACTATTTATTTTCAATAATTGCTTCCTTGATTATGGAGGCTGCCAATTCCATAATCTATATGGCAAGCAGGCAAGCTGGAGACCCAGAGAAAAGCTAATACTGCAGTTCAGCTCTGAAGTGCATCTGCTGCTGAATTCCCTCTTGCTCTTGCTCTTGCTCCAGGAAAGTCTGTCTTTTGTTCTATTCAGGCCTTTGAATGCTTGGACAAGGCCCACCCACATTATGAAGGGCAATCTCTTTACTTACAAGCCACCAATTCAAACGCAAATCTCATCAAAAAATGCCCTCATAGGAACATCCAGAATAATGTTTGATCAAACTTCTGGGCACTGTGTCCAGCCAAATTGATGCATAAACCTATCCATTAAACCCTGCTTTTTATTTCATCAAGAAAACAGAAGGCTTCCATGCTGCATAGTGTTCATGGACCCTTGGTGGTGTACATTTCACCCATTATTACTCTGCTGTGTGCCCAGGAATTAGTACGCTCTATGGACAACATCAATTTGTTCTTTCATCATTTGGCTTTCATTTGAGTTTGCTAAATGCTAATCTTTGGCAGCAGATAGAAGAGGGCTGGTAGTGAGGTCAATATATGTTTATCCTCTATATATGGTCAACTAGGGATGCCAGGATTTTCAGCCAAAGTTCATAGCTTCTCTCAAGGTGTGTCTCTTTGTATAACTTTCTTCTCTTGAATTCATGCCTATTCCCTTCATTACTTAAGTAATCCAAGATACTGGATTACCTCTTATAGTTTCTCTTTACTCCCTACATGTTAGCAAATAGTTTTTCAATTAAATTTGCTCAAGTTGGTATTATTTTGATTGCTTCATCTGTTTCCTGATGGAGTCCTGATTAAATCATACAAAGTAATTTTTTACATGCTTCTAGCCACATCTACCAATCTATCAGCATTGCTACCTGTCTTAGTCTATTCAGGCTGCCATAACAAAATGTTGTAAAATGGGTGGCTTATAAACAACAGAAATTGATTTCTCACAGTTCCAGAAGCTGGGAAGTCCAAGATCAAGATGCCAGCAGTGAGGTCTGATGAGGACTCACTTTCTGGCTCAAAGATGACACCTCTTGCTGTGTCCCCACATGGTGGAAGAAGCAAATGAGCTTCCTTGGGCTTCTTGTATAAGGGCACTATTCCCATTCATGAGGGCTCTATCCTCAGGATCTAATCATCTTTCAAGGGCTGCACTTTCTAATATCAATGACATTGTGGGGTTAGAATTTCAACATATAAATTTAAAGGGGATATAAACATTTCAACCATAGCACTACCCATTTACTCTGCTTTCTCAACTTATGCTGAATGAGTTATCCATGCTCTTATCTCAAGTTAGTCTTTCCACCTGTGCTTTGAATTTATACTCCACTCGTATGCAAGAATATCTAATAACCATTCCTTCTCTCATGTATCATAAATTTCACTCTCTCTTTCATAAATATATGCTGTTGTGTCACTCATCTTTGAAATATCAGCACTCTAGCCTACATTGCACACAGCTACTGCCTTTTTTTGTGTTCCTTTTTACAGTAAAATGCTTTGAAATACAGTATATTTTTATTCTGCAAATTCATATTTGCATTGAATGTGAATTTGAAAAAAATACATTTTTTCTGTTTAAGATCAGTAACTCCCTACTGCCAAGTCAAAATGATAGTTCCTAGTTTTCATGTTAAATTATTAGCAGTATTTGAAACAGTTGACTATGCTCACATTTTTTAAACGCTTGCTTTACTTGTCTTTCATAACTCCATATTTCTAGGGTATTTTCCTGTTTATCTCACTGATCATTCTTCTTTCATTCTTTATTTTTATTTATTTATTTATTTATTTTTCTGAGACAGATTATTGCTCTGTCATCCAGCCTGTAGTGCAGTGGCACAATCTCAGCTCACTGCAACCTCTGCCTCGGGGGTTCAAGCGATTCTCCTGCCTCAGCCTCTTGAGTAGCTGGGATTACAGGCATGTATCACCACGCCCAGCTAATTTTTGTATTTTTAGTAGAGTCGGGGTTTCACCGTGTTGGCTAGGTTAGTCTCGTACTCCTGACCTCAGGTGATCCACCTGCCTCGGCCTTCCAAAATGCTGGGATTACAGACGTGAGCCATCACACACAGCCAATCCTTTTATTCATTGTCTTTGTTAGATATTTCTTAAATTTTTAGCTATTTATTGTTCAAGTGTTCCAGACCTCAGTCTTCAAACCTCTCACTTTTCCATTTATGCATACTGTAAAAGTGATCTTTTTTGTCTTAAGTTTATGAGTGTCATTGACCAATGTATACTTTTCCTATGTGTATATTCTGCTCAGACCACTCCAGATATGTATGTGCAAATGCTTACTCAATATATTTACCTGTATGTTTAAATGGTATCTCGAACTAATGACATCCAACATCAGTGTCTCTGATTATCTCATATGTGGAAGTTATTGAGACAAAACACTTCGTAATAATTGTTGACACCTTTCTTTTTCTCATACCCCACGTTTGAAATTCTTCTTAATGTTGCAAAAGAAATAATAAAATATTACAGATCCAAGCTATCTTCATGATTTTATGTGCTATCTACCATTTTCATTATTGTTAATATTAGTTGAATGAGCAAATCTTATTCAAAGTCAGATAAATCTGAGCTATGTATTTGAATATCGTATTTTCAACAATTTTTCCCATTATAAATTTAGCTTTAAAGGTATACCTTTTATGGAATAGGAGAACATTCTGAGTGGAGCTCTGATGGAGTGGAGTGGATTTAGTACATGTACATGATAATTTGTAGGACTAGCTGATAAACATATGTTAACAATATTAAATGTTTCAATCCATACAACTTCTATTTAAGGTTTATGAGAGTTTAAAAGCTTTTTTTCTTTTTTTGAATATCACTACTTGCATGTAAAGCAGCTTGTATATTTTATTTTCATCTCTTCAACATGTTGTATAATTAATATAATTATAAACTAAATTTTTCATTGGCTATCAAAAAGGGTTAAATTAGTTCTTTGATTATTTTGAATAAATAACTTACCAGTTATTTTCTTTTATAGGACAGAAGGAGATTATTTAAGAAGCAACATTTTGATCTTTCCAAATTGTAGACCTGTTATTTACAGAGTTTTGCAATTATCAGAAACATTTGAACAGAAGCTTAGAACTTTCTTTCTGTGGTCCAAATTTCAAACAGTGAAAGCAGTAAAAACAGTGAGCAGACTCTGATACTGTAAATGTCAAGAATTTTCTCCATTTGCTCAGGCCCTTTTCTTAGTGAGAGTCTTTTTTTTTTTTTCCATTCAATCCAAATAGCAGCTTTTTTCTTCCTTTTCTTTTTAAACTTTGAGAGCTTTGAAATGGAATTCTTCATTTTAAAATTATCCGATCATTTCTTCCATGTATAGAGAAATGCATTTAGCTCTTGTGACCTACCTATCTTGCATTTCTATTTTCAAAGAAATATAACTTTATGGCCAGGCACGGTGGTTCATGTCTGTAATCCCAGCAGTTTGGGAGGTGGAGGCAGGCGGGCCATGAGGTCAGGAAATTGAGACCATCCTGCCAACATGGTGAAACACTGTTTCTACTAAAATACAAAAAAATTAGCTGGGCATGGTGGTGCACACCTGTAGTCCCAGCTACTTGGGAGGCTGAGGCAGGGGAATCTCTTGAACCTGGGAGGCGGAGATTGCAATGAGCCAAGATTGCACCACTGCACTCCAGCCTGGTGACAGAGCAAGACTCTGTCTCAAAAAAAAAAAAGAAATACAACTTTATGTGATATAATGAAACTGTTTTGTACCATTTATTGGACACGTACTCTATGTGGAGTGCTGTGTTGGTTTTTTTTGCTTATATTACCACATATCTTTATAAGAACTTAGTACGGCACTGTTATAATCTCTGACCTACAGGAAAATGTAATGAAGTTCATTGAAGTTCGTATGCCTAATTTTAGCCAAGTAGTAAAAAGGAGAGACTGGATTTGAGGGAAGCTTCATTGGGATTTAAAATCCAGTTATACCACTAAACAAAAATCTTCTTTTATGAATTTTTCTTATGCCCTGAATTTCCTCCCATTCACAATGAAAGCTGTACTGTTGTTGTTCCTACTCAATCCACACCCTGGTTCTCCCTGCATGAACTTGGTGTCAGGATTGGGATTTGTTCCTGATTCAGCCAAAGATGTACACGAGCTGGAATGGAAAGCCTCCCTTGAGGCAATTTCTATGACTTGTATTTTTTATTCCTTTTCCCCCATTTTCTCACCAAAAGATCTTCTAGCTTCCTGGAAGGCTGATTTATTTTCCAGATTCATTGTCTTTCTTTGCCATAACTGGTGAATTTCTGTTAGATCTGCATTTTAATTTTAGCTGAGCAAATTATTAACTGTGGATTTGTTTCTTCATAGTACTTTATTTAGATGTTTAGTAGAGAGTTTAGTGTCCCATATTCATCTAATTTCCATGCTGGAACAGGTCAGGTTACCTTTTCTGGAATTTCCCTGTATGATTGCTGATGAACTAACTCTTGTTATTTCAACCTTTCCTTGTGTCAAAGTTCAGCCTTAAAATATGGCACTATTCAGCTTTGTAGATGCATCATAAATGATATGGTTATTTGATGTACAATTTTTTGTTGTGACTTATTTCTAAACAATTCTGGGTAATCCCATGGGCCTGAATCTGCACTCTATGGGTCTTTCCTTCACAAATAAACACACTCTGTTAATGTCACCACCTGCAAACATCTGTGGATGTACTCTGCTCACAGATGGGTTTGCAGTGAAAAGACTTTTATGGATCCTCTTGATGCTCAGCTGTAAAAGAATAAAGAAAAGTCTGACTAAATCTTGCAAAAGAAAAATTGCACCTGACAAAATTAAACTGCTGTTTATCTGAGAATACCATGATAAGGGAGAGAGGACAGAACACAGCTGATCTCAACTCTGCTGAAACAAAAGATAGGCGGCTTGTTAGTCATGAGGGAAATATTAAGGCAGTCTTGCCTTATAAGACAAGAAATATAAGACAGTCAATGTCTTTGTCTGTAAGAGACTAGTAATTACGTATAAGTCTTTTTCTGTATCATTCCCTCAGTCTCACCTATTAAACAGCTCTTAGGCAACAGCAGCTGCTTTAACATGGTTTTGTTAGCTGTCTTGAGTGGTTTTATCTTTTTCAAACCTACTCACAAAATAGTTATATTTATATACATTTTTCTTTATCTTTTATATTCTGACTAACCAATTATTATATTCTGACTAACCAATTATTAATAGAAAGTCAGAAAAGTAATCTTTCTAATATTGAGTCTGAGAAGATACAAGGATCTATTTTCCCTAACCTGACCTTGTGTTTCTCATTTCAAGTAACAGGTAGATAAATATAATGCCTTTAAAATGTAAAATTCTCCAACTGATCCTAAATAGAACATTAAGGATCTAACTAATGAGCCTGGCCTTGTTAGCCTTGTCAGATCTCCTTATCTAACTTATACAGATTTTAGAAGGAAGTGCCATTAAACCTTGACCAAGCAGAAAACAAAAATTCAAGGGTTCATTGCACAATGTAATACTCCACATATTCTACTGATATATTCTACATACTCTACATACTTTGCACATGGCATACTACTCTTTATGTACAGAGATGAGTTTCTTACTGTTTAAAGTTTGTATTCCAATAGTGGAGAATGAATGTGTGCAGTCTCTGCTAATCTTTACTCCTAATCCTGATGGTGTCCAACAGTGCGTATTTTCAGAATGGCTGTGATTGCCATTCCTTGAAGGCGAATCAAGAGATATAGCAAACAAAAGGAAAATTAAAACCCCAACCTCAGACTCCTAAGCCATGGGAAATATTAACTTATTAAAACACATAAGCTAAATGTTTTATATATTTTGATATCTGACACTTTAGAATGAGACAAGCTATGACTGTATAAATTGGTTATGGATTAAAATGATTTTGTATGCCATAATTGGACAAATGAAAGGTGTTCTTTTGCTGATTGTGTCAATTTTGCCTTTCTTTTACATGTAATACAAATAATATTTTCTAATTTATTCTCTCATAAGTTTCTTTCAAGACTGAAATGAAGTGTGGTATTAAAAAATGTACTTGTAAATAAAAGATATAAGATACCATATCATCAATCAAATAGAAGAATAAATATGACATTCAAAATAACCTTGTTAACAAGGTAGTTAATTTTAAGAATTATAGGATTTCATGTGTAAGTGAATTTGAGATCATTTGGCCATGAATAACATCTTAATTTGGTTATTTATTTGTGTTGAAGATAGAGGGCAGATGGAAGTTAAATACTGTTAAAACTCACTTGCAAGTAGAATTCAAACATAGCTCCTTAACTTCTTAACCCATTTCACTTTCCAAAATGTTCGACTTTACTGATAAGATGGCTCATAATTATTTATGTTTGTTTCATAACCACTAACATAGTAATCATATGGACAATATACATGGTTTATTGATTAAAACATCATTATTAATGACCTTTTTATTTTGAACAATTTGTCATTATTCTTATTATGTATCAATGATTTTAGATCTTCAGAAACACTCTTTTTTCCTTTTTGTTTGTTTACTTTTTACTCCACCTAGAGAAAAATTGGCAAATGGTCAGCATTGCAATATTTATCTTTATGTTCAGAAAGTTCACTAATTATTCACTGAGTATATCTGATTCCTACAGCATTAAAACAGTATGAGAAATAAGAAGAAAAGGAAAATAGCAATAATAATGAACAACTGTGAAGGGAATGCATTTTACAGAGTATTTTCAAGAGTTTTATTACATACAATTCTCCTAATATCCATGCAGAAATTAAGGTACTGGGCTCATTTCATGATTAAGAAACAAAGGCCCTGAGAATTTATGGAAGTTAGTACAAATCTCACAACTAAACCAGATGTAACTCCCAAACCTGAGCTTTTTACCAGGTTCTCCTCTGTTGCTTTGTCAGCATGTCAGTGTCCCACAGTTCCTCTCCTCTGTTTTTACGGTGTGCTTATGTAATTTGGGTTTAGTCTTGAGATCAGAGAGCTAAAGGAAAACACAGAACCCTAGTCTATAGTAAGATGATATGACTTGCTATCAATCTCTTGTCTCCAAGTACTTCAGTGTTATGCGCCTCACTGAGATATACACTTGCCTGCCTAATCCTGTCTGTCTATAGAGAGCACTGGTGTGTAGTAACTGTGATCTTGTTTCAGTGACTGCAAGTGGTTATGAACCAAACTCCCTACTCTACTGTCCAAGAACTTCTCAGGTGATCCGTTCCCTTCCACAGATGACAGTTTTACCTTTAGATACTGTATAAACTTATTTTGAGTGTTCTCAAATGTAGCATAAATTAATAATAAATAAATAAACAAGCAACTTTGTTTTTTGAGTGCAAATTTGAATTTTGGACCCAGCCAGAATTTATCTGAAGCACAATTTGGTGAATAACCTTCTGAACACGCAGGGGTATACGTTTTAGGGGTCAAATTGCTCTGGGGCTTTCAAGACCTTAAGCAAATGGCATATGCAAAGCAAGTTCTATTCTTCTGAAATCACATGGGTTAGTCTTTTTGAATAACCCGATTAGAGTTTTCTATGTTTAGCATGTTCTACTTTCCTCTATTCTCTGCCACTCTTCCAATTATAGTGTGTTCTTGGTTTTGTTGGCAAGAGGTGTAACGTTATTATTAACCACAAACAACTTGTAATTGCCTTTTTCAATTTATATAGGTTGCCCATAAAAAAGTCATATAAACTACAACTATAATTTTGTATGGTAATAATAATCTGTGTGTGTGTGTGTGTGTGTGTGTGTGTGTGTGTGTGTGTGCCACAGCAAGGGATAGAGGAAAAAAAGAGCCAAAGAGAAAAAAAAAAAAAGGAAAGTGAGAGAAGAGGTTCAGAAGGTTTATACCAGGGCTGGCTTGTGATAAGACTGCTGGGGAACTCTGGTCAGATTCAATATTCTTGTGGTCTAATTGGACCAACATCTTTAAAAAATAAAAATGCAGATCATATAATACGTTTTTAAGTGAAGTATTGCTTCACACTTGACATGATTTAGATACTACACAAGTTTTTTTTGGTTTTGAAGAACAAATCTAGCAAAGCTTAGCTTAATGGATTATACAGACACACAGATAAAATAAATCCTCCTCATTAACAGCAGAAACTCTCTGCATATGCATGTTTTATTTTGCATAGTGAACCATCCTTACATGAAGGGAGGAGGGCGAGGTTTGGAGACAACAAAGCATGGTGGACAGGGGTTCAGGCTTTCCAGTCAGAACATCTATGTTCAAATTTCGGCTCATCATTCCCTAGCTGCGTGACCTTGTGCAAGTAATTCAAATACTGCCAGCCTCAATCCTGCATGAATAACAGGGAGAAAGTAAGAGTACTAAATCTGTAGGGATGTGGCCAGAATTAAATGAATTAATATGTATCAAACACATAAGATAATAAGAACTGAATAACTGTTAGCCCTTATCACTATCACATTACGATATGTCATAATGAAGCATTCTGAATAGTCAAACACATGATATCCTGCAATAAGAGTCATTTGACTCAGGATTTATAATTAGGTTTGATAATCCAAGGGTCGTAGAAATTCTGAAAACCACAATTGATGTGATGCCAGGAAGATGATGAAGGCAATAACCTTTTCTTGAATACCTAATGTTTGGCAAACACTGTATGAATTTGCTTTTATGTCAATAATCTCCTTTTATCCTAGAAACAATTTTGCAAGGGACATAATTATCCCTCCCATTTCACATGTGAAGAAACTGTAACTCAAGGACTTTAAAAATCGTGTACAAGGTCGGAGAGCAAATGAGTATCAAAGCCAGATTCAAACCACAGAAAACTTGCCTCCTGGTGATAAACCTGCCAGTAGTAGAAATGCTCTGTAGTAGAAATGCTACTGTAGTAGAAATGCTCCCCATCTATTCATACAGGATAACTTAGGGGAAACATATTTTGTCACTAGCATCTCAATTTCCTATTGCTAAGATAACAACAACTTTTAGGATTCATGCCAGAAAAATCTATGAAACAGCTGACATAGTTTAGGAGTTCTATTTATTGATAAAGTTCTTTTATAAATCTGCTGGCAAGATGCTAATGTGGGTTATGGACAAAAGTTGAGTACACTTTACCAAGTTGCAATGTTTTCCTCATTTGCTGTTTTCAAGACATTTAAAAACCTTCACTATTTGTGAGAGAAAATAATTAGAGCCTGTGTCTGACATGATACTAAGAAAAATACAAAGTAAAAGGAGCTGAGAACAGGACAAATTTTCCAAATATATAATAATCGAGTTTGGTTTTAGTTTTCTTTTGTTTTGTGTTATTAAAAAGAAGTCCTTTTTTGGCTCTGATGCTCTGTAAAATACACAAATACTATGTTTTGTTTGTTTGCTTGCTTATTTATTTATTTAAAATTTGAAATATAATTAGCTTCTTTCTTTGAAGCTAGGGGCATCTTATATTTCTTTTTTTTTATTATTTATGTATTTATCTATTGGAAGATGGGATCTCACTCTTTTGCCCGGGTTGGAGTTCAGTGGCAAGATCATAGCTCACTACAGCCTTGATTCTTCCACCTCATTCCCAAGTAGTTGGGACTAAAAGCACACACCACCATGCCAAGCTAATGTTTTATTGCTTTTAGAGATAGAGGCACACTATGTTGCTCAGCGTGGTCTCTAATTCCTGGCCTCAGGCCATCCTTCCACCTCAGCCTCCCAAGTCTTTGGGATTACAGGCGTGAGCCACTGCAATCTTTTTATGTTAGTTTAATTTGAAAAACTAACAATATATTTGCGCCACAAGGGGAAGGAGTCCCCTAAGTTCCCATCTGCCTTGTGTGCAATACCAAATCAGAGCACACAAGGGACATTTAGTCTAGAGATATCAGATGGAGAGTGCAGAATTATCTGTGCAGAATGGGCGTATAGGCTGTGGGAGACTAGGACTGTCTATCTTGCATGCTCAACTTCCTGCTTCCCCCTGCTTGCCATTAAGAGAGGAGAAGGGATTCCCTAGAGCCTGTGGGAGAGTTGACATAAGGGAAAGGAGCAGCTGCAGGTCTGGCTTTTGGAGTGGACTCAAGGTTATTTCCTGTAGAAACAATGCTGTGTACAGTGGACAGTAGTGGCCAAAGAAGTGCCACCAGTGCAAGGAGTTCACCACATAGTTAGATTTATTTTGGCTGGGTGAGCTTCCTTACTATGTGTTCAACATTGCTACTAAGAGAAAAGGAGTTTTTGAGGCACACAAAATTTACAAGCTCAGTTTTATTATGGTAGTGGAAGCTTCACTCACTGTAGAGAAAGCTGTTTTATACTAGAAGCACTGTGTCTCACTGTCATTTTCTCTTTCTGCTCCTCCATCATCATTGTCATCATCTGAAAATAAGTAATGCTAAATAAAACTTTTGATGTTCTAGCACATTATGCATTATGTGCTGATGAATAGACATGAGCTCGTTCAGTTATCAAAGGATTCCCACAGGTAGGAAAGTATTACCTTAATATAGAGAGAAAACTGAGTAACACATAGGAGGAAGAAACCAGTACAACTTCCACAGCTATTAAATTCAAAGGGGCCGGGTGTGGTGGCTCACGCCAGTAATTCTAGCACTTTGAGAGGCCAATGTGGGGGGATCACGAGGTCAGGAGTTCAAGACCAGCCTGGCCAACATGGTGAAACCCCGTCCCTACTAAAAATACAAAAATTAGCCAGGTGTGGTGGCAGGCGCCTGTAATCCCAGCTACTCAGAGGCTGAGGCAGGAGAATCGAACTTGGGAGGTGGAGGTTGTAGTGAGCCAAGACCACACCATTGCACTCCAGCCTGGGTGACAGAGCAAGACTGTTTCAAAAAAAAAAAAAATGAAAAATGCAAACCAGGACCAGCAAAAGTGAGTTCAAGTATTAGGTCTGCTAAACACCAACTTCATAACTCTAGTAAACTCACCTAGCATCTTGAGCCTAAGTTTCCTCATCCAAAAAAGGTGATAAATAATTATAGCTATCTCCTAGTAATGTTGTAGATATTAAATCAAATATGGGGAAATGATTTAATTCCAGGCAGTGGAAGTTACTATTAGAATACAAAAGTAATATTTTAGTAGTAGTAGTATTTTTTCTATCAGAAAGAATTAATCACAATTAATGTTCCCATAAGTTTAGGCATTGAGCATATCTTCCTGATTGATTGCTGCAATAAATGATAATTGTAATAAAAGTGCTTAATTCTTTTAGCTAAAGGACGAAACAATCCTAAACATCGTTGGAAGTAAAGCAAGGCAAAGTGTAGATTTGATCTCTTTAATTACATTTTAGAACATTTCAGCAGCTCTCTCGGTCCTTTGTCTTCCTCCCCATAATTTGCTATCCACCCGCCCCCACCCTTGTTTTTTTAGGGTTGGATGCTGGCAAGAGAGAATATTTCACTTTCCTTATCCTACACACGCTCCATACATGGAAGTGAATATCTGAAGGTGATAACGGATAAGCTTTTTCTCTTGCAGAATTCTTGGTGATACTTAGTTGGGAAATTCTCATGAAAGACTCCGTGGCCCCCTCCTCCTGCCTTGCCACGCTAGATTGTCTGTCACATTGTGTAGGACTGTGGTGTCTGTGATGTAGCTTAGCATTCACTTGCAACTGGGTATATGACATTGTCACTATCAAGAATTGCAAAACAGATTAGATGCAGGACAACAGTCTGAGCAGAGGTTACTGAATTCCCTATATAAGCATGTTCAGAGATCTAGTGAATGCCAGGTCAACCTCCCACATTACATTCACATGCCTATCATTTAACTCAAAAAAAAAAAAATACAAAAAAACAAAAAAACCCAAAAAACTCAGGGAGGGTGAAAGTGGATTTGCTTTCCAGGTCATATCCTCACTTATCTTCCTCATGCATCTCTAATTTGTTGTGTCTAATGGGAGACTGAGCAGCGCTGGACAAAATTTTTTCTCTGGAACTTTATTTAAAACACACTAGAAAAATCATGTAAATTTTACTATAAGCCCCAGGTTGAAAGTTAAGAAAACATAAGAAAGATAAACGAACTCCTCCTTCACATTTGCTTTCCCTAGAATTTTTTCTAAAACCCTGCAAATGGCATTTTTTTTGTTTCATTGTAACCTATTTTATTTGTACACTTTTGTGGCAAATATATGTCCAAAAGCTATTATGAGTTCTATTTGTATTTGACACCAGAACAAACTATTGTAATTTGTAGCAAAAATTCCGAGTAGATTAACCTCCCTAAACTTCTTCCATTTCACGTTACATCATGAAGCCTGTTTTTGTTTCATTCTTAATTGTGCTTGGCTCAAAAGTGGAAATTTGCTAAGATGACCATAATTTTTAAAACAATTTTCTCTAAGGGTTCAAGTATCATAAGGGAATGTGGATCCTGCTGAATCAACATATAACCCATCACTTTAAAGACGTGCTGATAAAAGAATTTCTACAAATATTCTCAGCAGGGGTAAATTTTAAAATCATTGTTGGTGAGGGAATACCATCTCCCTTTTCCAGGAATCGATCTGCCTGCCTCTGCAACCCCAACCCTCAATTCATTCTCAAAGCTTTCTGAATGCTCCATTAAAGACACATTTTATTCAGGTTTTCCAGTGGTCACATGTTCACTAATAATAATAATTTCCAGGTTTTGGTGATGTATTGTGTTTGGAGGAAATCGTGTTAACCATTTGAAAAATATTTATTTATATGAATACTATAATATTATGAAATACATGACATTACCACTACTTTATTGTGATTATTATTTTATAAATGAGGCTTAGTATTGATCCAAGGAAACACAGTTAATGAAAAAGAGATCTAGGAAAATTCTTATCACAACTCCATATTGCTTCACTAAGGAGATTCGGAAAATGCTACGTTGAATGTTTATTAAAAGAAATTTTTAAGGATTTAGACAATAATATTCTAATAGTATTATCATTTAGACAATAATAGTCTAGTAGGGGATGTAGGCAAAACTTTCCTAAATTTATTTATTGTTTTTTCTTAATATAAGGAATAGTATAATCTAATGACAGCATCCTAGATTTTAGGGACATACTTGGCTCTACCACTTAATAGCTGTCCCAATTTTGAAAAATTACTAAACAGTTATGAGCTTGTTCTGTCATTTGCAAATAGGTTTAATATCCCCAATTTTTTTTTAACTAAAATTTTTTGAATAATATATGTATGTACAAAGAGTACATATGTGTACATATGTTTAATGATTTTCTGAAACTGAGGACACTCATGTAATGTGCATGTAATCCAAACATTACTACATTACCAAAATCAGAAGTCTCCCTAATCCTCCCTTCATTCATTACCCATCAAAGATAACCACTATCTTTACTTCTAACAGAATAGTTTCATTTTGCCTGTTTTGAATTTTATTTAATTAGACTCATACAATATGCAGTCTATTATATCTGGCTCTTTTCACTCAGCATTTATATTTGTGTGATCCAGCCATATGGTTAGCTATGATATAGTTTGCTTGTTCTCATTGCTGCATAGTGTTTTATCCTGTGTGTATACTATATTTACCCATTCCTCTGTTGATAGGTATTTGGGTAGCTTCCAGTTTGGGACTATGAAAGATACTGCCATGAAGAACATTCTACTACATGAGTTTTGGTGACTGTATAGACACATTTATGTTGGGTTTCTACAGTCTGTTTTAACAGATATCACTGCCACTGTTTTTTTTTTAATTTAAAAAATTTGCTGAAGTACACATAAGATAAAATTTACCTTGTATACCATTTTTAATTGCACAGTTCATAAATATTAAATATATTCATAATGTTGTGAACCCATCACAACCATTCATTTTCATCATTTCTTACATCTTGTAAAACTGAAACTCTGTGCCTATTGAACAGTTACTCCCCATTCCCCATCTCCCCCAGGGCCCTGGCAACAACCACTCTTTTATTTGTCTCTATGATTTTGACTGTTTTATGTACCTTGCTATGGTTTGAATGTGTGAGTCTCTGTAAAATTCACATGTTGAAAATTAATACCCAGTATGATAGTTTTAAGAGTTGGGGCTTTTTGGACAGTGATTAAGTCATGAGTACTCCTCCTTCATTAATGGGATTAATTATCTTATATAAAAGGTTGAAGAGAGCATCCTCATCCTTTCTCCTTCTTCTACCAGACGCTGAATCTCCTGGTTCCTTTATCTTAGACTTCCCAGCTTTTAGAATTGTGAGAAATAACTTTCTGTTATTTATAAATTACCCAGTCTGTGGTATTTGTTATAGCATCAAAAACAGACTAAGACACATCTCATATAAGACAATATCATCAGAGTAAAAAAGTAACCCACAGAATGGGGGAAAATATTTGCAAATTATGTTTGACAAGGGATTAATACCTAGAATATAAAGAACTCTCTAAAACTCAACAACAACCAAAATCTGATTCAAAAATGGGCAAAAGACATGAATTGATATTTCCCCAAATAAGACATATAATGGCTAAGTAGCTGGTGAGAAGATGCTTATCATTATGGGAATGCAAATCAAAACTATTATGAGATACTACTTCATACGTCTTAGCCATCCCTTAGGATGGCTATTACCAAAAAACAAAAAACAACAACAGAAAACACATAAAATAACAAGTGTTAGCCAGGATGTAGAGAAATTGGAATCCTTGCACACTCTAAAGTGGTACAGCTGCTGTGGAAAATATTCTAAAAATAGAATTTCCAAATGATCCAAATTTTCTGCAAGCAGAGTCTCAAAAAGATATTCATACACCAACATTTATAGCAGCGTTATTCACAGCAGCTAAAATGGGAAAACAACCCAAGTGTCCATTGACAGATGAATAGATAAACAAAATGTGGTGTATCATACAATGGAATATTATTCAGCCTTAAAAAGAAAAGAAATTCTGACATATGCCACGACATGATGAACTTTGAGAACATTATGCTAAGTTAAATAAGCCAGTTATGAAAAGACAAATGTGGTGTGATCCCAAACTGTTTTTTATATGCACTAAATTAAACAATATATATGGAAGACTAGCATAGTGTATGGTAACTTATCAATAAGTGGCACAATAATTCTATTTATATAAAAGTATTTCTGCCTAATGTTGAAGGTGAATTGGAAGAACTTATGGTAAGTGAGTTTTTCTTAGATATTGATCAAACTGGAAACATAGGAGATTAGAATAAAGCAGTGAGACATTGAAGTACAAACAAGCAAGTGCCATAAAGGAAAAAAAAAAAAAAAAAAACTAGGAATAACTGTTACTTTGCTCCTAACACTTCTGAAACCAAATATATGGGTTTTCCACTAGCAATTCCTTAATTTTCTGTGGACACTAAGTGTCTACAATTTATTTCAATTTTCACACTAATTTATCTCTTAGATGCTCTGTGCCAGGAATGAGGCACAAAGACCAAATACATTTTTCTTATTATATCACAAAATCACTAAGACAAAAAGACAGGCCAAGTATTGGCAGATTGAGAAGGCAGTAGCCATCTAGGAAGTTCAGATAAAGCCTATGTTTCTAGTTACTCCATCAAAGGTAGGAATGTTATAGAAATTTTAGGGGAGAAAACGTATCATCTTTTCCTAACCCATCCCAAAGTTCATGGCAGCTACCCCTATAATAAAAGACATATTAACAAGAGAAAAACACACCAATTCATTTAATAATTACTGACACAGGAGCCTTCATAAACAAAGAACCAAAGAAAAAGAGAGGTTTGTTTACTTGTTTGGACAGCCCTGCAGAAGTATGATTGAAAGACAAATAAGGATGATCTAATGGTAACAAACTGGGGTAAACTTAGGCCTGTTTTTCAGATTCATCTTAGCATCTCTCTATCTTAGAGAATAAAGATGTTCATTTCCTCCAGGTATAGGAGGGCTACTTCTGAAATGAATCTCATGACCTGTTTTAGAGAAAGGTCAGAAAATTCTTTTATTGCCTGCTTCAGGGGAGAAGGGGTGAAGGTCAGAGGGACCCTCTTGCTTCTGCTTTCTCTTCAGATGCCAAGGTGACATATTTTGGTGTAGCATGTTCTGAATCTTATGAGAAGAACCTTCTTTATCTATTTATTTATTTTTGAGATGGAGTCTCACTTTGTTGCCCAGGCTGGAGTACAATGGTGCAATCTTGGCTCACTGCAACCTCTGCCTCCCAGGTTCAATCAATTCTCCTGTTTTATCTTCCTGAGTAGCTGGGACTAGAGGCATGTGCCACCACACCCGGCTAACTTTTTTTTTTTTTTTGTATTTTTAGTAGAGACAGGATGTATTAGACTTTTCATGCTTCTGACAAAGACACACCCAATACTGGGAAGAAAAAGTGGTTTAATCAACTAACAGATCCACATGACTGGAGAGGCCTCACAATCATGGCAGAAGGCAAGGAGGAGCAAGTCACATCTTACATAGATGGCGGCAGGCAAAGAGAGAGCTTGTGCAGGCAAACTCTGATTTTTAAAGTCATCAGATCTGGTGAGACTTATTGACTATCATGAGAACAGCACAGGAAAGACCCAGCCCCATGATTCAATTACCTCCCACCAGGTTCCTCCCACAACAAATGGGAACTGTGGGAGTTACAATTCAATATGAGATTTGGGTGGGGACACAGCCAAACCATATCACAGGGTTTCACCAGGTTGGCCACGCTGGTCTCAAACTCCTGACATCAAGTGATCTGCCTGCCTCAGTCATTGCGCCTGGCCAGAAGCAACTTCTTTTACTTCATACTCTTTCCTTTGTCAACATTCTCTTGGATTTGCCCTACAGATTTGTTCAGCAGAAATCTGCTTGTTGACTTACATAAGCTAAGCATCATAAATGGTACTGGAAGTTTTCAGCCTGAAAATGTCAGAAATAATCCCTGGAAGTATTTTAATCTTTGAAAATTAGAACCCTGAGTGGCCATTGAGGTTTTCTAGCCCATCGTTTTCTCAACTGTTTGTTTTAGGTTGGATTTCCCCTGAGACAAAAATTCAAAACTAAGTAGTTTGGGAAAAGGAATGCATGGCAGCAGAGTAATGGAGAAGTAAGACGAGAAAGGGAAGGCAGCCAGTTGAGGATGATGTAGGTTAATCATCCTACAGAAATTTTTGGATGACATTGTAAGACTTCTCTTAAATATTGGCTGGAGGCTTATTGCAGGGGTTTTAATTCCACATTTCTGTCCTGCAACAAGAGTAAGAAAAGTGTGTCTTGGCAGAAAGCCTGTTGCAAAGAAATGTAGGAGCTAGATGTTGGCCTGACTTGCTTTGAAATACTAGTGTTGGAAGATATGAAGAGACCAGGAATATTACTTGTAAAAGTACATTATGTTGATGTTAGTCTATAAAAAGTATTTCATGGTCAAAAATCTTGGGGATAAAAAGCCAGGTTACACTGCAGGACTTTTCTTATTTTATCATTGGTAAATGTGTAGCTTCAGGGTAGGAACATACAGTGATGCTCTGAAGTTGGAGCTTACCACTCGGTAAATGTTAATTGTTAAATATTCGGGAATTTTGTGAATCAGTTGTTAAGTTGATGGTAGCTTGAAATTGGGCATTGTAGTAATATTTACATCACGGAATTTGGTATATGTTACTAATCAGCCTCCACTATTGCCAGAGTTTGTTTATTAGTGCATCACCAACATTGTGCACATTTTTGTAAACTATACGCACCATCAACCCTTAAGTTACTAAGACATTGTATAGGATCAGTGCTGTATGTGGGATTCACTAATAAAATCCAATTGCTTATTTTTACAAGGGAGGAGCATTAAGTTCATGTAGGTAGTAATTTATTTAGAAAAATAAAATTCTCACTACAAAGAAAAAGGAGATTGGGAAGGTAAACTTGGAATTTGTATGTGAAATGAGGTAAGGCAATGTGGACTCAAATAGGTAGTTCCCAGTTATTTACAATCCTGTTGATAAAGTTCTCCTGTTATTTCTATCAATTCTCCCAATAGCTTTTATTATTTTTGTTTCCTGAAACAAGACTTTGGAACACAGAAGAGTTTACCTCAGACAATCTTTGACTATTAAAAGCCTTAGTTCTCTCCTCAGAAGGGTAACTCTGATAAAATAATCTCCTTTTACCGATTTCTATGGAATCACATATAAGTTGGTTGGAGGATAGGGGATGACAAAAAAAAAATCAAAAAATTAGAAAATGAAGTAGAAAGGGTTAGTTCATTAACATTTTTATTAATCACATCAGTGGGCAAACCAATTTATTTACTATCCCTCAAAGAAAATCCACCAAAAAAAAAAAAAAAAAAAGGAGAGATACGGTCTAGATACTTTAGACCATGGCACCCTCTGGTTATAGGTCATTACAAAGGAAGGAAAAAGTAATATCTCTTCCTTACCCATTGTAAGGATCATGGCTGATTTTTAAAAGACAGGTTAAGGCCGGGTGCAGTAGCTCACGCCTGTAATCCCAGCATTTTGGGAGGCCAAGGTGGGAGGTGGGCAGATCACCTGAGGTCAGGATTTCTGAAACCAGCCTGACTAACACGGTGAAACACTGTCTCTACTAAAAATACAAATTAGCCAGGCGTAGTGGTGAGTGCCTGTAATCGCAGCTACTTGGGAGGCTGAGGCAGGAGAATCACTTGAATCCGGAGGCGGAGGTTGCAATGAACTGAGATCACACCATTGCACTCCAGCCTGGGCGACAGAGTAAGACTCCATCTCAAAAGAAAAAAAAAAAAAAGTCAGGTTAAACAAATTATTTAACAAAGTTATACATAGCACAGGAGGCTACAGAAATAAAGACCCAGGGAAAGCTGTATTTTTGTGCTCAGGTTCCACAAAGAATGAATAGTTGTGTAGAAATGTGATTGGGCAAAAAAGAGTGTAGCTTACAGTAATGAATTGGGGGTGTGTGGAGAGATTCAGCAAGTCCCATTTTCATTCAGATTCATGTTGGCCTCTCTGTGTAGCATTCATTCTTCCCAAGTAAGAGAAAGAACTCCTCTAGAATGAGGGTCTTATGACCTACTTTTCAGGCAAGCGAGGTCAGAGAATTTTTTTATGGCCATGCTTCCCATAAAAAAGTGGAGGAAGGTCAGGGCGACCATCTTGCTCTTTGGCTTTCTCAGTTGCCATAGTAACATATTTTGGGGGTATTGTGCTCTGTGCTGTGATAGAACTAAGATCAGAAGAAAATTAAAAGCGTCACTATCAAATAGAATCCAAGTCATTTCTTAATTATTTTGGGGTGTGATTCTGTAGGAGACTTACATTCTGCATTGTCAAATTGATGGGAATTGTGAAACAGTGATCACAATGGAAATAAAATGTAAATAATAGTAATAGAAATAAGAACAATAATGTATATTTTAGAGTTTATACAGCACTTTCACTTACAAGATTACTTCCAATTTTAAATTGCGGAGTTACTTGTTAATTTAAATAATTAATGTAAGCGGATGATAACAACATAGGTGCTAGCATCATGTCCTTAAGCCCAATGACTTCCAAGAATATTTTGGGTTTTAGACAGTGTAAATTCTAATAAAGTTTAACTCATGCTTTTGTGAAGGTCACTAACATGTTTTCTTTTATTTATTTAAGCTTCTGACTGGATTTGCAATGAACTCGATTCTGAAGGTTGGCAAATTCCAATACTTACACAACCTTTCCTGTAGGTGTTATCTGATACAATGAGGCTGAGAAAATTTAATCTTTTCTCTGCCAATCTGTAGAATTGAAGAAACAGTTTTTCCAACTTTATATTCCAAAGCCCAATGTTATATTCTCCAATATAGATAAACTATAAGAATCAAAGTTAAATTTTTTATACTTTGATTTATTTAAATTTCTTATATAAAATTATTTTATACTGCACATTGCAAGAATAAACCTATCTGGCCCATGGGCTAATTGTGAAACTTAATTGTGCTTACTGTGCAAGTTGGTCTCCACCTTCTGCACTACTCAACATGTAGTTAAATATCTATAGTCCTTAACCCTTGGTGTACTGGAGTCACATGTAACAAATCCCAGCTATCAACTCTAAAATTAGGAAAAATATTTTTAGTTTAAATTCTATGTGTGCGTTTCAAGATTAGGTAACTCATTAACTAAAATGACAATAGCTATAATATAATCAATTCATCAAATACTATTAAAATATAAAAACCAATAGTTTATATCAATTTAGAATTACTCTGGCTTAGAGTTAAACATTTAAATAACTTATAGTTATTTAATTTTCTTTTGGAAGATAGGTGAAGTCAGTTCATTTGGAAAACACAGATTGTTAATATGCTATTCATATGTGGTCACTGTCATATTTTCATATTAAGAACTTATGACATGGCTCGCCTGGCAATGTGGAAATGTATAATATGTAACAAAAGAGATCTGTATTCCAAAGTGAGCTGTATAATTGATTAAATGTATGATTCTAAAAATGTTTCATATCACTTTGCCAAAACAAATATTATAAATTAACAAATGAATAAATAATAAATAAAATGTATATTAGCTTGAGTAATTTTATTAATCTCAAGTTATTCACATGTGGAGTGGGAAGGGATAGCCTGATTTTGCAGAATTCCTGCAGAAACAAACTTGTTGACATGTCACAGATGATCATTGAGTTAGTTTCCTTTTTACTGCACACTCTTTCAGCATGCCATTCTATTCCCATTTCAGCATCTCACCTAAATCTGCCGCCCCAAGTTCCAAGGACATGTTTCCTCTTTCATCATACCTCCTATAAGTGCAAGTCTCACTTTGCCTTAGTGTGAACATACTTTAAGTTTATGGAGAAATAGGCTTCATAAGACTGGCATAGCCAAGCCTTAAGGTATTTAGGGAAGGAGTGAATAATGGAAGAAAAGTGTGTGAGAATCAACTTTCTGAAAATGAGGGAGTTTTTAAACCCTAATTTAAAAAAATGTTTTTAAATAACATTTCTTTCTCTATTTTCTCCTGTAATAAGGGATAAAATAGATTTTTTTCCTTATGCATTTGTGTGTGTGTGTTAGATTTATGTGTTACATTGTGTTACATTATGAAGTGGTTAGATTTGCTTAGGAGACCACTATATAAATGAATTATGATGATACAAAGGTATAAATGAAAACTTTACTCACTACTGAAAAATACTTGGCACATTACCTAGAATTTTCTTTATATAGTTATATAATAGGGAAATATAGCTATTAAATAACTATCTTATCATAATGCTGCAAAAGCATAGTGAAGTCCAGAGGTGTGTTTTCCCCACTAAAGGACTGAGTAACGCATTCAACCTGCATGTAACTGCAGAGGAGCGGTTATGTTTATAAGTAGTTGTGTTCCAGGTAGTTAACAGCCTTCTTTTTGTTTGTTTTACTGAAGTTACTGGTATCCATTTAGTTTGTAGATTTCAGAATTGGGAACTATAGTTGTAAACCTGAGGAAGTCAAAGAAGAAATGAAATCAGTACACACACACACATATACATATATATGCACACACAGGTAAATTTTATACATATATTTACCCAGATTACTGTGCATTTTTCCTGTCATATTTAGCATATAAGTTGAGCCATAGAATATTGCCATTTTTGTAAGTTAGAAAGAATAAAAGATTAACAATTACATATGGCTCAACCTAATTGAAGAAATAAACACATCTGTTGTCAAGGTTCTGTATAAAGATAATAGCCACTCTTTCTGGAGGGTATTCCACATAACCTGGTTAACAAAATTTAAAATATTAGGCCATTTAATTTAATTGAGAAACTAGAATTTGTCCATTCCGTCCGACAAATGTTATTGTCTATCATGTGAAACAACACAGTTAATGTACGTGCTCTTATAAAGCTTACTTCCTCGTGGGTGAGATAGAAGTTAAGATACACAAGTAAGATAGGTGTATAGTGTGTTGTAAGATAAAAGGTGGTATGGACAAAAATAAAGCAGGGAACAAGGAGTTACTGTCAAGAACAGAGTTATAATTTTAAAAGATAATCTGGGAATTCCTCAAAAGAATAAATTAGGTCATAAAGGAAGTAAAGGATAAGCCATGAAACCATCTGTAGAAAAACAGCCTCATTATACTCCGAAGAGGTACCAAGTGTTGCTGTTACCGTGTATGCTCAGTGTCACTGATTTGCCTTTATCCTGTGGAGATGGGTCAGTAGCAAGATTGTAGCTCCTACAGCTCCCATTAGGTCTTCTCTTTAATTTCTCTGAGTCCTCAACTGGGAGTTCATGACAAGTAGTATCAGTGTCTTCTGCAGGTCACACTCACTGTTGAGGTTACAGAAAATAAGAAATAAACTTGGGCCTCAGTTTGTCCACCTGTGTTCCAGTTTGTTTTCATAGACTTCAGGTTGTTATTGAAGATTCTATCTTATCCTTGCTTCACTCTGTTTTGCTTCCAGTTTTTCTTATTGACTGCCAGCCCTTCTGCCCTACTGTGATTTGAGGCTAGCCACCAAATTTAGAAGTGATAGACTTCCATAGATTTCTCCACTAGCCCTCAGAATCCTGCAAGCCTTAATCCACAGGATACATTCCATATTCCATATCACTTTTACCGGTTTTGCTCTTTAAATTCAACATGAATACACTAATCCCCCCCTTAATAGCCTCTGAAATATAACATATCCAAACTGAATTTCTGATATTGCTTCTAGCACAGATTTGCTAGTCGCTGTCTTATCTGACATAGTTAATGTCAACTTTATCCTCCTTCTTGTTCAGCCAAAAATCATGGAGTAATCCTTTTTTTTTTACTTTTATTTTAGTTTCAGGAGTACATGTGCAGGTTTGTTACATAGATAAATTATGTGTTGCAGAGGTTTGCTGTATAGATTATTTTGTCGCTGAGGTAATAAACATAGTATCTAATAGGTAGTTTTTTCAATCTCGATGGTTCTCTGAGGCACATCCCACATTCTGTCTTTCTGGAAATTATACTGCTCTACCTTTAAAATGTGTTCAGTATGCAGCCTTCCAAGGCATTTCACTCTAGCCCAAACTATCTTGTCCTGCCTAGATTAGATAAGGTATCACGTCCTTCCTAGATTATATTAGATAAGATTATCTGTAGGAAGTAAGTATAGATAAAACAGAGAAGAAATCCAAGGGCTACCCTAGTTTTCAAAGGTCAGCGAATGGGGCCAAGGAAACTGAGAAGGAATAGCCAGAGGGTGGGAAGAAATTCCAGTGAGTATGGGAACCTGAGAAACTATGTAAAACAAACAAACAAAAAAGGTGGTTGAAGGAAGAGAAAGTGATCATTTGCCATCTCACCCTATGATTGAAGAATTATTTCATCGACAATATGGGCTGTTGTGTTTCATCAGAGTTTCTCACCTGGATATAAAAAATAATGTATATTAGACCGTTTCCCTATGGCATTTGATGGTAGAAATGTATAAAATATGTATTTTTTATGTTATGAGGATGCATTGCAGAATGATATTTGATGTAAACATAACTTTTACACAACATTTTCATCCATATTTCTATGAATACCTCAATGATGTTCAATATCACCTTGAGATCCTTATTTACTGAAAACACAGGTCAGTTGAAAAGCTAACAGTGAATTAAGAGATACATGGGCCTGTCTTGTTAAAAAAAGAAAACTTCTTCAATTCCCCTTCTGCTTCTCAGCTCATTGTTTACTAGTAAATACATATTCTAACAACTCAAGCCACCTGAAATATCAATAACAATTTGCCAGTTGCTGTACACATAAAGAACTGATTCTAGACTGAGCTTTTATTTCCAGATTCCAGAAGAGCCACTTAACCTCTCTTTGCCCGTTAAAAATAGGGCTAAATTATTCCTTAGCACATGCCATAATGTAAATATTGGTAAGATAACATAAATAAAGCTATTTAAATGTCTCAGAAAGAGACAAAAATAGATTCTTCCTGTGAGTTTCCAAGGATTAGGTATGAAGGGAGACATTATGTGGGTTTTGCTCTGTGTTTTTTGTTTGTTTGTTTTATTTTTTGGACTGCAAAAGAGAACCAAATGATATATTGTTGCCTAACCAAGGAATTAAGGAAAGTGGCAGCCACTGTCACAGAAAACTCTAGTAAATAGATGATGCTTTCATACAGGCTCGCTAGGCATATTCACATCTTAAAGATGCACATGGAATTCTTAAGTACAGCAAACCTAGAGATCTGGCTCCTTGGAAAACAACTTTCATTTTTGCCCTGGTTTGTGGTGCACTTAATACCATGCCACTCATGCCATATGCATAGGGGTCACTCTAGTCTTTTCCCTCTTTGCTCACCACATTCAGTCTTTCTCTAAATTTTATCCACTCTTCCTCTTAAGAATCTTGATAATTACTTTTGTCCAGATTGATACTGTTTTATTTCAGACTGACACCATTCTCTCATGTTTACTTAGGTGATCATCTCCCATCTGATCTCCTGAACAAGAGTCTTATAATTCCCTATTCTTTCCTCAGTATGCACAGAATACAAATTCCTTCTTGTCTGGTAGTTCTCTATTCTCTTCAGTTATATTCCTGCCACTTCCTAAATAGAGCCTGTATTAGGCTGTTGTTGCATTGCTGTAAAGAACTACCTGAGATGAGGTAATTTATAAAGAAATAAGTTTAATTGGCTCATGGTTCTGCAATCTGTACAGAAAGCATAATGACATCTACTTCTGCGGAGGCCTCAAGAAGCTTCCAGTCATGGCAGAAGGCAAAGGGGGAGCAGGCACATCACATGGCAAGAATGGAGCAAGAGAGAGAGAGAAAGAGAGAGAGAAAAAGGGAGTCAGGGGTGGTGCCACACACTTTGAAACTTCCAGATCTTGTGTGAACTCAGAGCAAGAGCTCACTTGTCAACAAGGGGATGGCCCAAGCCATTCATGAGGGATCCATCCCCATGATCCAAACATCTCCCACCAGGTCGCACCTCCAAAATTGGAGATTACATTTCAACAGGAGATTTGGGTGAGGACAAATATCCAAACTATATCAGAGCCTTTGCTCCAGACATGCTAAATTACTCAGTGTGGTGATGCACCTCTAGCTTTTGAATGTTTATTCTCTGAGATGCCCCTCCCTTCTTCACCTGGGAGGCAGGATAGAATAGTGGTCAATGATCCCACAAACTTATGTTCAAATCCTAACCTTCCAGTACATGATGATGAGCAAAGTTCAGAACTTCCCTGTGCCTCAGTTTGTCATGTGCAAACCGGAAATAATAACAACACCTTCAGTGGCTGTCATGAGAAATGAGATTATTAATGTTTGTAAAGCACTTGGCACAGTGCCTTGTACACAGTGAACAATTGGTAGTGTTAGCTATTATTATATTTGCCCATTTCCAATTCAACATTTTGTAAGTTAAAACTTGCTTATTTATTTTCTGTGGAAACTTTCCCACCATCTTTCTCTTCTTATCTTCAGGCGAATTAATAACTTCCTCCTTTGCCCTATCTTTTCCATTGTAGAGAATAATTCTGACACATAGTAGAAGTTGTTTATGTGTCTGCCTTGTTCACTGGACTGTGAAAAATTATTTCTTCATCCTCGTTTTTCCTGTGTAGATCCTAGAACATAAGAAGTACTTCATGGATATGTATTGAAGGGGTGAATGACAAGTGAGATCAAGTGGTTTCTACCACTAAAAAAGAGAGAGATAAAAGAGAAGTCTTCATCTTTATTCCTAGAGACTATGTATGTGGTCCTTGAGGGCTTTATGAAAGAGTCTTCCTTCTGATATATGTAAATGCTTTCTTTCCTTGTGCTGTGAAATGAATTTTCTATGGAGAACAGCTCTTTTTCTTTAAGTTTTACTTCTAGAGAAAGTCCTTCCTTTCTTGCAAATGGTTTCTTTATCGACCCACACAGCTAAAGTTCCAGATGACTTATGGTAGTTACAGCTTAGTATGCTCACAAGAAGATATTTAAATCCTAGTGCGTTTGAAGTTTCTCAGTGTTATTAAACAATCAGTATGTGCCGGGAGCGGTAGCTCAAGCCTGTAATCCCAGCACTTTGGGAGGCCAAGGCGGGTGGATCACGAGATCAGGAGATCCAGACCATCCTAGCTAACACGGTGAAACCCCTTCTCTACTAAAAATACAAAAAATTAGCCAGGCGTGGCGGTGTGCGCCTGTAGTCCCAGCTACTCGGGAGGCTGAGGCAGGAGAATGACATGAACCCGGGAGGTGGAGCTTGCAGTGAGCTGAGATCGCACCAATGCACTCCAGCTTGGGCGACAGAGTGAGACTCCGTCTCAAAAAAAAAAAAAAATAAAAATAATCAATGTGAAAGCAAAATTGATTATTATATTATTATTAAGTAGAATGTCCTATACTATATTGATTTGCTAGGTTGAGAATGGGAAACTGAATCTGTGTTGTTAAAATGTAGGTTTTAATTTGAAGTAGAAAGGTGTTCAATTCTTCATAATTAAACCCCCATACACAAATTTTCCTATAAATGAATCTATATCATTATTTTTGTAATGTAATTGCAAAATGCAAATTTATTACAAATTTAAATAACAGTACTGTGAATGAATCATCTATGTTAATTCTTATATGCAATATTGATCTTACTCTTTCTAAAAATGTTTTTATATTGACTTTGATGCATATGGAAAGAAATTACGAAGTATATCTCAAATGATAATCAAAAGTTTAAGGAGTTTAGCTTTAGGCATTTTGAAAAGTGGCTATGGAATTGGATGTTTTGATACCTAATACTCGTCTTTAGTGAGGAATTTTAGGAAGTTACCAATAAAAACAATTTATCTTAATAATATAACTCTCCAAGCCACTGGTGTCATATAAGTAAGAGTTGAAAGTGGACTGATTCTAGAAGATACTTGCTTTTTCCTGCCCAGCCTTTAGCCCCTTAAAGCAGTAGTATCTCTCTTTTAGTAAGAACAGATGGGTTGGGTTTGTTTTCAGCCTCCAGACCTCTCAGCCTCCACTTTGCTCAGAGAATCAACTTCCTTGGAAAGCTGAAATATCTCTTCATCGTGGGTTTTCAAGTATAAAATGCTCTGAGTGTCATTAAAGTAGCTTGTCAAAATGTCCCTTATAAAAGAGAGTACTGATCTCAGTCTCCATCCCAGAATGAGCAATAATCAGAGCCATAGGATGAAGTTCAGATGTACTTAAACTGTTTAATCACTGAAGGAAGTGCAATGGAGCATGTGCTAGGTGGGAATGCTGAAGTCTCGATTCAGGAGTGGGTTTGGTTTGTATTAGTGCATCTCTTTCATCTCTTATCTTCTTTTTTTTTTAAAAAAAAAAAAAAAAGACTTTTATCACCCGGCTACTTTTGCATGATTGGTGACTTATGTAAACTTTATAAGCCTTAGTTTTCTTTGTATAAGAAGGACATTATATTTAGCTTTTATAATGATAAAAAATAATTTTGTGAATCTCCTAGTCCCATGCCTGGCTTGCAGTAAGCACACCCCACGTGGTAGTTAGAATGATCTGAACAAGTCATTTTCCTCTGTGAGGCTTTTTTTCCTCTGTAATATGGCGACTGGATCATCTTATTTCTAAAATCTTTTTTTTTCAGCTTTAATATTCTGTATCTCTCTGATAGTGTCACCTCAACAGTAAAAGTTTAGATTATAGCAATGCATGATAAATTAGGTGGTTAAAAAGTGTTTTTAAGCTCCTTAAAGCACAACTAGGATGTGAAAAAATATAGTCATGCTTATCCAAGATAAGAGCTCAAGTGAAATTTAGTGGCACTTATGGAATTGAAATGTTGGAAAAATATTTTGATCTCATTTAATAATACCAATTATATATACTAATATATTAATATATAACCTTGACCCAGTCAAATCTTGATTTTAATTGATGCCATAAGGTCAGATATCTGGATTCAGGATTTTCTTTGTCATTCAGTAATCTGATAAGCACCATGTTAAATGTTTTACAAACATTAGTTATTTCACTTAATTCTCATGACAAGCACCATGTTAAGTGTTTTACAAACATTAGTTATTTCACTTAATTCTCATGACAGCCACTGAGGGAGGTACTATTATTGTTTCCACTTTGCTGATGACAAGTGACATATAAGACATATAGGTAACTCAGTTTTTGGAGTGATTTTCACATTCTTTTTCTGGGCGGTATATTTGAGACTTTTTTTAGTATTTGATATTCAGTTTATTTACATTTTGGCCGAAACCAAGCAAGAAAGAATTCATTTTTTTAATGTTCCATTACATATTTTAAGACATAACCCATTACCCTCAGGGATTAAATTTAGAAGCGTAAATTCTTAAAATAAATCATTTGAGAACAGTAAATGCAGTGGTTTTGTCCTGTGAAGTCAGACATCTGGATTCAGAGTAGGCATCATTCTTTGGTAATTTGATTATTAACAATGCTCCTCTGAGGATCATTTTCATCATCTGTAAAATGGAAATAATAATATATCAATTGCACCTGCTTTATTATGAGCAATAAATGAATGCTATCATTAATAACAACAAGTTATTAATAACAACAAGTATGTGTCTAGAGATGCATCAAAGTGTAATAATAACTAAGATATTTCGGACCCGGTGCTAGAGAGATTTATGCAAAAACTCCAATTTGTATAATACTCTTGAAACTTATACAAAAAATATATCGTATTTCTAGTTGGCTCATGGTTGAGTTGGATAAGTATCTTACATAAAGGTGTATAACATCCCTAATTTACAAATGAGGAGCAGTCTCAGAGAGGTACAAGAGCCCAATGAAAATTATACAACTGATGAATGAGAGAGTTGGAATCTGAAATCCAAATTTCAACAGATCTGTTTGTCTTCAACGCCCACATATTTTCCAAATAATCTACAAAAATGATGAATACAAGTTCTTGAAAAACAAAATTAATTTTCCAAATTCTCTGATAGTGAGAATTTACTTTCCTCGAAGTAGATGAATGAAATGAGGGATTGGTATTTTTTTCTAATCTGTGGTTCAAGATGCAGATTTGTCCTCAGTAAAGACAAGACATGACAGTCATGTCCAATTGCACAGTGAAATGCAGTAAAAATAATTGTTCAGGAAATGGTATTACTAAGTGCATCACAATTTCTTGTACCAGTTATTTTTCTCTTTCCCAGGGGTAGCCTGTCATACACTGTGTAATATTTTCATGTATTATGAACATATCTTCCAGCTGATTTTTGCAAATATGTAGATAATAAAATTTATTAGATTTTTATTGCTACGGGAAGGTTACATATGCTTATGAATTAGTTCTTTAGAAATATAGCAAGCATGGGGCATCTTGTAATCAAATAAACTATTTAGATACTAGGCTAGAAAATTCTCCAAGCTCTTTGAGTTGCAGCAACTTGATTTTTTTAAAAACAACTTTGGTGCTGTCTCTTTAAATGGATTGGCAAAATAAAGTAAGCTGTCAGTGGAAATGTTTTCAAAAAATATCTTTGCAGATGGATGACAAGATGGATGATCCGTCTTTTAGGTAGATAATGTTTAGGTTTCTTCCATCAAGAAGCAAGACAACAAACGTGGTTTCCTCTGTAAGAAAGTTTAAATAGAAAAGTTTTCTTTGCTTTTATGAGAATGTTTAATTAAATTTATTAGCCCAGTTGAAAACTGCTGGGCATATTTTGTTTCTGTACCATAGCTAACAAATGGGTTTTTAGAAATTGGCATGGTTCTGGAAACTTGACATGTCACTTACTCTTCTGACATTAATAAGCAGTGTCCTAGAGGTGGTATGTGAAGCACGGCGGGGCTGCAATTCTAATAAATTATCTATGTTGAAAGCATGCGTATCAATCTTTACAAGAAAAATAGGAGGCTTTAAACTTTCAATTTCTTTAAAAAAGTCAGAAGTTTGCAGAAATTATATGAAAAATTATGGGAAGTTTTACTTTGTCATTTATTTGTTTATTCAACAAATATTTACTGTGAGATTATTATATATCATGCTCTATGTTATGCAAAGGACATTTCTTCTGCTTATCTATACAGGTTCAACTTAAACATCACTTTCACAGAGACGCTTTCATGACCCCTTACTTGGCTTGATCCTCTGCAATATATTCTTATATATTTTTAACTCCTAATCATACATTTTATTGTTATTATTTACATAATGTCCATCTTATCCAATTGTCTGTAAGTTTGCACAGACCAAAAGCCATATCTGTTCTGCTAATTATTTTAACTACAATGTTCATAGAAGGAGCTCAATATTTTTTGAATACATTAAACAGGATCCATGAAAATGAGTTTTAATAAACTTGAAATACTATTAATCTTATGGTTAATGATATTTTGTTTAAAAGTATAATAGATATACAGGGAAGACACAATCTGGGTGCCTGGGAATATCAGGAGTTGGCGACTCTGAGAAAACGTTTGTTTGTTACTGAGAAGAAAAGGGAAGGGAGGCAAATATAATGGGAAGTGAAAGAAAGTCGTCTAGCACAGCGTGTTTGGAAAATTGCAAGCTGTGGAGAGTGAGGTATAGCTTGCCAGGAAATGATGTTAGACAAGTGGTAGGAACCAGCTTTTGAAAAGCCCTCCATAATACCTAAGGGATTTTCATTTGTGTTTTTGTTGATGGGAAGATTTTGAGGAATTGTAAGCAAGAGAATGATAGGACTTAATTTCCATATGAGAAAAAACACTAGTAGTAGACCTTTGAGTGAACAGCTACTTGTAGCCTCAAATATCCACATTATATTCCTGGGATATTTGGATGACTTAGTGATTTAGACGTTTCTGTTGACGTATATGCCCAGAAATCTCTATAGGAATACACATTTATAATTATGCCTGAGGTTTAAAACTTTTCTGTTTTTTGAAATATATTTTTTACTGCTTTATCAATTCACAATTTGAATTAGTTTTCACGTTTTATATTTTACAGACCATAAAACATTTATGGTACATAGTGTGATTCCATTGGTTAATCAAATTTGTATCACCTGCCTAAAGACTGGATTTCCCATTTACACATTAATCAAATAATTTTTTTCTCACAATAACTTATAATAGGCTAGTTATTTTTTTAGGAAGCAATAGTATACATTGTAGAGTTAAGTTTTACAGTTGTGTACATTTAAATGTTTCTATAGTAATAATTTTTCCCACAATGAGGCTCTTCATTTTATGAGCAAAAGACACTAGGCACAGAAAATGAAAATGACAATTCCTTACTTTATGTTATAGGCATTAAATTTCAATTATTCATGCATTTTATTCATTGGAGAGGAAAGCTATATGAAGGAGTCATGGCAGTTGAGAGTGACAGTGAATCTAATTCACTCTTTGACATTTACTGAGCGATATACACAAGAAAAATAACAGTCTGTATGTACTCTCAAGGAATTTTTAGCCTAGTGAGACAAAAGAAAAAAATATTTGAAATAAAGTGTGGAAATTGTTATAATAGGTGAACGCATACAGTGACAAAAGAGCATTTAATCTGTGGACTTTAGATAACATTTCGTCAGGGAGGTGGCACTGGTGCCATGTCATAGGCACTCACAGGAGCTCATTATTCAGAGCCTGAAAGGAAACAACAGAGAAGAGCATGTTTGACACTATGGGCAAGTGAAAATCCATGTCACTTTTAAGGAAGCAATGAGGATGTATTTGTGTGGATGTGTATGGTGGGGAAAGACACCGGTTCAAGGAGTCTCAGGAAAGAAATAAGAAATGAGAACATGGAGTTAATTTTGAGCTAGAGTTTATGTAAATCCACCAGGCAGTTCAGCATAAAGGATGCCCTTGTTTAGATTTGTTTTAGAAAGGGTAATTTGATACTCATGTGAAGATGGATTAAGGGGAACAGAAACTAGTGATGAGATCTGAAAAATAATAAATGTAGATAACTGACAGTAGGATTAGGGGAAAATATAAGGACTTGAAATTCATGTCCAAGATTACTTTAATGACTCACTGGAAAAGGAAATATGGAAAAATGGGGGCAAATATGATTCAGAGATTGCTCAAATCTTTGGATTTGGGTGTTACGGTGTTATGTCACAATCCAAGACCATAGGATGTGTATTAAGATGAGCCAGGCTGATGATGTGGAAGGCATAGTGTAAGAAGAAGACTTGGAAGTCACTTAGACAAGTCTCCTCTTCAGATGCTGTAGTCTATTCTATGATAGAGAGACTTTTTTGATGTTCAACAGTCAGTGGTGACATCAGTGGATGATCTGAGCTTGGGCAACATATATGAACAGTCAGAATCATGTTTCACATTGCAGATAATCAGTGGATCTGAAAAGCAACAAATTGGAGTGTAGAATATTTTGGAATGTCTTTTTCAAGAGTGTTATTAGGAAAAATGATTTATCGAAATCACTGTCTCATATTTTAAGAATATGTAGTCTTAAAAATTAGTAAAATTTAAAAAGCAAACATAACACAGCATATAGTTTGCTTTATGTAGCTGTCTTCTTGTTCGATAAGGGGCTATATACCAAATGTTTAGCTAGTTTAATTGTCCTATTAATTAGCATTTTTCTGATATGTTGTACCCACAAATATACACATTCTTCAACATTAAAGTAGTGCCTAGAACACAGTGCATATTCAATTACTACTTGTAGAATGAATGGATGCGTGTATAAATGAGTAAGTACATTCCGTTCTCCAGATGCTATCTTCAAATCAGTTAGTCAATAGCATTTTGAGTTCTAAACATTAACACCTTATTAATTTAAGATATATATCTATTAACTATTTTACCGACTTCATTGTAGTTTCAGCTGATACTGAGCTTTATATTACCTTCTTATCACATTATTCTCTAACCCATCTTGACCCTAGATCTTGCCTCATGCTGTTAAGTAAGATTCATGTTAGTAAACATAACTGAGTAGTTTTTATGTGGAACTAGCTGATTTCTGTCTTCTGTCAGTTACTGGCCTCCTTGGGGGTAAAATTACCTTCAATGCAGACTTTCTTCTTGCACATTTCAAAAAGCATGATGAAAGGTTTAAAAAATAACATATTTTCAGATACTTTGAATGTATAATTGAAAAACAGTCAAGAAAATGATGGGAACTGTAGTTGAGGTATAAAAGGTATAGTAAACTACAGTCCTTCCAAACCTTTTTCACTGGATGACAATGACATTATATGCCAGAAATATTTATATATATATATATATTTAAAAGCTTCTGATTTATTAATAATAGAAAAATAGAATATGAATTCTGTAGTAAAACTAACTTCTGTTCATAACCTGGTATAATGGTGATTTCGTTGTGTTACTATTGACAGTTTACTTAATATTATGCAGGGGTTTTTTTTTTTGGCCTTTGAATAATTGGGTTAGGATATGTTCTTTGTGAAATTGTCATGAGAATTAAATGTAAAAGCATGTACAGATGCTTTGTGCAGTGTAGCACAGAGTGAATCTTCAGTGGACAATATTTCTCTACTGAAAGATTATTTCCCCTACTATAGAAGTCTAAAGTCAAATGATGGTCTTTCTAATTTTATTTTTCATTTCTGTGATCTGCTAATATTTATCACTGACTGTCATTTTCTCTTCCATCCTGAGCTGAATGGATCCTAAGAAGTTTTTGTTGCTACTTTTAGCCTTCTGAGCACCAGACATCCCATACAGAGGTGAACCACTCTTAGATTTCCCTCTTTGCATGTTTTGTATATATCCTTTTGTGACGTATTCTCATCACTAGTGTGTGGGTGTGGGTGTGTGTTCATTGTGTGTGCACATTAGGTGAAAGTCCCTCTTTAAATGACATTCATTTTAAGAGTGTTAGCTTTTAGTTTTTTTTATAAGAATGTCATTACACATTTCCCCATTCTTTGTGATGGTTATTGTTCTTTTAGGGTCCTAAATTGCAGGAATCCAGTGCTCCCTTCGCTTCCTTCATGATGTTTATTCGTGGATGAATTTTTTGTCCAGGGTCTCAGCATTTCTGCCTCCCTGACTTGTTTACCTAGTGTTTGGATTTCCATCTAGGGTAGTATTTCTCAATATTGCTTTTCATTCATTTTGAGATATAATTCTGTAACATGATTTAAAAAATAAATTCCTATATTTAGGTGAATGATGTTTTCAGTAGCATTAATGGTGGTTAATATGACATTCTTAATTATCATTTGCCTATATATGCAAGCTTTAAAATTTACACCACAAAATTCATTTTCTTCATTTTTTCTATAAGTGAAGAAAACTTGAAATTAAATATTACTCATCTGTTGCACAAATGTAGTAATAATCATTCATATATTCAGCAAATATTTGTATGTATTTCCAGTACATATCAGGAACTATTATGGAGCTGGAAATACAATGAAGAACTAGCCAGACAAGATCTCTGTTCTCATGGGGCTTATATTATAACAAGAATTTCAGGTGTTGATAAACACAATGAAGCTAATACGGTAAGGTTATGTGATACACAATAGTCAGTGGGACCAGCTGTTGTAGCAGGTTTCTCTAAAATGCAGCAACATTTTAGCTGAATCCCAAATAATGAAAAGTAGGTAAACATATTGAAATTTGTGGAATGAGTTTCAGGAAGAATTAAAAGCAAGTCCAAAGGCACTGAGGTTTCAAGTCTTGGTGTGTTTTAGGAATGTCTTTGTGACTGAAGAGTAGTGGACAAAAAGGGAATAGGAAACAAATGAATTCAGAAAAAAAAAAAAAAAAGACAGATTTGGGCCATAGAAGACCTTGGAGGCCATAGAAATAAATTTTGACTTATATTGAGTGTAATACAAAATATTTAAGAATTGTAAGCAGGCCTGTATTATAATCAGATTTACATTAACAAAATGATTCTATTCATTTGTGAAGAATGGATTATGGAGGGGCAGTAGGGGAAGCAATAGGTCCAAGTTGGTGACTTCAGCAATATTCCAGGTGAGAAAGACTGTGCCTTAGGCTATGCCAGCAATAGTGAAGATGAAGAAAACTGACAATATTATTGAGATCGAATCCATAGTTATAATGCAGATATTGAAGGGATATATAAAATAAATTAATGATTTTCACTAAGTTTGTAGGCTTAGAAAATGAGTGGTACGGCCAGGCATGGTGGTTCACACCTGTAATCCGAGCACTTTGGGAGGCTGAGACGGGTGGATCACAAAGTCAGGAGATCGAGACCATCCTGGCTAACATGGTGAAACCCTGTCTCTACTAAAAATACAAAAAATTAGCCAGGTGTGGTGGCAGGTGCCTGTAGTCCCAGCTATTAGGGAGGCTGAGGCAGGAGAATGGCGTGAACCCAGGAGGCAGAGGTTGCAGTGAGCCAAGATCACGCCACTGCACTCCAGCCTGGGCGACAGAGCGAGACACTGTCTAAAAAAAAAGAGTGGTACCTGGGTGGGTGTGGTGGCTTATGCCTGTAATCCCAGCACTTTGGGAGGCCGAGGCAGGCGGATCACCTGAGGTCGGGAGTTCGAGACCAGCCTGACCAACATGGAGAAATCTCATCTCTACTAAATATACAAAAAAATTAGCCGGGCATGGTGGCACATGCCTGTAATCCCAGCTACTCAGGAGGCTGAGGCAGGAGAATAGCTTGAACCCGGGAAGTGGAAGTTGCGGTGAGCCAAGATTACACCATTGCACTCCAGCCTGAGCAAGAAGAGCAAAACCCCATCTCAAAAAAAAAAAAAAAAAAAAAAAAAAATGAGTGGTACCATTTACTGTGATAGGAAAACCTTGGAGGTATTTCTGTTAGGGAAAACATGTAATATTTGAGAAGGAACCGTCAAGACAACTAGAAAGATATTAGTTATGGTTTTTATTCTATCTTAATAAACAGTGAGCTAAGAAGTAAGTCACAAAATTACATTGATCTTAGTTTCATTATGTGAACTTGTTCACATGGTTGTAGAATTTGCTTCCAAATCTAAAGTCTTATAATATTAAAAAATTGAATAAATTACAAATTCCCCCAATAAAGCCCTACACATATTTATTTTATATGATCACACATATTTATTTTATATAATCATCTGTTTCTTAGAAATTAAAAATATGCTTTTTCTGATATTTTAATGTGTGAGTTATGTGCTTTCAAAAATCTCATTTTGTGTTCATGCGTGGTACCATGTTATTGAATAATAAATCACTATCAATTATTAACTAAAATTTTGACAAAATAAATTACAATCCATGTTACATTTTTATGCCAAATAAAATTTTTGCTTACTATATATTATCCATTTGTTAATGAAACTATAGGCTCTATATTTCACGTGAGCTTTATCTAGTGAAACAATGTTAGATCTGATGCTTGGAAAACATAAACACAAACATATATGTAGATCTACATTTGTGTACACAAATGTGTGTACACTATGTGTAAACACACCCACTTCAAGGCAGAATGTTTATGTTTATTAATTTTATCCAAGATATTTAGTCTAAGGTGACATCTAGTTTTTCAATCTATTTAATTCTAATGTAAATACTCAGGTTTTAAAAAAATTATGTTTCCATGAACTGTCTGTTAAAAAGGGTGTGAGAAAATGTACATTCTTACTATATTCTTACTCAATTAAATGAAACAATTTAGTAAGAAAACTTTTATTGTCACAATATAGCTTTCCCAAGATTATCCCAATATTGGTATCAACTCTCTCAAATTGAAAACCCAATCACTTTGTACTCCATTTTCCTCCCTTCCCCATTTTCCCCTCTTCTGATCCTCTCTCCTCCTGCTTTCCCCACTTGGTCTCTCAGAAAACTGCATTTAATCTGGTCTTCAGTGTCTTTGTACACAATGATCTTTTTATAAACACACTAGATTTGACACTGTTCTTGGTCTTGAAATAACATTAGTCAAAACTATTGCAAATAAAGTATGAGTAGGGTCTCAAGGTGAAATAAGGTAGACTTTTATTTTGTTCAAAAAATAAGGAGAATATTTAAGAAAAACTATAAATTTGTCTTGGGTGAGGACTTTTTCCATGCTCATGAATTTTAAAATATGATAGTTTTTTATTTACTTATTTCGACAGAAATCCCACAAGCTTCCCTCCTCACCCCCTGATTTTTCTCCTTCTTGAATGGGATCAGTATTTTGGAAGCCTGCTACATATTTTCAAATAGATTCCATTTTCCTTATTGATTAGAAAAATAGTTTGCAACTCCACTATTAGTAAAGTGAATTTTTAAAAATTATAATAAAAGTTGGCCGAGCGCGATGGCTCACACCTGTAATCCCAGAACTTTGGGAGGCCGAGGCGGGTGGATCACGAGGTCAGGAGATCGAGACCACGGTGAAACCCTGTCTCTACTAAAAATACAAAAAATTAGCTGGGCGCGGTGGCGGGCGCCTGTAGTCCCAGCTACTACTCGGGAGGCTGAGGCAGGAGAATGGCGTGAACCCGGGAGACGGAGCTTGCAGTGAGCCGAGATCGCGCCACTGCACTCCAGCCTAGGCGACAGAGCGAGACTCCATCTCAAAAAAAAAAAAAAAATATATATATATATATATAGTAAAAGTTAATTTCAGGGAACAGTTTAGGACGTTTGGATCTTTCATTACATCTTGCTTGTGTTACTAAACTGATGCTCTGTAATTATTGTCTTATAGATCTTGACTATGATATGGTAGTTGTGTCTCTGAGACTCAGGGGTGGTTTAAAAGAAAATGAAACCGAATTGACTGTCAGTGAATTGGGAGATTACACTACTCCTATTTTATCAAATGTCATACAGAAGACACACACTATGTCGAGCCTTCCTCAGAGTTGTAAATTCACAGAACACTAGAAAGCCTTTCTTCTTAGAGAGTATTAAACTTTTTTTTTTTTTTTTCCTAATTTCACTGCCCTTCCAAAACAGTGTTAAAAGCACCCTCACCAGATGCCTGGTATATCAGCAGCAACTTAAATAATAAAGCAAGGCAAACCAATTTTCCACTGCAATATTCACTATTTTGATTCACTCTAAACACTTCCCTGCCCACAAATGGAAATGTCTAGAGTTTCACTGAAGATATACTGCAGTGAATAGACCCAACTCTTAAATAATTGAACAGTAAAATCATTCTAAGGCAGTAAATGAAAAATCTTTTCTGAAAAGTTTACCTTGTTTATTTTAAAATTAAAGGCAAAAGAATACAGCATGATTTAAAGTAGAACTACAGAAAGCTGCAGTATTCTCAGTCCTAGACCACCAAGATTTCTCATGCTGGTGTTTAAATGAGGAGTTAATATGCAACACAGAACAATTAAAAACATCTGGACATAAAAAACCTATCAACATCTCATAGAATCCTTTTCAATAAAATTATAATGTCATTGGGTTTTCAATTTAAAAAATAAGACAGATACAAATTTCCAATAAGGATACAGCTATGCAAAAGAAATACATAGTGTGGGTTTTGTTACTTTCTAAAACCAATTATGTATAAGATTGAATGGCCAATTTTAAATCTATGCAGTATGGCATATTCAGTTGAGGGACCTTGGATTTGTAGCATTTAATTACCAATGAATGTAACTTTGCTAGGAGTTACAGTTACTTGTCAAACCAGAGTGGGTCAGAATTCAGGGGTTATCCCTAGGAACAAGGCATATTTCTGCTTTCTTCAGGCCCAAGATAACTTACAATATCTTTTCAAAGTTTTATTTGTAGATATACTACAAAAAGATCACTAAGAAATCTTAAGAAATATTTTTTATTATTAATTTATTACCAACATTTATGGAACACTGATGACACAATGAGGAGGGCAAAATTTCTACCTGAAAGGTCACTGCAATCTTGCAGTGAAATCAGATGTTAACTAAATAATAGCATACCGTGCTATTCTTAAGGAAAAGTACATTCAAAGGTCTTGAAACTTGAGGGAACATTTTAGGTGAAAAGAATTATAGCAGGACAATATGACTAAAATAGAAGGGGCGTAGGGGCATGATGGAAGTTGAGGCTGAAGAGGTAGGTGGAAACCAGACCAGGCAAGGGCTTGTGGTCTATTATCAACTCTGTCTTCGAATCAGTAATCTCTGAGGATGGGACCTGGGGCTCTGCATTTATAAAAACATTCCAGTGGTTCTTAACCATATTAATGTTTGAGAACACTGGCCTGTGAACAACTCTTAGTGACTGTCTTTAGAAGCCCAGGCTTCATTGTGGATAACCCATGATCATAAGGCACAACCAGAGAGGGATGGAAATGAATGTCACTCTAGACAACAGAAAATTTCCACAGAGATACATGCATTAGACTAGACCAAGCTGAATGACATTTAGAGTTTGCTGTAGGTCTGCAACTTACAGATTTTATCCCAGCTCCACAAACTTTAGGAGAAACACACACACACACACACATACACACACACAGACGCAGACACACACACGCACAAAAGAATTAAAGGAGAAAACTATAGAAAAAACAATGAAAGATAGGTAAGTGAGCAATATTCTGGTGACTTCTTTTGAAGACATCAAAGGATAAAACTTACCAAAAGGCCAGAATCTAAATAGTCACTTTTTCACTTTGGCTTTTCTGTGAGGTCACATTTCCTTTTAATCTCTCACAATGATAGGGTATTTGGGTCATAACACATAAATATTACTGGAATGACTGATTTCATTAATGTTCAAAGACACAAGCAACTTAGAGCCTACTTTAGATAGTTTAAATCTATTTTAAATTGCATTTGTAAAAATTCACTATGTTTACTACCCATTGAACATGCAAAAATTCCTGTGCAGAGAGATTTAGAATTAAAAAAGTGTAATAAAATTCTGATTAGTGATTAAGAAAAATCACAGGTATCCCAGTTACTGATCTCCTGCACTACAGATACCTTGCACAGCTACCATCCCTGTGGCAGAAAAAAAAAAAAAAAAACATATCTACTAATATTACCCATATTGTTCAGTGGATTTTTTTTAAAATCAACTTCTGAATGATGTGTCATAACCTGCGTGAATAACAAGGCAAAATTCGAAACTGTGATGTCTCAGTGCTGTCCCAGTCTTATGTTCTGTAAGCTGGAGGTGGAGGACTGGCAGCTTCTCAGAGATCTTCAAGCTGGGCTGGAAAAACTGTAGACAGGCATCAAGGTCAAGAGGGTCACAAAGAAAAGTGAATTTGCTTTTAGCTTCTTCTTAGTTGGCTGTGTACAGTTTTAACTTAGGATTTCTAAAGAACCACAGGCAGGAGAGAAATGGAACTCTGAGATCTCTGCAGGTAGGAGAGGGACCAGGGAGTAACCCTGGGTTCCAGCTTAAAATCAAAGAGGGAGGACAAGGACGTTGATATGTCCTCCTGTGCCTTTTTCAAATGGAGGCATTGGCATGATGAAACCCTGTTAGTTTCCTTCAGGAAAAACTAGCCAACTGCTGAGAGAAGAAAAGCTCTGCTGCCAACTATTTTATTCCCTCTGAAAAGATAAACAGGAGGAAGCAGATAAGCCTGAATAACCTGCTTCAGAGAACAAACAAAAATGAAATGAAGAATGACAAAGGAGAGAGGGGAGTGAAGTAAGACAGATGAAGGAAAGAGAGAATGATTAGCAAGACCTTAACCAAAAATAAAGAGTTCTGGGTGTGGGCAGGGGTCATTACAAAATGAAGTCAGAAGAGAAGTAAATGAAAAACTCCAGAGTAGGAAAAGTGTGCGTGCATGTACACCTCCCCCACAGTGCACACACACAAAGAAGAGGAAGCACAGCTTTCTGCAAACACATAAACACAGAACTTTAATTTTGAAATTTAGTATTTTGAAATTGCTCAACTTGTAGTGATATGTAACAAGTGCTCAAAGATTGTGGGAGAAATATATGTGATTATATATGTATATACCCATATATACATATATAGTTACTCTGTTGCACAAAGAGGGTTAAAGCTGGAATCTTAACATTGATTGGCTATAGCCATTGCTGCATTGCTGTGATAAGGGTGTTGGAATAAATGGGTATCTATCAAGATAAACTGTTGATAAATTGCAGAAATAAAATGGAAGGAAAATGTTAGATTGTTGTCTTTTTAAATTTTCCAGAGAGAAACTTGAGTATGCTGTGAGGTTCTAGAGAGTATGTGTGTTACTTGGCTGGAAAGTTGACTTTGAAAAGATTATTTCCTGATTTCTAAGTGTCTGTGATTTGATAAGTCCAGAGTTAACAGCTGACAATGCCTTCTTGCAAAACATGATTGTGGATAAAAGAAACTTGTATCTAGTTTTACGTATTTTTCATCATAGTACTCCCTGCTGTCTGTGTTGGTCGATCCATGAGAGATAGGGTAACAGTGATGTTTAATGTGAAGCAGATTTAAAGACTTAGTGAAATAGTTAAAAACTTAAACACAAGAGAAGAAAATCTGATTTGTCAAGGATTATTGACACTACTTAAATAATTGAAATACAAATTTTGTCAGAGAAAAAAAAACGCTTAAAGCCTTCATAATCACTTTAGTTTCTGAACTACTATGTAAACTATCAGAACTAGTATCTGTATCAAAACTACCATCACATAAACTTTCAAATTATATTTCACATTTAAAGCACTTTGGTTCATCTTTCAGGTCTCATGTCAGTTGCCACTTCTTTCTCATAAATTTCTTGGTAGCCAAATTTCTTCCCCATTTTTGAGCTAAGTTTCCTTCTTTTATATCTTTATTGTCCATATGATTCTCCTAATATAAAATCGTATTGTCCATATGTTGTAATTGGCTGTTTATTTGCTTATAATGCCAACTTGCCTGAAGGCCAAAAGCCAAGTAGGCCTCATTGGTCTGTCTCCAAAACGGGGCACCTTGAGTGACACACAAAAGACACACAGAAAGTATTTAATGAATGGCAATAGCTAATATGGATAGAAAGCCTATTAAATGTCAGATATTATTATGAGATATTTAGATATATTAAATTACTTAATACAATAAGTCTTTAAAATAGCTACTATTATTACCGCAATTTTAGAGACAAAAAAGTGGAATTTAGTGATTTTTTTAGAATCTTGCTGCTTGTAAGAAGCAAGGCTGGCCAGGTGCGGTGGCTCATGCCTGTAATCCCAGCACTTTGGGAGGCCGAGGCGGGCGGATCATGAGGTCAGGAGATCGAGACCATCCTGGCTAACCTGGTGAAACCCCGTCTCTACTAAAAATACAAAAAATTAGCCGGGTGTGATGGTGGGCGCCTATAGTCCCAGCTACTTGGTAGGCTGAGGCAGGAGAATGGCGTGAACCCGGGAGGTGGAGCTTGCAGTAAGCCGAGATCCTGCCACTGCACTCCAGTCTGGGAGACAGAGAGAGACTCCCTCTCAAAAATAAAAATAAAATAAATTAAAATAAAATAAAAAGAAGAAGAAGCAAGGCTAAGAGTCAAACTCAAGAGTTCTGTTTCCAGATCAGTGTTCCTAACGATTAAGTTGTACCATCTCTCAAATGAAAAACACAAACAACTGACTATCTAGCAGTTATCGTATTACGTTGACCTTGTTTATTTATCATCTCTAGCAGTAGAAACTTTTCAAGAACAACGTCTTGTTCATATCTCTTGTTCCATTGGAGCACAATGTCTAGCTCATGATTTAAGCTCTTTATGCCAAAGGCAGAGATATTCAGCTCTACACTTTGTCCAGGGAAGTTTTACACAGAGAGATACAGGCAATTCATGTAATCAGTATGTAGTCACTTCTGTAGGACTTCTTCTTGAAAACGATTAGGGTCTTAAGTGACATTAACATTTTGGAAGCAGAAGCTCTCTTTAGAAAAACAGAATGAGATGCTTTTAAAGGAGCTTTGAAAGAAGGTACAGGCAGTATAGTACAAATAATCTTTAAAAAAGAAAGAAAAGAAAATGTATGAAATATATTATGAATGATCTTAACTATTCCAGAAACTTACAAAGTTACTGTCTCTTAAAATTACATATAATGAAGAGCTTAAGAATAGGAGTCAAACACAAACTTGATTGCTATGAACGTTGTAGCATGCCATTTAGTGAATATCAGAAAGTGTTTAATTTATGTAGACTTAAAATATTATATTTTAAACAAAGAAAGCAAAGCACACCAGCAGTAGTGAGAAGAGAAAATCTTTAAAAACTTTGGAAAGGCCAAAGTAAAAGAGACAGTTTCTGTTTTCTTTTTTTTCCTGTCTGCTAAGGGACTATTTGTAATAAATAAATCTCTCATACAAATGTTTGTGTATTTTGTGATGCTGATCTGTAGGATTCAAGGAAGAGACCAAGAGATCTCCAGTGGAAGATAGTCTCCATGAGGACCATGTCAATATACTTATTGATGTATCTCTAGTACCTAGAATAGTGGAGATTTATATTAGATACAAAATAAATATGTGTGGAATTAATTAATAAATTCAAGAGTAAAATATGAAAGTACCTATCCCCCAAAACTTTTACTTCTATAAAATTGGATATAATAAAGCAGGATACTTGCTATAATGGAAGAAAAGAGAAATCAAATCTATCTGTAAAATAATGAAATCCATTACTGAGAAAATGGACCTTGAAAAATGAATAGAACAAAATATGAGAAGAGATTTCATACTGGAAAATGTTGATGTTATCACTTGACTTGTTCTATATTTATTAAATGATTACATTATCTCCTGTAACAGCCCTGATCATCAAGCAAGAAAAAAATAAAATAAAATAATAGTCTTGCACGCTTACAGGGGACTGATATGGTTTTAAGGTAATAAAATAGATATTATTATAACTATAACAGGTTTTATTTTTCCAAGTGGATGTGTTTTATTTTAAAAAAAGTTGCTTTATAAACATAAAATATATTATTACATACCAGAATGTAGTTTTCTATAATATCTTGTTAATGATCCATTCTTTTGTCATTCTGAAACAATGAAATATAACTTAAAAATATGCAAAAATTACAAATCATGCAAAAATCACTAGTATCCTTAGTAACTAAAGTTTGAGACACACTATAACAAAATTTTATATATACATATATATAAATGTAGTTAGAAATAAAAAAATTAGAATATCTTTGTGTCTTTAAAAATGCCTTACTGTAAGTTCTAAAAGAGAAGTTTTCAAAATGTTCACAATAATATTAATGTCAGAGCTGAATGAAGACAACATTTAATGAAATATATCTTTTATTTCATGTTTTTATTCTAAATAAAAAATAAATGGACAGATAGATAGATAAAATGGATACTTTTTTACTTTAGTCCCCTGTATAATGAGTATGATTTATTACATAACTTAGAGGCCAGAGGTCTGGATTTCAATTCCATATTTAGTCTGACAAACTTTGTGGGTACTTTTGGACTAATCACCTAACCTCTTTGGGCTTCCCTGACTTTAAAATGATGTAAAATTAAGCAGTTGATGAAGGGGTTTCCTGAATGACATTCTGTAAAAATCTACTTTGATTTTGTATTTACAACCATAGTCAGCAAGAGATGAATGAATGCAATGGCATAGAATACTCTGAAACAAATTATAGTTCCTTAAAATAGAAAAACAATAAAAGACCTACTGTCTAGAATGGTAATAACTGAACTCTGCTGTAAACTGATTTCTATCTCTGTAACAATTTTTCAAATTGGAGAACTGGGAAACACTCAGTAATGGTAGAACTCTGAAAGATAATATTCACCAAAACAACTGGGATTGCTAAAATCAAAACATCACCACTATTAATTTTGCTGAGAAATAAATTGGTTTCTCATGAGTGTTATTGTTTGTTGGAAAAATATTCGTGCATTTTCTCTCTTGGGGCTTTGCAACATTGTAAGAATTCCCCTCAGGCTGAGACTCACAGTCAGGTTTACAAGTTGGACATACCCAGGGAGAGATCTTTAGCTGTAACCCAGAGGTAGGTTCTCAACCTTGGCTGTCAATCAGAATTATCAGGTCAAATTTTATTAAAAAGTGCTCATTTTTGAGCTCCACTCAGATTAATCGAATCAGAATTTCAGTGTAGTGGAGCTCAGACACCCATAGTTTTACACACGTCACGTCCCCCACGCCTGCCACCGCGCGCGCGCACACACACACACACACACTTGATTCCATTGTGCAAACAAACAGAAAAACCTGCAAGCTCATTGCCTCCTCCTCATGTAAGCATTTAATGTATTCAGAGGAAAAGGTTGAATTTAGATAAGTATAAATTGACCCAGCTCACTTCCTTCCCCAAACACAGGAAGGTGGAGACAGCTATTGTGTTCTGCCTTAGCATTTTCCTTGTGGTGAGAAACATAAGAAAATGTCTGGGTTATTATCCCATAAAGAAGGAAAGCTCATTATTTGTATTAATAATGCTCATTTATAGTTCTTAAAAGTGCCACCTGTTTTATAATTACTAAAGTGTTACATTTTATTGAAAGTTGGATTTTTTTTTGTTTTTCCCTATATGGTATTTTTTTTTCTTTAAGTTCCAGTATACATGTGCAGAATGTGCAGGTTTTTTACATAGGTATACATGTGCTATGGTGGTTTGCTGCACCTATCAACCTGTCATCTAGGTTTGAAGCACCACATGCATTAGGTATTTGTCCTAATGTTCTCCCTCCCCTTGCCCCTCACCCCCCAACAGGCCCCAGGGTGTGTTGTTGCCTTCCCTGTGTCCACGTGTTCTCATTTTTCAATTCCCACTTGTGAGTGAGAACATGCAATGCTTGGTTTTCTGTTCCTGTATTAGTCTGATGAGAATGATGGCTTCCAGCTCCATCCATGTCCCTGCAAAGGACATGATCTCATTCTTTTTATGCCTGCATAGTATTCCATGGTGTATATGTGCCACATTTTCTTTATCCAGTCTATCACTGATACACATTTGGGTTGGTTTGAAGTCTTTGCTATTGTAAATAGTGGTACAATAAGCATACATGTGCATGTGTCTTTATAGTAGAATGATTTATAATCCTTTGGCTATATACCCAGCAATGGTATTGCTGGGTCAAATGGTATTTCTGGTTCTAGATCCTTGAGAAATTGCCACACTGTCTCCCACAATGGTTGAACTAATTTGCACTCCCACCAACAGTGCAAAAGCATTCCTATTTCTCTACAGCCTTGCCAGCATCTATTGTTTTCTGACTTTCATAATTGCCATTCTGACTGGTGTGAGATGGTATCTCATTGTGGTTTTGATTTGCATTTCTCTAATGACCAGTGACGATGAACTTTTTGTCATATGTTTGTTGGCTGCATAAAGGTCTTCTTTTGAGAAGTGTCTTTTCAGTTTCTTTGCCCACTTTTTGATAGGGTTGTTTGTTTTTTTTCTTACAAATTTGTTTAAGTTCCTTGTAGATTCTGGATATTAGACCCCTGTCAGATGGTCAGATTGCAAAAGTTTTCTCCCATTCTGTAGGTTGCCTGTTCACTCTATACCACAAGGCTACAGTAACTAAAACAGCATGATACTGGTACCAAAACAGATATATAGACAAATGGAATAGAACAGAGACCTTAGAAATAACACCACACATCTATAACCATCTGATCTTCCACAAACCTGACAAAAACAAGGAATGGGGAAAGGATTCCCTATTTAATAAATGGTACTGAGAAAACTAGCCAGCCATATGCAGAAAACAGAAACTGGACCCTTTCCTTACACCTTATACAAAAACTAACTCAAGATAGATTAAAGACTTAAATGTAAAACCCAAAATCATAAAAACCCTAAAAGAAAACCTTGGCAATACCATTCAGGACATAGGCATGGGCAAAGACTTCATGACTAAAACACCAAAAGAAATTTCAACAGAAGCCAAAATTGACAAATTGGGTCTAATTAAATTAAAGAGCTTCTGCACAGCAAAATAAACTAGCATCAGAATGAACAGGCAACCTACAGAAAAGTTGGATTCTTTAAGCTACAGTATACTTTCATAATCTAATTCAAATAGTTCAGATTACAGATAAGATAATTAAGGATTAGAGAGGAAAAATGGCTTGTATAATGTAAGAGACAAAAACAGACAGAGCTAGATGAAATTTCATGTTTCCTGATGCCTATTTCATTTCACATTGTATTCTTGGCACAAAAGGGGCTGAGAAATGTTGTAATTATTAAGAAATTTGGTATTAGCAATCTCAGTCTCCTTAATTCCTTAATATAGAACATAAATTCTTATAATATTTTTACATATTTACTGCCAAAGTAATGTTTGTTAATGTTTATTTCTTTTAAGTTATCATAAATCTTACCATTTTCTGTTTGTCAAGCAGTTTCATGAGTTATTAAGAAACTACTCGTAAAAAATTTGCTGCAAAATTCTGAAGGAAGATTAAAAAATTTAATCAAGTCATACTGATTTCCTGATGTAAATGCAGATGCCATATGGTACCCAGTATTTCAGTGGTTAATAGCATAGACTATGGAGTTAAAGTGAGAAGAAATTCTGACTGTTTCACTTTCAAAGTTTGGGCTATAATGATCATGTATAAATCTCTTGACCTGAATTTTCTCATTAGCACATGTACAGTAATGATGGTGATAACAATAACAGCAACAATATCTGATTTGAGCAAGTGAGAAAAATTCATACATAAAAAATTCATAGCAAGAGTCTAGCTCTTTGTCAAGAATAGAGCAAGTACTCATTAAGTCATCACTGTTTTTAATATTATAAATAATTATGAAGTCTTTAAAATTTTTTTATCCCAAATGGGATTTAAAGGAATATTAAATAGATTGAAAATGTAGTTATTAAAAACAACCCTGATTTTCCAACTAGTGAAATTAAAATATATCAAATTTGGTAGAAATAAAGGAGGTTGAGGCTGGTTATATCAATTCAGCATATGAATATTGGAGGAGACACATTTGGTTTATAACAATCAATAAGGGGATAAATCAAAATCATGTGCCATTTGATAGCAGTGAGAAAACCACAGAATGATCTCTCTGGTATTTATCTCAAAGCTGCATAACTTGAACCTTATCAAGAAGATACATCACAATAGCCAAAGTTAAGAGATACTACACAAGGGAACTGATTTGTAATCTTCAAAAATATCAAGGTTATGAAGCCACACACACACAAGGGCTTAGAATGATTGAGGGAGACTAAATAATCTTGACAACCAAAAGCAAAATATAGTTCTAGTCTGGAACATTTCACAATAATAAACATTATTGAGACACATGAAAAGTTGAATAAAGTCCAAGTTTAGCTGGTAGCACTGTATCAATGTTGATTTCTTGATTTTGATGCTTGGATTAAAGTTGAGATCCTCATTAGCATGTTAGCAAATCTCAAGTGGCTCAAGAGAAATACATATTTCTTTTAATACTTGTTACTTTCCTCACCCTTTAAAGTCTTTCAGTAGGTAATAACAAAAACACAAGCTATTGACAACCTTGGAACTGTTCAAGAATGGTTGGTAGAATTATGTCCTTCAATGTTCATCCGATGTAATTTCCTCTGTGTCCTACCCCCTTTCCCCAGTTCTCTGACATTTCTGACATATATTAGAATATATATGGTAATTATGTGCCATATTCAATATTTTTTATACTTTCCTTTTACAGGAATAAACATATAAAATTCCAATTCATTGACTTGTTAAACTATGTTAAATAAGAGATTGATATCTAAGAACACAAAACAGATTTCAAGGCTTATTTGGACAAGAGGTAGTTACTCATGATGAATAGGATGTTGTCCAAAGCCTCTGAACAGATAGAACCCAATATGAACCTTCAATTTTTTTTTTCACTGATCGTCTGAGCCCTCAAGAAGCTGCAGAATGCTGCGATCTTTAACTAAAAAGATTCAGAATAAGGATAACACTACAATTTTATGAGACAGTGTTTATGGCTATAGATGAAATGTATCAGAATGACAACTGTTCTGCATTTTTAAAATAACTTGTGGAAGAGTAATATCTAATTCAGGAAAAACAATCGACCTGGAAAACATACAGTGGTTTCTTTCACATTGGATAGAATCAAGCTTTGAGGACAGAAAGACAGAATTATGAAGCTTCAATTTGTAAAGTTGTTTCAATTGTCATCATTACGGTGTCCTTCTCTGTAAAATGGATATATATTTGGGGTTGCTTTAAGGCTAAAAGACTTAGAGTGTGGAATCATTTTGGAATTTGTAGTTCTACATGCTCAATATACTATAATTCCCTTTACTGTCCCCCATCTTAGTATTGTATTTGCTAGTTATCACTGTGAATGAGTTGGATCTTCACAATACTCTTGTGAATAGAAACCTGACTTCTCCCAGATAAACAAACTAGATTTCACAAATGGTTGCATGATTATTCTCTATAAGGACAATCTAATAACAGGTAATGTGTATTAAACATGTATATATCAGGCACTGTTGTTAGCCCTTCATATTCTACAACTCTATTTGTTATATGTTACTATTTTTTCTCATTTAATATGTGGTCCAACTAAGGCTTAGAAGAAAGTTAAATAATTTTCCCAATATCACATTGCTGATATGTAGTACAGCCAAGATAAAATTACATTTATCTGATAGCCACAAGTCAAGGAAATATTACACACTACTGGCTTTACTGTAAATAAATGGGTATATTTTGCCATTAATAGTCATAGCAATAATTTATGTTTTATGGCATCTAGTCTTTTAATAAAATATTCATATACATTCTCTTTTTGTATACTTAACAACCTTGTGAAGGAGATGTGTCTCAGTTTATCTTAATTTTGTTTTCTAAAGATACATTTAGACTCAAATAAGTCACTTGTCCATGATTATAGATTAGCTGGTACATGGAAAAGGTCTTCTGATTCTAAACACAGCATTGTTTACATTGCACTTTTCTCTCTGCATATATCGATTATTAATGTTTTTCTTGCAAAAACCTCATATATTGTACGCCGTGGGAGTAATAACGTAGCATTTGACTATTGCCCTTAGGGAACAAGCTAAGAGCATTTAAGTTCACTTTTGTGTCTAATAATTTTAAGTTTTATTTGGCCTTCAGATGTTTTTGAAAAAGATTTTCCCCAAGTTATGAAATTAAGCAGTTTAAGTATGTATTTATTTTCTATTTTCAGTTGCATTCATATAGTATCATGAGATAGCATATAAGGGAATTTTTAATATTTTGGGACCACTGGCACTTTGAGCATGATGAAAGATCTGGACTCTCTCCTTGAAAAAATATGTATGTAAAGAAATGTTTTTTATACATACTCAGGCATTTTGAAGTCTTAATTCAGGCATTTTGAATTCTCTATGAAGCTCACGTTTCATTCCCAAGTTAAGAACCACTTTCCTTTCACAACCTTATCACCGTTGCTGGCACTAACTGTTAGCATTCACATTCTAGGCACTTTATACTTGGTATTTTATTCTAATAACAGCCATATGAGATGGTTATAATTATCAATTCAAATTTATGTATGAGGAAATAAAGTTGTAGGTTGTATACTCATGAGCATTTTTCCCAAAATTACAATATCTGAGTTCTACCTGTAATAGTCTTTCATGTTTTGTACATATTCTTTCAAATAATTTTTTAAAAAGTTGACCCCAATTAGTCTAGGAATGATTCTCCAGGAACCCCATATGTGTATTTCCCTACCCATGGAAAACTCTCCTTTATTGCAAGCCTGATTTTCAATCATTAGTCTGATTTCACTGATAGTGTACTAGTTTTAGAAATAGGTCCATGCCAATGGTTAAATCTTGTTGTTCTATTTTTTAAATCATTTTTGTTAGAAAACCATCTATTTTTTATAGAGGTTAAAACTTCTAGATTGTAGTGACTGAGATAGCATAAAAATAGTGCTAAATATAATCAAGTCAATTTATCACATATTAATATTCAAAATTGCATGTGCTACTGAATTTAGTACTTTAGTACAATTCAATATTGATGAGGAGAAAAATCCCTAGCCTTTTATCTTTATGGAATCCTTTGTCACTGCTAAATGATCATTGCAAATGTTCCTGAAGAAAGCCTGATGACTTATCTCTTCATGGGCATCTTACTGTTAAAACACATTTCCTTTCAAAGAATATAGATAACCATGAAAATAGCAAAATAGTTAAGATACAGAACACTCTCGGGGTCCATTTGTCAAAGTTAAATTATAGCTGTCTCAGTTTATTCTTGTCTGCTCTTTCATAATCCAGAAGAAATAATCGAAATGATAGTGAGTTAGAATATAAATGGAAATAAAGCTTAACTCTCACTCTTGATATTGATATGCAGTCTGGTAATGCAATTAGAATATTCCTGCACATAAGTAATACCCTAACATTTCTGTATTGATTATTCTCTCAAATATCATGCCATCTAGCCCCAGCATATTTTGCCATGAAAAGGAAAAGTGGTTTGCTGCACCCCTTTAATAATACCAATTAATTGGTAAATAATACAAAATTTTTTAAATTTCATTTAACAGCACTTTGTGGGGGACAATTCTCTGTATTTAAATGGCAATCTTATTTTTAAGCATCAAGGTCTAAGAGCTCAGGATCTGTAGACTGTATGCTTACTGATTATTTTAAACTCAATTAATACCTTTCTTATTCTCCTCAACCCTTTCTTCTTATGTCTATACCTTCCACGCTTAGGCTTAAAACATAGTAACATTTATCCCAGTCTAAGACAAATGTCAGCAGGTTCTGCAACAGAAATACACTAGAAAGAGGCATAGCCTTATATAGGAAACATTTGACACGTACCAGATGGTTTTTTGACATCATATAATCTCTTATTTTGATCTTTGTTCAGATTATAAAACGTCTGCAAGGATTGGAAAAAAAAATCTTAATATACCATGCTGATGGTCCTCTTTTGTAGATGGGAAAGCACTAAATAAGTTTCTTAAATCTGTGGTTTTCAGTCCTGTATGACCAAAGAATAATCTATGAAGCTTGTAAAATATATGTATACTCAGCCCTCTGCCCTAGAGATTCTGATCCATAGCTCTACTGAAAAAGTGAATTGGAATATCTGGAGATGGGGGCTTAGGAATTATTTTTTAAGATCCACAAGTGATTCAAATGGGTAAAGTTAAGCCGATAGGGTTAGGTAATTTTCCAAGGTTACCAAAGTATTACATAAATGGCAATACAGAAAGCATGTCTCCATATTTAGGGCACTAGATATTTAGGTCAAGCCTCATTTGATGTTCTTTTAATGCATTGAGTTGTCAGCATCATTCTATCTAAGAAGAGCCACAAATTTACCATCCAAAATATTCAATGCTAGCAAAAAGCCTCAACATTTCTCCAACTTTATAAGAGGTGTTATATAACCTGAATATGATTGTTGAATTAAATAGAAGTATATGGATTATTTATTTAAAATTAATCATTGAATTTAATATGCTATTGTATGTTCTCATTGTTAACCATGTAGTATGCAGTAATGAAATGACTTTGGAGTAGTGTTATAGACTATATGTTTCTGTCCCCCAAAATTCATATGTTAAAGCCCTAATGTCCAATGGGATGGTATTAGGAGATGAAGCCTTTGGGAGGTAGTTAGGTCTAGGTGGAGTAGTGAGGGTGAAACTTCCATGGTGGAATTAGTGCCCTTATAAGAAGAAAAAGAGACAAAAAACTCTTTTGCTTTCTCTGCCATGTTAGGATAGAGCTAGAAGGTGGCTGCCTACAAGCAAAAAGATTGGTTCTTTCTAGACAGTGATCTGTGAGGACTCTGATCTTGGACTTTTCAGTCTCCAGAAAATTGAGAAATAAATGTTTGTTGCTTACGCCACCTGGTCTATGGTATTTTTGTTACACCAGCCCAAACTAGGTCAGGTGGTAAGGGTCTTTGTATGGAGCAGATATGGTAGGTAAGAATTCAAAAAAGGTAAAGTGGTAGCAGGTAGAATTCTACTTCCTGCTGAGTGACAAATTATATATGCAATAAAATTTTTCTGTCTCAATACATTTAAATTTTTGGAAATTATACACATGTAACTTTAAATGCCTTCCAATTTCTCAAGAAAGAAAATCAATTCCAAAGGGCAAACAAATAATTGAAATAAAATTATTAAGTAAACAAAAATATCCTAGGAGCAAATGTCACATACAAAATTAACTGGCACATAGATATTCTAGGCCTTGGGCCCTAGCAGGTTAGAGTTGCTAAATTTAACTCCCTGCCAAAAGGGTCTGTACTCACGGTGCAAGTATAGACAGACAATGAGCAAAGGGACAGATGAGACATTTTTTCTGCCTCTGCAGTGTCTCTGGATTACAACAAATGTTATAATGATGATAATAAAAATGTCTCCCCTAAGATTTTGTAGCATATAAATATTAGCATAGTATGAGGAAACTCACATACCTCACAATGAGTGTAAATAGACCAAAACATCCATTTTAATTATCTAAGGTATTGTTAAGCTTTAAAATAGAAATATATAAATATGCAAAGATATTGAAAGTAAAAATATAAAAAAATAGATATACTGACACTTATTTTTAAAAGTTGTGGCAATATATTAATATTAGACAATATAATATTTAAGACAAAAATTATTAACACAGAGGGGCATTATTTAATATTAAAATTTTCAATTATATTTATATTATTAGTTCATAATTTAAATATGTTCTATATTATAAGGAATATGTTATATAATACATAATATATAATTTATTAAATAATTTGTATAGTAAATTAAATATATTACCTCCCAAGATGATGTAATAGTTCTACACATATATGAATTAATAAAATAGTTTTGAGATTTATGAAGCAAAACAGCTATTGGAGCTTGAAAGGCATTGCATGAATCTAGGTATTTAATAGGTCAGTCAGGGAAAAAAAGTCTTTAGCAATGTACACTATATTAATTGCACAACCAACAAGGCGAATTCAGCAAGCAAATGTTGACCTCTGTACTCAACAATTATACAATACACCCTTTTTTAAACTACAAAATAAAATTGATAGCCTGCTGACAATGTTCTCTGACCCTTAAGCTAGAAATCAATAATATTTCTTTTTCTTTTGGCTTAGACGCAAATACTTCTAAATTACTCTTTGGTCAGGGAAGAAATAATAATAAAAATTTTAATTACCTAAACTTAACTATAATGAAAATACTGCTTTAAGATTATATGTAATGTTATTATATATAATGTAGTTATAATAACAATTCAGTGGAAAAGTAAATTTACATTGTTATATTAAAAAGAATAGCTAAATTATTAATGATCCAAAGATCTGAATTCAAAAGTTAAGGAAGAAAAGCAAATTAAACCTAAGCAAAGAAGTAATAGAGAAAAAAATAAATTGTTGAAACAGAAAGCAAGGAGTATAAGCATCAATAAATTTAAAAGCCTAATAAAATATATTCTGAAGCTACTGAACAAAAGAAAAACGACTAAAATAAGTAACATTATTAATGAAAAAGAGGATGTAAGTGCAAATGCCAAAATATATTTAAAATAAAAAACAAGAGAATACTATGAGAAAACTGTATGACAATCTATCTTACAATTTATACAAACATATATATTCATATAATTACTAAAACTGACTAAATAATATGGTGATTTAACAGAGCCATTAAAGAAACAGAGTTATTAGTTAGAATGTTCCCAAAGATAAAAAAACAAAACAAAGTGGGGCCATTTGATTTTAGACGTATGTTTTACCAAAACTTATTATAACAAATTTTCTTAATTTTATACAATTCCTCAGAAAATAAATATTGGGTGATTTTTTGGTGCAACAATTTTAGCCTGAAGTTAATATGAAAAATATGACAGTAATAGAAGTGAAAATGATAGGCCAATCTTTCCCATTAATGTTGTAAAAATTGTAAACAAAATAATGTGAGCAAAATCTAGCAACATTTTAAAGTTATAATGGATTATAAACCACATCTATCAAGCATGTTGAAATAAAATAATATTAACCACAGTGGCATATTAAAAATGTATAGACACACAATCTCAAAACAAGATGAAGAATAATATTTGCTAGCTTATACATCTATGGACAACAAAGAAGAGTGATATGGTTTGGCTGTGTCCCCACCCAAATCTCATCTTGAATTGTAACTCACACAATTCCCACATATCATGGGAGGTGCCTGGTGAGAGGTGATTGAATTATGGGGGCGGGTGTTTCCTGTACTGTTCTCATGATAGTGAATGAGTCTCAAGAGACTTGATGGTTTTAAAAAAAGAGAGTTTCTCTGTACAAGCTGTCTCTCTCTTTGCCTGCCACCATCCATGTAAGATGTGACTTGCTCCTCATTATGTCCTCCACGATTGTGAGGCCTCCCCAGCCATGTGAAACTGTAAGTCCCTTTTTCTTCCCAATCTCAGGTATGTCTTTATTAGCAGTGTGAAAACGAACTAATACAGTAGATTGGTACCAGTAGAGTGGGGCATTGCTAAAAAGATACCCAGAGATGTGGAAGTGACTTTGGAACTGGGTAACAGGCAAAGGTTGGAACAGTTTGGAGGGCTCAGAAGAAGGTGGAAAAATGTGGGAAAGTTTGAAACTCCATATAGACTTGTTGAATGGTTTTGCCCAATAATACAGATAATGATATGGACAATGAAATCCAGGCTGAGGTGGTCTCAGATGCAGAAGAGGAACTTGTTGGGAACTGGAGCAAAGGTAGCTCTTGTTATGTTTTAACAAAGAGACTGGCAGCATTTTGCCCCTGCCCTAGAGATTTGTAGAACTTAGAACTTGAGAGAGATGATTTAGGGTATCTGGCAGAAGAAATTTGTAAGCAGCAAAGCATTCAAGGGAAGACTTGGATGCTGTTAATGGCATCAGTTTCATAAAGTAAGCAGAGTGTAAAAGTTCAGAATATTTGCACCCTGACAATACAATAGAAAAGAAAATTCCATTTTCTGAGGAGAAATTCAAGCTTCCCACAGAAATTTGCATAAGTAACAGGCAGCCAAATGTTAATCCCCAAGACAATGAGAAAAATGTCTCCAGGGCATGTCACAGGTCTTAACAGCAGCCCATCCCATCACAGGCCTGGAGGCTTAGGAGATAAGCATGGTTTTGTGTGCCAGGCCCAGGGTCCCTGTGCTGTGTGCAGCCAAGGGACTTAGTGTCCTGTGTCCCAGCCACTCCAGTCATGGCTGAAAGAGGCCAACATAGAACTCGGGCCATGGCTTCAGAGGGTACAAGCCCCAAGTCTTGGCAGCTTCCATGTGGTGTTGAACCTGCAAGTGCACAAAAGTTAAGAATTGGGGTTTGGGAACCTCTGTCTACATTTCAGATGTATGGAAATGTCTGTATACCCAGGTGGAAGTTTGCTGCAGGGATGGGGCCCTCATGGAGAACCTCTGCTAGGGCAGTGAGGAAGGGGAATGTGGGGCCACAGCCCCCCACACAAAGTCCCTATTGCAGCACCACCTAGTGGAGCTGTGAGAGGAGGGCCACCATCCTCCAGACCTTAGATTGGTAGATCCACTGACAGCTTGCACCATGCATCTGGAAAAGCAGCAGACACTCAATGCCAGCCGGTGAAGGCAGCCAGGAGGAGGCTGTACCCTGTGAAGCAGAGGTGTGGAGCTGCCTAAGACCATGGGAACCCATCCCTTGCATCAGCGTGATCTGGATATGAGACATGAAGTCAAAGGAGATCATTTTGGAGCTTTAAGATTTGACTGCCCTGCTGGATTTCAGATTTGCATGAGACTTATATAGCCTCTTTGTCTTGGACAATTTATCCTATTGTATCTTGGAAGTAACTAATCTGCTTTCGATTTTACTGGCTTATGTGTGAAAGGGAATTGCTTTGTCTCAGATGAGACTTTGGACTGTAGACTTTTCAGTTAATGCTGAAATGAGCTAAGACTTTGGGGGACTGTTGGGAACACAGGATTGGCTTTGAAATATGAGGACATGAGGTTTGGGAGGGGCCAGAGGCAGAATGATACGGTTTGGCTGTGTCCCCACCCAAATTTCATATTGAATTGTAACTCCCACAATTCCCATGTGTCAAGGAAGGAACTCAGTGGGACATGATTGAATTATGGGGGTGGGTCTTTCCTACACTCTTCTTGTGATGGTGAATGAGTTGCATGAAATCTGATGGTTTTAAAAAACAGGAGTTTTCCTGCACAAGCTCTCTCTCTCTTTGTCTGCCGCCATTCATGTAAGACATGACCTGCTCTTCCTTGCCTTTCACCATGATTGTGAGACCTCCCCAGCCATGTGGAACCATAAGTCTACGAAGCCTCTTTTTCTTCCCAGTCTCAGGTATGTTTTTATCAGCAGTCTGGAAACGGACTAATAAAAAGAGGGAAAATAAAGCTACTAACAAAATAGAACTAGATAGGAATTTACTTAACATGCTATAATATATTTATTAAAAATTTTCAATAGACATTATATTTTTATGGTAAGTTATCAGATGCATCCATTCAACGCAGGCAAGGATCCCTATTATATCCACTTCTATTTAAGAGTCAACTGAAGGGCTTAACCAGAACAGAGAGAAACATGAATTCAAGGATACAAAAGAAAAAAAAAACACTATAATTTTGTTGATCATATGATGATCATAAAAACTCAGTTTACAAAAGCCAACAAGAAAAAAAATCAAATATAAGATTCAGCTAAAATTAAGCTTAGAGGAAAATGTATAGCCCTTCATGAATATTGATAATCTGTTTCCATTGTCAGAAGCTAAACATATACAGCAAGTCAAATCCGCCAAATAAAAGAAGAAAATAAGAAACAGAGAACTAAAAAATTTTGAAAACGAGTAATAGAAAAATTGAAGAACTTAAATTCCCAAGAACAATAATGAAAAAGACCTCACTAAATAAAATATTTTGAAAAAAAGTATGCCAATACATTCACCTTTTAAAATAAAATAGAACAATTTCTCAAAAGACAGCTGACCAAAACTGATAGAAACAAAGAAAAAGAAATGAAATAAAATATTTTAAAGTCTAGTTGTCTATTAAAGAGAATGAATCTGTAACTGAAACCTTACAAGGAAAATCCCAGGCTTTCATGGCTTCTGGGAATACATCACACATATCCAAAGTCTATGAGAGAACAGAAAAACAATGAAACAATTACTATATTATCAAGGGCAGACAAATAACCTTTTATTTCTATTGCAGCTACAATAATCCGCAGTTATTTGACAGTTCATCACATCAGTCTCTCTCTTTTTCTTTCTCTCTGTCTCCCTCTATGTGTGTGTGTATACATATATATGTATTTAATACACTCTCTCCATATATACATATATAAACACATATATATGCATATATACATGTATATACACATACATATATGTATACATACATATATACACATATGTACGTATATGTATATATACACTCATATATAGTACGTGTACAACACTCTCTCCATATATATGCATACATACATGTATACACACATATATAGATACATTTCTAATTATTAATATTATTACTTCTTTTTCTCAGTTACTTGAAAACACATTACAGGTATAATATGCTATTTTCTAAATATTCCTGTGAATTTCTTTAAAACTGGGATACATAGCTACAATAATCATCCAAATCATGAAATCAGCATTGTATATATTCATTTAATTCGTAGGTCCCATTTACAGTTCACTATTTATTCCAATAATATATATATATTTTTTTCCTTTCTGCTTCAGGATCCAATCTAAGATCACTCATTGCATATAGTTGGCATGTCTCTTTAGTTTTCTTCGGTACTGAGTGATTCCTCAGTTTTTTCAATCTTTTATGATCTTCATAGATTTACAGTATACAGACATTTCGTTCTAGAGGTAGTCCTCTTCATCTGAATCTGTCTAATGTTTTATCATGTCCGTTCTCAGGCCATGCCTTCTAGGGCAGAAAAACACAGAAATAATGCTGTGCTCTTTACTGGAGGCACATTATGTAGATTTTTCTCAACACTCATGGTCTTTACCATTGTTGCCTGTTCATATTGGTATGTGCCTACCTTCTCCATTAAAAACTTACTATTCATCTTTGTAATTGAGAAATACGGGGTGGAGGGGGGAAACAAATATCCCAGTCCACCAACCTTAGCATTCGTTGATGAATATTGTCTGATCCTGCTACCTCCACAATTTTTGCCAAATATTGATTTTCTGTTTTAATCACACTTTGTCTACAGATTAGTTGGCACTATTATAAAATGGGCTTTACCTTCCTCATTTATTTATATGTTACCTAGTGGATTTATATTTAATCAAATATTTTTATTTGTTACTATCACCATTAATTTCAAAACTTACGCTATCTCAGTTATGGTAAGTGGGAACTCATTTAAGCTGGCTTATTTGTTCTTGTTGCTATTGTATTTAGAATACTCCCTTAATTTCTGGTACATAGAATCATTTAAGATCACTTTGACTTTTATCTGACTCAGTCTGAAGTCGGTAATTTTAGTAGGAGAGAGTATCTTGGGTTTCAGAGTGCTCATTGCTACTGGGTGTCATTAGCTCTAGACCTTCTCAGCAAACAGGACTAATATATGATTGATATGATATGATATGATATGATAGATATGTTATTACTGCTACAGTTATATACCATTTATTTATCCATTTATCTATCTATATTAAAACATAACGCTTTCACACTGAAACCTACAGATCTAATCCAACTCCTTAGAGATATTTCTAGTGATTTCACTTTTCACATTTATAGATCCCATCCTTAACAGTAAAAATTTTATCTCCCTTTATCTTCACTACATTTATTTGTTTGCTCAATTTGCTTATGTTTGACCAGTTATCTGTGCAGGATAGCCACCTCATTACCTCTGCTCTTGTCTCATTATCTTCAGCTCCCACCCTTCCACTCCTGCCTTGTTGCCCCTATACATTCTTAGCTGCCAGTTTGCTACTTACCCTTGAGCCCTACTGCCTTTCTTGTCTTTGGCCCTGCTGCCTTCTTAGTCTAGTTATGCTGTTTCTCTTTTGCTTTGCTGCATTTTTGCCCCATCACAGCCTCTGCATCTTTGTCCTCTGCCTTCTTGGTATCAAGCCTTACTGCTCCATCTTTGGCCTATAGCCTACAGTTGCCTGTTAGAGTTTGCCATCATTTTAGCCCTGACAATGGAAAGGGAATGAATGAAAGCGGAAACATTTCAATTCTTTTTATGAGACTAGCATAATTGACCACAAAACTCGACAAGGAGAAATCAGAAAAGTACAATTATAAGAAATAAACACAAAAACCATAATATCATCTCAATAAGTGCAGAAAAAGCATTTAATATAGGAGCATAGGAGCATACCTCAAAAACTAGGCACAGAAAGAGCATACCTCAAAATAATTAAGGCCATATATGACAAACCCACAGCAAAACCCACAACCTAAGTGGGGAAGGTATAAAGCCATCTCTCTACAAACATGAACAAGAAAATGATGCCAATTCTCACCACACTTTTTTTGCTACTCAGCATTTTTTCATTTAAAAATATTATTAAAAATTAGTTTCTGTGACAGGATACTCATTTGATATATCTTTTTTATTATTATACTTTAAGTTCTGGTATATATGTGCAGAACGTACAGCTTTGTTACATAGGTATACACCTACCATGGTGGTTTGCTGCACCCATCAACCTGTCAAATACATTAGGTATTTCTCCTAATGCTATCCCTCCCCTAGCCCTCTACCTATCAACAGGCCCCGGTGTGTGATGTTCCCCTCCCTGTGTCCACGTATCCTCATTGTTCAACTCTCATTTATGAGTGAAAACATGTGGTGTTTGGTTTTCTGTTCTTGTGTTAGTTTGCTGAGAATGATGGTTTCCAGCTTAATCCATGTCCCTGAAAAGGACATGAACTCATTGTTTGTATGGCTGCATAGTATTCCATGGTGTATATGTGCCACATTTTCTTCATAGTCTATCATTCATGGGCATTTGGGTTGGTTCCAAGTCTGCTATTGTGAGCAGTGCTGCAATAAACATACGTGTGCATGTTTCTTTATAGTAGAATGATTTATCATCCTTTGGGTATGTACCTATAATTGGGATTGCTGGGTAAAATGGTATTTCTTGTTCTAGATCCTTGAGGAATCACCATGCTGTCTTCCACAATGTTTGAACTAATTTACACTCCCACCAACAGTATAAAAGCGATCCTATTTCTCCACATCCTCTCCAGCATTTGTTGTTTCCTGACATTTTAATGACTGCCATTTTAACTGGCATGAGATGGTATCTCATTGTGGTTTTCATTTGCATTTCTCTAATGACCAGTGATGCTGAGCTTTTTCTTCATACATTTGTTGGCTGCATAAGTGTCTTCTTTTGAAAAGTGTCTGTTTATATCCTTCACCCAATTTTTGATGGGGTTGTTTTTTTCTTGTAAATTTGTTTAAGTTCTTTGTAGATTCTGGATATTAGCCCTTTGTTAGATGGATAGATTGCAAAATTTTCCTCCCATTCTGTAGGTTGCCTGTTCACTTCGATGATAGTTTCTTTTGCTGTGCAGAAGCTCTTTAGTTTAATTAGATCCCATTTGTCAATTTTGGCTTTTGCTGCCATTGCTTTTGGTGTTTAATTCATGAAGTCATTGCCCATGCCTATGTCCTGAATGGTATTGCCTAGGTTTTCTCGTAGGAGTTTTATGGTTTTAGGTCTTATGTTTAAGTGTTTATTCCATTTTGAGTTAATTTTTGTATAAGGTGTAAGGAAGGGGCCCAGTTTCAGTTTTCTGCATATGGCTAGCCAGTTTTTCCAGCACCATTCATTAAGTAGGGAATCCATTCCCCATTGCTTGTTTTTGTCAGGTTTGTCAAAGATCAGGCAGTTGTAGATTTGTGTTATTTCTGAGGCCTCTGTTCTGTTCCATTGGTCTATATACCTGTTTTGGTCCCAGTAACATGCTGTTTTGGTTACTGTAGGCTTGTAGTACACTTAGAAGTCAGGTAGTGTGATGCCTCCAGCTTTGTTCTTTTTGCTTAGGATTGTCTTGGTGATATGGGCTCTTTTTTATTCCATATGAAATTTAAAGTAGTTTTTTCTAATTCTGTGAAGAAAGTCAATGGTAGCTTGATGGAGATAGCACTGAATCTATAAATTACTTTGGGCCATATGTCCATTTTCACGATATTGATTCTTCCTATCCATGAGCATGGAATATTTTTCCATTTGTTTGTGTCCTCTCTGATTTCCTTGAGCAGTGGTTTGTAGTTCTTCTGGAAGAGGTTCTTCACATCCCTTGTAAGTTGTATTCCTAGGTATTTTAATCTCTTTGTAGTAATTGTGAATGGGAGTTCACTCATGATTTGGCTCTCTATTATTGGTGTATAGAAACGCTTGTGGTTTTTGCACATTGACTTTTTATCCTTAGACTTTGCTGAAGTTGCTTATCAACTTAAGGACATTTTGGACTGAGATAATGGGGTTGTCTAAATATACAATCATGTCATCTGTAAACAGAGACAATTTGACTTCCTCTCCTCCTATTTGAATATCCTTTGTTTCTTTCTCTTGCCTAATTGCCCTGGCCAGAACTTCCAATATTCTGTTGAATAGAAGTGGTGAGAGAGGGCATCCTTGTCTTGTGCCCATTTTCAAAGGGAATGATTCCAGCTTTTGCCCATTCATTATGGTATTGGCTGTGGGTTTGTGATAAACAGCTCTTATTATTTTGAGATACATTCCATCAATACCTAGTTTATTGAGAGTTTTTAGCATTGAATTTTGTTGAAGGCCCTTTCTGCATCTATTGAGATAATCATGTGGTTTCTGTCATTGGTTCTGTTTATGTGATGGATTACGTTTATTGATTTGTGTATATTAAACCAGCCTTGCATCCCAGGGATGAAGCCGACTTGATCGTAGTGGATAAGCTTTTTGATGTGCTACTGGATTCAGTTTGCCAGTATTTTATTGAGGATTTTCACATTAATGTTCATCAAGGATATTGGCCTGAAATTTTCTTTGTTTTTCTTTTGTTGTTGTTGTAACTCTGATAGGTTTTGGTACCAGGATGATGCTGGCCTCATAAAATGATTTAGGGAGTAGTCCTTCTTTTTCTATTGTGTGGAATAGTTTCAGAAAAAAATGGTACCAGCTCCTCTTTGTACCTCTGATAGAATTTGGCTGTGAATCCGTCTCATCCTGGGCTTTTTTTGGTTGGTAGGCTATTAATTACAGCCTCAATTTCAGAACTTCTTATTGGTCTATTCAGGGATTTGACTTCTTCCTCATTTCGTCTTGGGAGGGTGTTAAGTGTCCAGGAATTTATCCATTTCTTTTAGATTTTCTAGCTTATTTGCATAGCGGGGTTTATAGTATTCTCTGATGGTAGTTTATATTTCTGTGGGATCAGTGGTGATATCTCCTTTATCATTTTTTATTGTGTCTATTTGATTCTTCTCTTTTCTTATTAGTCTGGCTAGCAGTATGTCTATTTTGTTAATCTTTTCAAAACCAGCTTCTGGATTCACTGATTTTTTTTAAGATTTTTCATGTCACTATCTCCTTCAGTTCTGCTCTTAGTTATTTCTTGTCTTCTGCTAGCTTTTGAGTTTGTTTGCCCTTGCTTCTCTAGTTCTTTTCATTGTGATGTTAGGGTGTCAATTTTAGCCCTTTCTCGCTTTCTCCTGTGGGCATTTAGTGATATAAATTTCCCTCTAAACACTGCTTTAGCTGTGTCCCAGAGATTCTGGTACATTGTGTCTTTGTTCTCATTGGTTTCAAATAACTTATTTATTTCTGCCTTAATTTCATTATTTACCCAGTAGTCATTCAGGAGCAGGTTGTTCAGTTTCCACGTACTTGTGCAGTTTTGAGTGAGTTTCTTAATCCTGAGTTCTAATTTTATTGCACTGTGGTCTGAGAGACTGTTTGTTATGATTTCCCTTATTTTGCATTTGCTGAGGAGTGCTTTACTTCCAATTATGTGGTCAGTTTTAGAATAAGTGATGTGGTGCTGAGAAGAATGTATATTCTGTTGAGTTGGGGTGGAGAATTTTGTAGATTATCTATTAGGTCTTCTTGGTCCAGAGCTGCGTTCAAGTCCTGAGTATCTTTGTTAATTTTCTGTTTCGTTGATCTGTCTGTTATTGTGTGGGAGTCTAAGTCTTTTTGTAGGCCTCTAAGAACTTGCTTTATGAATTTGGGTGCTCCTGTATTGGGTGCATATATATTTAGGATAGTTATCTCCTCTTGTTGCATTGATCCCTTTACCATTATGTAATGCCCTTCTTTGTCTTTTTTGGTCTTTATTGGTTTAAAGTCTGTTTTATCAGATATTAGAATTGCAAACCCCTACTGTTTTTTCTTTCCATTTGCTTGGTAAATATTCCTCCATCCCTTTATTCTGAACCTATGTGTGTCTTTGCATGTGAGATGGGTCTCCTGAATACAGCACACCGATTGGTCTTGACTCTTTATCCAATTTGGCAGTCTGTGTCTTTTAATTGGGGCATTTATCCCATTTACATTTAAGGTTGATATTGTTATGTGTGAATTTTATCCTGTCATTATGATGCTAGCTGATTATTTTGCCCATTAGTTGATACAGTTTCTTCATAGTGTTGATGATCTTTACAATTTGATATGTTTCTGCAGTGACTGGTACCAGTTTTTCCTTTCCATATTTAGTGCTTCCTTCAGGAGCTCTTGTAACATGGGCCTGGTGGTGACAAAATCTCTCAGCATTTGCTTGTCTGTAAAGGATTTAGTTTCACCTTCACTTATGAAGCTTAGTTTTGCTGGATATAAAATTCTTCATTAAGTTGATCTTCAATCTCTGATATCTTTTCTTCTGCTTGATCGATTCAGCTATTGATACTTCTGTATGCTTCATGAAGTTCTTGTGCTGTGTTTTTCAGCTCCATCAGGTTATTTATGTTCTTCTATAAATGGGTTACTCTAGTTAGCAATTCTTCTAAACTTTTTTTAAGGTGCTTAGCTTCCTTGCATTGGGTTAGAACATGCTCCTTTAGCTTGGAGGAGTTTGTTATTACCCACCTTCTGAAGCCTACTTCTTTCAATTTGTCAAACTCATTCTGCATCCAGTTTTGTTCCCATGCTGGCAAGGAGTTGTGATCCTTTGGAGGAGAAGAGGCTTTCTGGCTTTTGGAATTTTCAGATGTTTTGCTCTGTTTTTTCCTCATCCTCATGGATATATCTACCTTTGGTCTTTGATGTTGGTGACCTACGGATGGGGTTTTGGTGTGGACATCCTTTTTGTTGAGTTGATGCTATTCCTTTCTGTTTGTTAGTTTTCCTTCTAACAGGCCCCTCAGCTACAGGTCTGTTGGAGTTTGCTGGAGGCACGCTCCAGAGCCTTTTTGCCTGGATATCACCAGTGGAGGCTGTAGAACAGCAAAGATTGCCGCCTGTTCCTCCCTCTGGAGGCTTTGTCTCAGAGGACTACCTGCCAGATGCCAGCCAGAGCTCTCCTGTATGAGGTGTCTGTTGACCCCTGCTGGGAGATGTCTCCCACTCAGGAGTCATGGGTGTCAGGGACCCATTTGAGGAGGCAGTCTGTCCCTTAGCAGAGCTAGAGCACTGTGCTGGGAGATCTGCTGCTCTCTTCAGAGCCAACAGGCAGGAATATTTAAGTCTGTTGAAGCTGCGCCCACAGCTGTCCCTTCACCCAGGTGCTCTGTCCCAGGGAGATGGAAGCTTTATCTATAAGTACCTGACTGAGGCTGCTGCCTTTCTTTCAGTGATGCCCTGGCCCAGAGAGAAGGAATGTAGAGAGGCAGTCTGGCTACAGCAGCTTTGCTGAGCTATGGTGGGCTCCACCCAGTTCAAACTTCCCAGCAGCTTTGTTTACACTATGAGTGGAAAACCACCTACTCAAGCTTCAGTAATGGTGGATGCCCCTTCCATCAAGCTTGAGCATACCAGGTTGTCTTCAGACTGTTGTGCTGGCAGTGAGAATTTCAAGCCAGTGGATCTTAGCTTGCTGGGCTCCATGGGGGTGGGATCCGCTGAGCTAGGCCACTTGGCTCTCTGGCTTCAGCACCCTTTCCAGGGCAGTGAACGATTCTGTCTCACTGGCATTCCAGGCATCACTGGGATATGAAAAAAAAAAAAAAAAAAACTCCTGCAGCTAGCTTGGCATCTGCCCAAACAACTGCCCCATTTTGTGCTTGAAACCCAGTGCCCTGGTGGTGTAGGCACCTGAGGGAATCTCCGGGTCTGCAGGTTGCAAAGCCCATGGGAAAAACATAATATCTGGGCTGGAATGCACTGTTCCTCATGGCACAATCCCTCACAGCTTCCCTTGGCTAGGGGTGGGAATTTCTCGACCCCTTTCACTTCCCAGGTGAGGTGATGCTCCACCCTGCTTTGGCTTGCCCTCCGTGAGCCACACCCACTGTCTAACCAGTCCCAGTGAGATGAGCTGGGTACCTCAGTTGGAAATGGAGAAATCACCCACCTCCTGTGTTAATCTTGCTTGGAGCTATAGACTGGAGCTGTTCCTATTTGGTGATCTTCCGTTCTCGCCACTTTTATTCAATATACTACTGAAAGTCCTAGCCAGAGCAATCAGACAAGAGAAAGAAATATAAAGGATCTAAATTAGAAAAGAGGAAGTCAAATTATCTCTGTTTGCTGTGAAATTAGACCTAGAAAACTCTAGAGACTCTTCCAAAAGACTCCTAGATGTGATCAATGAATTCAGTAAAATTTCAGGATACAAAATAAACCTATAAAAATCAGTAACATTTCTATACACCAATAACAAACAAGCTGAGAAACAACTCAAGAAACCAATTCCATTTATAATACCTACAAAAAATATCTAGGCATATGTTTAACCCAGAGGGTGAAATATCTCCGTAAGGAAACTACTAAAACTAATGAGAGAAATTGTAGATTATGCAAACTAATGGAAAAGTATTTCAACCTCATGGACAGGAAGAATCAAATTGTTAAAATGGCAATAGTGTACAAAGCAATTTACAAATTCAATAATATTTTTATCAAACTACCAAGATCATTCTTCACAGAATTAGAAAATACTGTTTTAACATTTATATGGAACCAAAAAGAAGAGTTGGAACAACCAAAGCAATCCTAAACAAGAAGAACAAAGTGGAAGGCATCGTATTACCTGATCTCAAATTATAACACAGGCTATAGTAATTAAAACAGCATGGTACTGGTGTAAAAATAGATAGAACAATGGAGAAGAGAAAACTCAGAAATAAAGGTACATATCCACAGCAAACTAATGTTTGACAAAGTCAATTAGAGCATACACAGCAGAAAGGACAAACTTTTCAATAAATGGTGCTGGGAAAAATTGGATTGTCATATGCAGAAAAATGAAACTATGTATCTTACCATATATAAAAATTGACTCAAGATAGATTAAAGACTTAAATGTAAAACCTGTAACTATTAAAATCCTAGGAAAGAAATCCAGGAAAACTCCTTTGGACATCAGTGTAAGCAAATAATTCATGACTAAGACCTTAAAAGCACAAGTAAGTAAAACAAAAATAGACAAATGGAAGTTAATTTTACTAAAAGCTTCTGCACAGCAAAAGAAAAAATAAACAGTGACACACACCTGCAGAATGAAAGAAAATATTTGCAAACTATACATCTAACAATGACTAATGTCTAGAATTTACAAGGAACTTAACAACAAGAAACAACTCCATTTAAAAGGCAGCAAATGATATGAACAGACTTTTTCAAAGAAGACATACAAATGGACAAAAAGCATATGAAAAAATGTTCAACATCACTAAACATCAAGAAATGTGAATTAAAACCAAAATGAGATACCATCTCATGCCAGTCAGAATGGCTATTATTAAAAAGTCAATAAAAGTTATTGGCAGGGATGTAGAGAAAAGATAATGCTTATATGCTTTTATTGAGAATGTAAATTAGTATACCCTCTATAGAAAACTTAAAATATTTTGCAAAGAACTAAAAATAGAATTATCATTCGATCCAGGTACACAACTGTTGGATATCTACCCAAAGGGAATAAATCATTATATCAAAAAGATACTTGTACTTGTATGTTTATCACAGTACTATTCACAATAGCAAAGATATGGGTCAATAGAAGTGTCCATCAATGGATAATTGGATAAAGAAAATGTGTTATGTACACACAATGGAATACATAACTTAATGTCTTATCTTAAACCACAAATATAACAAAATTATGTCTTTTGCAGCAACATTAATGGAACTAGAGGCCATTATCTTACCTGAAATAAGTCAGAAATAAAAAGTCAAATACTGCATGTTCTCACTTATAAGTGGGAGCTAAATAAAGTATATACATGGACACAGAGTATAGATCATCAGTAGAGACTCAGAAGGGTGGGAGGGTGAGAAGGGGTTGAGGGATGAGAAATTACTTAGTGGTTACAACATTCATTATTCAGGTGATGGTTACACAAAAGCTAGACCTCACCACTATGCAATATATCCACATAACAAACTGCCCTTGTACCTCTTATGTTTATACGAATAATTAAAAGGACCATCCATTCTAAGCAGATTCCCAATTTGAAACCATAATTAGTTACCACTGTAATTTGTTTGTTTTCTTCATTGGAGGTAACAAGATTGTACATTATTTTTCATATTCCTTAATTGTTTACAGTCCATGTATCCCCACTCCCCTACCCACAAGAATATAAGATTCATGGGGATATATATATATATATACATATATATATATACATATATATACACACACACACACACACATATATATATAATATATATGTTTTTCACAAAATTATGTCAAGTACTGAGTATAGTGTATGATACATTATAGACATTTAATAAATATTTTTATATAAACAAGTAACATTAATTTGCTATTTAATTTAATTCTGTATAAATTCACAGTGCCACAATATTTTAGTCTCTTTAACCCAAATTATGTTGCTTGGAATCCTAGCAAAGCCCTTTTTCAGGTGCATATCCAAAATAGGTCTTTTTTTTTTTTATCTTTAGGATTGCTGTGAATGTTAAATCAGTGCTAATATATGTAAAACACTTAGAGTAGTACCTGGTACAGTGTGAACGCTTGAAAAAGTGATCCATGGTTATTTACCATCTTGATCTGCAGTCAGAGGGTGAACTTTAATTCCATTTAGCAGGTTTTTTATCTTTTAAAGCCATTTTAGCATGCTTCCAGCCACCTCCACCCCTGATTCCTACCCCTGAACTATAAGTATGACATTTTTTAAGCTAAGGTTTTCAGTATACTTAACTGGTTTCCATGTAACCTTGCTTAGATGCAGTAATATTACAGTTATCTTCATTGGGGTGCACCCAGTTCATGTATTTTGAATCCAGAATTCACACATGGAATTCAAGTGATTTTTTCAGCCCCTATAATTATATGCACATTCTTTTGTGCAGTTTCTTTCTTTTTTTTATTTTTTAATCTGGGATGAGGACTCTCACAGCTATCATCACACTTACTAGGGTGTCTTTGGCATCGAATGACTAGAATTGTCCCCAGGGGGGAAGGAAAAAGCACAAACTTTCACATATGCTGTGTCTAAAGTAGTTTCAGCAAATCCTCTGAGGACTCATTCTTCAGGGGTAATTGTTGAGCATACTTTTAACAGCTTTTCCTTAATAAAGCATCTTTTTCTTGACTTCCTGAAACTGAATTTTGTGATCTAAGCCTTGTTCTCATTACAGAATGGAAAACATAATTATTTTTCTGTTTTTCTTCTTTTTTCCTGATAAACTATAGCCACTATATTGAGAGATGCTATTTATCTTTAAAGATAAAACTATTGTATTCTGACAGCACAGTGGTTTCCAAAGCAACCCAAGTAACTTACTTGGACACAGTTGTTCTTCTTTCTCACTGGGGGAGAAAGTTTCTAAGCAGCTGCTAACATCACACCTAGAGAAAATGGAATGTAAAATAATGTTACATTTCTCTGTATTTCTACGGGCATTGAGTCTCTCAGCAGGAGCATTTGGGACAATAAAAGAGCTATTGCCAAATGCAAAGAAACTTAATAATCCATAAAAAGTTATAAAATATAAAATATAAACCACTGCCTTCTGAATGATAAGTCTGTGAACAATGTAGTTCTTTAGTAAAGAAGAACGTTTATATGCAAAGCAGGACAAGGTGTAGTTTCAGTGGTGCTGAGCTGGCACTATTTGAAGAAAGGGTACAAACAACCAACAGCAGCAACAACAAATACAAGAAATAAACAAAATCTTGCAATATAGGCTCTGCCAAAATCTGCATATTTATATTTGGGGATTATTCTTTAGTTTATCCCACCTCCATTTTGAAATCCAGTGTTCTTCAGAGATAGAACACATTTAATCAATCATAACAGCTGAACTCAATCACATTTCTGCAGTTTGTTATCATTATTGATATATTGTATCTACCTCCACTCCAAGCCCACAAATTAGCCAGTATAGGGCAGGAAAGATTTGTTTACTCACCCATTATTAGGTTCATGGCTGAGGCACTCATAACAAAAGAGAAATTAATAGAAGAAGATGACTTAATATAAGTTATGTGACAATATAAGAATAGTATAGTACAACAATAGTTATATTGTCACATATGACTTATATTAAGTCATCTTATTTTATTAATTCAAATTACAATTTAAATTTTAATAAGTTCATTAAGCATAAAATAATATTGAAAGAGTAAGAAATTGAGCTTTTCCCGACTTATTGTAGTAGCTCATCATTATTTATGAAGCCCAAATTTGTCATTCATCCTACACTGAAAAGAACCACCCCATTTCTCCCACTTTAAACCATATACAAATATTAAGTCAAAATGAATCACAGATGTAAATGTAAGACCTAAAACTATACAATTTTAAAAATGGAGTAAATATTTGTGATTTTTATTGAGTCAACGGTTTCTTAGTTACATCACTAAAAGCACAGTTGACAAAAGAAAAATAGACAAACTGGAGGGGTGGGACCAAAATGGCAACTAGAAGCATGGTGCTCGGAGGCTTCCATCGAAAAAACCATAACAAGTGTGTGAATCCTTCACCAGCAATCAAGGTATCCAGATTCTGTCATCAAAATGGACTAGAAGGCTGGCATGACCCACGGAGAGAAGGAAGAGCAGTGTGGTGCGGCAGCCCACCTGCGAGCCACAAGGGACGGGGGAACCCCTTTCCCCCAGCCAAAGGAGGCGATGAGTGAGCCCACTATCCAGCAGGGGAAACTGTGCTTTTTCCACTGAACTGTGCAACCCATGGATCGGAAGATCCCACTTGTGAACCCAAGCCACTGGGGCCTAGTGTCCCAACCCCAGAACACGCTGTCTTACAGCCTCTCAGCAGGAAACTCAACTCCCAGAGGGAGGGGCGACAAGAAATAGCTGCAGCCACCTGCTGCCTAAGTCATTTAAGCTCCTGGGGGAGGGGTAGCAACCGGTGCTAGGACTCACAACTGCCTAACTCCCCGTGCAGGGGAAGGGCAGCACCCATCTCTATAGCTCCAGGCTACGCTTTTCCCCTGCTGGAGCCAGGGAGGCATAAAGGCCTAGTCCCAAGACTTCTCCCCACAGTCCAACACACTGGCTGTCATCCGTCATCTGTGGTCAGAGTGCTCATCAAGTCAGACCCTGTCCCATCCTTCCTCACTGGGTGGGGCTTCCCTGCAGGAACTCGAGTAACCCCAGGCAGAGGCTCAGCGACAGAATCTGATCTCCCTGAGTCTGAGCCCCTAGTGGGAGGGGTGGCTGCAGCCTCTGCAAACCAGCAGACTTAGCCTATTCTACTGGTAGTTCTGAGGAATCTGGGCAGCCCAGATGAGTGGGTTTTCCCCCCAGTGAAGCACAGCCCCACCACCAAAGGACAAAGTGCTTCATTAAATGGGTCCTGTTCCCTGTGGCACCAAACTATGTGAGACCCTCCAACAGGGGTTGTCAGGCACCCTATACAGGAGTGATCCTACTGGCAACAGGATGGTGCCTCAAGATCAGAGGTCTCAAAAGAAGGAGCAGACACCCATCTTTGCTATTCTCCAGCCTCTTTTAGTGACCTCTCTAGGCACTGGAGTGAATCAGATGAATAGGGCCCGAAGTGAACCCCCAGCAAATTGCAGCAGCCTATACAAAAGAAGGACCTGACTATTGAAAGAAAGACAAACAGGCAGAAAACAACAACAACTGCATCAACGACAACAAAAGGCCCCCCCAAAAACCCTCCCCAAGGGTCAGCAGCCTCAAAGACCCAAGCTGGACAAACTCACAAAGATAAGACAGAATCAATTTAAAAAATGCTGAAAACCCAAAAGGCCAGAGTGCCTTTTCTCCTCCAAATGATCGCAACATTTTGCCATCAAGGGTGCAGAACTGGATGGAGGATCAGATGGATGAATTAACAGAAGTAGGCTTCAGAAGATGGTAACAAAGAACTATGCTGAGCTGAAGGAGCATGTTCTAACCCAATGCGAAGAAGCTAAGAACTTTGATAAAAGATTTGAAGAACTGCTAACTAGAATAACTAGAGAGGAATGTAAACGACCTGATGAATCTGAAAAACACAGCATGAGAACTTCGTGAAGCATATACAAGTATCAACAGACAAATCAACCAAGTGGAAGAAAGGATATCAGAGTTTGAAGACCACCTTGCTGAAATAAGACATGCAGACAAGAATAGGGAAAAAAGAATGAAAAGGAATGAACAAAGCCTTCAAGAAATATGGGACTTCATAAAAGGACCAAACCTACAATTGATCAGAGTACCAGAAAAATATGGGGAGAATGTAAACAAGCTAGGAAATGTAAGGATGTAAGAATGTAAGGAAATGTAAGAATGCAAACAAGCTAGGAAACACACTTCAGGATATTATTCAGGAGAACTTCCCCAACCTAGCAAGACAGGTCAACATGCCAATTCAGAAAATACAGAGAACACCATTAAGATACTCCACAAAATGCCCAACCCCAAGACACATAATTGCCGGGTCCGTCCCACACACCCGGGCTGAGCAACAGATGAAAGGAGTACTCAGACACAGGTATGCAGTGTAAGAGCAGCTAGGGGACTGCCCGCCACTAGTGGCCGAAGAATGAGCAGTCCCAAACAGCTGGAGCTGCTTGCTTTTATTCAGTACAGACATAATGCCACAAGCCTGGAGCAAACACAGTTTGCAGGTAATTAACATTATTGTTTCCCCTTTCAGGGAGCAGTCACAGTAGAATCGCTCCTGTATAGGCTGTCTGACAACCCCTGTTGGAGTTTCTCACATAGTTTGGTGCCACAGGGAACAGGACCCATGATCAAAGGTCAGCTTCTGGTCAACATAAGTAAACAAGCCTGTTTATGATAAATTCCCCTACACTTCCTTGTATCTACTCCTTGCCCTCTGCCTCAGGGTCAGAGAACAGTTGCCTTCAGCTTATTCTCCCCCAAAGCTATGCAGAGGCTTCTGACCTTTCAGAAGGCCTGCTCTTTTCCCTATAGTTTATCCCACCACTCTGACTGATCTCCTACACATAATCATCAGATTCTCCAAGGTCAAAATGAAGGAAAAGCTGTGAGGTCAGCCAGAGACAAAGGCCAGATCACCTATAAAGGGAAGCCCATCAGACTAACAGCAGACCTTTCAGCAGAAACTCCACAAACCACAAGAGATTGGGGACCAAAATTCAGCATTCTTAAAGAAAAGAATTTTCAACCCAGAATTTTATATCCAGCCAAAATAAGCTTCATAAGCAAAGGAGAAATAAAATCCTACCCAGACAAGCAAGTGCTGAGGTATTTCATTACCACCAGGCATGCCCTGCAAGAGCTCCTGAAGGAAGCACTTAATATGGAAAGAAAAAACTGGTATCAGCCGCTGCAAAAACACACCAAAATACAAAGACTAATGACACTATGAAGAAAGTGCATCAACTAGTGTGCAGCATTATGATGAAAGGATCAAATTCACACATAACAATACTAGCCTTAAATATAAATGGGCTAAAAGTCCCAGTTAAAAGACACAGACTGGCAAACTGGATAAAGAGTCAAGATCCATCGGTGTGCTGTATTCAGGAGACCTATCTTTAATGCAAAGACACACATAGGCTCAAAATTATGGGATGGAGGACAATTTAAGAAATAAAGAGAAAAATAAACTGGACTTCATCAGAATTAAATCATTTTATCTTTAAAGGAACCATAAAGTAGGAAGACAACCTGCCGAATGGAATAAACTATTTCAAATTGTATCTAATAAAGAACTTGAATTCAGAATATATAAAGAAATCTTCCAATTCAAAAATACAAATAACCAAAATAGCAATGGGCAATAAATAAAGATTTCTTCAAATAAGATTTTTTTAAGAAAACAATTAATAAGCACAAGGAAAGGTGCTAATGTAATTTTCAATAGAGAAATGCAGATTGAAACCACATTGAGAAACCACTTTACACTCACAGGGAGAGCTGAGATTAGAAAGACAAACAACACTAGCTATAGGTAAGGATGTGAGGAAATAGGAATGTTCATTTATTGCTGATGGAAATTTAAACTGGTGAGGCTGATTTGGAGAATAGTTCCTCTGTTCCTCAAAATGTTAAATATAGAATGACCATAAGGCCCAACAACTCTATTCCTAAATATGTATGCAAAAGAAATCAAAACCCATTTTCATACCAAAACATGTACATGAATATTCATGGTGGCATTTTTCAAAATAGCCTAAAAGTGGAAGCAAACCAAATGTCCATCAACTGATAAATAGGCAAGCAAAATGTTGTTTGTCCATAAAATGAAATACTATTCAACAATTAAAAAGAAAAAAAGTAGACATGCTACAATACGGATGAACCTTGAAAACATGATCCAAGTGAAAGAATCCATTCATATAAGACCATATTTTTCATTACTCCATTCATGTGAAATCTCCAGAGTAGGCAAGTGCATACAGACAAAAAGTATATTTGAAGTTTCCAAATACTGGGGGGAAGGGGGAATAGGAAATGACTGCTAATGAATACAGAGATTTTTTGGGGGGAAGCGGTGATAGAACAATTCTAAAAGTAAATAATGATGAAAATTATTTAACTGAAAATGTACTAAAACCTGCTGAATTGTACTCTTTAAATGGTTAAACTTCATATTATATAAATTGCATCTAAATAAAGCTGTTATAAAAACACGTCCCCAGAAAAATTGGAGAAAAACATTCATGTTCATTCTTCACTCAACCTCAGCAGCCTGATATTGCTAGTCCTTTTTGCACATAAAAGACTGAGTGCACTGAAGATTATTTATCTAAGATATCATAATTGAGATTCATAATGATACCTCACATCTGAATTGTTAAATATTCTTTTAAGACAATTGAACAAATTGTAATTATAACAGGATTATTTTCTGAATTTTTAAAGTATATTTTAGTGGAAAAAATAATAAAAATTACTGTACAATGGGTAACTTAGAGGGTGCTGAAGTAAGAAATAATGGTGTATCAGAAAATAATGATTTCACTTTAATTTCTCTATACTGTAATTAAGAAAACTAATACTTTTCAAATATTTGTTCCCCAATAATGGTAATAGTGCTACTAATAATAAGTGTAATTATAGTGTACTTATGTGTTGGTTATTACACTAAGCCTGATACACACATGTTTGAAGTTTCTATGATGTAGACTCTATAATGTCTTCATCAAGGAGGATTATTGACATGGAACAATATTTAATGAAAAGCCGAATTAATAATCAATGACAAAGGCATTACAGAATTTTGAGCTCAAAGAGAAATAAGGGATTTTTTGTGCCTTTATAATTATAGTATTTATAGTGTTTATAATTGTGGCAAAACATTCAAACAGACTCAGAAATAAATAAATAAAGGCTGTGATAATCAACTTCAGGCAATAGATTTGTTTCTAAGTTAATCTAGGCATATAGCTCAATGATCACATATGAGCTTGTTTCTCTCTTTCCATTGCTGGGCCTGGCTTTCTGTGTGGTGACTCCATTCTCAGACAGGCTGTGTCCGCATGGTGGCAAGTTGTTTGGTCAGATACATTAGGTGATTCTTTTACATTCCATGTTAGTGAAAAAGAACAAAGGCCATTATGAATAAAGTCTGGAGATTCACACTAATGATGAGTTTGCTCATAAATCTATGATTCTATCCATGGCAATGTGTTATGTGAATTGATTTATGCTGCTTCATAAGTCCCACTCCTCAAGGTACGGAGAACTAAGAGTCATGAAGAGGTGATGCCACAATCTAAAACTGGAGCTGCTTCCACAAGAAAGGGAGTTGAATACAGGATCCATAAACAACAAATATTTACTCTCCTTTATTTAAAAAGTTGATGTTCTCATAATTGTAGGTTTATTCAGCATCTCACAATTGCATATCGGTAGAACAAGAACTTGAATACAGAACTTTGCACCCCTGTCTTGTCTACTTCCTCTTATTCTACGTTTATTACTGTGAAGTATTGATGCTGGCAGACATGGTCATGATGACTGCTGAGGCAAATGTCACACTAAGGTTAGTTTATAGCATGAGAGGAAAAGTCAATTTTCAGAGTCAGAACAAGTTGAGTTTGAATAACAGCTGTGCCATGTACTACTTTTTTGGCTTCAAAAATGTGGCTTATTCCCTCTCAGGTAATGTCAGCTGAAAACTGATGTTTCATGCTTAGCATAATTCGTAGCATTTGGAAAGTGCTTAGTAAATGTTAACCACTATTTTTGTTTTTGTTAATACTATTGCCTCAGTTTTCTTATGTACAAGTAGGATAATCTAAATATTTGTTGAGAAGTTCAAGTAGTCTTGTACAGATAAATCATTGTCCTGGTTAATTTGCCTATGGCAAAGATTTAGTAAATTATTTCTTAAGATTGAAATTTAAAGAGGCCAAGTTTTTTGCTGCTTCTTTTCAGTCCTTTTAAAAATCCCTGGCTTGCCTATCCAGCACAGGCTATAGGCAGGAGTGGCATGGGTTAACATTATGGGATTACCAAAGTCAGCTCCTGCTGCTAGTGTCTGTCTCACTCCCTCTCTCATTTATCCCTCAGATGGTTATTTGACAGCATTCCCCTTAAATGTCTTCACCAAATACATTTGTGTGTGTGTTGTGTGTATATGTTATATGTTTGTGTATATATATATATATATGTGTGTGTGTGTGTGTGTATATATATTTATATGTGTATATATATGCATGTATATGTGTGTGTGTGTGTGTGTATATATAATTTATGTATTTATTTTTTTTGAGATGGAGTCTCACTCTGTTGCCCAGGCTGGAGTGCAGTGGCATGATCTTGGCTCACTGCAACCTCTCCCTCCCAGGTTCAAGCAATTCTCCTGCCTCAGCCTCTGGAGTAGCTAGGACTACAGATGTGCACCACCATGCCCAGCTAATTTTTGTATTTTTAGTAGAGAGGGGTTTCACCATGTTTGCCAGGTTGGTCTCGAACTCTTGACCTCGAGTGATCCGTTCACCTCAGCCTCCCAAAGTGCTGAGATTACAGGCGTGAGTCTCCCGGCCTGCATTTCATACACACACACACACACACACACACACACACACACACACACGTATATATTTAATTTCTTTTTAATTGTCTAATATTCTTCTTTACAAATCTTCATGAACACTCCTTAGTCCACTTATCTCCACTAATATCTTTATAAAATGATAACTAAAGAGTTCAACATAGTATCTATGAGTATGGCTGACAGAAAAAGACTGAATAATCTCATGGGCATAATTTTCTGTATAACTATCCCATCAGGGAGGAAAACTGGACATATTTCTTGTTGAAATCCACAGTGACTATCTCAATATGCTATTGGCCATGACAACCAGCCTGCAATAAGATTTTCTAAGGGGAAACTGCTCAAGTTTCTTTCAGAAACAAAATGACATCTGCAAATTTACTGACACATTTAGTAACATACATAAAACAACACTTTTTTTTTGTAAAATAGCAATCCCATTTGAAAAAGGAAATGTGGTAGAAAAAGGTGATCAAATATTGCAATGTGCAAAGCACTATGCTACAGGCAGAGAGGAACAGAACACAAAAAAAACTGCTATCCCTCTTCAACATATATAGCAGATTTGTCTGCCAACATAGTAGGTAACATGATAAACTTAAGAAAGTTGTTTGGGACTTTGAAAATTCAGAAAGACTTCATAGAAATTGTGACATTTGTGCTAGACTTTGCAGGATTTTAATTAGTGCAGAAGTGTAGAATGGGAGGAAGTGGAAAAAATGTAATCATCAGGCTTGGGAAATATTCAGATTAATCAGAAAATGAGAGAGCCACCGTAACAGGAGTTCGGTGGGAGATGAGACTGGAGATAAGACTGAGGCCATGTGGAGGTAAGCAGCGGCTGCTAACGGCATCCATTCCAGTCTTAAAAGCTGTTTCCCAGGAAAGCAGGACACTGATAAAAGCTGAGTAATTCAACTTGACTTCAAAAAGCCTTTTGAAGCATTAGCAGGCAACCCAATCAAGTGATAGAGTATAAATTATGGACCAGAGTCTTTCTTCTTTTTCTTCAAGAGATAAATTAATAAAAGGGTGCACTTCCACCAGAGGAAAGAGGAAGGATTCCTTTTATGATCCCAGAGTAACTCCTTGCATTCTCATCTTACGGTAAGACAAGACTCCAGAGTAGGATTTTAGGTTTGTAGCCCCCCAGGGATATACAAGACATAATTTTTACCTGCATGACGGTCTGGGTTAATAGTTATTCTTAAATTTTGCTATGTTGTTCCTTTCACAGCATTTCAAAAAGGCATTGGGTTTAGTGTCTATTTTGCCTCTGAAGTTGCTTCTCTGGCTGTCTTTCTCTCCCTTCTCTTTCTTCCAGTCATTTTGTTATTGATCACGCTCTGCCTCTGGTTTTCTTGTTCAGAAACTGCTGCAGTTGACCTACCCTTGCCATTGATGTTTATTTTAGGTGTGGCTTCAGGCTGCAAGCTCCTTGGAGTTCCTTTGGCTGGACTGTTTAACTCTCATGGAGACTTACACATGCTTTTGTTATTTTCAGACGTCCTATGAAACAGGGTCTCACTGTTTCTAATTCTCCTTGTGTTTGCTTGTCAAGGAACTTGGGACAAGTTCACAGTAGAAAGTTCCTGGCAATTTGATGTTTTCATACTCAGAAGTTGTTTTCACACTTACACTTAGAGGGAGGAAAGGCATCATTTGTTTCTCTACTTACCTATATCAGTAGTTGTCAAACTATGGTGCCAATGAATCAACTTAAGAGTTCTTTTTAAAATGTAAATTTGGTCCAATATTTCCTAATATTACAACTTATCAGTACTGATGTAAACATTTGGTTGAATATCAGTGTTAAAAACCTTGGATGATTTTTTAAAGGTGTTGTATTTTGAGAAATACATATATAGAATGTAAGTTTTCTTGTTCTGATCCATGGCCAGCATCTTCACAGCTCTCATTAGACCTTGTTCAGCCATCTCTTGAACAAAGCATTTCTTATTGTACCCTTCCTACACCTCTCAGACCACTGAAGAAAACCGGCATTTTTCACCTCAGAATATGGCTTATTGATGTAAATATTGCTAAGGTGAAGACAATTAAGAAGCAGTAGAGGAAGGGCTATTTCTATCCTCTCCTTCCTTTCCTGTGTAAAGACAGAGATAAATTCTTCCTTACTGGAGACAACTCTTAGCTCTGATATGGCACAAAAGAAATCTACAAACAAACCTCACCTCATTAGTTCATTCCTGTGTTCTTCCTACAATTTTCTGACTCTGGAAGCATAAGACTGCATTCCATATTCTTGTCACCTCTCTAAAATAATATTGTTCTTTGTTAAAGATGCTATATAAGCCTGAGTTCTAAGTCACTACTTTTGAGTTATCCATCATTAAATTTTCTCCTGTGATGTGCACTACATGTGTTAATAAACTTGCTTGCTTTTCTCTTGTTAATCTGTCTTTTGTTGCAGGAGTCTGTCCAAACTACAAACTTATGAGGGCTAAGAAGAAATTATATTTTCTCCCTGACACCATCCTCATAATTTAACAAAACAAAATAATCTATAGTGGAATACTAAAGATGTTGTGACATCATAAGTACCTTCTTTGGGCCACATGTAGCAATTTTAACATAAATTAAAAATCTCCCCCAAAAGGATTTTATGCTTTAGTATTACTTGCTACAGGGAGTTCCAAGCCACATTTATACCTCTCTGCCTCCAACTCTTGCTATATACGGACTCATCCCAAGCACATTTACATAATCCATATCAAAGACAATCAGGTATTAAAAATCAGGACTTCCTGATCAAAGCTTCTTCCTATATGTAACCAGTAATATGGAAGAGCAACAAAATAGAATTGTAGAGAGAGAACAAGTAGACTTCCAAGAATATTCTCATTGTAATGAATGTATTTTCGCTATGTATCTTTTGCATCTTTGCCAGGAGTTTTTGGAACTTACCAGCCTCAAAGAAGGGAGAGATTTTGCACTCTGTGACAAGGTCTTCCTTCAGGAGTTTTGAGAGCCAGTGGGATGACTTGAGCAGATACACAATTAAAAACACTCTGCTTGATACATACCATCAAAGCAAGTGAGAGGACATTTTAGATCACAGAAAGAAAAGTGGTATTGATGCTGAACAGGAACAAATAAATTAGACAGAGTATTTGAAGCAGAAGAGTACAGATACAGCCTCGTTTTATTGCACTTAGCTTCAATGAGCTTCACAGATACTGCATTTTTAAGAAATTGAAGGTTTGTGAAAACCTTGTCTGGTAAGTCTTTTAGCACCACTTTTCCAACAGCATTTGCTCACTTTATATCCCTGTGTCACATTCTGGGAATTCTCATATTATTTCAAACTTTTCCATCATTATTATTATTATTATCATTATTTAGATGGAGTCTCCCTCTGTCGCCGAGGCTGGAGTGGAGTGGCATGAATTCAGCTCATTGTAACCTCTGCCTTCGGGGTTCAAGTGATTCTCCTGCCTCAGCCTCCCAAGTAGCTGGGATTACAGGGTCCATTATTGTTATATCTGTCATACTGATCTGTGCTTAGTGAACTTTGATGATATTATTGTAAATGTTTTGGGGAGCCATGAATTGTACACAGAGAAGATGGCAAACAATAAATAATGTTGTCTGTGATGGCCATTGCCCCATCTCGCTCCCTCTCATCAGGGGTCCCTATTACCAGAGACACAACAATATTGAAATTAGGCCAATTATAGTAATACCCTACAATGAAAGAAAGAGTCGCAAGTCTCTTACTTTAAATCAAAAGCTAGGAATGTTTACGCTTAGTGGGAAAATGAAGACAAAAGCTGAGATAGGCTAAGAGCTAGACTTCTTGCATTAAATAGGTAGCCAAATTGTGAATGTAAAGGCAAAGCTCTTCTAAAAGTGCTACTACAGCATGAATGATAAGAAAGTGAAACAGCCTTATTGCTGATAGGGAGAAATTTTTAGTGGTCTGTATAGAAGATCTAACCTGCCAAAACATTCCCTTAAGCCAAAGCCTGCTCTAAATCAAGGCCCTAACTCTTCAATGCTGTAAAGGCTGAGAAAGATAATGAAACTGTAAAGGAAAAGTTTGAGCTATCGGGGTGAGTTCATGAGGTTATTAAGGAAAGCTGAGAAAGTCCCAATATTTCTGCTCTTTCACCTCTTGCACAACCACATTGCCTAAGCCTCTCAATCATACAATTTTTGCCAGAATTCTGAATGCTTATGAAATGTTTTGGAGAACCCATTAATAGCAGCTTCAATGTAATCCTAAGTATTGTTTCTCTGCCCAGCCTCCTGAGTTTCCATGAGTCCTACCTGTTTTCCAATCATAGTTCTCCAGTTATTCTGTATCTATTGAAATCTATGAGCACACCAGTTCCTACACACACACACACACACAGACACACACACACACACACACACTTCCTTGTGATACTGAGAGCATTATTTCTATTACTTGTGACTAAGAAATCTGTCTCTTAAATGTGTAATTCCCAGGTTTTAGAGTAAGGACTTGAGTAAAGAAACTTGCAATAAATCCTCCAAAAGTATCCTAAAGTCTCTGGGCTTTTGATGCTGCTAGCTTGAAAATTACTGAAGAAATTTGGTCTATTTTTATTTCTGCCACAGACTATTACTTATACAAAAGCCTTAAGGGGGTTTCTCTCGGCTAAAAATTTTATTGAAAACACAAGATTCATTCTATTATAATCTTCATCCTGATCATTTCGTTGTAAGAAGTCCAGTAGCTGTTGTTCTCTACTGATGTCCCTGATCATAGGCTAAATGTAAGGAGAAAAATGAGGATATAAAATGTCCATTGGATGAATTTCTATATATTCAGTTAACCATTTTTTTGGTAGAACATTTTTTTGCTTACATATTTTATACTAGTATAAAATATTTGAAACTTTTTTCCTGGAATTCTCACTTTCTACATTATATTTAGGTCCATTCTTAGGAAGTGGTAACTCTGAAGTATCTGAATGCAATTTAAAATATTCAAATATTTCAAATATATTGTAAAGTTATTTTCCAAAATGTTTATCCAGATTTACAATTTTTTTAGTAATGTTTACAAAATTTCTTTCAATATTCCATAACTTTTCCTGTATATTTACTTAAATTTTTAAAAATGAATTTGATATAAATTTATATCTCTTTGAATTTAAATTACTTTTGTCACTAATGAAGTTGTCAACCATCACAATTTCCTTTATGGAAATGGTTAATGAATGACCTTAAACCACTAACATAGTTTTCTTTCATCTGGTTTTCCAATCCTAGTTTTTATAATTTTGTAATCTCTCCTACCAACTTGCTACCATCAGCCAGTTATCATATTTACCTGATTCCAGAAATCACTCTTCTGTACATTTTGCTGTAAACTTGAATTCATCCCCCCTGGCCACTTCAGTCTTGATTTAATTGTGAAAAAGGCTTTTCCAGGGACCCTGAGTTCTAGTATAAGTTATGCAACTTCTGGTCTACCTCTGAAGACTCATCAGGCCGTCTTTAAGTCAGATTCTGAGATATCCTTCAGCAAAGAGCAAGGTTCCCCAAATGTATTTAATCACAGAATTGTTTGTGATGTTATTTCTATGAATCTTTCATAGAGCCAGTATTCCCTATAAACTACAGTAAAAAAAAAATGTTTACTAGCATCTGGAGAAAATATTTAACACCAAATTTGATAAAATCAAGGTAAAAACATTTCTCTAAGAATGACTGACCCACATTTGGAATGAGCTATATGTACAACATGCTATGCAGTTACGTTAGGAAATAATTTCCCCAAACTATAATAGTATACAGTGATGTCTGCATAAGATTACCTTTCCAATTGTAATCTAACCTTGCTAAGGAACTAATGTAAACTATTAGTTCCATTTGACTCTGGTTGTATGTGGTTATCTTCCTTTACTTATCTCTCATTCCCCTCTGTTTTCATCCCCACACCACCTGTTATCCCCATGCTCTGACTTCTCCCTGCATGTTATGTATATTGTCCGGGTTCTGATTTCCTTGTATGTGTCAGACACCATCCTTCTCAATATCTCTCTACATTGGGCTATCAATTTCTTATATTAGAGTAGTTATTCTTATCGGTGAATTTTTCTCAGTCTTTACTTACAATTACTGCAAATTCACCTTATATACCAGTGCTAGTCTAATTCAGTATTGTGATGAAGGAGGTTTGTTCTTCTAATATGCTCTGCACAATGTTTGCTACTAATTATGGGTACTTATATCCATCTGGAATGATTTCACGCTGTATTTGCTTGCTCTATTTGCTGCTGTCTCAGCTGTATTACCTAATCTAAAAGCTTTGTTCCCTGCCCTGGCTGTAGCAGCTCAGTAGTGCAACTATTAAACCATTCAAGGGGATTAAAATATTTTGGAAAATTAAAGAGCATATTTAAAATGTTAATTACCTATCACTTCTTCAATAGTCCTCTCTTCCTGTGTGTTTTCATCCACCATTTTAAACTCAACAAAATGGAGAGCAATTTAGGCATATGGAAGGAGTAGAAGCACTTATGGATTTTTTTTAATCAAACAGTAAATCTAATATTTTAGGAAAATCCTACACCCTGTGGGTTTTAGTTTAAATTCCAGTATCAGTGACATATGACTATATGGCATATGCAAAATTTTGCTTTTTTTATTTACAAAGCATTTGCACATTCTTTGTTTCCTCTTATTCCCACAGCAACAGAGTCAAGAAGCATACATTACAGATGGAGAAACCAAGGCTTAGAAATGTCACAGTACAGATATGCCCATGGTGACAGCTTGTAAATGGGAGACTTTAGACTAGAACATACATCTTGTGAATTCTGTTTTACATTTTTCCCTCTGTAACACTCTATCAAATAAAAATTGAAAATGCCTTGATTTTGACTGTAAGGAGAAACACTATTAGAAAAAAATTTTCTCTTGTTCTTGTCTAATCAGCAATGTACAGTGCACACCACAGGAGCAGCTGGAAATGCAATTAAGACAGATGTGATAACAATTCATTCACAGACTCTAATGCTTTCAAACCCCAGTGCTAGTCTAAAAGCACAGATCACAGCAGGCAACACAAGAAGAATAAAATGTGGTCACAAGAATTGAGCAAGTTGTAAGTCTTGCAGAATTTTGAAAGTGAAATGGTATTTAGTAATTTCAAAATCCTACCTCTATCATGAATTCCTTATGTAGTAAATATTTTTCAAATTTTTGAAATAATTAGAAGAAAGTACATTCAGGATCACAGATCATTTATATATAATAAGCCCAGCATAAGTCAGAATGGTAGGGTGACAAAAATGTTGGCCTTTGGAGTTTGTGTGAATTGTTGCATTGTCATTATATGAAAAGCCTTGCTCAGTGTTCGGAGCAGCCATTCGCTAAGTATGACTTTCCTCCCTTTTTCCTTCAGATAACCCTTTGACTTCAGATATTATTTGATTCATTAAAAATAGCTTAGTGAACCTTCTCTGATAAATTGCAGGCACTGAGGAGAGATGTGTCAAAATAAACATCCTCATGGGTCAGAGGTGGCCAAGCTTAAACTGAATACTTGAGGCCATGCTCTCACACTCCTTATTATTTGGGAGACAATTACAAGAAGATGAGAAAGAGCCCAGGGCCTGGGTTTAGATAATGATCTACATTTTATCTCTGCCTTTGAAAAGCTGTGTGACATTGAACAAGTCCCTTGAGTTCTCTGAGTGTCAGTTTAGTTAACTTGTTTGTTAAATAGAAAAACTACATCTTGCTAGCTTTCTTGCAGGGCTGTTAAGAAAATTGTATAAAATAGTAACTGTGAAACTTAACTGGTTTTAATGATTCTGTAGATCTTCCTCTTGAGCTCTAACACCTGACAGGGATTAGCAACCATAGAAAAAAAAGATCAACCATCCTGCAGATACTGTAGAATAACTATTAATGGGAAGAGATACAGTAAGATAGACTGTGAGATAATTAATTTCTCTCCATTTATTCTTCCAGCTTTACAGTGGTTTTAAAGCTTGTGTGTGCGTAAGACTCACCTGGGAACAATGCTAAAATGAAGGTTTTTGGGCCACATGGCTAGAGATTCTCATTTGCCCAATATGGCCTGGGACCAAGATTCTGTTTTATTAACAAGTACCCTAGTTGCTTCCTGGGAAGGTGATTCGAGGGCCCCTGTCAGGTTCCAACCTGAGCTGGGGTCCAAGGGGAGTTGGTAGATGGGTGGCGGGCAGTTGAAAGAACACTCAGGGGGCTGTAGGCAGGTGAAACATGGCTTTATTATATGCCACCTCTCACAGTGTCGGTGAGGCATTTATGGACCTCACAGGCAACAGTGGCTCAGAGTCAGGTGATGAGCCCACCCATAACATGGTTACATAACTGATTATATAATGCACAGGACTGTATGCCTGCACTCCAATCCCACTGTGCCATGCTGCACCGGATGTTGACCTCGGCCTGTACTTGACTGCAGCACAGCCATATCCCTAATAGCCCCAGTGTAAGAAATATTGACTAAGTCCTTCATCTGTGATACAAGTACTTTCTCATCACATGGATAAGTGCCTTGGAAACAACACAAGAGTTCTTAACTGATTCCTTGCAGACTCATGGAGTGTGGGGCACTTGTTGAACTAATGTTAGCTGCTGAAAAAGATGCTTCTCATGCATTCTGCTAATTAACGTTATTACTGAAAATGTGTTATTTACCCCTTTTCATTTTCTATTTTAAGAGTTAAGATCCAGTTCCTCAATTGGGATGAGAAAAGAGTGATGAACTGTGGCAAATATTGATAGTTTTTTCCCAAAATAGCTCTTCTCTCTATTCTAAAAATATATTTTACTTTCGTCTGAGCAAATTATCATCCATGATAAATATTTCCCAGCATCCTTTGAAGCTTGCTGGGGCCATGTTCCTAAGTTCTGGCTACTGGTATATAAACAGAGGAGACGCTAGCCCCTTTCAATTTGTATCCATTAAGGAAAAGTATTTACACTCCTCTTTTTTTTTATTTTATTATTATTATACTTTAAGTTTTAGGGTACATGTGCACAATGTGCAGGTTAGTTACATATGTATACATGTGCCATGCTGGTGTGCTGCACCCATTAACTCGTCATTTAGCATTAGGTATATCTCCTAAAGCTATCCTTCCCCCCTCCCCTCACCCCACAACAGTCCCCAGAGTGTGATGTTCCCCTTCCTGTGTCCATGTGTTCTCATTGTTCAATTCCCACCTATGAGTGAGAAGATGTGGTGTTTGGTTTTTTGTTCTTGCAATAGTTTACTGAGAATGATGATTTCCAATTTCATCCATGTCCCTACAAAGGACATGAACTCATCCTTTTTTATGGCTGCATAGTATTCCATGGTGTATATGTGCCACATTTTCTTAATCCAGTCTATCATTGTTGGACATTTGGGTTGGTTCCAAGTCTTTGCTATTGTGAATAGTGCCGCAATAAACATACGTGTGCATGTGTTTTTATAGCAGCATGATTTATAGTCCTTTGGATATATACCCAGTAATGGGATGGCTGGGTCAAATGGTATTTCTAGTTCTAGATCCCTGAGGAATCGCCACACTGACTTCCACAATGGTTGAACTAGTTTACAGTCCCACCAACAGTGTAAAAGTGTTCCTATTTCTCCAAATCCTCTCCAGCACCTGTTGTTTCCTGACTTTCTCATGATTGCCATTTTAACTGGTGTGAGGTGGTATCTCATTGTGGTTTTGATTTGCATTTCTCTGATAGCCAGTGATGGTGAGCATTTTTTCATGTGTTTTTTGGCTGCATAAATGTCTTCTTTTGAGAAGTGTCTGTTCATGTCCTTTGCCCACTTTTTGATGGGGTTGTTTGTTTTTTTCTTGTAAATTTGTTTGAGTTCATTGTAGATTCTGGATATTGGCCCTTTGTCAGATGAGTAGGTTGCGAAAATTTTCTCCCATTCTGTAGGTTGTCTGTTCACTCTGATGGTAGTTTCTTTTGCTGTGCAGAAGCTCTTGAGTTTAATTAGATCCCATTTGTCAATTTTGGCTTTTGTTGCTTTTGGTGTTTTAGACATGAAGCCCTTGCCCATGCCTATGTCCTGAATGGTAATGCCTAGGTTTTCTTCTAGGGTTTTTATGGTTTTAGGTCTAACATTTAAGTCTTTAATCCATCTTGAATTAATTTTTGTATAAGATGTAAGGAAGGGATCCAGTTTCAGCTTTCTACATATGGCTAGCCAGTTTTCCCAGCACCATTTATTAAATAGGGAATCCTTTCCCCATTGCTTGTTTTTCTCAGGTTTGTCAAAGATGAGATAGTTGTAGATATGCGGCGTTATTTCTGAGGGCTCTGCTCTGTTCCATTGATCTATATCTCTATTTTGGTACCAGTACCATGCTGTTTTGGTTACTGTAGCCTTGTAGTATAGTTTGAAGTCAGGTAGTGTGATGCCTCCAGCTTTGTTCTTTTGGCTTAGGATTGACTTGGCGATGCGGGCTCTTTTTTGGTTCCATATGAACTTTAAAGTAGTTTTTTCCAATTCTGTGAAGAAAGTCATTGGTAGCTTGATGGGGATGGCATTGAGTCTATAAATTACCTTGGGCAGTATGGCCATTTTCATGATATTGATTCTTCCTACCCATGAGCCTGGAATGTTCTTCCATTTGTTTGTATCCTCTTTTATTTCATTGAGAAGTGGTTTGTAGTTCTCCTTGAAGTACACTCCTCTTTTTCTTTTATGCTTCCCTGATGGTAGAACACAGACATAGAGATGAGGGTATCATGGACCAAACAGGAACGGACAACATTATAGAGGTAGCAACGCATCAAATGAGAAGGGGTCTGGTTCTTAACACCTTCAAGTAACAGAGTCACAACACCTGACTTTATGTCAGAAATTCAGAAAAAGAAAGAAATTCCTTTTTAGTGTAACACTCTGCTATTTGGGGTTTCTATCTCACATAGCTAAATCCAATTTATTCTAACTAATAAAAGCATCAAATAAATATCCAGGATTAGAAATATGTAATACTATAATGTGAAGTGCAGAACCCTAGCTATCATACTTGCAAAATGATCATTGTGTTATCTCTTTCATAAGATTGTTAGGAGAAGTACAAGTGATAAATATGCCTGAAAATTGTCTGATAAAAATTCCTGCAACTTTTCAAGTAAACAGTCTTGTATTTATTTGTACTACTAGTGAATATTTTATAAATCATTATTCGTGAGAGTAAGTCATTAACTCTCTGATATAGATCTTACTATATGCTAAGGTATGTAGAGAAAGTTGGATAAGAAAAAAATCAACCTCCAACTCTAAGCTTTAAGACTCTCTTAAAAATATGTATTTTTTAATTTTATGTTTTAAATTTTTATGGGTACATAGTAAGTATATATATTTGTGGGGTACATGAGATGTTTTAACAGAGGCATGCAATGTAAAGTAATCACATCATGGAAAATGGGGTATCCACCTCCTCAAACATTTATCCTTTGTGTTACAAACAAACCAATTATACTCTTAGTTATTTTAAAATGTACAATTAATTTATTATTGATTATTGTCACCCTGTTGTGCTATCAAATACTAAGTCTTATTCAGTTTTTCTAACTATATTTTTGTACTCATTAACCATCCCCACCTCCCTCTCACATCACTCCCACACCCCAACTACTCTTCTCAGGCTGTGGTAAGCATCCTTCTACTGTCAATCTCCATGAGTTCAATTGTTTTAATTTTTAGTCCTCACAAATAGATGAGAACACGTGATATTTGTCTTTCAGTGCCTGGCTTATTTTACTTAATATAGTGACTTCCGGTACCATCCATGTTGCTGTAAATAACAGGATCTCATATTTTTTACGGCTAAACAGTACTCCATTGTGTATATATACCACATTTTCGTTATCTCTTCATCTGTTGATGGACACTTAGGTTGTAATTTATCTTTTAGTCTTCCTACTTGGTAAGAGTAACTTACACATGATAGTTACGGTGTTGTAATATTCTGTGTTTTTTTTTTTTTTTTTGGTGAACTTACAATTACCAGTAAGTTTTGTACCTTCAGGTAATTATTGTACATTAATGCCCTTTTCTTTCAGATTGAAGAACTCTCTTTAGCATTTCTTGTAGGACAGGTCTGGTGTTGATGAAATCCCTCAGCTTTTATTTGTCTGGGAAAGTCTTTATTTCCCCTTCATATTTGAAAGATATTTTTCACTGGGTATATTTTCTAGGGTAAAAAGTTGTGTTCTCTCAGCTCTTTAAGTATGTCATACCACTCTCTCCTATCCTGTAAGGTTTACCCTGAAAAATCTGCCACCAGGTGTATTGGAGCACCTTTGTATGTTATTTGCTTCTTTTCTCTTGCTGCTTTTAGGATCCTTTTGTTTTCCTGGACCTTTGGGAGTTTGACTATTAAATACATTGTGATAGTCTTCTTCGGGTTAACTTTACTTAGTGTTCTATAACCTTCTTGTACTTAGCTATTAATATCTTTCCCTAAGTTTGAGAAGTTTTCTGTTATTATCCCTTTTAGTTTTTATTTTATTTTATTTTTAATTTTTATTTTAGTTTCAGTTCCGGGACACATGTGCAGAAAGTACAGGTTTTTTACGTAGGTATACCTGTGCCATGGCGCTTTGCTGCACTTATTGACCCGTCCTCTATGTTCCCTCCTTTTGCCCCCCACACCCTAACAGGCCCTGGTGTATGCTGTTCCCCTCCATCTGTCCATGTGTTCTCATTGTTCAACTCCCAATTTTGAATGAGAATGTGTGGTGTTTGGTTTTCTGTTCCTGTGGTAGTCGCTGAGGATGATAGCTTCCAGCTTCATCCATGTCCCTGCAAAAGACATGATCTAATTTATTTATTTATATTTTTATTTATTTATTTATTTTTGAGATAGAGTCTCTGTCACCCAGACTGGAGTACAGTGGCTCAATCTCAGCTCACTGCAAGCTCCGGCTCCTGGGTTCACACCATTAGCTGGGACTACAGGCGCCCACCACCATGCCCGGCTAATTTTTTGTATTTTTAGTACAGACAGGTTTTCACTGTGTTAGCCAGGATGGTCTTGATCTCCTGACCTCGTGATCCACCCGCCTAGGCCTCCCAAAGTACTGGGATTACAGGCGTGAGGCACCCTGCCCAGCTGATCTCATTTATTTTTATTGCTGTGTAGTATTCCATGGTGTATATGTACCACATTTTCTTTATCCAGTCTATCATTGATTGGCATTTTAGTTGGTTCCATGACTTTGCTATTGTAAACAGTGCTGCAATAAATATGCATGTACGTATGTCTTTAGAGTAGAATGATTTATATTCATTTTGCTATATACTCAATAATGGGATTGCTGTGCCAAATGGTATTTCTGGTTCTGGATCCTTGAGGAATCGCCACATTGAATTCCACAATAGTTGAACTAATTTACATTCCCACCAGCCATGTAAAAGCATTCCTATTTCTCCACAGCCTCACCAGCATCTACTGTTTCCTGACTTTTTAATAATTGCCATTCTGACTGGCGTGAGATGGTATCTCTTTCTGGTTTTGATTCGCATTTCTCTAATGATAAGTGATGTTGAGCTTTTTTTCCATATGTTTGTTGGCCATTAATATGTTTTCTTTTGAGAAGTGTCTGTTCATATCCTTTGCCCACTTTTTGATGGGGCTGGAAAGGGAGCCTCACAATTTTTACTGGTGCCCTATTCTGTGGCTGAGCTTGTATCCAAATTGCAAGACAAAGTCCTCTTTAATCTACCCTCTCCTCTCCTCATACAGAAGGAAGGGTCTCTTTTCAGCTCCTGAAGTGTGCAGTCTGTGGTTGAGAGAGGAATGGCACAAGCACTTTCACAGCTACCCCAGCTGGTGTCTCAGTATGTCACATGCTCCCCATGTCCACCGTCTCTGAGCCCAGCTCAGCAATAGGGCTTGCCTAGGAGTTGTAGTCCTTGTGCCCTAGACTTCCTTTCCAATTTATTTAGAGCCCCAAAGCACTTTAGGCCATGGTGGTGATGCCTGCCAAAACTCAAGGTTGGATTGCTGGCATAGGTGATTCCCCTCTGGCTAGGACTGGTTTAATACTCCCCCCATGGGTAAACATCTGCTGAGTTCAGCCCAGTGTTGCTTTCTGCTGTGACACTGAGTTTAGTGCATTGTCTCACAATTGCTGCGCTCTCCCTCTCCCAAATTTAGACTCTCTCCACGCCATGAGGCTGCTGCCAGGGCATGGGAGAGGGGTGGCATTGGTAATTCAACACTGTTTTCCTACTTCTTCGGTGCCCCTTTCAGTGATATGAAGTTAAAACTAGGTACTGTGAATGCTCACTTGATTTTTGGTAAGAAAGTGAATTTTTGTGTAGAGAGTTGCTAAACTGGTGTCTTTGTTAGGGGGACGGTTGGTGGAGCATCCTGTTTGGCTATCTTGCTCTGTCCCTTTTCTAGAACTTGCATTTCTGAGTACTGAGGTGATACTCATGCTATTGGCCCAGAGAACACATTTTGAGATTCACTGGCTTACAGGAAGAAAGTCTCTGTAGAATTTATTAGATTAGCAAACTTGCTGTGGGTTGAGATCTCTTAAGGCTGTAGGTTGTCTCCAATTCTCTACACGTGTTAGATTATAAATTTCTAGATGGTGAAGAATGTGTGTGTGTGTGTGTATGTGTATGTGTGTGTGTATGTGTGTGTTTGTGTTTTGGAACTCGGATGTTTTACCCAATGCTAGACACCTATTAGCTGCTTCAAATTTACTTATTTATTTATTTTGTTTTCTTTTTCTTCCCTCTGGCACTATTGCAGGCAGTAATATGTCCTTTCAAATGTATCTGTACTATGGAAAGCACTTTGTAGACTCATAGCATGGCAATAATTGCTGCACACATGCAATTTTGGGAAGAAGACAAGAATTCAATTTGTATGAATCTGGGCTTTGGAGACAGAAGATCTGATGTAGGTCAAGAACAGGGTTTGAAATTTGGCTTTGTTTTTTGGTTGCCAGGTAAGCTTAAGAGATTCACTTAATCTGTCTGTGGTATATGAATTTAATTATTTGTAGTAATCATAACTTATGAGTTTATTTCAAGTTTTAACAAGCCAGTACATTTAAAGTGAAATTATGTTATTTTTAACTCAACTGAGATGCCTTTGGTTTAGCTGAAGGAAAGTAAGAGTCATGCTTGATAAAGATATTTTAATAAAAAGGAGAGACTGAGTAATTGCCAAAAAAAAAAAAAGAGAGAGAGACAGAACATTCGTCTTAGCAAGAGAAGTTTGATAATGAAATAGAGATAAAGTTAGGTCTGAGTATTTGTCTGCATCTGCAAGGATGGATGAGTCATGTCTAAAGAGGGACAATAGAGGTACACCTTTGCATGAGATCTTTATGCTCAAAGTTAAGGCTCGTGACTTTGTCTACCTGAGATGTAAATGAGCCACTTGAATAATCAGAGGAAGTTGAAAGTATTCTGATTACTCAAATATTCAGAGAAAAGTAACATTTACTCACCACTTCTGGCTGGGAACACAATGTTAGGAGTAGAAGTCCAAATGTTGGATCATATAATGAAAATAACCATCAAAAATTTCAACAGAAATACAAATTCAAATGGAATAAAGTGTTTGTTAATAGTCATGATATTTTCAATAAAATGAAATATTTTTACAAGTGTAATATTAAAATTGCTGTGAATAGATTTTATAAAATTTTTATGAAGACCAAAAAAGAAAAATACAATTGTATAAATTTTACTTTTTAAAAATATGTATACTTGTAAAATATGTGCATATAAAATCATTTCTAATAACCTATTTATTTAATGTGTTTATTTGTTTTATTATAGCAAACAACAAAGTGAATATTCATGATTTTATTTGTTATCTGTTACTCAATTCCTTATTTAATTAGATCTTAAATTCTTAGCTATGAATCTGCTCTTTTAGGAGCTTTCAGATAGCTCTCATTGGTATCAGGTCGCTTCATGTAATTAAAGGCAGTTTTATTATAATTTTGTAAAAATATTTTTATTAATACCACCTCTGTATTCAGTCATAGTGATATCACTTCTCAATGAATACATATCTTACATGAGAGGTCCAACATACTTTAAATAGTTAATATATTGTCTATTGTTCTGTAGATTTTGAGATGAGAATTTTTTAAAGTTCACAAGGTTTGTATATTTATTTTTAGTAATCTTTTTAAAAGAATTTTGGAGAAGTTTTAGGTTCACAGAAAAATCAAGTACGGAGTTCTGATATGCTCCTTTCTCTCACACACTCACATCTTCTTCACTCAACATCCCACACCAAAGAGGTACATGTATTACAATCAATAAACCAACATTGAAACGTCGTTATCACCCCCAAACCATAGTTTACATTAGGATATGCTCTTGGTGTTCTACATTCTGTACATCCTGTGTGTTTAGATTAATGTATAATGACATGTATCCATCATTGTAGTATTATACAGAGTAGTTTCACTAACATAAAATTCCTTGCTATGTCTATTCCTTCCTCCCTCTTAACCTTCGGTAAGTTTCGCTTTTTTCAAAATGTTGTACAGTTAGATTATAATAAGCATGTACCCTTTCATATGGGCTTCTTTCAGTTAGTAATATGCATTTATAATCCATCCATGTCTTCTCATGACTAGGTAACTCATTGCTTTTTAGTGCAACGGGAGAAGGAAGAAAGGAAGAAAGGAAGGAAGGGAAGAAGGGAGGGAGGGAGGGAATGAGAAGGGAGAGAGAGAAACAAAGATAAAAGGAAGAAAGAAAATAAAGAAAAAGAAGGAAAGAAAAAGAAAGAGAAAGAAAGAAGAAAGAAAGAACGAAAGAAAGAAAGAGAAAGAAAGGAAGAAAGAAAGAGAAAGAAAGATGGAGGAAGGAAGGAAGGAAAGAAAAGAAAAGAAAAGAGAAAAAAAGAAAAGAGAAGAAAGAGAAAATATGTCTTCTAAGACCAGTGGGAAAATATCTCAAGGATGATCAACTATGTCAAATGCTGATGATAAGACAACAAAGACAAGAACCAAGGATTTCCCATGGATTTAACAATGAGGTCATTATTCAAAGTTAGCAAACGTTTTTTTAAAGTAAATTTTTTAATGGATACATACATGTGCAGAATCTCATACTAAATGTACGTTAAGAGCGTAGGAAGAAAATTTGTTCTCTTTTCACTATGACAAGACATGCCCCTTATTAGTGGAGTCAGATTTATGATAACAGTAAAACAAAATGTTTATTCTATCAATGCCCCAATCAACTCAAACTGACTATCAGCAGGGATAACTTACCTGCACTTGGAACAAAAAAGCAAATGATGAGCATATTCTTCTTACTGCCACTCCATGGGAATTTTCTAATGATGCTGGGATAAAAAATAACCCCCAAGTATTAAATAAATCATCTTTCTTTGAAATTTATAGCAGCTAAACTTTATTGTTTGGCTTGAACTGCAGTATGAAATTTTCGTTAGCAATAATTTAAGAAGACATTTCTCACTACAGTCAATATTTGGCAAGCTTCAATTAATTCATAAACAATAAGTTAGGTCTAAATTTATTCTTGTAAGCAAGCATTTATGTCCTTCAGTCATTAGGTATGTTTTATTTACTGACTAGCAAACATTGAATGAAACAGTTTTTAAAGTTAATAGCATTTGTCTTAAACGACAGTTTGCTATGTCTTATGTACCTGTAGAACTTATAGTTGAATTTGGAAATATGTAGAACTCTTTATATCCTGTGCCTAAAGAGTGTTAACACACATATTGGTAAAACTCCATAAGTAGAATTCGGTTCTGTCATGAAGTGGAAAAAAGTGGGAGGTCTGCTCTTAATTACTCTAGTCCCTCAACTGTGTTTCTAGAATGAAGTGGCTTTATTGATGCTGGAATTCCCAGTAGAATTGCAAAGAGAGGGTGGCAGGTGTTCAAGCCTTAACTGGGAAGATTGGGGTGAGAATATCTTTAGGAGTAATTACAGGTGAATTAACTGATCTTTCCTAATGATTTTATAGCAAATTTATTCTGCACAGTTGGAACTCTAAGGAAAAAGCTATTTTATAAACCATAAATTACTTTCTTTCCTGGTGGGATTGGACTGGCTGTTGAAAGTTACATGCATCTGGGATTAGACACTCAAAGCCAAATTTTAAGTGTATGTACATTTTGACCATAAACAGATTAAATAAAGGAAGCTACAAGTCTGTCATTTCTAAAATGGAGCTGATTAAGAAATTTACCTTATGGTACTGCACTGAGGATTTAATGAATTCTTATATAAAGCATACTGTAGAATACCTGGCACAAAGTAAACACTCCGTAAATGCTAGTTGAAACACAGACATACATTCGACACCTAGTCATTTTTTCTCCCTATAAAATACAGCCTAAAACTAAACTCACTTACCCTATATTGGAGTGAACTTTTCAAAATTCATGTGAATTACATAACACATCTTATGGTCTTATATGGCTGGCCTCAATGCACCTTTTGAGTTTAATCTCTCTTCGTTCGTCAGTCTCTTATGCATGATTTCACTGAATATCCTGTAGAACTACAAGAACTAGAACTACTAGAACTAGTACAAACTTTTCCCCCTCTTGCCATTTCCTATTATTTGCCCAACTCCTTTACACATCTAAAGACAGCTGAGTGTCACTTCCTAAATAGGTGCTTCTCCAGAGACTTGTAGTTTTACTGTCAGGTTCCTTCATAGATTGTGAACTCCTTGAAGAAATGGGTTGTTTTTGCCCCATTCCCAGAACATAGAAAGTCTTTATAAATGTTGACAGGAATATGAGTATTTTTCTCACAAAATTGATTTTAGGGTGATTGCTATTCTGTATCTTTAGCTACATTTTTAACCTATCAGAATTATAACTCTCTGATAAGGGAGGGGAATTATTAATAACAGAAGAAGCAGGTTCTGTTTCGAAGAGAAGTGCCTGTTTTAGAGAAAGAGCAAATCAGACAGAGAGACATATCATCATGTGAAATTACTTTTATGATAAACTCTTCTTTATCTATAAGAGAAATTAGAGGACTCATTAACTAGAAACTTGCCTGCAGTCTACTAAAATAATAATGCCTTATAAATTGTGATGTCAAAGCCCTCAACCTTCTTGGAAAGTTGTCCTAATCATCAAAAAAGATGACTCTTCTTTATGTTTACAAAATGAAGTCAATTTTATTGTAATAATAAGAGCTAAAATGTATCGAGTGCTTACATTGTGCCAGCTTCTGATATACATGCTTTACTTATTTAATACAACCACCCGTTGAAGTTGGTCATGATATTTTCCTCATTTTATGAAAGAGAAAACAAGGACTCAAGATGTTACAAAATGTGTTGAAAGTCATAGAGATTATAGGAAATCATACCCAAGTCTAGTTGTCCTGATCCAAGAAGCCAGCCACTGTGCTGTATTATATGCCTACTATTTGGAAAGTGATATTGTATGGGTGAGATGAGGCTAATTAACACACAGAGAATATCTAATTAGTTTACTCAGTGTATTGAAATGTGTTGCAATTTTATATTACCTGACATCAGGAAAAGTCATCATCTCATGTTTCTCATGCCCCTAAATGGTAGTGCAATAGTCGTGAAGCTGCAGGTAGTATAAGAGATTATCTAAACGTGTTCCATTTTTTCACACACGTGGATGCTGAGTGTCTATGGGAGATAAGGAACTAACACTAGATATTTGAGCTGATTCGATTCTAAGTGAAGAATAGAAACCTCATAAAGCATGCTTAAAATTTCCTATACAAGAAAACCAAGTTCATATTCTATTCCCTATCTGAGATAACTTCAACAAATATTTGAGCAGCTGTAAAACTTTTGTTACATCTGCAACCACTTTAAAATTTAAATTGGCAAGGTCTACACTCAACTGGGACATCTGCCACCAGTAGGATAATGCCATGGCTGGCTGGTGGTGGCTTTAGTTAATATTTATAGAATTAAATTATTATTCATGTGTGTTCAATTCTATATCTTTCTGTAAAAATATGACTATTAAAGTAGAAATTAATCTGTATGTATATTAAAAACATAATTTATTTAAACAAAGGAATGATTTGAAAAATACTTTTTAGTAAAAATATTTAGTTTCAACTAATTATCTTTCTCATGACTTGCATATTATGTTTTTCTAATTTTAAAGATAATATATTTTAGTCTTTGACCAAAGGTATTTCACTTGTCAAAAGCTCTGAATGTAGCCTAGGTGGCTGATTCAGTTTGGTCTTTTTCTCTATTATTAACTCAAAACAATTCTATAAATAATTGAAGCTCCTTCCATGTTGGAAGTCTACTTTTTATTTCCATGTAGCTAAGAAAATATACTAATGCCATATATGTGTTTCTCATTTTTCCCCTAGTTTCTCTACTGCCAATCCTTTCTAGCTGGGAGAAAAATTTATTTCCATTGCTTTACCTTTTTGCCTTTGATTTTATAAGAAGAACATTCTTTAAATTGTAAGAAGATATCAATTTTAAAATGCATTAGTCTGATTTATTAAACTTCTTAAGGGGAAGAAACCATAAATACTAAAGAAAGTATACGTAATTCTGGAGACCACATCCTGATTCCTGAAACATTAAAAAGTGAAAAATTGTGCATCTAAGAATTGCTGAAATAAACACACATGGTTTAGATCTAGTCTAGAATGCCATCCATTTTCCTAAGATTTCTTTAATAAGGCATGCTATAACCTGAAAGTTTGTGTTCATCTCTCAAAGTTCCCTGCCTGCTAATACCATCACACTGGTGATTAGTTTTCTAACTTTGAGAGATGATTAGGTCACTAATGGAAAATGAAGGGGTGCTGAACATGGGCATTTAGTGTCTCTTTAACAGAAAACTTCTTTTACCTGGTGAATGTCCTAATGCCTATTTGCCTGATCTGTGACCAGGGGTTTCCTCCCATGGGAGCTGGTTATACTAGCAGGTGCCCTGTTGGCTCTTGTCTGACCTGTTTATGCCTGCCTGACCTCTTTCACTGTGCTGCTGGGAACGCTATGGACCTTGTGTTTTCCTGGCATCCTGGGGAAAACCCAGCCTGCGAAGCCCCTAGTTTTTTTGATTTTGTTTTGTTTTGTTTTGTTTTGTTTTCAGATGGAAGGCACAAATATAACACACCACCAAAGCATAAACAATTCAAAAGGTTTTCTACTTACATATCCTTGGCAGGGATGTGCAATGAATCTGGAGGACAATCTTCTGTTTCTAGGTCAAGACAGAGATGAAAGGTCAGACAGAGAGACAGCAAGCACATGGCAACTGGCACTAATATATATACAAGCACGTGGCAACAGGTACTAATGTATATGTAAGCGAATAAGGTGTGGGTTATTTTAAGTTTGTTGGCAATGAATGATTTCTTTAAAGGAAGTATCAGAAAAGCAGGCACCAGTCTGCTAGGCAAAATGGTGCCTGTAAGTTATTATCTCTGGCCACTGACTTGAACCATTTGGGTGTTGTATACACTGGAAATTGTGCCAAAGGTAACTGAGCCCTAGTTCTGACATGAGAAAGTTAAACTTGTATTCAAAATGGATGCAGAGGCAACATAAAATTATAAGAATTCGCTACCTTCTAACTCCTATTGCTCTCTTTAGTACAGGATATAAGATTTCCCATTGTAAAATGACATATTTAAAAGGGCAAATGTATTTTCTAGTCATTTGAAAAACACATTTAAACTGAAATGTGGACCTCAAGCAGTCATATAAAGTGGTGCACAGTCAGTTTTAGGAAGTTCCAAAATAGTAGATGCTTTCCACTGTGAGATGCAGCGATCTCTGGTTTTATTTTGGGTACTGCTGCAGGTGATTTTCTCTTGGTTTAAATTTAATTGCACTTTGGACAAATTAATGCATGTTTTCAGCTGCCTGGCCACAATGGTTTATTTTATTTAAGTCTACAAAATGTAGTTAAACACATTTACATAATTTATTATATTTGGAAATTTTAAATGGTCCCAGATCATTACTTTCACCTTGAAAATTGATTGAGGCCTTATCATTCCACTTTCTAATTAAGCACAGTGATTTACAGCCTTCATTCAGCTGTCACAAGAACTGTATTCCTGTCTTATGACTGCAGATGCCTCCCCCTACTTGGTTCTTGCCTGTTTTCTGAGCCTTATTCATAGGCTTTCTCTTCATTCTGTACAAAGTCCTTCCAATAAATTCATTTATGCATGATTTTGTCATTATTGGGTATGATTATATTCCAATTAATATAGAGTAAGATTGTGAAAGTATGCTGCATTTATGATCATTTTGGTTTTACAGCCAAAAGTTTTTTTTTGGATTTGAGCTAATGTGTAAGCCATATTGCAAATATGATATTTTAAGTTTCCAGTCAAAAATCAAAATGAGATTGAGGATATAATTATATTAAATATTTTGTCATCCTCTGACTTAAATTCAGGTTTTACCACACAGGAGTGGGAAATATTACACGACATTTTTAGGCAGATCTGACACATACGCATGCTGAGTTCCCAAAAAGTTGTAGGAATATTTGTTTTTAAGCTAACCAACACCTGAACACCATTTGATATTGTTAGGCTTTGTGTCCCCCCACAAATCTCATCTTGAATTGTAGTCCCCATAATCTCCATGTGTCAAGGGAGAGACCAGGTGGAGGTAACTGAATCATGGGGGATGGTTTCCCCCATGTTGTTCTCATGATGGTAAGTTCTCAGGAGATCTGATGGTTTTGTAAGGGGCTCTTCCCACTTCACTCGGCACCGCTCCTTCCTGCCTCCTTGTGAAGAAGGTGCCTTGCTTCCCCTTCATCTTCAGCCATGATTGTAAGTTTCCTGAGGCCTCCCCAGCCATGCTGAACTGTGAGTCAGTTAAAACTCTTTCCTTTATAAATTACCCAGTCTCAGACAGTTCTTTATAGCATTATGAAAACACACTAATACACCATCCAATTGAGAGGTATTCCCTAAATAGGTGGTATGCAGGGTCTACCTTCCACTTACAGAAGCCAAAAGGGGATGGATGTTTTCTCACTCACCCTGGTAAAATATGGCATTAGCCTAAAATATAAATTTGGTTACTTGAATGTTCTTCCTTGCTGTTCTTAACCGTAAGAAAGTGACAAAACTATGTGATTATGTAACATGTGGGTGGGGGGCAAAAATATTTAAGCATGACATCAAGCATGTACTGGAGGCGTGTAACTAAAAAATCTGGGATATACTAGTACTAAGACAAGGCTTTATCAAGGTGAGGAGGTGATGCAAACGACATTACCAGGTTCCAAATTTTTCTCTCCATATTCAGGTCTTCTTTTTCTAAGTAAAATCTATTCTCAGATAAACTATGTGATCTGTTTCAATGCCTAAGTAATGTCAAATGATAATTGTTTCAGAAATAAAGAAGAATGATCATTAATCATAAGTGAAAAGGTTAAATTGGTAAATTGTCTGAGGATCAGAATTCCCTTTTCAGTGTCCTGTGCCACCATGTTTTTGAAGCATATACCATCTGAGAAGAATCTCAGTATGGTCTTTGAGGACAGTCTCCCCTGTGCCCCACAGTTGGCTCAGCTGAGGCTGCTTGTAATTAATTATCCCCAAATTCTGGATGCATTTCAAAATACTGAAATGTTCTGATTTTTAAACTCTGGCAATGACATTTAGCTTTACGGAAACATTTCTTTACACTGTTGCCCAGAATTACCAACTGCCAGAATAAATTATGGACATACATTATAATCACTGTCCATTTATGGATGGCCACAAAGATATCTATGTTGTGGAGTGACAGTCTTTCCTGTGCTCATCCAGGTGCATTGTACAAGTATATCATAAATGCTTTAAGTTAAATGATGTTCATTTCTCTGCTTTAACACCTTAGAATTGGACAGAATAAACAAAAGGGAATTCAAGTGAAATTTTATTTGCTATAATGAAGAAATAGTTGTTCTCCCCCACCCCCATGGAAATCCGTATATTCAGATGGAGATTAGATTACATGATATACGAATTTCCCTCTAAGAAGTGTATAATCTGTAACATGTAATTGTGAATTAATAAATGAGCAAATATATTATAAAAATGTAACCAAGCATATACTCAGGGAGAAAAGATACAGAGTCTCAAATTCTGTTAATACAGAGGTGATAACAAACCAATTATATGTAGTTATCAAAATAATTATTCTACTGTTTATCAAACTTAATTACATGACAAACAGAAGAAGTACATGACAATAATAACATGATTAATTCAAATTCTAGCAGATCCTTTAAAAAATCTAGAATATAGATGTTTTCAGATATTCTAGCAGTATTCAGCTATGCAGATGCAATCTCTTAAACAAGTGGAATCACCATTTAAAACTAGTTATTTGCTTGGGATGACTGACTAGCAGTCATTGACTATAATCAATCTTGTAGGCTTGATTTATGAATAAGAATTTTGCGGCTGTGAAAGCTGAAGTTAAGGAGGTGGGGGAGCATTAAAGAGGATCATCAAAAGTTCTCATACATGAATTCCTAATGTGTTAGTAACTCTACCTACTGGCATCAAAAAATGAACTGGTTGTTTGAGATAGTCACACAATCTGGATTTATTCATCTTTATCCTGAGATATATTATTTCATAGATAAGAGTCACATGTTTAATAATGCACAATGAAAATTTGTGCAAATAAGAAAATACATATGTACATATTTATATGAATATGCTAACAGAAATTTCTAAAATCACATATAGAAAAAATATAAAGCATTTTAGGGCCATTTACAGGAGGAGTAAAAGTTCTTTTTTTTTTTTTTTTTTTTGCAGGTGATACAAATTTAATTCTATTGCTCTTATGATGAAAATACAACTGCAGTGAAATGGCAAGCATCTCTTCAGTTACACTGCTTTACATTATCACTCTACGTTTATTCATGGAAGGAACTCAAATGTTAAAAAGTTATAAATAGCTGAGAAACGTTCAAAAATGAGGTTGGCTAATGCAGTGAGAAAAGAAATACAAATTAGAACAAAAGAATACTATTTCCCCTAAAATTGACAAAAGTCTACTTAACCGACAGTATCTAATGTGAGCTAGAGTGTGATGAAGCATACCCTTGTCAACTTTGGTGATAAGGCAATTTAGCATTTCCACAAAAATTTTAAGTGAAAATATCATTAGTCATAGCAATTCTACTTCTCTAATACAATTATAAGGAAGCCATATCACAAACATATGGAGATATATACATACTGACATGTACATATACACATACACATATATACACTATGTTACATACACCCACATTCATTATATCATTATGAAATTAAAGAACAACTGGAAAACACCTTTTGGTTCCTAATAAGGGAAGATTTAAATACTTTACTATAAAGCTATATTATTATACTTTATGCGAAAATCAAAAGGAAGATATATTCTATATTTCTAGCAAGAAAAGAAAGTTCACATATGTTGTTGATTGAAGAAAAAGAAGTTCCAGACTAATAAAGGTGACGGGCTTCCCTCTTTGATAAGTCCTATGTGTCCTATCTATCTCGACAGAATTCTATCAGGAATAACACTGTACTTGTTCCACAGAAATTGTTTGATAAGCTTGTCTGGAATAGAATCTGAGTTAAATGTGCCATTGTTCTTCCCCAGATAACTTTTTGGAGTCTCCATAGATCATACAAAGAGAGAACAGAGAAACAAGGCAACAAATTGGGATACGCTGCAACACTCTGCACTGAACATCTGACTTCAATTAGCCAACCCTCAATTTCCAATACAAAAATCACAAAAGGATTACTAAGGGAGAATTTATAATGGAAAAGAGGTGAAAAATGGCTTATTTGCTTTGATTATCAGCAGGGTGTCCAGTACAGTAGGTATAGCTGGCATGGGACTGGTAGTGCAGGCTGGCTCTTGGAAAGGAGTATGTATTCCAGGCTGGTTGGCTGCTGTTCCACTGGGAGCTGAAGCCAGGGCTCATGGTCACTCGTGACTTACTAGTTTGATAGGCTCTCACTGTGGAGCTAGACTCGTTTGCTTGTTATTTCTTAAGAATCTCTGTATCTTTCTCCTTTTTTACCTTCTGTGGTTGTGATCTGTGAGGAAAAATGTGTATTTCTCCCAGATTCAGCCTATATTTATCCTGATGTGGCTGTGAACTGGACCATCTGCTATAGGAAGGAGCACCTGAAGACTTGTTGGCTGAAGTTCTCTGTCTGGCCTCGAAAGACATTCAAATTAGCCACCACTGGAGTAGATGACCTAAAAGTTCTTACAACTCTCAATTATACCCAGTGATGTCTCGATTAGCACTTATTATAAAAATTAAAATTTATAATTCAACATTTATACCATCCAGAAAAAGTTAAAATATATTAATAGCCTATTTCTCTTCAATAAAGCGTATATATAACTCTATTTGTTAATGTTTCTATTCTCCATAACATTCTGTTTATAGATAAGCCCTATGCTATTTCTAGTCAAGTGCTAATCTCTTGAATGAAGCTGAATTAGGTAGTCAACTACTAGATGTATCCTGAAAAACAAGTAATGTGTATATTTCATTTATTTTATACATAAGAGCTACAGACTGATGTCACAATCTTTTCAAGGGCTATTAAATTCATTATTTTAACTAACATTTTTGAACATCTATCTTATGTTGTTAATTGAGGACATTTCTGAATGTATAACAACATAAGAATAATAGTTTTTAAACTTCAAAGAGATGACAGGTTAATGAGTAAAGGAGAAATATGAAATATCACAGAATTCCTTGACACTAAATGATGTTTTGCAAATACTGAACAGAATGATGTTTGTAAACTTTCCACTGGTTTTCAAGAGTCCCAAAACATTAGGAAAATGTACATCACCTAACTTTGTCACATATTTATAATTGTTTTTCCTTTTTGTTTCCAAGAAGCACAATGTAGACCAAGAGGTAGAAAAAATATTTTTAAAGATACATGTCTAAGATGTTCAGCTTTTGTCAAATGAAGCAATAGTCACAATAATGTCACAGAGACAATGGATTGCCAGCTTAATCCTCAGCAATAACATAATACTCATTATCAGGCATTTATTCATTTATTCGTTCATGAATGCTATTCATTCACATTCATTAAATAATAACTACAAGTTGAATAATGTTTTCAGCACTGGACACACAGAAAAATCAGACAGATTCGATTTTTTGTTTAGATGAAGAAGAAGGAACAGAATATAAACAGCAAAAAAAAAATCAAAACACACAGAAAAAAACAAAAGTAGCAAAACTCAGTGCTCAGAAATTCTGTAGAGTATTTCTATACACATGCACACATACACACATACATTCACACCCTATAATACCACTTTTATTATGCTATTTTGCATAGAAAACTCTTTAGGGATATTAAATTTTATTAAAATAACAACAGAGATCCTTGGAGAAGACTACACATAATATATCACCTAATAGCATGAAGGTTTTTATCTGCTTATCTTGTCTCCTAGTTTTAAATATACACATTTAAACTTTACACATTTGGACTCAGAATATGGAAAGCGTTTTATTTTCCATATTTTCAGTTAATATTACAATACTTCTTTAAAGGCCTGGCATATACTTTTTTCATTTCCATCCAATTTCATGCTGACACACAAACACATGCACAAATACACACGCACACACACACACACACACACACACACGCACATGGTTTATTATTTTTTACAATTTTGATCATAGTTTTAGACATTTCCCTGCAAATTGTTTTCCTCTAAGAACAATTTAATATGAGCATCCATCCAGGAGACTAATTATAAACCTGCTTTACAATTAGTAGAGATTTTTGGTAGCTATATAATTTTGATTGTACATTCTGTGTTTCAATTGTTTATTTTCATATCTGTAGCCCACTCTAACTCAGAAGGTGAGTTCTTTGAAAGCAGATAACTCCTGTTTTATATTTGTATTCTCAAGATCTAACACTGAGTCTAGCACAGAGAAGTCAATGAATATCTATGAGTGAATAGAATATGCATGAATAAATAAATATTTTTAACGAATCTTTTCTAAAGTAATTCATTTTTTTTTTTTTTTTGTGATGGAGTTTCATTCTTGTTACCCAGGCTGGAGTGCAATGACATGGTCTTGACTCACTACAACCTCCGCCTCCCGGGTTCAAGCAATTCTCCTTCCTCAGCCTCCGGAGTAGCTGGGCTTACAGGTGCCTGCCACCACGCCCGGCTAATTTTTGTATTTTTAGTAGAGATGGGATTTCACCATGTTAGTCAGCCTGGTATCGAATTCCTGACCTCAAGTGATTCACCCGCCTCGGCCTCCCAAAGTGTTGGGATTACAGGCATGAGCCACCGTGCCCGGCCAGATAATTTCAACTTTTATTATAGATTAAAGGGTACTTGTACAGATGTGTTGTATGGGTATATTGTGTGATGCTGAAGGTGAGCATAGTACCCAGTAGTTTTTTTTTTTTTCAGCCCATGTCTAACTCCCTTCCTCCCCTATCTAATAGTCCCTGGTATCTATTATCCTTATCTTTATGTCTATGAGTATTCAATGTTTAACTCCCTCTTATACACGACAACGTGTCATTTGGTTTCCTGTTCCATTTAGCCACTGTGGAAAGCACTTTGGAGCTTTCTAAAGAATGAATCTTTCCATTTAAAACAAATTATACCCTCTAGACTTTATGTATGATAGGTTAACTGGGGGCAATTGAGAACGGGATGCCTATTAGAATAAATAGGGAGATCACAAAAAACTTTCAGAAGCAAACAGTCACTACAATCAAAATAGTTATTAGACACATAGAAAATGAGGAGGAGAAAACACAAACTAGGATAATGGCTAGTTCAAGTCAAGTTCCTGGGACTTAGGAAAAAATAACCAATCTAACTTGGTTACAGCAAATTTTTTATATAGGCAAGACATTAGACTGGTGAGAGATTCTCAAATTTTTAATCCCTTGAAAGTCAGTCTGTTTGTAATTTATAAAACTCCATGACAGATTTTCCGTGGGGTGGCATAAGATTCTCACCATATTTTAGGAAGTTTAGGAAGTTTACCCTGAAACAAATGTGCTAAGTAGGTTGAGTTACAGTGAACCTTAGAGTAGGCTAGAAAATTCGCTCTTGGAAGAACCCAGCAAGTGGGAGCCAAGCTAGAGGAAGAACAAGAGGATAAAAACTTAAGGAATGAGTATATATATATAAAAAAACTGCAAGAAAAACAAACAGAACTTTTTTTTTAATTTATCCTTTTTTTCATCTTTTAGATTCAGGGGGTGCATGTGTAGGTGTGTTTCCTGCATATACCTCATGATTCTGAGGTTTGGAGCATGAATGCTATCACCCAGGTACTGAGTATCGTACCTAAGAGTCTTTAAACCCTTGCCTGCCTCCCTCACTCCCCACTCTTGTAGTCCTCATTTTCCATTGTTGCCATCTGTATATCCATGAGTACACAATATTTAGCTCCCATTTATAAGTGAGAATATGTGGTATTTGATTTTCTGTTCCTGTGTTTGTTTAGGATAACAATATCCAGTTGCATCTATTTTGCTGCAAAGGACAAGACTTCCTTCTTTTTAGGGTTGCATAGTATTCCATGGTGTATATGTACCACATCCACCATTGTTGGGCACCTAAGATGATGCCATGTCTTTGCTAATGTGGGGCAATGAACATGTGAGTGCATGTGTCTTTTGGTAGAAATATTTGTTTTCTTTTTTTGGATCTTTGGGCAGTAATGGGATTGCTGAGTTGAACGGTAGTTCCCTTTTAAGTTCTTTGAGAAATCTTCAAACTGCTTTCCATGGTGGCTTCACCAATTTACGTTCCCACCAATACTGTATAAGTGTTCCCTTTTCTCCACACCCTTATCAGCATCTGTTGTTTTTTGACTATTTAACTACAGCAATTCTGACTGGTGTGAAATGAGATCTCATTGTGATTTTGATTTGCATTTCTCTGAAGATTAGTGATGTTGAACATTTTCTCCATATTGAGAGATGACAACGTGCTAGCAGCCCTGGCTGGCCTTCGGTTCCTCCTCGTCCTAGGCTTCCTCTCTGACCACGCTCGAGGAGCCCTTCAGTCCGCCACTGCACTGTGGGGGCCCCTCTGTGGGCTGGCCGAGGCCGGAGCCAGCTCCCTCTGCTTGCAGGGAGGTGTGGAGGGAGAGGCGCCGCCAGAACCGGGGCTGTGCAGGGCAATTGCGGGCCACAGTGAGTTCTGGGTGGGCGGGGCCTCAGCGGTCCCCACACTTGGAGCAGCCAGCCGGCCGGCGATGCCAGCTCCAGGCAGTGAGGGGCTTAGCACCTGGGCCAGCAGCTGCAGAGGGGGCGCCGGGTCCCCAGCACCACCGGCCCACCCATGCTGCGCTCAAATTCTCGCCAGGCCTCAGCCACTGCCCCAGGGGGCAGGGCTCAGGACCTGCAGCCTCCCATGCCCCAGCCTCCTCACCCCGCCTCCCCCCATGGGATACCGCATGGCCCCAGCCTCCCTGACAGGCGCTGCCCCCTGCTCCCCGGTGCCTGGTCCCATGGACCGCCCAAGGGTTGAGGAGTGCGGGTGCACCCTACGGGACTGGTGGGCAGCTCCACCGGTGGCCCCGGCACGGGATCCACTAGGGGAAGCCAGCTGGGCTCTTGAGTTGGGTGGGAACTTGGAGAACTTTTGTGGCTAGCTGGAGGATTGTATATGCACCAATCAGCACTCTGTGTCTAGCTGAAGGTTTGTAAACGCACCAATCAGCACTCTGTATCTAGCTAATCTGGTGGGGACTTGGAGAAATTTTATGTCTCGCTAAAGGATTGTAAATACACCAATCAGCACTCTGTGTCTAGCTCAAGGTTTGTAAATGCACCAATCAATACTCTGTGTCTAGCTCAAGGTGTGTAAACGCACCAATCATCACCCTGTGTCTAGCTCAAGATTTGTAAACACACCAATCAGTGCTCTGTGTCTAGTTAACCTAGTGGGGACTTGGAGAACTTTTACCTCTGGCTAGAGGATTGTAAATACACCAATCAGCACTCTGTGTCTAGCTCAGGGATTGTAAACACACCAATCACACTCTGTCAAAACGGACCAATCAGCACTCCGTAAAATGGGCCAATCAGCTCTCTGTAAAATGGGCCAATCAGCAGGATGCAGGTGGGGTCAGAAAAGGGAATAAAAGCAGGCTGCAGGAGCCAGTAGTAGCAACCCGCCTCTGTGGAAGCTTTGTTGTTTTGCTCTTTGCAATAAATCTTGTTCTGCTCTTTCTTTGGGTCTGCGTTGTTTTTATGAGCTGTAACACTCATTGCGAAGGTCCACAGCTTAACTTCTGAGGCCAGCGAAACCATGAACCCACCGGGAGGAATGAACAACTCTGGACGGGAGGAACAAACAACTCCCGAGGCGCTGCATTAAGAGCTGTAACACTCACCGCGAAGGTCTGCAGTTTCACTCCTGAAGCCAGGGAGACCAGGAACCCACCAGAAGGAAGAAACTCTGACCATGTCCGAACATCAGAAGGAACAAACTCTGGACACACATATTTAAGAATTGTAACACTCACTGTGAGCGACTGTGGCTTCCTTCTTGAAGTCAGTGAGACCAAGAACCCACCAATTTCGGACACAATATGATTGTTGGTTGCTTGTATGACTTGTTGGGAAAATAGTTTGTTTATGTTTTTGTCCTTTTTTTAATGGGGTTATTTATTTTTTGCTTGCTCAATTGATTTACTTATGGATTCTCAAGGAGATTTTCATCTTTGTCCTCTTCCTTTTGCCTTGCCTTTAACATGGATTCCTACGCTTTCTGGAAGAGAATAACATAGTGAAATTTGCAATTCAGAAAAAAATACATTGGCAGTTGAAATTTGTATAGTACACTATGATATGCATTTATATATAAATATGTTCAGTTTTAACAGATGCCTAGTAACATATAGTTGAATGGATCTAGGAGATTCTGCTATTGAGAAGAAAAAAACTGGAATGTATTTTCAAAATTGTACAACTCCTATTCATACACTTTTATATTTGGTATATCTGTGAGAAAATATCCATGAAGAGAAACGTAAGAACTTACATAAATTGGAAGAGTAAAGCATATCTAAGACATCCAGTTTATGAGTGACAATTATAAAAAAAAAAATCAGGTAAGTATGTCAGATCCTTGTATCTGTTTTCAGGTAATCTGGCCAAATAGCAGTAACATCATCTTTAAAAAATGAGTTTAAGGCCGGGCGCGGTGGCTCATGCCTATAATTCTAGCATTTTGGGAGGCCGAGGTGGGCAGATCACAAGGTCAGGAGATCAAGACCATCCTGACTAACACGGTGAAACCCCGTCTCTACTAAAAATACAAAAAATTAGCTGGGCGTGGTGGTGGGCGCCTGTAGTCCCGCTACGCGGGAGCCTGAGGCAGGAGAATGGCATGAACTTGGGAAGCAGAGCTTACAGTGAGCCCAGATCGTGCCACTGTACTCCAGCCTGTGCGACAGAGCAAGACTCTGTGTCAGGAAGAAAAAAAAAAAAACAAGAGTTTAAAACCAGGGTGGGTCAGAGTGGTGCGCATATACATATAAAACGTGACAATTTCTTGTGTAAAAAATAAGATTTTTAAAAGACATTTCTAGTCTCATATGAATACTACAAATTTTTATTTGCTAGCGTTTTTGGGGTGAATGCCAAAAACCCTTGTGAGGTACCTGGAAATGGACTGGAAAGAGTAGGTGGCAAATGAAGGCAGAATAGTACAGTGTTCTATTAGATGGGACCAATGTTAAAAATAAACTCTGAGTTAAGAGACATCACATCATTTCCTGAGACAGAATACAAACAAACAAAAGATTCTTTTCTACCTGTTTAAGAGATTGGTAGTTTTACTAACTTATTTTTCTCTGAAAATAACATACGCATATTGGCAATTTTCTTTCACTTTATCTAAACTAGATACAGTGATGTAATAAACTATCAAATTTTCATACGTTGGATGATTGAAAAATTTAGAAATTTCTAAACTTATTCACTTGCATTTATATATCATGTGTAATGACCTCATCAGGGATACCTTTTTTGATTCATTTACACCAAATTATGTGTCTTTTATAATTTTATAATGGTTCGCTCATCTTCAGATTTATTATATATCTTATAGCGTGTGATTTAGTAATTATGTATGGCAGAGTGTGATCTTTTGTTTCAAATGTAGGATATTTGAGTTGATATTGTACCACTTCCTACATTTGAAGTGGTACAATATCAATTCTAAATAGACTTCTAAATATACTAGACTCTAGAAAAACAAGAAGGTAAAAAAAAAACTGTGAGGTTGTAAACAAAACCTGATTATATATTGATTATATTAAATTACATGTAAATACTTTAATTGAGAGAAAGATATCGCCAGACTATATAAAAATATACAATCAAATTATACTTGACAATTATTTAAAAATGCACTTTATATACAAAGTCTCAAGAAAGATGAAAGTAAAATATGAAAATATATGCTATGCAAACTGCAAGAGAAAAGGCTTTAGCGTGTCTCACATCAGATAAATTAGCCATGACAAAATAAATTACCAGAGAGAAAGAGAGGCATATTATAATGTTAAAAGGGGCAATCCTTTATTCTAAAAGACATAACAATTCTTAAATTTGTAAGCACCTAAAAGAGCTTCAAATTTCATGAAGCAATAACTGACAGACTTAAAGGAATAGACAAATCCACAATGACTTTGGGATATTTTAATACTCCTTTCAAGCTAATAGATAGAACAAAGAGAAAACTCAGAGAAGATGTAGAAATTGGAATTCTAATGACTTTCAAGTTCTTTATATGTCAATGCTGAAAATGAAAGTCTCTTTTGTTATATATATTTAATGTTATTTCTAAATGAACTTCACCATCTTTGCCAATGATAGCTATGTCTATTGACTGATTTCCTCCTCCTTTGTCTTAAGGCTCTCATTTTCCTGATTCTTGTGTTTAATGATTTCGAATGTATACTGAATTGTAGATATTACATTATTGGGCACCAGGATTTTGTTATCTTCTAAGAGTATTACATTCTAGTAGATAATAATTGTTTAGCTTGGTTATTTTGAGTTTTGTTTTTAAGCTTTATAAGGTTGGTCTAAATGAGACTTTACAGGACTGTTTTGGCCTTGCTTGTAAGACAGGCCTTTCTAGGGTTTTTATTAAATATCTTAGTGGTTAAGTCTTTCCATTCTGGCTTGTTGGAAATTGAATGTCTAGGTGAGCTCTAGTAATTTTTCACCTTGCAGTTCTTTTCTGGTGGTTCTTTAGCTGACCTTGCAGCATGTTTGTTTATGTATATGCAGATTTCCATTCATCTAAAGACATAAGGGAACATCCCTGAAAATCCTGTGTACTCTTTTTCTGCATTGCATTCTTAAATTAAGTTCAGCCCAAAGTTGCCTCCTTACACATTTTAAGTTTGGCCTAAAGGTTTCTCTATACATAGTGAAGTGTAACCTAGCTGATATGTTAAGCAGACTGTATCCTACACTTGTGCCAGCCACTGAGTTTTTGCCAGTGAAGAGAAGTCGACTGTTAAAACCATGTTCAAACACAGCAAACACCGAGCTGTAACCAGAGGAGCTGTTTTTGTACCTCACTTTCATTTTCTGTATGTCATTTTGCTTTTTCTGTCCATAAATCTTTGATCGCATAGCTGCAATGGAGTGTCTCTGAACTTAGTCTGGTTAAGGGGCTGCCTGATTTGCAAATCATTCTTTGCTCAAACTGTTAAATTTAATTTGTCTAAGATTTTCCCTTTAACAGCTTTGAAGCCTCTGCTGTTTTGTAACATAAATTATACCTGATCACCTTTCTCTAATGTTAAACTCTTTTTTTCTCAACTAATCAAAACTTCTGTGGTCTGCTTGGGTTTTTCTTCCATATGGTACTTCATAAATTGTCTCCAGATAAAAACAAAACAGAACAAAAACAAAAAAGAGCAACTGCAGGGATTTCTTGCCTATTTCTCCTCTCTTTAGTACGACAGTCTGGCAGTAGTGGCTGTCTACTGTCTTAAACATTTGTTTTATTATATTCTGTCTAGTCATCTAGTTGTTTATGGCAAGAGGGCTTGTCTGAGGCCAGATGCTTCATATTGGCCAAAGGAGTTATTTTCTCAATTGATTTTTGACAAAGGCACTTAGATATTTCAATGTACAAAGGAGCATTTCTTCAACAATTGGTGCACAAGTAACTGGATGTTTGCAATGAAAACTAAAAGTGAACTTTGACCCTTACCTCACTTCATTAAAAAAAAAAAAAGGTAACTTGAAGAGGATTATAGAAAAGAATATACACCAAAACTATAAAACTTTAAGAAAACTATTTGAGAAAAAATTCTTCATGACTTTGAAGTAGGCAAACATTTCTTAGGGCACAGAAAGCATTATTCCCAAAAACTTCTTGACCAAACTTTAGACAGACTCCTCTGAGTTCGCTCTTCAAATGGGCCTTTTCCTCAGGTCTTGTCTTAGACTTGCCTAGTCCAGTTGTAGCTAAGTCAGTTTAGGGAGACTCCCCACCCTTGATATCTAAACCTGATCAAGTGGCTTTCAGAAAGGATTCTATTAGGCAGGTTTAGCAAGAATCCCTCTACCCGTGATAGCTCCCATTAGTAGTTTTCTATCCATTGACCTCCATAATTCTGCTCATTGGCTATAAATCCCCAGCTGTCTTTGCTATATTTTTGCTATATTTAGAGTCGAGTCCCATCTCTCTCCCTTATTTCAATAGCTTTGACATTTGTTTCAAAAGTCCTGAATCAAATCTTTCTTATCATTTTACAAGTAAACATGATAAACAGAACTTCAGTAAAATATAGCAGTGTAATATTTTGGTCTCCCTTAATAAATCAAACATAGGTTAATATTTGCCGCTTTATTTGTCAAATTCTAGTAATGAGAAAAGTTATTTAGTCCAAAGGGTTTTATTGTCAATCAAATTTAGGAAAATCATTTACATTAAACACAATTTTATTATTATCAAAACATCTAATAATAGTAATTAGGTTCACGAGTACATGTTCAGGGGTACATGTGCAGGTTTTTTATAAAAATAAACTGGTAAACTCATGTCATAGAGGTTTGTTGTACAGATTATTTTGGCACCCAGGTACTAAGCCTTGTACCCAATAGTTATTTTTTCTGATCCTCTCCCTCCTCCCACCCTCAACACTCAGGTAAAACCCAGTGTCTGTTGTTCCCCTCTTTGTGTCCATGAAGCACAATATTCTAATAAAGACTCTGAGAAATCCGGAGAAAATAAATCTTTTTCAACATTGTTCCACTCATATTATCGTAGCATTAATCTTTTTTGGGGGAGTGGAGAGTAAATATTATTAAAGAAAGTTAAATGGTTCTATGGAACATCTTTATCAAAACTCTAGCTTCACTAATGGTGTGGAATGTTTAGCACTGCTTGCTACTCTATAAACTTGACAGACAGATCCTGATCATTGAAAAGCCTACTCCAAGTAATTAAGGAATAGTCTATTCTGAGAAATCAGTGTGAGAAGCAGAGAAAACAGGTCAATGAAATAAATAGTATGCTAAAAATTAGTCTTTTGTTGTGTATATTAATTATCATCTATGTTTCCTCAGAAAAAATATAAAATAATATCATTTTTGAAGGATAAAAGTTAGTATTTGCTATAATTTATATCATTCAGATCAACATTCAAAATTTCCCCTTAGTGTTAGCAGCATTAATAAGTGAACAAATAATAATAACAAAAATAAATGAATACAAACATAGATACATAAATGAACAGAAGAAAGAAAAAATAGCTTTAAGTGGAGATGCAAATTTTAAATAGTATATACTACAGACACCAACTTTTAAATACGCTGTTTATTAATTCATAGTTATTTCTTAATTCTAATAATGTTTCTTAGGTGTGAGTGGTTTTGGCAGGACATAAATACTCCTATCAAATGTACATCCCCTATTTTGTCTCCATTTTGAAGAGTTTTATTTTGCTACAACCTGAGCAACATTGCAGAGCCAGAACATATCAGTGTACATCCCTTTATTGGGGATACACATCTCTTCAAATATGGAATTAATGTATATCAGATTCTTTTTAAAAAAAGAACCCTAATATTGTACCTTGCATGATCAGTGCAAATATTTGCAAAAATACATTACTTGAACAAATCAGAATAACTTCCTCCCATTTGTGTAAAACATTTCATGGTATTGAAATTCTAACTGAGCTTTTTAGATTTCCAAATTTTAGCTAAAGAGGAAAAAAACAAGTATTCTTTCAGACTGGGACAACTGTACCCCCTCACTCCATGATAGGAAAACAAAATAAAAAACCCTGTTCAAAATTAGCTTGGAATTCTAAGTGGGGAACTCTTAAACTTGATGTATCTGTTCATTCACTCTGCATTAAATGTTCATTTTGCTCCTGGTGCTTATCCAATTGGCCCTCCTTGGAGTTATTGCGTATAATATGTACTTGTACCAGGACACTGTCCACTCCTCTAGAGTCAGTATGATGTCTGAATCCTGTGTGTTTTGGTTATCTGCTCTCCTTTAGCCTGCCCATCTAAAGACAGTCTATGTACTTCAGCTATTGCAGTAAAAGACAGAAAAGCCTGAGTGCAATAAGCCAGATATAATTAAATAGCCACGAGGGGTTGGACTCAGATGGTTAATAAGTGTCAAAGGGACAAACATTTGCCTTTGAACTAGGTCAATTATGAGATATTTAAAGGGTAACAGATCTGTGTATACTCATTCAGAAAGAGTATACCTCTCAGGCCTGGAAGAAGAAATGGCTTCTGAGAATCAAGGAGTTCAACATACTGATTTCATTTATTTTTGATATATATCCAGTAATGGGGTTGCTGGATTACATAGTAATCAATTTTTAATTTTTTGAGACACTTCCATACTGTTTTCCGTAATGGCTGTACTAATTTACATTCCCAGCAACTGTGCATAAGAGTTCCCCTTTCTCCACATCCTCATCAGTACTTGTTATTTTTTGCCTTTTGATAATAACCATCCTAATCTGAGTGTGGTAATATTTCATTGCATTTTCCTGACGATTAGTAATGTTTAACATTTTTAGTATATCTATTGGCATTTGTTTGTCTTCCTGTGAGAAATGTTTATTCAGATAGTTTGCCATTTTTTTTTTCAGACAGAGTCTTGCTCTGCCACCCAGGCTGGAGTGCAGTGCCGTGATCTCGGCTCACTGCAAGCTCTGCCTCCTGGGTTCACACCATTCTCCTGCCTCAGCCTCCCGAGTAGCTGGGACTGCAGGCACCCACCACCACGCCCGGCTAATTTTTTTGTATTTTTAGTAGAGACGGGGTTTCACTGTGTTAGCCAGGATGGTCTTGATCTCCTGACCTCGTGATCCACCCGCCTCAGCCTCCCAAAGTGCTGGGATTACAGGCATGAGCCACCACGCCCGACCTATTTTGCCAATTTTTGATAAATCATATTATTTGCTTTTTGCTTTTGATTTGTGTTCTTGGTTTGTTCTAGATAGTAACCTTTGTCAGCTGAGTAGTTTGCAAATACGTTCTCCCATCCTTCAGCTTGTCTCTTCACTGTATTGTTTTCTTCTGCTGTGCAGAAGTAGTAAATCCTTACCTATCAATAATAACCTTGACTATAAATAAACTAAATTATCTAATTAAAGTATATAAAGTGGTTAAATGGACTAAAAAAAGACTCAAATATATGCTGCTTATAAGAAACTTGTTTCACCTATAAAGACATGCATAGACTGAAAGTGAAGGGATGGAAAAAGATATTCCATGCAAATGGAAACCAAAACAGATTAGAAGTAGCTATGCTTACATCAGAAAAATTAGACTTTCAGTAAAAAATGATTTAAAAAATGACAAATAAGTCCATTATATAATGATAACAGGGTCATTACAGTAGGAGAATATAACAATTGCAATTACATATGCATCCTACACTGGAGCACCTTTATATGTATATATATAATAACAGATCTAAATGGAGATATTTGTTGTGATGTAAGAATAGTAGGGTACTTTAATACCCCACTTTCAGAACTAGACATGTTATCCAAACAAAAAATGAACAAAGAAACATCAGAGTAAGGCCAGGTGCGGTGGCTGATACCTGTAATCCCAGCACTTTGTGAGGCCGAGGCAGGCCGATCACCTGAGGTCAGAGTTCAAGACCAGCCTGGCCAACATGGCGAAACCTCATCTCTACTTAAAATACAAAAAAAATTAGCCAGGCATGGTGGTGCACATCTGTAATCCCAGCTACCTGAGAGGCTGAGGCAGGAGAATAGCTTCAACCTGGAAGGCAGAGGTTGCAGGGAGCTGAGATCATACCATTGCACTCCAGCCAGGACAACGGAGTGAAACTTCGCTCAAAAAAAATAAATAAAAAAAAAGAAATATCAGAGTTAAACTGCGCTCTAGACCAAATGGACCTCATGGACATTGACAGAACATTTTGCCCAACAGCTATAGCATACACATGGAAAGTTCTCCAGTATAGACTGTATTTTAGGACGCAAACACCCACGCACAAAATTAAATTAACTTTTTTTTTCAAAAACGAAATCATATCAATTATCTTTTCTCCCCACAATAGAATAAAACTAGAAATTACCTTTTTAAATGAATGTGTTAATGCTAATATGCCAAATTTTAATTGAATAAAAAACAATCTTTTACTTTACAGATTTGATTCAGTTTTACACCAATCCATTACATTTTACATCATGAAGGTCTAATTTTTGAACAGAACATAAAGCAATAATGTTGACATAGTTGAAGGAATTCTTAATATTTTGTCTCTTCTTTGCAATAAAACTATGTTTTCTTCCTCAGAATAAAAGCTTGAAAAACAAACTCTTGTCAGGAAACAAGCTCTGTGGCATTCACGCAGAAGAGGTGAGTAAATTTTTGCTTCTTCTAGCTTTAACCAGATAAAAACAGTATTATTGTCAGATTTTTGTTCAACTCAGACATCTGGTAACTCTTTTTCCTCCTAATACAAATGCCAATTTTTAAATAGAAAAATATAATATATTTTAAACCTTTTGGTATCTTTGTGTTTTAACATTGCAATAGCCAAAAGGAAAAAAAAAAATTAACAAAGGCAGGTAATGATCACCTTTGTAGATTTTTTTTTTTCTGGATTTCTTCCTTATCTGGACTATCAGAACTTCCTTAATAGCAAATTACTGGGAGTCCATAAAATTTCCTTTTTTTTTTCCCCTCTCTTGTACTTTCTATGTGATGTCTACAAAGTTTTGCAGTGGCAAGTGACTGTCAGAGTGAAGATTCCGGGCTTGTCCATAAACCATACAAAATCAATACACTCATTGGTTCTATTTGCTGTGTAGTAAAATTGTCTCATATATTTCTCAGGGGGAAATGTCATTCTGCTTAACATAGATTTAACTAAAATAATCATTTTTCTATATTTCTCATCTCCAAGTCTATTCTTATGACTCTGTAATGTGAAAATGTAGCTCATAGAAGCCTTAGTAATATCAATGAAATAGGAATGATACTGTCATGATAAGTGATTGTTTATGACTCAAGGAGAGGAGACAAGAGTCACTGTTTTAGCTGCATCCTCCAAGAAGCACACACTAAGATATATTAAATGTGCGAGAAATATATTCAAGAAATAGCTTATGAATGATAAGGGACAGTCATGAGTGGCTTCATATCATGATGAATGTCTTATACCTAAGATGTAGAGGGAAGGAAGGAAGTTTAGCTGCAATGAGAAAAGTTGCTTACACAAGTTAAAACAAGTTTACCCTTTGTCTCAGAGTTGTCTAGAAGTAAGGCGAAGAGTTTCTAAAACAGCTCTATTGTCTTTAAATTATGGCATGACCACTGATTCAAAAATATCTTTTTCTGCCACTATCCTCTTCCAGCAGGAAGGAAAGGGAAGATAACCTGGTGAAGCACAAGCGTTGCTTCTCAGGAGTCCACCCAGGAAATAGTCTCTTCTATCTCATTGTACCCTATTTGCTAAAACTAGCTCACATGCTGAGCTAAGTTGAAGCGAGTCTGGAAAATGTCACTAGGTCAGTGGTCCTGTGTCCAGCCCAAACTAAGATTTGTTAAAGAAGGTGAAAACTCTCCTTGAAAAACAAGAAAAAATCATTAACACAAATACAAAAAAAAAAAAAAAACATTAACACAAATACAAAATAACATGCAATGTAACAATCCATTTTATAATATCTTTCCTATAATATTATATATGGCATGAATAGAAGTGTTTAATACACAAAAACTAAAAGATGATGTTCCATAGGATGAAAAATTAGCCTAAATGGTTTGTAGATCTGATCTAGTGTAGCATTTCATTTCTTTGTATTTTTCTATTTGAATACAAATAGACTTGTACATTGTTTATATTTCCTAGGTTTTGGAAATAGTATAAATGTGGTTTGTGCAGGTTGTGAGTATTACTTACAAGAGGGTAACAAGGTAGAATGATGTTTTGAATAAGAAATATCTAGATTGAAGTTATATTCTGATATGATTTATATGTGTTCAGGGTTCACATGACACTCATGTATATGAAAGAGAGGAAGCTCCTATGAGAAATATCTGTGGTGCACAGAAGTAAAAATGGGCTTACCTTTATTGTTTAGTCTGTCAGTTCAAGAATAATTCGTATTTTTTCTTCATCTCAATGCCTTTGAGAATATATTATCCCTGAATTGTTAGATACTTCATGTATTAGTGTTGCCTAATATTGAAATGTATTGTCATGCCTACTATTGAAATGTATTGTAATAGGTTCATTGCAATTTATTTGCTGTATGTCATTATGTATTTATGGAATAAATTTAGAGCTTAACATTCTCGGTAATGGGGCAGGCATGTGTTTTTGTCTGTCACAATACAATTTCAAAACAATATGGTGGCAAATTTAATTATTTGATTCACCATCACTACCAAAAACAAAATACTAATATATTTTCTTGGTTAGGAGCTAAAATGGAGATTGCCTGTTAGATCAGTGACCCTCAACTGTCAGTATTCATAGAATAAAATATCTAAATCCCATTGACACCCAGAAGATTGCCATTGTTTTAATTTGCCAGAGGATAATATTCACAAGGGAAGCTACTATAAACACCATCTACCAAAATCATCACTCCTATTTTATCAAAGAAATGCTGTTTGAACATGAAATTATAAGAAGCAAAAATCTCAGACTGAAAGATAATCTCCTGAATGGGATAAAAAAGCTGAGCTAAAATATCCTATCATGGCTGCCTACTTTTTCATCGTCCTTGTCTTTTTATATAGACAATGTTATCATTATTAGCAACTTTAATTTTGCCGTGAAATCTTCTTATGAAAACTTTATGACTCACAGTCACCAACATCTGGAACTGTATTTAAAATCACTAATTGTTTGAAGGTTATCCTTTTGATAATTTTAGCTTTTCAAAATGTTGCTAACAAGTTAAATAAAACGATCTAAGTGTTAGCTGGGTTTTGAATTAATATATATTATAAAAAAGAGATGTACCCACTCAGAATGCATTTATTCTTTGCATAATCTTTCCTGAAATCCTCAGACAGGAAGTTGCTTTTTTTGTTGTTTGTTTTTTTTCTTTTTTTTTTTTTTTGAGACTGAGTCTCCCTCTGTTGCCCAGGCTGGAGTGCAGTGGCACGATCTAGGCTCACTGCAAGCTCCACCTCCCAGGTTCATGCCATTCTTCTGCGTCAGCCTCCTGAGTAGCTGGGACTATCGGACTATTAGCCCGCCACCACACCCAGCTAATTTTTTGTATTTTTAGTAGAGACAGGGTTTCACTGTGTTAGCCAGGATGGTCTTGATCTCCTGACCTCGTGATCCACCTGCCTCGGCCTCCCAAAGTGCTGGGATTACAGGCATGAGCCACCGCACCCAGCCAGGATTTTGCTTTTAACTGAAAATTACAAGAGTGCTAGAAACAAAGAGATGAGTAACTGTGAGGAAAACCCCTAAAACATTTTTTAAAAATATATATATATATAATTATAGCAAAGCTCAAAAAATCTAGTCATTCAAGGCCATCAAATGCAGAAGGTTTTATTGTAGTTCCTGAATGAATCATTGAATAATTGATGTTTTGATAATAATTCCAAGTTATGTGGAAAATTTTAAATGATATTCTGTACATTCAGAATATGCACTTTAATTATGTTTTAAAAATGAACACCTCAAATTGTTAAAAGGCAACCATTCTGACACTTGAAAGATAGAGCATCAATTATGTGGAAGAATTGACATGCAGTTTGGCAACTCATGTGCACCATATGTGGTAGTAATCTCCCACTCTCCCTTGATATTCATCAACATTATTTTGAGGGAAAAAAAAAAAACAAAAGAAGAAAGTCTGTTTTCCTGAGAAACCTGGTTGTAAACGAGTCCTAGACAGCAGATTGGAAAAGCAGGGAGAAAATGCCAATCAACTGTGCATTTGAAATTGTGAGAGATTTAATAAATTATTGTTTTCTAAAATCAGCAGCACAAAATAATGATAACCATGTAAAGCAGAATTATCTTAGAGGGCCTCCCCAGCCATGTGGAATTGTGAGTCAATTAAACTCTTTCCTTTGTAAATTGCACAGTCTCAGGTATTTCTTTATGAGCAGTGTGAGATCAGACTAATACAGTAAATTGGCACCACAGGGAATGGGGTGCTGCTGTAATGATACCTGAAAATGTGGAAGCGACTTTGGAACTGGCTAACAGGCAGAGGTTGGAACACTTTGGAGAGCTCAGAAAAAAACAAGAAGATGTGGGGTAGTTTGGAACTTCCTAGAGACTTCACAAATGGTTTGACCAAAATGCTGATAATGATATGGACAATGAAGTCCAGGCTGAGGTGGTCTCAGATGGAGATGAAGAACTTGTTGGGAACTGGAACAAAGGTGATTCTTGCTATGCTGTAGCAAAGAGACTGTCAGCATTTTGCCCCTGCCCTAGAGTTCTGTGGAACTTCGAACTTGTGAGAGATAATTTAGGGTAACTGGTGGAAGAAATTCATAAGCAGCAAAGTGTTCAAGAGGAAGTGGAGCATGAAAGTTTGGAAAATTTGCATACTGACAATGCAATAAAAAAAAAGAAAGAAAACATTTTCTGGAGAGCAATTCAAGCCAAAGGCAGAAATTTGCATAAGTAATGAGGAGCCCAATGTTAATCACCAAGACAATGGGGAAAATGTCTCCAAGGGACAAGGAAACCTTCATGGCAGCCCTTCCCATCATATGCCCAGAGGTCTAGGAGGGAAAAATGGTGTCATGGGCTGGGTCCAGGGCCTCCCTGCTCTGTACAGCCTCTGGACATGATGCCCTGCATCCCGTCTGCTTCAGCTCCAGCTGTGGCTGAAAGGGGCCACGGTACATCTCAGACCATTAATTCAGAGGGTGCAAGCACCAAGCCTTGGTGCCTTCCATGTGGTATTGAGCCTGTGGGCACACAGAAGTCAAGAATTGAGGTTTGGGAACCTCCACCTACATTTCAGAGGAGGTATGGAAATGCCTGGATGTCCAGGCAGAAATGTCCTGCAGGGGCGGAAGCCACATGGATAACCTCTTCTAGGGAAGTGCAGAAGGGAAATGTGGGTTTGGAGTTCTACACAGAGTCACCACCGCATCACTGCCTAGTGGAGCTGTGAGAAGAGAGAGCCACCGTCCTCCAGACTCCAGAATGGTAGATCCACCGACAACTTGCACCGTGCACCTGGAAAAGGCATGGGCACTCAATGCTAGCCCATGAAAGCAGCCAGGAGGGGGGCTGTACCTTGCAAATCCACAGGGTGCAGCTGCACAAGGCTATGCGAGTCCACCTCGTATATCAGCATAACCTGGATGTGAGACATGGAGTCAAAGGAGATAATTTTGGAACTTTAAGGTTTAATGACTGCGCTATTGGCTTTCAGCATTGCATGGAGCCTGTGGCCCCTTTGTTTTGGCCAATTTCTTCATTTGGAATGGGTATATTTACCCAATGCCTGTACCCCCATTGTATCTGGGAAGTAACTAACTTGCTTCTATTTTACAGGCTCATAGGCAGAAGGGAATTGTGTTCTCAGATGAGATGTTGGACTTGGACTTTTGGGTTAAAGCTGGAATGAGTTAAGACTTTGGGGGACTGTTGGAAGGACTGTTTTGAAATGTGAGGACATGAGATTTGGGAGGGGCTGGAACAGAATGATGTGGTTTGGCTTTTTGTTTTTACCCAAATCTCACCTTGATTTGTAATCCCATAATCTCCACATTTCAAAGGAGGGTCCTGGTGGGAGGTAATTGAATTTTGGAGGCAGTTTCTCCCATGCTGTTCACTTGATAGTGAGTGAGTTCTCAGGAGATCCAATGGTTTTTTAAGCATCTGGCATTTCCCCTGCTGGCACTCACTCTCTCTTCTGCCACCCTGTGAAGAGGTGCCTTCCACCATGATTATAAGTGTCCTGAGGCCTCCCCAGCCATGCAGAACTCGGAGTCAATTAAGCTTCTTTCCTTTATAAATTACACAGTCTCAGGTATTTCCTTATAGCAGTGTGAGAACAGACTAATACAGAGAGTAAATTAACATAATAAGACATAGATGCTGTACTTGAAATATTATTTTGAGTCACTTGGGAAGCTGTGTGAGGACAGACAGTGATGTAATAAATGTGATTCTGAAGTAGAAGAATAAAGTCAAGGTACTGAGGGGTCAATGTGAGTTTTCATTCATAAAAGCCATTGGCAACTAGGTAGACTCAATCATGTCTTTTTGTTCTTCTTATGCATCATGCATTTCACCTTCAGTATCCATATCAAAAGAAAGGTGACTTTCTATGGAAATGAAAACAAATCAATTACCCTGTGAGAAACCATAAATTCTTGCTGCTGCTTTGTACAGAGTTAAGTGATACAGAATTATTAACATATCTCACTCTTAACTTACCCTTCCTTTCGTTTCCTTTCTTTTCCTTTCGTTTCCTTTCCTTTCCTTCCTTTTTCCTCTCTTCCTTCCTCTCTTTCCTCCTCTTTCCTTCTTTTCCTCTCTCCCACTTCCTCTTTACCTCCCCCTTTCTCTCTCCTTCTCTTCCTGTCTCCTTTTCTTTTTTTTTAATTTTATTTCATTTTGTTTTCTTTTTGTTCTTTCTTGTTAACTTCCTGATTCAATGGATCATGAAATGCAGGTGACTTATAATAGAAATATCTGTGAAAAAACTGTGTTTCCAATATTAGAACCTTGTAGTGGTGCATCATTGACAACAAATTCAAGTTTCCACTTGAATCAATCATACTTATAGCATTGAACAATGATTGAAAAATTATTGTGCCATTATAACACAGCTCCAACTTCACAAATTGAGTACACTGCATAATTAGAAATATTCTGGGGCTGGGCATGGTGGCTCACATCTGTAATCCGAGCACTTTGGGATGCTGAGGTGGGCAGATTGCCTGAGCTCAGGAGTTCGAGACAAGCCTGGACAACACAGTGAAACCCTGTCTCTACTAAAATACAAAAAAATTAGTCTGGTATGCTGGTGTGCGCCTGTAGTCCCAGCTACTCAGGAGGCTGAGGCAGGAGAATTGCTTGAACCAAGGAGGCGGAGGTTGCAGTGAGCTGAGAATGCGCCACTGCACTCCAGCCTGGGCAACAGAGCAAGACTCCATCTCAAGAAAAAAAAGTTCTGAATATTATAGAAAACTGAATCACAATAAACTTGCAGTTGGTTCAGTGGAAAACATATACATGCATTGTAAGCTTGGAAAATTATATTTCTACCATATAGGCAGACATTCTTTATTAAAAAAGGGCTTGTATATCAACACAGTTTACTAGCATGTAATAGTGACATAAGGATCATGGGTTTATTACCTACTGCAGCCAGCTGCTTTTAAAATTTAATTTCATTGAGATAAAATTTAATTTTATTGAGATTTATCTAGTTTAAGTGTACAGTCTGATGGATTTGACCAATGGATAGATTCAAAACATAGAATTTTTTCATTACCCTCCAAAATGTCTTCTTGCTATATTACACTGAATCTTCATCCCCATGTCAACTACTAAACTGATTTCTGTCCCTATTTGTTTGCCTTTTAGAATGTTTTCCAAATGGAATTGTACAAAATATAGCTTCTAGTTACTGGATTCTTTCACATGGTATAATGCTTTTGAAATTTGTCCATGTTGTTCTATAATTCAGTACTTCATTCCTTTTTCATTGCTCAGCAGTAGTCTAGTACTCCATGTCATGGATATACTACAATTTATCTCTTCATTTCTTATTAAACATATATGCTTTATCTAGCTTTTGGCTATTATGAATAAAGATGCCATAAGCATTTTTGTATATGTTATAATTCTTCTTGGGTAATTACCTAGGACATATTGCAGTGTAATGCAATGTACATATGTTTAATTTTATCAGAAACTGTCAGTTTCCCCAAATGATGATACTAATTTATAATTCCACTCAAATACATTTTAAGTATCAATTTTTCCTTCATGTGATCATGCTAATCTATTTATTTGTGTGTGTGTGTGTGTGTGTGTGTGTTATTGGTTATTGGTGGTAGTAGTTTTCTTTTTCTGTTTGTTTGTTTTTTGCCTGAGTAAAGAATCAGTACCTATAATTTTAGGTACAGAAATACAATAATCTGAAGTCCTTATATTTAATGTTAGTAATTGGGACTGTCCTGAAAAATTCAAAATACATGATCATAACTCTGTGACTTAAGGGACCGTAATTAAATGTGGTAGTCAAAGCAAACTGCTGAGAAAGATTTTCTTTTTAAGTATTTTCCTATTAGTGATGGCCCTCTTAAAAAATGTATTGCTCTAAAATGCAAACAACATTCAGCTCAGCATGTTAGTATTGTAGCAGCTTTTCTTGCTTCCGATCACATTTGCTTTTACCTGGACATATGTCAAATTCAAATTTATTCTAATTTAATTTAAAAAAAGTAATTGAAAATAAGTAGTAAAAAAAATGAGGCATGCATATGTACAGATATAATTAGCGTCTAAAATTAGATTGTTGGCCATGCCTGGGTGACAGAAATTTTGTGTGTTTAGTTGTGGATTGGAGGAAGAACAATAATCGACTTTCTTTAAATAACATGTTTTAAACAAGCTTCGGTTTTTCTCTTTCTGCCTAGGTTGTCCAGAGGTCTGACTCTCAAAGCAGAGCTAAGGGTTTCTGCTTTACTTCTAAACTGGTTGGACTGTGCTTTGCTTGGCTGCAAAATGTATTCCTGTGAAGTCTGAAAGTATTTTAATCTTCAAGTTTGAAAATATAAATGAGTTACACAACTTATCCATGTTTTTGCCTTACAGTCAAAAAAAATCCAAGCCCAGCTGAAGGAGCTTCGTTATGGGAAGAAGGATTTATTATTTAAGGTGAGTCTCTTTTCTCTCTTTTCCCTGAAACTTGCTAGCTCAATACCTAAAATATCAAAAACATTATTTAGGTTAAATTTATTTTCTGGAATTTCTCATGAATTGGAGTTGCATTTGACTGCATTAGAAATACTTTCATTTTCTTGACAACTTAATTAATGGAGATAAGTGGAAGTATTATTTCCTACATTCATTCTTAATCAAAAGCATGCCTCATTCCAGCAGGTTAGGAGTGTATAAAACAAATCCTGGTTCCCCAGAGTTCATGAGCTGCAGATATTAAGCTGAGAGACTTACGCAAAGGTAGATCATACAAGGACTTTTGAATCTTTTAAATTTATTTTTCAAATCAGAATTTTAGAAAGAAATGTTAGAAGACAATGAGACAGTTCAGTAATATTCAGTGTTTTACTTGTATGTAATATGCCAGTTGAATATAGATTAGTAATGCATCAACTTTCAGATATTATCAAGATCAGGACTTGTTGAAAATTTTTATGACTTAAAATATGAGATATATTGTATGTAAACCTTGTTATTTCATGTTATTTTACATTTTATGAAATCAGGAGACCTGAATACAAAGAGACTATGAAGTTGCATGAATTAGAATTCCTTTAATGTATACAATACCCACAAAAACTGTTCTACTGTAGGACTTTCATTAACTCAAATAACAAAAGGGCCAGAAGCATGACAATGTTATGATTTATTTCATAGCTCAACAGTGTCAACAAACCTCAGGTTTGTTTTTCATTGTCCTCTACATCACTCCATATAACAACCCTCAACTTACTGACTTATTCTAAACCTTGGTTCCTCATATAATCATGATGGTCGCTAAAGATATACATATTGTGTCTTCATCAAACTATGTACACAATCAAAGCAGAAAAAGGAGGCATTTGTCCTTCAAGGTCATTATTTTTTATGAAAGAGGAGAGTTTTTCGAGAAGATTCTCCAAACTAGGTTATGCATCCATGCAAAGGTAAAACCTTAGCATTTTTAGCAATTTTAGATTCTATTGTGAAAGACTGTTTCTTTTACAGATAAGTAATAGAAAGGGAGTTGCTGTGGGTTTAAGTCTTGAATAAACATATGTTGATGATAGACAGATAGATAGATAGATGATAGATAGATAGATGGATAGATAGATAGATAGATTAGATAGGTAGATAGATAGATGTGTCAAGGAAGTAGACAGTAGAAACTCAACTGTTAGGTTAGTGCAAGAGTAACTGAGGTTCTTGCCATTAAAAAAAAATGGTAAAAACCACAATTACTCTTGCACCAACCTAATAGCACAAAAGTATCTATTAACACAGACATTCAGCCATGCACCTTTGAAAATGAGTTGACAAACTGGTGAACCCTGAGATGAGTAGTAGATTCTATTTCACATACTTTCCCCTTAGGATATGTTCAATTTTGAATAGATTTTATTTTATTTTATTTTTTATTTATTTATTTTTTTTAGTAAATGTAGACTTTGAAGAAGTAATGCTTGCTGTCAAAACATTTACATTTCATCCTAAAAATAATGACACATGCTGGCACTTGCAAGGCATAATGATGAATTAAGTGCCCTTATTAATGCTTGAGAGCTGCCTTTAGCTTGGAAGAGGCTTTTAGCTGAAGTACAAATCCTTCACTAAAGATAGAGGTGAGGCCTAACTGACTGTTAGTTGCCCAGAGACTTGAGTTACTTTATATCCTCCTTGATTCCATTTGGAGCTGATATATTCTCTAGAATACCTAATCTCCATTTTAGTGCTCTTTTTATTTTTTATTTTTTTTATTTTCTTTTAAATTATACTTTAAGTTCTAGGGTACATGTTCACAATGTGCAAGTTTGTTACTATGTATACATGTGCCTTGTTGGTGTGCTGCACCCATTAACTCATCATTTACATTAGGTGTATTTCCTAATGCTATCCCTCCCCCCTCCTGCCACCCCACAACAGGCTGTGGTGTGTGATGTTCCCCTTCCTGTGTCCACATGTTCTCACTGTTCAGTTCCCACCTATGAGTGAGAACGTGTGGTGTTTGGTTTTTTGTCCTTGAGATAGTTTGCTGAGAATGATAGTTTCCAGCTTCATCCATGTCCCTACAAAGGACATGAACTCATCTTTTTATATGGCTGCATAGTATTCCATGGTGTATATGTGCCACATTTTCTTAATCCAGTCTATCACTGATGGACATTTGGGTTGATTCCAAGTCTTTGCTATTGTGAATAGTGATACCATAAACATACGTGTGCATGTATCTTTATAGCAGCATGATTTATGATCCTTTGGGTATATACCCAGTAATGGGATGGCTGGGCAAATGGTATTTCTAGTTCTAGATCCCTGAGGAATGGCCACACTGTCTTCCACAGTGGTTGAACTAGTTGACAGTCCCATCAACAGTGTTAAAGTGTTCCTATTTCTCCACATCCTCTCCAGCACCTGTTGTTTCCTGACTTTTTAATGATCACCATTCTAACTGGTGTGAGATGCTATCTCATTGTGGTTTTGATTTGCATTTCTCTGATGGCCAGTGATGATGAGCATTTTTTCATGTGTCTGTTGGCTGTGTAAGTGACTTCTTTTGAGAAGTGTCTGTTCATATCCTTTGCCCAATTTTGATGGGGTTGTTTGTTTTTTTCTTGTAAATTTGTTTGAGTTCTTTGTAGATTCTGAATATTAGCCCTTTGACAGATGAGTAGATTGCAAAAATTTTCTCCCATTCTGTAGGTTGCCTGTTCACTTTGATGGTAGTTTATTTTTGCTGTGCAGAAGCTTTTTAGTTTGATTAGATCCCATTTGTCAATTTTGACTTTTGTTGCCATTGCTTTTGGTGTTTTAGACATGAAGTCCTTGCCCATGCCTATGTCCTGAATGGTATTGCCTAGGTTTTCTTCTAGGATTTTTATGGTTTTAGGTCTAACATGTAAGTCTTTAATCCATCTTGAATTAATTTTTGTATAAGGTGTAAGGAAGGGATCCAATTTTAGCTTTCTACATATGGCTAGCCAGTTTTCCCAGCACCATTTATTAAATAGGGAATCTTTTCCCCATTTCTTGTTTTTGTCAGGTTTGTCAAAGATCAGATGGTTGTAGATGTGTGGTATTATTTCTGAGGGCTCTGTTCTGTTCCATTGGTCTATATCTCTGTTTTGGTACCAGTACCATGCTGTTTTGGTTACTGTAGCCTTGTAGTATAACTTTAAGTCAGGTAGCATGATGTCTCCAGCTTTGTTCTTTTGGCTTAGGATTGACTTGGCAATGCGGGCTCTTTTTTGGTTCCATATGAACTTTAAAGTAGTTTTTTCCAATTCTGTGAAGAAAGTCATTGGTAGCTTGCTGGGGATGATATTGAATCTAAAAATTACCTTGGGCAGTATGGCCATTTTCATGATATTGATTCTTCCTACCCATGAGCATGGAATGTTCTTCCATTTGTTTGTGTCCTCTTTTATTTCGTTGAGCAGTGGTTTGTAGTTCTCCTTGAAGAGGTCCTTCACATCCCTTGTAAGTTGGATTCCTAGGTATTGTATTCTCTTTGAAGCAATTGTGAATGGGAGTTCACTCATGATTTGGCTCTCTGTTTGTCTGTTATTGGTGTATAAGAATGCTTGTGATTTTTGGACATTGATTTTGCATCCTGAGACTTTGCTGAAGTTGCTTATCAGCTTATGGAGATTTTGCGCTGAGACGATGGGGTTTTCTAGATATACAATCATGTCATCTGCAAAGAGGGATAATTTGACTTCTTCTTTTCCTAATTGAATACCCTTTATTTCTTTCTCCTGCCTGATTGCCCTGGCCAGAACTTCCAACACTATGTTGAATAGGAGTGGTGAGAGAGGCCATCCCTCTCTTGTGCCGGTTTTCAAAGGGAATGCTTCCAGTTTTTGCCGATTCAGTAGGTTTGCACATGATTATCTCAGTAGATGCAGAAAAGGCCTTTGACAAAATTCAACAGTGCTTCATGCTAAAAACTCTCAATAAATTAGGTATTGATGGGACGTATCTCAAAATAATAAGAGCTATTTATGACAAACCCACAGCCAAAATCATGCTTTTTTTAGATTTGACAAATGTAATTCTTTAAAAAAAAAATCCTAAATATTATTTATCATTGAAGAAAAATTTCAAAAAAGTGTCAAAAAATATAAAGCCAAACTTAAAATCCCGTCACCAGAGCAAATGCAAACAATATTTTAACATATTTTATATTTCTGTCTATTTCCCTTTGTATGAATTATATCTGCCTGGTCATTGATATATATACACATATATCTCCATTGGAATACATCTATATATATATGTTCTTTATATATATCCATAATATATATTATATATAGTTATATATAATATATATCCATAATATGTATTATATATAGTTATATATACTATATATCCATAATATGTATTATATATAGTTATATATACTATATATCCATAATATGTATTATATATAGTTATATATACTATATATCCATAATATGTATTATATATAGTTATATATACTATATATCCATAATATGTATTACATATAGTTATATATACTATATATCCATAATATGTATTACATATAGTTATATATATGTTATATATAGTTATATATGATATATATTGATAATATATGTTATATATAGTTATATATGACATATATTGATAATATATGTTATATATTATATATGACATATATTGATAATATATGTTATATATTATATATGACATATATTGATAATATATGTTATATATTATATATGACATATATTGATAATATATGTTATATATTATATATGACATATATTGATAATATATGTTATATATTATATATGACATATATTGATAATATATGTTATATATTATATATGACATATATTGATAATATATGTTATATATTATATATGACATATATTGATAATATATGTTATATATTATATATAATATATATTCTTTATATATATTCATAATCTATATATTCTTTATATATATACTGTATATGTATTCTTTATATATATTCATAATTTTTAATTTAAATACACAGGATAGCTTTTAATTTTATGTAGATATACCAAAGGTTACTTAACCTTTCACTTATGTGTAGGTATGTTTATACATGCATACATATATATATAATGATTTAAATTTACATTATGATGAAAAATCCTTTCTTATTTTTAACTTGAGTTATAGTTTTTATGAAACATTTATCTAACTATCAAGTAGTTCATGAAAATTATTTTAAAATATTAATTATTGCTACCTAGTACAGGTGATTTTCAAAAGAAATACAATAGTTTACTCTCCCATCAGTACAATAATAACAAGAGAAATGTTGAATTTAAGAATTATTTTATACTGGATGTTTTATTAAAGAAACAAAAATAAATAATTGGTTAGCTAAGAAATTTTATGAATGAATAAGTCCTACACAACCATGACAAGTTGTGTTCCTTTAAGAGATTATAAAGTAAAATGATTATTTTGATTTTAAATTTTATTATTGGATGGTTTAAAGATTTAAGTCACTTGATTTTCTTTGCTTACTTTTTTGGGGAGGTAGGGGTAAATTAAAAACAATGTTTACAATACTCCCAAGTCACAAAAAATTCAATCTATCAACTTCTCTGTTGAGATACATAATGGCAGACATTTTGATAGTTTTGTGATTGTGTTTGTTGTTTATTGAATAAAAACAATTTTAAAATACCATGTGTCATTCAGTGTTTGAAATAAAATAGTGGCTTAGTTAAATTACTGCTTCAGGGAATTGGTAGTCCAGTTATTAAAAATATACTATAGTGATACATTTTTCCCTGTGTATTGTTAGTTTCTATATGCATACAACTGTGAATCAAAAATATTTGAACAAAATTTAACTCAGCAATCTCACTGTTGGGTATCTACTCCCCCAAAAAGAAATAATTAAATCAAAACTTATCTGCACTCACAGGTTTATCACAGTACTATTCACAGTAGGAAATATACAGAATCAATTGTAATATTCATCAACAGATGATAAAGAAATGTGGCATATGTACACATATGGAATGCTATTCAACTATAAAAAATAAAATCATGTCTTTTGCAGCAATACAGGTGAAACTGGAGGCCATTATCTTAATTAAGTGAAACAACCCAGACACAGAAATAAAAAAAAAAACCTGCATGTTCTCACTTAAAAATGGAAGCTAAATAATGTGTACACATGGACATAGAGTATGGAATGATGGATAATGAGTACTCAGAAGGGTTGTGGGGAAGGAAGGTACTGGAAGATGAGAAATTATTTAATGTGTATCATGTACATTATTTGAGTGATGGATACACTGAAAGCCCAGACATCACCACAATGCAATATATTCATGTAACAAAATTGCACTTACACCCCTTAAATGTATACAAATAAAAAAGAAAATATTTTTAAAAACACATAAAAATAATATATCCATTAAAAATAATACAGTAAAAATACAATATTTACATAGCACTTACATTGTATTAGGTATTAATATGGCTTTGATGACTGGGGGAACACCAGGGTTCTTGGTCTCCCACTGATAGGATTAACGACAGGGACACAGGTGGAGTGGTTTTAGGAATGAAAAGTTTAATAGGCAGGAAAGAAGAAAGAAAGAAGAAAACAGCTCCCCCATACAGAGACAGAGGGAGGGGGGCTCGGAACAAAGAGGAACCACATGTGCGGCAGAAAAGTGGTTGCTTATATTGGGATGCTGGAGGAGGCGGTGTTTTGTTTGCACAGGGCCCAGGGGATTGGTTTGACCAGGTGTGTCATTTATGTAGCTTCCAGAAACCTGGCCCTCCCACCTTAGTCCTTTAATATGCAAATGAGGGTCGCCATGATGTTCTGAACACCTGGTGTTATCTGGAGGTGGCCATTACACTTGGCACAGGTGGCGACAAGGAGAAGATGGCGGGAATTGCCATGTTGTCCATGTTAGGTGGACCTACTTTCTAATCGCCGGCATGTGCGTATTACAGCTTGCCAGCCTGGCTTTTAAAGCCGCATTTTTGTTAGAAAAGAAATGGTTTGGGGGTTATTTTTTATTACAGGAACATTTCCACTGAGAACCTTTACCCTTACTTTCTCCCTAAAAATTATTTCTTAATAACTCCTATATTAGTATTATATGCAATCTAGGCATTAAAACATATACAGGAAGATGTGCATATATTAAATGCATATAATATGTCATTTTAAATATGAGATTTGAATGTCTACAGATTTTGGTGTCCGTGGAGTTCCTGGAATCAATTCCCTGTGTAATCAGAGGAGTACCGTATATATTTAGCGTTTTTACTTTACTCAGGTCTGTAATGTGTCACTTCATTTGACCCTCAACACAACCCCTATGAGACAGGAAAATTTATGTGATCTCTTTCACAATGAAAGAATTGAAGTCTAGAGGAATTTGACATTTGTGGCCACTAACATGTTACCTGTAAAGCATTTTTACTAGCAGAGTGAAGCTATCGCCATGGATATTAATTATTTTTTTTTTAAGTAGAGCTGACCTGTTGGGGCATCATGAATTAAGTACATTTGCAGGGTTTTATACTTAGTCCTTTGATAACTATCCCTATAGCATATGTTTATATCATTGGATTAAAATACTGTCTTAATTGTTCTGGAATGTGTGGTGATAGACTAGATGCACTCATACCTGCTGAAATTCAGACACCACAGTGGCATGTGTCATCATTGTTATTTTCTCTAAATCTAGAGTTATTTAATTTGGTACCTCTATTGTCATCTGCTCTTGAAGAGAGGGCATTGCAACCTGAATTTCCATGTATGTATAACAGAGTGTCAGATTATTTCCTGATGATTCCAGATATCTATAAGGGAATTTTGTAAAGTAGTTTTTCCTTAATTTTTAAACTCTTGAGTAATTTAATTTTTGTGCATCTGTCTCATTAATTTAAACTTATGTCATCCACATGTTAAACTAATTTTTAATGAGCAAAATGCTTTTCAGTGCCATTTACTTCTAACAAGTGTGAATTTATTTCCAGTTAAATGAGGTTTGGTGCCAAAATGTAGGCAACTTACAAATGAGGTGTGAGGGGTTAACAATATTATTTTCTTACATGATTCCAGAAGCTGTAAGCTTGTCAAATCACATTCATTTGTGCGTCAAAATAATTATATGAGTCAGACAGGGAAGACAATATTGTTATCTTATGGATTAGAAAACCAAGACCCAGAGAAGTTATAAGAGTTTTCTGAAATTATGGGACTACCAAGTGGCACAGTTATATCTTTTTTTTTTTCTTTTTTTTTTTTTTTTTTTTTTTTTTTTTTAGAGGGAGTCTCGCTCCATTGCCCAGGCTGGAGTGCAGTGGCACGATCTCGGCTTACTGAAAGCTCCGCCTCCCGGGTTCATGCCATTCTCCTGCCTCAGCCTCCTGAGTAGCTGGGATTACAGGCACCCGCCACCACGCCTAGCTAATTTTTTGTATTTTTGGTAGAGACAGGGTTTCACGGTTTTAGCCAGGATGGTCTCGATCTCCTGACCTCGTGATCCGCCTGCTTCGGCCTCCCAAAGTTCTGGGATGACCGGCGTGAGCCACCGCGCCCGGCCAGCACAGTTATATCTTAATCGAAGTATTTTGATTCCACGATATCGTATTTTTCCTAGCTTAATTTCTACTTTGTATTTTAAGGTGATTTACAGATTATATCTTTTAGAAGTTATTTCTTCTAATGTACTCAAAGATCTGTGAAAGAAAAATCAAAATCTTCGGTCCCCAAACTCAATTTGCCAAAGGAAAAAGTCAAACTTGAAAACTGAGTCTCTCCAAACTGCCTCCCATTTTGTCTTGAAGCCATAGCTACAAAGACAGGATTCGGCTGGGCGCGGTGTCTCACGCCTGTAATCCTGGCACTTTGGGAGGCCGAGGTGGGGGTATCACCTGAGGTCAGGAGATTGAGACCATCCTGGTCAACACGGTGAAACATCGTCTCTATTAAAAATACAAAAATTAGCTGGGCTTGGTGGCGCATGCCTGTAGTCCCAACTACTTGGGAGGCTGAGGCAGGAGTATCACTTGAATCCGGGAGGCAGAGGTTGCAGTGAGCCAAGATCGCGCCACTGCACTCCAGCCTGGCACAGACGAGAAAAAAAGACAGGCTACAAACTTCCCCAGGGTGCTCCCTCTCAATGTGCTTACAAGATAATTCCTTGTGGGCCCCAAGGTCTTTATCCTAAAATGGTTGAAAGTCACCCTGACAATGTAAATGAATAGCTTATTTTCACAGGTAAGGGACAAAAATAGGACTAGGAGTCATCTCTCAGCTCACTTGAGATGAATTCATATTTTGCTGCTTCCTCTACTCTGTGTTTACTTTATCTTAAGTAAAAATGCAGATTCACTAAGAAGGAGATGAATACCTCGTTGACTGTTATTCTACCCTCTCTTTCTTCGTTTAAAATATGGATTCAGTGAGGGCTGATCAAAGCCTCAAAAGAATGCAACTGCTTGCCCCCCCACACCCAGCCCCCACTCCCCGGCTTTTTTTTTTCTTTAATTGAGACGGAGTCTCATTTTGTCGCCAGGCTGGAGTGCAGTGGCGTGATCTCGGCTCACTGCAACCTCTGCCTCCCGCGTTCAAGTGACTCTCCTGCCTCAGCCTCCCAAGTAGCTGGGACTACAGGCACGTGCCACCACGCCCAGCTAATTTTTGTATTTTTAGTAGAGATGGGGTTTCACCATGTTGGCAAGGATGGTCTCGGTCTCCTGACCTCAGGTGATCTGCCCGCCTCTGCCTCCCAAATTGCTGGGATTACAGGCGTGAGCCACCGCACCCAGCCCGCTTGCCCCTTTTATTTACTCTCCCCTTTTTACTTTCCTCTTTACTGCCCGTTCCTGCCCGTAGAATGTTGAAATCTCCCAAATGCTGTTTGGAAGAAGCACAGATCACAGATGTTTCTGTGATTTTATGATCCTTTTTCCTGGACATTTACTCAACCTTGGCAAAATCCACCTGTAAATCAAAAAGTATATGAGACTGGTTTCAATTAATTTAGAAGTTTATTTTGCCAAGGTTAAGGGCATACCTGTGACACAGCCTTAGAAAATCCTGAGAATGTGTGCTCAAGGTGGTTGAGCTACAGCTTGGTTTTATACATTTTAGGGAGATATAATACATACATGTAAGATGTTCATTGGTTCAGTTCAGAAAGGTGGAACAACTTGAAGCTTAGGCTAGGGAGATGATAGGTGGATTTAAAGATTTCCTGATTGGCAATTGGTTAAAAGAGTTTATCTAAAGACCTGGAATCAACAGAAGTCAGTGTCAATGTTAAGATAAGGGTTTGTGGATACTAAATTTTTTAATATGCAGATGAAGCCTCTATGTAGCAGGATTCAGAGAGAATAGATTGTAAAAGTCTATCAAACTTATGGTGCCAAACTCTTAGTTAATTCTCTCCTGGCTCAGAAAAAAAAATCTGGAAAGGGAAAAGGATTCTTTACAGAATATAGATTTTTTCCCACAATAGACAGCTTTGCATGGCCATTTCAAAATACGTCAAAGAAATATATTTTGTGGTAAAATATTTTAATTTATTTCAGGGCCTACTATTTATCATGTTGGTATCTCTTATTGCTACAAAGAGTCTGCTTTGCCAGTCTTAAGGTTTCTATTTTAGTGGTAAATGCTGGACAGCTGTGCCTGGATTTCAACAGGAAGAGAGGATAATGAGGCATGTCTGACCCCCATCTTCTCATCTTGGCCTGAACTAATTTTTCAGGTTAATTTAGGAATGCCCTTGGCCAAAAGGAAAGTCCATTCAATTGGTCAGGGGGCTTAGAGTTTTATTTTTGGCTCCTATACTCTACCAGTTTAAAAGAACCAACAGCTTAGAAGTAAATTCTGTGCATAAGAAACAAGAGAAAGTAAATTGGCTTGTCAAAATCAACCCAACTTTGTAGCCTTATTCCTTGCATGCTTAAAGCACAAAAGCCTACTAGCCTCACTTATTTTTTTCATTATTCACTAGCTAATGGAGAGGAGATGCAGGTTTTAAAAGTTCACACATTTCTTATCAGAAACAATGACAAGTGAAATTCTAATAAACATGAATTTTTTTCTCCAAAATGTGAGAATTCTTCAAATAGAATGACTAAAAGTATCGAAATTTATTTTTAAAATTATTTTAATTATTTTTTTAATTTAATTTTTTTATTTCAATAGGATTTTGAGGATCAGGTGGTGTTTGCTTACATGAATTAGTTTGTTAGTGGTGATTTCTGAGATTTTGGTGCATCCATCACCCAAGCAGAGTACACTGTACCCAATGTGTAGTCATTTATCCCTCACCTCCCTCGCACTTTTTCTTTTGAGTCCCCAAAGTCCATTGTATTATTCTTATGCATTTGCATCCTCCTAGCTTAGCTCCCACTTATGAGAGAATATACGTTGTTTGGTTTCCATTCCTGAGTTACTTCACTTAGAATGATGGTCTCCAAATCCATCCAGGTTGCTGCAAATGCTATTATTTTGTTCCTTTTTATGGCTGATGAGTATCCCATGGTGTGTGTTTGTGTGTGTATACATACCTATGGAACCAGCCCAAAGGCCCATAAATCAATAAGTGCATAAAGGCAATGTTATATATATGTGTATATATATATGTGTGTATATATATATATACGTGTATATATATATGTGTGTGTATATATATACGTGTGTGTATATATATACGTGTATATATATATACGTGTGTATATATATACGTGTGTATATATATACGTGTGTGTATATATATATACGTGTGTATATATATACGTGTGTATATATATATACGTGTGTATATATATACGTGTGTATATATATATACGTGTGTATATATATGTGTGTATATATATACGTGTATATATGTGTGTGTATATATATACGTGTATATATGTGTGTGTATATATATGTGTATATATGTGTGTGTATATACGTGTATATATGTGTGTGTATATATATACGTGTATATATATGTGTGTGTATATATATACGTGTATATATATGTGTGTATATATATGTGTGTATATATGTATATATATATGTGTGTATATATGTATATATATATATGTGTGTGTATATATATATGTGTGTGTGTGTGTGTGTTGCTGCTATAAACGTGTGTGCAAGTATCTTTTTTGCATAATGACTTCTTTTCCTGTGGTTAGATGCCCAGGGGTGGGATTGCTGGATCAAATGGTAGATCTACATTTAGTTCCTTTAAGGAATCCCCACACTGTTTCTCATAGTGGTTGTAGTAGTTCAAATTCCCACCAGCAGTGTAAAAAGTGTTCCCTTTTCACCACATTCACACCAACAACTATTTTTTTTTTATTTTTTGATTATGACCATTCTTGCAGGAATAAAGTAGTATCACAGTATCACATTATGGTTTTAATTTGTATTTCTCTGATTTTTAGAAATGTTGAGTATTTTCTTATATGTTTGTTGGCCATTTCTGTATCTCCTTTTGAGAATTTTCTATTCATGTTCTTAGCCAAATTTTGATGGGATCTTTTTTTTTTTCTTTTTTCTTGTTGATTTGTTTGAGTTCCTCATAGATTCTGGATATTAATCCTTTGTCAAAAATACAAAAATATAGATTGTGAAGATATTTTCTTACTCTTTGGGTTATCTATTTGCTGATTGTTTCTTTTGCTGTGCTGAAGCTTTTTATTTGAATTAAGTTCCATCTATTTATCTTTGTTTTTGTTGCATTTGCTTTTGGTTTCTTGGTCATGAAGTCTTTGCCTAAGCCAGTGTCTAGAAGGGTTTTTCCAATGTTATCCTCTAGAATTTTTATGGCTTCAGGTCTTAGATTTAACTATTTGATCCATCTTGAGTTGATTTTTGTATACGGTGAGAGGAGTATCCAGTTTCATTCTCCTATTATGTGGCTTATTTGTATATTAGGGTGTCCTTTCCCCACTTTATGTTTTGTTTGCTTTGTCAAAGATCAGTTGACTGTAAGTATTTGGCTTTATTTCTTAGTTTTATATTCTGTTGCATTGGTCTATATAACTATTTTTATACCAGTACCATGTTGTTTTGGTGACTATGGCCTTAGAGTATAGTTTGAAGTCAGGTAATGTGGTGCCTCCAGATTTGTTCTTTTTGCTTAGTCTGGCTTTGGCTATGTGGGCTTCTTTTGGTTCCATATAAATTTTAGAAATTTTTTTCTACTTTTGTGAAGAATGATGGTGGTATTTTGATGGAAATTACACTGAATTTGTAAGTGGCTTTTGGTGGTATGGTCATTATCACGATATTGATTCTACCCATCCATGAGCATGGGATGTCTTTTCATTTGTTTGTTTTGTCTATGATTTCTTTCAGCACTGCTTTGTAGTTTTCCTTGTAGAGACCTTTCACCTCCTTGGTTAGGTATATTCCTATGTATTTTATTTTTCTTGCAGCTATTGTAAAAAAAAAGTTGAGTTCTTGATTTATTTATCAGTTTGATCACTGTTGATGTATGGCAGAGCTACTGATTTGTGTACATTTATTTTGTATCCTGAAACTTTGCTGAATTTAATTATCAGTTCTAGGAGCTTTTTGGAGGAGTCCTTAGGGTTTTTTATAAAATCATACCATCAGCAAACAGCAGCAGTTTGACTTCCTCTTTACCAATTTGGATGCCCTTTATTTCTTTCTCTTGTCTGATTGCCCTGGCTAGAACTTCCAGTACTATGTTCAGTAGAAATGGGGAAAGTAGACACCCTCGTTTTGTTCCAGTTCTCAGGAGGAATGCTTTCAACTTCTCCTTGTTTAGTACTGTGTTTGTCCTCATAGATGGCTTTTATTACATTAAGGTATGTTCCTTCTATGCTGATTTTGCTTAGGGTTATAATCATAAAGGGATGCTGGATTTTGTCAAATGTTTTTTTCTGTGTCTATTAAGGTGATCATGTAATTTTTTAGAAAAATTCTTCCTGTGTAATGTATCACATTTATTAATTTGTATATGTTAAACCATCCCTGCATCCCTGGTATGAAACCCAGTTTGTCATGGTGGATTATCTTTTTGAAATACTGTTGGATTTTGTTAGCTAGTATTTTGTTAAGGATTTTTGCATCTGTGTTCATCAAGGATTTTGGTGTGTAGTTTTTAAAATGTTATGTCCTTTTCTGGTTTTGGTATTACTGTGATACTGGATTCATAGAATGATTTAGAGTGGATTTCCTCTTTCTTAACATTTTGGAATAGTGCAAATAAGATTGGTACCAATTCTTCTTTGAATGTCTTATAGAATTCAGCTGTGAATCTGTCTGATCCTGGATTTTGTTGTGTTGTTTGCAATATTTTATTACAATTTCCGTTTCACTGCTTGTTATTGGTCTCTTCAGAGTTTCTATTTTTTCCCAGTTTAATCTCAGAAGGTTGTATATTTCCAGGAATTTAAATATTTCCTCTAGGTTTTCTAGTTTATGCATGTAAAGGTGTTCATAGTAGGCTTGAATGAATGATCTTTTGTATTTCTGTGGTATCAGTTATAATATATCCCCTTTCATTTCTGATTAAGCTTATTTGGATTGTCTCTTCTTGGTTAACCTTGCTAATGGTCTATCAATTTTATTTATCTTTTCAAAAAATCAGCTTTTTGCTTATCTTTTGTATTGTTTGTTTTAATTTCATTTAAATCTGTTTTGTTCTTTGTTATTTCTTTTCTTCTGCTGGGTTCAAGTTTGATTTGTTCTTGTTTCTCTAGTTCCTTGAGGTGTGACCTTAGATTGTCTATTTGTGCTTTTCCAAACTTTTTTATGTAGGCATTTAATGCTATGAACTTTCCTCTTATTACTGCCTTTGCTGTATCCCAGAGGTTTTTGTTGGTTATATCACTATTATCATTCAGTTCAAAGAATTTTTAAATTTCCATCTTGATATCATTGTTTACCCAGTGATCATTGAGGAGTAGGTTATTTAATTTCCTTGCAATTGTATGGTGTTGAGGGTTCCTTCTGGAGTTGAATTCCAATTTCATTCCACTGTTTTCTGAGAGAGTACTTGACATAATTTTGATTTTCTTAAATTGACTGACACTTGTTTTGTGGCCCGTCATATGGTCTATCTTGGAGAATGTTCCATGTGCCAATGAATAGAGTATATATTCTGCAATGGTTTGGTACAATGTTCTGTAAATATCTGTTAAGTCCATTTGTTCTAGGGTATAGTTTAAGTCCATTTGTTATTTGTTGACTTTCTCTCCTGATGACCTGTCTAGTGCTGTCAGTGGGGTACTGAAGTGTTCTACTATTATTGTCGTGCTGTCTATATAATTTCTGAGGTATAGTACTTATCAGTAGTTATCGTCTTATAAATTTGGGAGCTCCAGTGTTAGGTGCTTATATATTTAGAATTGTGACATTTCCCTGTAGGGCAAGTCCTGTTATCATGAGATAATGTCTGTCTTCGACTTTTTTCACTGCTGCTACTTTAAAGTTTGTTTGTCTGATATAAGAATAGCTACTGTTGTTCACTTTTGGTGTTCATTTGCATGAAATGTCTTATTCCACCCCCTTACCTTAAGTTTATTTGAGTCTTTTTGTGTTGGGTGAGTCTCTTGAAGATAGTAGATACTTGGTTGGTGAATGTTTGTGCATTCTGCCATTCTATGCCTTTTAAGTGAAGCATTTAGGCCATTCACATTCAATGTTACTATTGAGATGTGCGGTACTATTCTAGTCATCATGCTATTTGTTGCCTGAATACGTTTTTTTTCATTGTGTTATTGTTGTATGAGTCCTGTGAAATTTATGCTTTAAGGAGATTCTATTTTGATGTATTTTGAATATTTGTTTCAAGGTTTGGAGCTTCTTTTAGCAATTCTCATAGCGCTGGCTTAGCATTGGCAAAATCGCTCAGTATTGTTTGTCTGAAAAAGATTCATCTTTATTTATGAAGCTTAGTTTCACTGGATACAAAATTCTTGGCTGGTAATTGTTTTGTTTAAGGAGGCTAAAGATAGGAACCCCAATCCCTCCTAGGTTGTAGGGTTTCTGCTAAGAAATCTGTTGTTAATCTGATAGGTTTTCTTTTCTAGGTTACCTGATGCTTTTGCCTCATAGCTCCTGAAATACTTTCCTTCATCTCGACTTTAGATAACCTGATGACTATGTGCCTAGGTGATAATCTTTTTGCAATGAGTTTCCCAGGTGTTCTTTGAGGTTCTTGTATTTGGATATCTAGATCTCTAGTAAGGTTGGGGAAATTTTCCTCAATTATTGCCTTAAATATGTTTTCTAAACTTATAGATTTCTTTTCTTCCTCAGGAACACTAATTATTCTTAGGTTTGGTCATTTAATGTAATCCCAAACTTCTTGGAAGCTTTGTTCATTTTTTAAAAATTCATGGCTGGGCACAGTGGCTCACGCCTGTAATCCCAGCACTTTGGGAAGCCAAGGTGGGTGGATCACGAGGTCAGAAGATCGAGACCATCCTGGCCAACATGGTGAAACCTGTCTCTACTAAAACTACAAAAATTGGCTGGGCATGGTGGCGCGTGCCTGTAATCCCACCTACTCGGGAGGCTGAAGCATGAGAATCACTTGAACACAGGAGGCAGAGGTTGCAGTGAGCCGAGATCACGCCACTGCACTCCAGTCTGATGACAGAGTGAGACTCTGTCTCAAAATAAAATAAAATAAAATAAAATAAAATAAAATAAAATAAAATAAAATAAAATAAAATAAAAAGTTCTTTTTTATTTATCTTTGTTGGATTGGGTTAATTCAAAAGCCTTTACTTTGAGCTCCGAAGTTCTTTCTTCTTGTTGTTTGATTCTATTCCTGAAGGGATGGGTTGCCCCTCCACACCTGTGGGCGTTTCTCGTTAGGTAGAATGAGAGACTTGGAAAAGAAAGAGACAGACAAAGTATAGAGAAAGAAAAATAGGCCCAGGGGACTGGCATTCAGCATACAGAGGACCCATGTTCCTGAGACTTTCTAGTGTCTTTTGCATTTCTCTAAGTGTGTCCTTCACTTCCAGAAGCCATGGTTGTTTATATTTGTGCTGTCTTTTTCTCTGGAGATTTCTTTTTCCATATCCTTAGACTTTTGTTTGTTTGTTTGTTTTAAATTTCTTTAAGTTGGTATTCACCTCTCTGGTACTTCCTTGAGTAGCTTAACAATTGACCTTCTGAATTCTTTTTCTGGCAATTCAGAGATTTTTGTCTTGGTTGAGATCCATTGCTGCTGAACTAGTGTGGTCTTTTGAGGGTGTTACAGAACCTTGTTTTGTCATATCACTGGAATTGTTTTCCTGTTTGTTTTTGTTTGTTTTTGTTTTTTCTTTCATTTGGTTATACTATATCAGAGGGAAGATCTGGGGTTCAGGGGTTACTGTTCAGATGATTTTATCCCATGGGGTTCTCCATTAATGTGGTGTTCACCTCTTCCCATAGGGATGTGACTTCCTGAGAGCTGAACTGCAGTGATTGTTATTTCTCTTCTGGTCTAGCCACCCACCAGAGCTACTGGGCTCCTGTCTGCTGCTGGGAAGTGTCTGTAAAGAGTCCTGTGATGTGATCCATCTTCAGGTCTCTCAGCCATGGATAGCAGCACCTTCTCCAATGGAGGTAGCAGTGAAGAGAAGTGGATTCTGTGAGGGTTCTTGGTTATAGTTTTGTTTATTACACTGGTTTTGTGTTGGTTGGCAGCCAGCCAGGAAATGGCACATTCAAGAGATCATCAGCTGCAGTAGTACATGGAGGATACAAGCTTGCTGTAGGGTCTCCTGGAGAATATTCGGGTGTCTCAGGCAGTGGGTGGGGCCATAGTGCTCCCACGAGATTATGTACTTTGTCTTTGGCTACCACAGGGGGTAGAGAAAGACCTTCAGGTCGGGGGCAGGTTTAGGCCTGTTTGAGCTGTGGCTCTTCTTGGGTGATTCTTGCGGCAGCTGCTATGAGGGATAGGGGTGTGGTTCTCAGGCCAATTGAATTATGTTCCCAGAAGAATTATAGCTGCCTATGCTGTCATGCAGGCTGCCAGGGAAGTGGGGAAAAGTTGGCAGTGAAACCAGCCTCACCCAGCTCGCACACAGCTCAAAAGGCTGCTCTCACTCTCACCATGCCCCCTCAACATCATCAAATTTATATCCAGGCAGCAGGTAAGCAGGACTGAGAACTTGCCCCAGGCTACTGGCCTCCCCACTGAAAAGGCAATTGGGTTTTCAGGTTTCACGCCTCCCTGCCTGCCGCAGCTTCTGTGTAGTGGCTGCACCTTCTGTTTGCCTCTCTCTCGGGTTCTGTCCAGGAAACTCTGCATTCAGTCAGAATTGTTACAAAGTACAGCTGGACGTTTCCTTCTCCCTGTGGTCTTTTCCCAATTCCTCTGGCAGCCTTCCCCAAGGACCCCTGTGAGACCATGTCAGAAATGGCTTCCCTGGGGACTGAATGTGCCCACAGGGCTCTTCCTGCTGCTTCCCCTACCCCTATATTTCACTCAGCTCACTAAATTTGTCTCAGCTCCAGATAAGGTCAAATCATTCTCCCATGATCTGGACGTTCAGCTTCCCCAGTGAGGATGTGTGTTCAGGGGTGCACAATCCTCCTTTCACACTTTCACACTTTCGGTGCTCAGAGTTTTTTGACTGTCTCTTGGAGCCTGCAGGAGTGATCTGCTTCCTTCAAAGTATCTGGGGATTCTCTTTGCTTTCCTGTTAGTTCCTGTGGTAGTTTGTGGAGGAAATTTTCATGATGTGAGTCTCCATATGTAGCTCTGTTCGTCTGAGTGGGAGCTGCAAGTTAGTCCTGCCTCCTATCCACCATTTTCGCTGGAATCTCAAAGTATTGAAATTTTAAAGAGAATTTGGGTAAAGAAACTAAGCTCAGAGTTTTAAAGTAACTTATTTATGACTACAAAACTTCAATATAAGTCTCCTGACCAGGTTTATTCATTTGTTCAAAAGTATTTATTGTGCATGTATTATCTATCAGGCACTGAGAAAATTGTTTTTTCTATTTGACCATGATGCCTTCATGCTTTAGTAAGGGCTTCAGAGTCAATGGATGCATTTCAGGAAGATATTAATTCTGCAGAATTTGTTCATAATGATTATAGATTTACATAAGGCCTTTTTTTGAGAAGAGTTTGTCAAATGTTTCAGATACTATTTAAATGGCTTGCATACTGTCATGCGCATCTGTGTGAAGGGACCACCAAACAGGCTTTGTGTGAGCAATAAATCTTTTTAATTACCTGGGTGCAGGAGGGTTGAGTCCGAAAAGAGAGTCATCAAAGGGTGGTGGGATTATCATTAGTTCTTATAGGTTTGGGATGGGCGGTGGAGTTAGGAGCAATTTTCTGTGGGCAGGGGGTGGATCTTACAAAATACATTTTCAAGGGTGGGGAGAATATTACAAAGTACCTTCTTAAGGGCAAGGGTTGGGGGGAGGATATTACAATGTACCTTCTCAAGGATGGGGAGGGTGTATCGTACAAAGTACATTCTCAAGGGTAGGGGAATATCACAAAGTACATTATCGCAAGGGCAGGGAAGGTGTATTGTCACAAAGTCAGCTGATCAGTTAGGGTGGGGCAGGAACAAATCACAATGGTGGAATGTCATCAGTTAAAGCAGGAACTGGCTATTTTCACTTCTTTTCTGGATCTTCATTTGCTTCAGGCCATCTGGATATATACACATGCAGGTCACAAGGGATATGATGGCTTAGCTTGGGCTCGGAGGCCTGACACATACATCCAAAGTTTAACAATTTAGAAACCATTGCTTTACAGATTTCCCCTTACCTTCTGTCATTCTAAACACATTTAGGTATTGATAAAAGGAGGTTTCTCTGGCTATCTTTGGGCATAAAACACACTTGTTCCAAGTTTCTATTATTTCCCGTTCTTACTCTGTTCATTTATTTGAAAACTGAATGTGTTCCATAACTGCCAGGCTTATGGTTTATTACTAATTTTAAGAAAATATTATTATAACTTTAATAACATACTTAAATTTTACCTTTCTTATTTTAAATTTTTCCATTCTCACCAAATTTTACCATTAAATCAGGATTTGAAAAAAAAATGTTGTGACATATTACATAAGAAAACAAAACATTTAAAATGTTATATGTCAGGACTTGTAAATACATTTAAAATTATGAATATATTTGTGTTTCCCCAATCTGACACGCTGTGCCTATTTCAGACCTTGCTAATAGGTTATATGATGCTCTTCTCCATTGTTTGTATCTAGCCTCAAACTCTTTCTCATTCTCATATTTGAAGTAGCTCCTAAAAGTCTGTCAGAGTTGGTACTCAAGATACAACCTATTTGCCTTCTGAATGAGCTTTTAAATATTTAGCCTGTGGCCAGTGTTCAGCCTCCAGAGAGCTACTCTACCAGGATTTGTTTACTATTGTCTTACTATGGCAGTGAATACTATTTGTTATTTTTGAAAAAAAGCTTTGTAGAGCAGTATATGTAAGCTAAATAATGTACAAGAATAAGGCACAAGTCAGGATGCTTGTGCAGAAAATCAAAACAAAGATTAATTCTAGAACATGTCTCCTTGCTTCTGAGAGGGTGTGTTGAGCAATGAATTGCTGACCTTCTTTACATATTCTTTTCTTGTGCATCACGTTGTATATGTTGTGTATGTATGTCCTGGCTTAGCAAGCTGCCCTCACAGTGAGAGGGGCCCTTAACTTTATGCTAAGTAGAGTTGATCTGCATATTTCCTTGCTTAAAGTAAATATTGAACAGTGATGCAATCATGAGTCCTTTGGGGAAAATCATTCCCTTTGTGAAGTTGCCTGGGCTACTGGTATTTCAGTGAACTGGTTTCTTTAAATACTAAATGCTTTGTTATTAAGTACCTGTTTAAAAATTACTTTTTCAGTTTGAGACATTTGTTTCTTCTGAGCACAAAGAAAGTACAACACATAATTCTGATCAGATGACATTTTAGGTTCTAAAATTATGGATTAAAAATTATGGATTTTTGTAAAATTGCATTTGAGTGCCCTGGAATTACTTCTCAGGGATTTACTGCATCTTCAAGTAGCTCTCATCTCTATTAAAATATAAAACAGTTATGGTAGTATTGTTCTTCTAAAACAATTTCATTATGAAAGTAAAATAAAAAAGAAAGATTAGTGAAAAAATAGTAATTCACTAATGTACTTACAAGTCCTGATGTATATAATATTAAATGTTTTGTTATGTAACATGTCATAACATTTTTTTAAATCATGAATTAATGGTAAAATTTGGAAAGAATGGTAAAATGGTTACCAAGTTATAAAATTTTATAATTTTTAAAAGAGCCTTTTTATATCTTTTATCCTAATGGTGATGCCAATATAATTTCAGAAGACAAGAGCAAATTATTATTCTCCTTTGAATACTTCTTCTTTGGGCAACATGTTTAGATGTTCCCTTTTTGTCGTGAATGGAGACATTTCAAAAGCATATTTGTGAATTTATTTGATTTATTTCACTTTATTTCATTACTGTTAGTGAGTTGCTAGTGTTTTTGTTAACCTAATAAAAGAGAAGAAGACATTTACCTTTTACGATATTGAATAGAAAGTTGCTACAATAGACACAGTTCAGAACAATTTTTTAAAAGTTCACAAATTTTATAGTTTATGAAAAAAATTGTAGAGCTCATGGAAGCAAGGGCTGAACCCCTAAGTGGTATAAACTGGGAGTCTTTTACTAGTGACAACACTACCAATTAAATCATTATACTTGTACATATTTTTTAAAGAAAAGATTTATGGTACCTTAGCCCCTACCGTTGTCATTTGGACATAACAAATCCCATTTGAGGAATAAGTCAGATTAATTTATTATATAAAGTTTCAAGGACTTAGAACCTTCACAATGGAAGGCCGGCAAATAGCTGCAATTTCAGTCTCTTACTCAATAGAGGCTTATCTCCTCAAAAACATTGCCTCTGATTGTAAATATCCAGTGTTTAAGGTTCACAAAAGAGTAAGGCAATTTTTTTTTTTCCTTATACAATAATGACTGTTGGAGAAGCCCCTCTCATTCCTGATCGTAGCTGTTTTATATACCTACCTGCTTGCCACAGAGACGCCAGCCCTCTCTCTGTCTATAAAGTAATGTGTGTTTTTCCCCATGGTCCTCTTGTATTCACTTTTTCTATAGTCTTTGTTTCTATCTGTGTGGTGCAGGATTTGAGTGGGCAATGAAATCATTTCAGTACTCTGAACTCGTGCAGTTTAGTCAGAGGCCAAAATTCACAATAACCAACACATATTTTTAATTTTTCATTCCAATTTCATAATCTCAACTCTTGTCAAGCTCATAACTAGCGTATCTTCCCACCCTGCTTCAGTCATTGCTACTACTCCTCCACAAATAGATGTGTAAAACTTCATTAAGGTTGCAAATACCTATATGGTATATATATTATATCATATGTGAAAACTGCTTTTGTATTTTTGGTAAATCCTTTTGTTCAATCAGTGCCTCCTGCAATGAGAAACACACACACACACACACACACACATGAGTAAAAGTAAGAAGCACTTATCTTGGGGTCTAGGACTGCATTACATGCTTCAAGGGACAAAGAAAAGCAATTCTAAGAAAAACTAATTTACAACTTTGATTAACTGACATATAAAAGTTATTATTTATATTAAATAGAAGCATTGTCTACTGAATATTTTGTTCATTCCTTCTTGCTTAGTAGATGTAGCTTGATGTGGTAAAAATAAAATATAGTCAAAAAGAGGGGATCTAATTTCTTTATTAAGTCTTTCACTTACCTGGAAACTAAGCTTAAGTAAAGTCACTTTACTTGTTGGATATCAGCTCCTGTCAGTAAAATATGAATGAGATGAAAAAAACACACACTTCCAAGTTATGTAGCAGGATCAAATGAGATTGTATATGCAAATACATTGTACAAAATATTTTAGACATGCTGAATTATCAATGAATTGTTTTATTTTTTCCTCGGGGAAATTTATTTCACAAGAAATTACCAGCTTACTTTTTTAGAGTCTAAACAATTATTGGTCTTAGTCTCATTCAAGAAATACGTCATATGTGGCCGGGCGCGGTGGCTCACGCCTGTAATCCCAGCACTTTGGGAGGCCGAGGTGGGCGGATCATGAGGTCAGGAGATCAAGACCATCCTGGCTAACACGGCGAAACCCCGTCTCTACTAACAATACAAAAAATTAGCCGGGCGTGGTGGCGGGCGCCCGTAGTTCCAGACACATGGGAGGCTGAGGCAGGAAAATGGTGTGAACCCGGGAGGCGGAGCTGGCAGTGAGCCGAGATCGTGCCACTGCACTCCAGCCTGGGCGACAGGGCAAGATTCCCTCTCAAAAAAAAAAAAAAGAAAGAAAGAAAAAAAAATACGTCATATGTTCTTAACTCAGGACCTCATACTTTCCATCGTCTGGCATATGTAAAACTAGATTGCCCACCTTTTCTCCTTCAAGATGTCTAGCCACCTTTGAAGCCAGGGGAGAATCAGTTTATCTCTTTTTATTTTAGACAAATGTATTTGTTTAATTTATTTATTAATAAGAAGAAAAAAACCCAAATAACATTCTTGAGAAAACACAGGTTCTAAGTTTTAGTATTTTTGTGGAAATCAAGTACTAAAGGCATAGTATTATTTTCAGAAATGAATTATTGGGATACATTTTTTTTCTAATAAAGTTTTTAAATCTATTTTTTAATTAAAGAAAAGAAATAAATGCAAACACCAACAGCTAAATATGATTTTTTTAGCACAATTGCAGTTGACCATTTGTCTGGAAACAGAGATCTGAAAGAGTACATTGTCCTTTTCAACTGCCTTTAACATATATATCATTTGTGGGAATAATAGTCAGAAATTCTTTAATCTTAGATGCATCAGACTCCTTTGCTATAATAATTTGGTTTTATACTTTGTTCTATCTTGGGCAAATTTGATATGCTGATATACTGAAAATTTATTCATTAAAATATGTAAAATCTACTAAAATAATATTGAAAATAGCTCTGTGGATTTTTTTTTTTCTAATTGAGCAGAAACTATGTTAACTCAATGTTGCACCACTTCCTCCTTCTTCATGTATTAAATTTGTTTTTAATTTAGATGGATTGAGGAAAATGATACCATATTAATATTTTCACTTATTTGAACCCTTTTATTTGCTTGTGGCTTGGATTTTAATGGTAGTCTGCAGGAGTACGGTAGCAATCAAACACAGTCTTAGGGGTTGCCCATTCAATTCTGGCTATTTTGATAACAATACTTAGCTTTAGCTACATGGAATGAAGATGCTTTGTTGGTGTTTGACAATTTGAACACGTGTAGGAAAGCACCTGTATATCTTGTTGAAAGAAAATGCTGATTTAGTAGGTCTCGGAGAGGGCTTGAGATTCTACACTTCAAACAAGCCCCAGCAAGGTGCTGAGTCTAATGGTCTAGCCACACTTTAAATTGGAAGGCCTAGCAATCTGATTAATCAGATTTGAAAGGATTTTTCTCTCTCTCTCTCTCTTTTTTTTTAATTTTAAAATTCTGTAGACACTGGTGTGGTAGGAAGAACCAGCATTTGGAAATCAAATTATCTCGGTTCTCTTTTAGTCATTTCACTAGCTTCCTAGTATTTCCAATAGAAATATAGAAGTGTACGGACTTCTAAAAAAGTGCACTCGTACTTGTTTAACTTTTTTTGTTCACTCAACACAGTTGACATTTTCTGGTAGGTGCAGGAAAAACAAACTTGAATGACAAATTTTCAGATCCTCAGTCTAGTAAGGGAGAGGGTCTAGTTTGCAATCAATTTTAATACAACATGGTAAGAGTTTTACAAGTATTTCTACCACTCTCGGGGGAAGGGATCACTGAGGGGACAATCAAAGTTCAGTAAACCTATTAGTACCTTCCTACTAGCTTTATGGAAGACTGACTTGTATTAGACCTTGAAGGCATTGCACCAATGTTTGGTAGGTATTTACTAAATATTCATAGGAAGGAAGGAAGAAAAAAAGGGAGAAAAAAATCCAGTGATTAAGTGAGGAATGCAGTATTTATTAAGAAAATCGTCTAACAAAATGGACTGCCATTTGGACACGAATCACTATTTAATAAATTGTCATAGAAACTTGCTGAAATATGTGGTATATATGGAGACAGGCAAGATAAGAGATTGGGGAGATAGGCTGATGTCAAATCATGAGAGTCAATGATGGTGATATTAACAAGGTTTGGAAAAAAATGTCTGTAATTTTATATATATAGTGCTTCTTTGTGTTGGTAGGAAAAAATGTTCAAGCTCCTGTTAGCTTGTAAATATGGACATCACCTTTCTTCTCAGATTTTCCCTTCTCTTCCTGTGGTTCCTGGGCATGACTTATCCTTGCAGCCAATGAGGGCTGGCCAGTGACAACTTGGCATCATGGAGGTGCTTCTGACTGATCAGCAGGTCCACTGGTTCTGGCTCTATTTTTTTTTTTCTTTTACTGGTTACCACCTTAAGTGTCTTTTGACTGTATGGTGAATATAGAAAAAAAGGAGAAAGGATTGGAGGATAATTATATAGAAATATTTTACCCAGAAAACAGAGCCCCCACAAAAAACACACACATTGAAATCTACTACTTTCATATTTCTCTTAAATAAGCAATTTAATGAGAATGGAAACTATATTGCTGCTTAATGGAGTGTAAAACTTTTCTAATTTAAAGTTAACTACTTGGCTGTGAAAGGAAAAGTAGACTCACATATTCAGGGTAGTAAGGAAAAAAAATAGGAGCACTTTGATGGGTCTTCAATATTTTAGACACTCATTAAGCCTGTATTTTATCCACAAGTGGGCTCATTCTCTTTATCCTCAACCCATATAAAAGGCAGGAAGGTGTAGCATTTAAAAGGAGAGATTCTGGATCCAAGCCTGCTGTGTTTAATACTTTGTCAATAACAGTATTAATTTGAGCAAGGTAAGTAAACCTTATGTTTCTCTTTTTTTCTCATCTGTAAGATGAAATTAATGATAGCTTCTATGTTATACAGTCATTTTGCAAATTAATGAGTTAATACAAATAAATTATCAACTTATAATAGCTTCTGGCACATATTAAGTGCACAATAATATTAGCTATTATTGTTCAAACAAAAGAGACAATTTTACTTTCTTTTGATCTTAATATTGCTAACCAATTCTTTTGGGTTCTAATAGAACCTTGAATTCAATCTAAGCTTTTCCTATTCTTGAGTGAGTTGCATAACCTCTGAGCTATTTTCCCAACTGCAAAATAGAAATCATCACTACTCTACAGAAGTGGTATGTGTAGAGATAAGGTATGTGAATCTACAAACTAATAGGCCCTCAGCAAATGTAGTTGCCTTCAACTTCTCTTTCACTTTTGTTTTGTTTTGTTTTGCATGTTTAGTATATGCAGACAGAAATAGAAAAATAAAGTATTTTTCCCTCTTTTTCATTTTGCTCTTAGGCAAGCTGGAAATAGGATTGAGATTTACTGTTGCGTTTAGATAGAAGAGGCATAAATAGAATTCTCAGGGTAACCCACTGGGCATAGCCATCATGAGTCCCCTCATTATCTGGAAAGTGTGGATGAAGGTGCTATGGCATCTAAAGGTTTTGGCTATCAATGCTTTATGCTTCGTAACTGTAACAAACTTTAACTCATATCATAGTTAGGTTTTACTTATTTTTAATACTAAGTATGTTTTTCCAAAATATTAGTAGAGTTTTGTTGAAAGTTTTATAAAATATATCATGTCATCATTATTTATTTATGTTTCACCTCTTTAATGTGTCCATTTAGAGAAAAATATATAAATCACAAACTTTAAATACGCAAATATAAAAAAGCAAAATTAGTCTGCAAGTTAGAGTTTATCAGCTGTGTCAAGCAGAAATTAATTCATTCAACAGATGAATTCAACAGATGAAGCAACTTCAGCGTGTCCAACACTGTTGGATGCAGTTCATATGTCAGGAAACAATTCAAATATAACAACACTTTCTGCAGGGCATTTATAGTCTAATGTAGATAGTTAGAAACTTTGAGTAGTTTGGGTGGTATCCCACTCTCCAAAGCACCATCATTTGTACTCTTATGTTTTCATAGTCTAACACCTCACATGCTCTGAATCCCCATCAGAAAGAAAAAATTCAATGTATTTAAATTTAATGTATTTAAAAATTTAATGTATTTATTGTCAGCTATAAGTATAATTTGTGTTCAATAAAATCCATCATTTCAGTTGGACAATTTATTGAGTTTTGATTAATATATATAAATAGTGTGTTACTGTCACCACAATCAAGATATATAACTGTGCCATCATTTAAAAAAAAAACTGACCATGGAACAATTTGCAGTCAATTCCCTCTCCATGCCCTGCTTTCTTTTACTATTGTTTTGCCTCTTCTAGAACATCACGAAATAAAAACACTTAGCATAATATGCTTGAGTTCATATATGTTGTTTGATATGTCAGTCATTTTTCCCTTTTTAATGCTAATTTCATTTCATAAATAGATACAGCACAGTTTGTTTCCCTGTTAGCTAACTGATTGGCATTTTCTTGCTTTAGGTTTGGGACTATTATAAATACTGCTGCTATGAGGTCTCACACAGAGATCTTTGTATAAACACAAAATTTTATTTTGTTCTGGGGAAAAATTAGGAGTAGAATAGTCAGGGCATATGTTATTTTTTAAATTGTATAAAAAATTGCCAATTATCCTCTAATTGAATGTACCATTGCATTTCCACCACCAGTGTATGAAAAATCCACATGTCCTGCTTTCCTGGCAATACTTGGTTTGGTCAGTCCTGAGTTTCAGTCTTTCTAGTGCATGAGTAGTGACGAGCGTATGGTTATAACCTACATTTCCCTGAGAATGATGTTGTTGAATACTTTTCATGTGCCTAGTTTTCATTTGTATATCCTCTTTGTTGAAGTGGCTGTTCACGTGTTTTTCTCCTTAATGAGAAAAAGTGTTTTATTTTTATATTGGATTTTTTGTTTTCTAATAACTAAGTTATAATCATCCTTCATGTATTCTAAATAATAGTTCTTTATCAGATATATATTTCACAAACTTTTTTTGCCAATGTGTGGCTTGGCTTTTCATTTTCTTAAACGTAGCTTTCAAAGGGAAAAAAAACTTTTATTTTTGATGAAGTCAAAATGATACCTGTTTGTTTGATTTTAGAACTTTCTGTGTCTATTTAAAGGTCTTCTTCTAACACAAGGTCATAAAGTTTGTCCTTGTGTTTTCTTTTGGATGTTTCATATATGTAGGCTATTGTGTTTACATCTATGATTTACCTGAATTTACGTTTTATATAAAATGTGAGTTGATGGTTTCAGATTTTTCTTATTATTTAATGAGATCAGTTACATCATAATTTATTTTTAACATAGTAATAATTGAGCTGAGAAGACCAACTGATGGTATAGTAAAATACCCTGAACTGTGTACAACTTCTTATGCCACTTATTTCATGGATTTCTGCATGAGAAGTCCATATAAAGCTCCTTTGATTGGATTCGTATGGTAATTCTTTGTTCTTGCAGTTCAGGACATTATTTAAGCACTCTGAATATGACATGTAAAAAAATCAGAAATTAATTCTGGGTTTGCCGCTGAATAGAGTAATTTTTGAGCAAATTTTTCAACTTCAGGGTTTCAGCTTCTTCATCTGTTAGACTGGGGTAATTCATAGTTTTGTGCAAACGTAGCAGAGAAACAAATGCTTTATAAATGTACGCCCTTTTTACTGTCTGTTTTTTATTTTTTTTCCCTCTCTCTCCCTTTCATTTTCTTCATTAGCTCTTTGGTTCAATTAGGAAAACATTGTATTTGTCCAATTAATTCTCCTCTGTACTGCCATAGCACTCTGAGTGAAGTGTCCCATGCTGGGATCTACTGCGGTTATTTGAGTGTCAGTCACCTTTTCCTGTAGGACTATAAGCTGCTATTCTGGGGAAAGTCCATCTAATAATAATTTATTCTAACTTATTTTGTCAATAAAATATTCATGGCTGGTCATGGTGGCTCATGCCTGTAATCCCAGCACTTTGGGAGGCCAAGGTGGACAGATCACTTGAGGTCAGGAGTTCGAGACCAGCCTGGCCAACATGGTGAAACCTCGTCTCTGCTAAAAATATAAAAATTAGTTGGGTGTCGTGGTGCATGCCTGTAATCCCAGCTACTTGGGAGGCTGAGGCATGAGAACCACTTGAACCCAGGAGGCAGAGGTTGTAGTGAGCCGAGATTGGGCCACTGCACTCCAGCCTGGGCGACAGAGGGAGACTCCATCTCAAAAAAAAAAAAAAAAAAAATCATTAAGTGCCACAGTCTATTAAGTGTCTCACTTGTGTGCTGTGGACAAAATATAAGTAAGGTATGGTATGGTTTCTGCTTTCAAGAAGTCCATGTATAATAATGTCAAGTATTATTTTAAATGTACATAGCCAGGCAATGTGCAACTAACTCACACACACATGATCACCTTTAATACAATAACTATTTAAGGCAATGGTATCTGTATTTGTCTGCATTTTAGAATCATCTGAAGATCTTTAAAATTTTTTGAAGCCCAGGCAACACCCCAGACCATTAGATAAAAATGTCTGAGAAGGGGTCAAAGGCATAAATATTTTTTGAAGCTCCTCGGTTAACTTAATATGCAACAATTTTGGGAACCACCACTTTAAGGTCAGTTGTAATATTACCAACCTCAGTATTCAGATGAGGTAACCATGGCTCTGAGAGGTTAAGGCATTCTGACTCTAGGACCCTGTGCTCCCAAACAATACATTATAAAACTTTCAATTAAATGAAAATTCTAAACATATGCATATAATTTTTGTATGCACAAATATATAGTTGGAACACATAAAACATACTTATAAAATATGCAGAGAGAAAGAGAGACTGGAAATATGTGTGAGAATTGATATCCAGTAGAGAGTAGAAAAAATGGAAAACCTAATACCACTTTTAGAGGTGTTTGGGGACATAGTGTTATTGTTGGGTTACTTAAGAAATATTTTGAAGAGAAGTTGAGATTTGAACTCAAGATTGGAAGGAGAAGTAGCAATGCAGTTGCAAGGATTGGGGAAGGTTCTTCGGGAGCAGATGGAGTAGCATGGTCAAACAACTCAAGGCATGAGAGAGAATAGGGAGTTTCAGTTTGATAAATAGTGAAAGGAGCTAGTGGTGACCTGGCAAAAGCTGAGACCTGTAGTCAGAGCTGAAAGACATGCCTAAGTCAAGTATTAGAATGCCTTCTGTTGCAGGATAAAGGCTTTAAACTGTGCTATTTTTTAAAAGCTGTGGTGAATTTAATTAAAGATTATTATGAATAGATTTATCTTCAATGCACATTATATGCTCATACGTACATTTATGCATAGTTTTGAGTTTGAAGACACTGAGGTAGAGTAGTGAGTGCCAATTCTCTTTAAATCTGTGCAGCGAAATTGTAAGTTCTTTGCAAGCTGGAAACCACATTTCATCATTACTTGCCAGATGCCACTGGCAAGAAGCACATTTCCCTGAATAGACTTCTATTTGCCAGTTCCAGAGATTAGCAATATAATTGGATGTCAAAATGCATCCTTTCCGCATCTTTCTCTGCTCCTCCTGCTGTTTTCATAATGGCAAAACCTGAAAAAAATAAAGTAGGTGATCTTACTTATTCTGGAACTCAGAAGCCCACAATAAGATACAGAGAGATGTTTCCAACAGGAATGCCCATTTATTTATAACCACACAGAAAAGTGATTGTAACATTTTTCTTCTAAATATTTTCTACATTCTTACATTCATTGTGTTAACTCAGGCTCTCTTCACCTCTTCTGAATTATGACAGGGCTCCCTGAATTCAGTCTTCTCCTCCAAGCTGTATTCCACACTATCAAAAGAAGGGTTGTCTGTTTAAATTTCAAATTTGCCTGTTTTTTTTTTTTTTTCCAGTCCTACCTTTATCTTTCTTTATCATCTTATCATCTTTCCAGTGTTTATAGAAATAGTTTCAACCTCCTTAGTATAGCTTATAAGGCTCTCTATGAACAACCTCTATCTATATCTTCAGTCTTATCAGCACTGAACATTGGATAATAGAGGTGTTACATTTCTCATGGTTTTCCATTTCTTCTATCTGTTGTTTCCCAATATTTGTGTTTTTTCCTCCCATGTCTTTACAAGTGCTCTTCACATTGCTAGTTCTTACGATTTTTAAAAAACTTTTATTGAGATATACTTATATAATATAAAATCAATCCATTTAAAATGTACAATTCTATGTTTTAATTATATGCACAGGCTTGTGCAACCATCACTAGAATTCAATTTTAGAAAATTGTCTTCATCACAAAAAGATGTTCATATTCATTTGCAGTCACTGCCTGTTCCCCTTTTTCCCTAGACCCAGGGAAAAGATAGTCTAATTTTTGTCCCTGATGATTTTCATATTTTGGACTTTTCATATATAAGTAGAAACATACAATATTGGTATTTTGTGACTAGCTTCTTTCACTTAGGGTAATATTTTCAAAGTTCATTCATGTTATATATTCATACTTCATTTTGTTTAAATGTCATATAATATTCCATTGGGTGGATGTACACATCTTGTTCATCCGTTTGTTAGAATATGGACATTAGCTTGCCTCTACTTTTTAGATATAAATAGTGCCAAGACAATATATTTGGTTTTTGTTTTATTCAGTCTGATAACTGCTGCTTCCTGATTGTTTAGCCCATTCATATTTGATGCAATTATTAATATAATTAGATTTGTGTGTCATTTTTCTTTTTGTTTCTGATATGTCTCATGACTATTTTGTTCCCCTGATGCTATTTTACTGTCTTTTTTGTATAATGTGATGCTTTCTAATATAAAATTTTTAATTCCTTTTAATTATATGTTTTGAGCTGTGTTCTTAATGCTTCCTCTAAGGCTTATAATATACTTCTTAAATTATTAGATTCTACTTCAGATTTGTACTAATTTATTTCTAGTGAAGAATAGAAATCTTATACCTATATAGCTCCTTTGCCCCAACCCTTCTTTTTTTTCTAATATTTTTTACATATCATGACCACGTATGTTACCTTTTGTCTTCTAATGAAGCTGAGAGAATGTAGAGTAAGTGCATAATTTTAGAATGTGCTGTATTGACCTCATTTACAATTTCTGCTTCTCCTTATTTCTTCCTGTGAATTCAAATTACAAATTATTGTCATTTTGTTACTCCAATTTAGCTATTTTTCAATGTCTTCTGTGTGCTATTATTGTCAAATACATTAGATTTCTATATATTACAGTTACATATATATCTATATATTCATATATGCATACATATTCATGTATAATTTGATGCAGTTATTTTTAAAGCAGCCAGCAGGAGAGATATACAACTACAGTTAACCCTTGAACAATGTGGAAGTTAGGGGCACCAACCCCATGGATGGCCAAAAATCCGCATATAACTTTTGACTCCCCAAGTAGTTACTAGTAATAACCTACTATTGACTGAAAGCCTTACCAATAACATAAACAGTCAATTTCCATATATTTTGTATATTACATGTATTAAAGACTGTATTTTTCTAATAAAGTAATTTTGAAAAATGAGCATATTATTAAGAAAGTCATAGGGAAGAGAAAATATATTTACCCTTATTCACTAAGTGGAAGTGGATCATCACAAAGGTCTTTCTCCTTGTCCTCTTCACACTGAATACTATGAGGAGGTGGAGGATGAGGAGCAGTTGGTATTTCTGTCTCTGAGAGGCAGATATGGAAGAGGAGGAAGAGGTAGAAAGGGAGGCAGTAGAGGCAGACACACTGAATAGCTTACACTAGAAAAATATCCACATAGAAGTGGACCTGTGAAGTTCAAACCAATGTTGTTCAAGTGTTAACTATATAATCTTTTATATATTACTTATTTTATTACTTTCACTGGTGCTCTTTTTTTCCCCCCAAGTGTATTTGAATTATTGTCTTTCATCACTTGGTTTAGTCTAAATAAATTATTTTAGTGTTTCTTGTGAAATACTAAAATAGAGCAGGCAGACCTGCTCACAACAAATTCTCAGTGTTTGTTCATCTGGTAATACCTTTTCTTTGGCCTTGATTTTTGAAAAATTTGCTGGATATAAAATCGTTGGGTGATATCTGTTTTATCCTTCAATACTTTGAATATTTTAACACACTACTTCTGCTCTCCATTGTTTATCATGAGAAAGCCGCTGTTGTTAGTCTTGGTGTGGTCTCTTGTCCATGCTAAGTTGTTTTCCTCTCGCTGCTTTCTAAATGTTCTTCTAATGATTGCCTTTCAACACTTTGACTGTGATATGTCTGAGCATCAATTCTTTGCGTTTGTCTTATGTGAAGATTGTTGATCTTGTTGGATATGTGTGAATTTTTCAACTATTATTTCTTAAAATATTTTCTGTTCCTTTCTTTTGGTATTCCGTAATTCATAAGTTAGTGTGCTTAATGGTGTCCCACATTTGAGGCATTGCTTATTTTTCTTAATTCTTTTTTCTCTGTTTCCTCAATTGTATTATCTCTATTCATCTATTATTAATTTTCCTTATTATTTTTTCCTCCAGGACAAATATAGCGTTGAGCATCATGAGTGATTTTTTTTCATTTGTTTATTGTACTTTTAACTCCAAAATTTTCATATTGTCCTTTTCAGTAATGACAACTTCTTTATTGCTGTTCTCTATTTGCTAAGACATTGTCATCATACCTTCATTTAATTACTTAAATATTATTTTCTTTAGTATTTTGAACATATTTATAATAACTCTTTTAAATTATTTATTTGCAATATCCACCATGGGGCTTTCTCAAAGGTAATTTATATGCCCTGCTACAATGCCATCTGTTTCTTAAATATGTATAGAGTCTGAAGAGCAGGGCAGGGTTAGCACCAGAATTGTTTCTTAAAGGCAAGCCCTGGGCCCTAAATTCACTAAAGCATGCTATTCACAGGCTAAAGTTATCATTGTTGTTGTTTTACAGTATATGATATGACAACAAGAAACACTTCTTAATCCTGCTGAATATAGACAGTATAACTCATGGGTTTTTAGAACCTTGTGAACCCACCGCTTATAAAATTTCCTCTTCTCTGAATGAAAAACAGGGATAAGAAGATCCAGAAGTATTTCTTCCACATTGTTGACTCTTGGAGAATGAAGTAGCAGCTTCCTCTTGAAACTCTATCTATCTATCTATCTATCATCTATCTATCTATCTATCTATCTATCTATCTATCTATCTATCTACCTATCCATCTATCTAGATATACTTAGATAGATAGATCAGCAGAACCATATTAACAGAGCCAATAGAAAATATATGTTTACAGAAAAGCCAGTGGTGTAATTCCACCCCATAAATATATACACCTACTATGTACCCGCAAAAATGAAAATAATTAAAACTAAAAGAAAAACAAAACCTCAAAACTCAGTGCTGTATTTCCAGGGTGAATCCAAACATCTGAAAACTAGGAGAGCCAGTGGTATAAATCCCAGTGAAATGGCAGGAAAAAACATATGTTTTAGCTCAGAAGGCAGGCAGGATGCAAAAAGGGTAAATTCCTCTTTTCCACTCTTTGTTTTGTTTAGGGCTCAATGGATTGGATGATGTCTACCTACATCCTCTATTTCTTTCTTTCTTCCTATCTATCTATTATCTAGATTATCTATCTATCTATCTATCTATCTATCTATCTATCTATCTATCTCTCTATCTATCTATGATCTAAATGATTTAGACCTAAATGATTTCTATGACAAACATAATTTCAAAGTATATTTTTATTCTCTTCACTAACACCATTGGTTGTATTAGTTTAATTTAAGCAAGTAATTTAAGCAAGAAAATTTATAAAACATTTTGAGTACACTGATGTTGATGTTTCTTTTCTTCTTAGAATATATGGACTGTGTATTCTTTGCTATGCGTAAGTGAACATGTGTGTGTTCTATTGAGTCATGTCAGAGTAAACATTATCTTCAATACAAACTGTACTGTGTGCTTCCTCAGAGGCAGCGGTTCGTAATACTGGATTTGAATGAAATTTTATACATGGATATTTCGAAACACTGAAGCCAGGCTAAATCACTTGAGATTCTGCCTCAGAAGGTTCGAGTTGGAGAGTGGATATTTTCATACACAATGACATTGATAGAAGGATTAATGATTTAAATGTGTAGAACACGCAGGTGATCAGAACTCTTTGAAATTAGTTTGCGAACTTTTCTGAATTCTCTGACAAAGGAGAAATCAGCTTTTCTTCTTTCTTGCCTGAGATAAGCTTAATGTAACTCTTCTTTGTAACTCAAATGCTCCCCCCGCCCTTTTTCTTTCTTTCTTTTCTTTTTTTTTTTTTTTTGAGATGGAGTCTTTAAGCTATTTGGCTAAATTACTAGGAGGGGCAGTAATGGGTGGATACCCATGATGGATGGGTATATGGAGGGAGAGATGAATGGGTGGAAAGTTAGATAAGTAGATAGATGTATGAGTAAGTAAGTGGAGGAATTTATGGATAATAGAATATAGGGTAGTGAGTAGACAGATCAATGATGAATGGATGGGTTGACTAGGAGCTAGATTGATGAATGGTGAGACAAATAAATGAATGGATGGATGAAGGAATAAAAGAAATGCAAGAAAGAGGAAAACGAAATGTTAACACCTTCTTGCAATGTTTAATCTACCAAATTAACCCCCAAAAATGATTTCCTATGTTCAGTAAAAAATGTGTAGCTTAGAAGAGATTTAATTTATTAATTATCCAGTTGTGAATGCTTCATAATTAGATCATAGGAATGTCCACTAAGCCCTGTGGGGGCTAGGTAGAAAAATCAAAGTGACAGCTCCAAGCCAGGTGAAATAAATATTTGATCTCTATTTTGACAGATACAATTATGAGGCATGCAACCTCTCTAACCGTAAGGATAAGCTAGTGACATGTGAGACAGACCAACAGAAATTTAGCAGTTCTTTTTGTCTTTAGAGAAGCAATACAGCTAATGAATTGCATTATAAAGACCATTTTTTGCTGAAACCAAAGTTATAGCTCAAACTTCCCGATAATTACCCCAAAGAAAAAAAGCACCAGTTTTTTTTGCTTTTGTTTTTATTCTTTTGCATTTATTGCCTCATTTAAGCTTGAGAACAACCCTTTGACATAGTGAAATATTTTAGTACTTTTTTTTGAGAAGGAAATCTCAGTGAGGAATTAGGTTAATTATCTTTCTAAGGTTTCTAAGATGATGATACATCTGTCACATGAAAAATCCATTAATCAAGACATTGATAAGAAAGTTTTTTAGTTTTTTTTTGTGTTATAGTGATAGCTTCATAAAATATCTCAGCAGAAACCCCCAATTTGTCTTTCAACATTTTATGTTCATTTTTGTCTTCCTTCAATAAGAGAGAGAAGATATAAGTTTCATGTCTCATTTTAGTTTACTCTCATTTGGGAGGCAATGAAGCCCTGAACAACATAATAACTGGGAATAAAATGTACATTATCTTATGTAGATTTGCGAGAATATACTTAATTACTGAATGCTGGGTATCAGGTGTATGGGTACCAACTGCCAAATACTATTAAAGCAACGTTGGGCCACACAGGCTTTTTAGCCTTTTCAAGTTTCTCTTGCCCTCCTTGTTAAATGATTATAAAAATATTATTTATTACTGCAGATAATACACTCAAATGTCAGCACAATTCTTGGCATATGATAAGTATTATTCCTATTTTGTTGCAGTTGAAAAACTGAAGATTTGAGAAAATAAGGGCCTTGTCCATTAGCTTAAAGCCAATAAATAGAAAAAGAACAATGCTTTTAAGTTATATTTTACGATTATTTTTCTAATACCCCTAATTATAAGAATTTAATTAATTATAAGCATTTACGATTGTGTAAATGAATTAACAAAGTTTATGTGATTGTTCCACGTTTGTGCTTCGGAGCCAATTATATTTTATCTTCACTCGTGGCTTTAGTCATTATCCTAATTAGCTCAAGTAAAATATATTTAAACATATATATATAAAGATTTATGCTACTAGAGATCAGTAGGTTTTCAATTAGCCTTTCCTTTCCAGTTGTACAATTTGGGAGGTAGTTTTTTGTTGCAGAGGAAGAAAATCTACATCCTTCTTGCCATTCTAAATGTAATAAAAGTATGTCAAAGTTGAAAACCCTTACAAAAACTTTACACCATCCTTGATCATAGCACATATTCTATTTACAATGGGAAATAATGATTAGTTCATTATATTCTCCAATGCAGCATACATTCTTGGAGGATGAGGTCTCTATTTTATGAATCATTATCACTATCACAATTTGCCTATTGACTGGCACATGGTAGATAATTGATACATATTTTTGGAATCGACCTGAATTGATTTGAATACAAGTCATTATTTTGCTAACAATTCAATAGATGTATTTACTGGCAACTGAGGTTGAGGAGAATCATAGATTTGATAATAAGATGAACAAATATTAAATAATGTGGAAGCAGCCTTATTATAAAAAAAGAACATCTTTCTTTAATTGTAATATAAATTATTGTTGTTATCATCGCCATCGTTATTTTTCCACCATCTATGTATCGTGATCACATTTAAAAGTGTTTCTAAATCATATTATAATATAAAAATGATGCATTCAATTAACATTTTTTAGAGAATATAATGTTGGCACGTGTTTTTGCAGGCACCTATATAATTTATTAGTAAACAAAAGTTCCCTACTTTGGTAGAATTTATATTGAAGTGAATGGGATAAGCAATATTCAATAAATAGAATAATAATATATGTAGTATATTAGAAATTTAAATGTTATAGGACAAAGAAAAGGTAGAAAGGAATGGGGAATTGAGATTTCCAGGTGGGAAGTGAGGCAGTTTACAGTGCTAAGAGTCTAGAGTGAACCTCTTTAAATGAGCAACAGGAGCCAATAATTGACAGAGGTGAGGAGTTTGAGAAGTGAGAGATTCGAAAATGTGGTCTTGAAATCATCAGTACCTGAGTTTTATTTTTACTTCCTTTAGTTACCTTTATATATGTTTCTTTGACTTGGCAGACTTTTGTTTGCACATCTAAAAAGTAAGGAAAATAATACTTTTTGTTCTACTGTTTGACTTATATAAATTGATCAGAACTTGCTGTGTAACACTAATTGTTATTTAATGCATGTTAAAAATAGAATGTGCTAAGAAATGTACCTCATGTTATGTACAATTACATGAGAGGTGAGATATTGTCATGGGTTGAAGAGCTCTTTGGCCCATCTCTGTGGCCTCACATTTCTAGGGTTTCAATATTTCCTAGAGTTTTTCTTTCTCCTGTAAGCAAATTTGCCAAATTCTGTGTCATTCAGCTCCACTTATGAATTCAAGTGAAAATAACAAAAAAGTCTGTCGAGAAATAGACTACAGAAATGCATTAAAAATCTCTACTAAAATGCATTAAAATAAATTTAAGAAAAAATACACATTTAGAGTAGTAGGGAATTAACAAGCTGATATGTAGATGTTTCACTATCTGCTGCTTTCAACAAAATTCACTTAGTAGAAAACAATTTTTGAAATGATTTTTGGAATAAGCATCTAGTGCAGCTGCTGTACTTTGGCAGTGGCAAAACTAAACAATTGGCTTAATCTAGCCTTCAAATGGCAGAAAGATTGGCACAAATAGCCCTAGGGGACCATGATATTCAAGCAGATTCACACAGGAAAAAAAAATACCTGTGGGAAATATTTCCACTGACTTAATCCCGACATCTACAAAATTTTATGCTGGATTGTATCCACTGTCTCCTCAGCACACTTGTCATTAAAGTTAATAAACCACCAATTTCTGTGCCTGTTGGATGGAAATGCAGCCATTGTCTGCCATGTCAATTAACTGTCAGAAAAAGGAGATTTAGAGGAGGGACTGAAAAAGCTCCTAAAGGAACACTTCTTGGACTTAAAAGAGAGGACTTGAAACCTCAAAACATTTAAGTAGATATAGAGCACTTGTAAATACAGAGACTTTTCAGTAAAAATACAGAAACAAAAAAAGTGCTTTGGAAGAATATAAGAATCCTGTTTTCTTTGTACAGTATGTGGCACCTACGTCAAACTCATTCACTTGCTAATTTGTTCATCCAATACTGATTTAGAATCCACTATATACCTGGCACTATTCTGGTAATTATTTATTCAATGATTAGCAAAACAGTTGCAAATCCCTATTGTCTAGTGAGAGAATGAGATATTAAACAGACAGGTAAATGGATAAATGACAACTATAACAAGTACAGATGGAAGTTAAACATTATGTATTAATATAACCATACAAATAAATGGTTCAACTATTAAAGCACTACTGTACCAACTGGTAAATAATCATCTTTTTTTTTTTCTTCCTGGCCCATCTTCTGGAACCCTTCACTTTTCCCTGCCACTCAGTAATAAATGGCAAACACTTGTTACAGCACAATGGCTTTGCCATAACACTCTGATAACCTTGCAAGACTCCACATAGCACAATAGCAAGGGTAACCTATAGTTTAACACAAATCTTTGTACAGTGTTCTGTGTTCCTCCAAGGAAAAAAAAGGAGGACAGGTATTTTGTTATGAGATGCTACAAAACTGTTTTTCTTCTACCTCCCTATCTCGCAGGAGGTTGCCATGAAGCAATATTTTATCTGTCTCTTGTGCCAGTGGAGCATGACACTTTCCACAGTGCACCTCTTCCCCTTCTTTGGGTACAGCTATAGACTTAAATTGTTTGGCTGTAATTTAGAGTTTGATCCATAATGGCAGAGAGACCTACCACTTGTGTTGTCTGTCATCTGGCACCCCTGGTCTGATGTCATCCAGAGACTGGGAGTGTGGGTTGCCAACACCATTCTGATGTTCCTTATACAATCATTGTGAGAAATAAACTGTCCAAATATGTTTGGACTCATTGCCTCCTTTCTAGCTGAATCTATGAGACTGTGTCAAGTCAGCTTAGGAGCCTCCACCATGCTGCTGCATGGAGACTGCTTAACTGCTTGAAACCTGCCAATACAGGAAACTAACAGGACCCTGCTCCAGCATTCAGGGAAGAGTAACATTCTATTGGTGTACATCCACACCATACCAATCATTTTATATTTTGAATATCACAATGCGTGAAAGTACTAGGAAGAAAAATATGATATTCTACAAGATAGTATAACATAGACGCTAAAATGATATTCGTAGTGCAAAATGAATTTCTGTGGGAATTAGCATTTCAACTAGGATCTGAGGAATGAGTAGGAACGGACCAGAAAGAATAGGGTACCAAATAATTTTCCACAACTTTAGGAAGAAGGGTCAGGTACATGTGAAGATGGTGAGGTATGTAAGAATATGTCTCATTCAATGAACTATAAAGAAGGCCAAAGAGAAATTATACTGTACACGTGGGTCAAAATATCTCCCTGGCAGCCTAGCAAAACACTAGTACTTACACCCGTAAAGATGGAGTTCTGAGACTTCCCAAATGGAACGCCCGTATAATTTTGTTGTCTCACTATTTGAAAGACATATTGATAGTTTTAGTGAGGAATAAAAAAAAATTTGAAGACTTTTTTGTCTATAAGTTTCATAAAGATAGGGATGTTGCTTTATGTTGTGTTGCATTTATAACTGACCTTATACTGAGTGTTAAAAATATCTGGTAAATGAAGGTGTGAGAGAAGGAAAGAAGTAAACAAGGAACCAAGAGAGGGAGGAAAGGAAAAAGAGAGAGAAGGATGTCTTTTATTTTAGAGGAGTATAAAATTTATAAAATGGCTGGGATATATTAGGCCTGCAGTAAATGCCTTTCAAAAGATTGAGAGAGGAGAAAGATGTAATAAAAATTACATGGAATGAAAAATATAATAAAGAAATAAAAATAATTTATAGTCTTAAATAATTAACCCTGATAATATATAAATTCCAAAGTACCAACACACACTTGTGATGTGACTTTACACAATCTTCCTGGAATAATTCACCTCTCGTTGGCTTGTTCAGGGGGATTTGAACAAAAAACGTGGGTGCATTCTAAACTAATTTCATGACCAGGGATATAAGGCAACATTATTATCGGCGTACCTTGGGTGGTGTGCACTGTGTAGACAAACAAACTTAATGACCTCTAAAGATAATATTGTGACAAACTATTTAAAATCTCAAACTGAAGATAGGGGAGTTTGTGTTCTATTGTAAAGACAATAAGAAATCACTGAAGTTGTTTTGTCAAGAGGAAATGGGTTAAAATAAAGTTTCATGAGAAACAAATATGTTGGATCATGCAGAATGACTTTGTGAAGGGGAAAGGAGAGACAGCGAGAGAGAGAAAATGCACAAAACTCAATGAGATAGTTGCAGCAATCTAGTCAAGGGTGGAAACAAATACCTAACTTTATTAGTCTTAAAAACAGCAAAGAAGAAACAAATGGAATTTATGACTGAATGGACATGAGCATAAAACTACTTTTGACATTAGAACAGAGATCATATGTGTGGGACATACAAGAATGACCCCTGAGAGCAGTCCACATTCTAATTCCTAGAACATGTGGATATGTGATTGGGTCAGTGCAAGCAGAGGTGGGATAATATGGCCACAAGCAAGGAATGCAGGCAGCCACTGTAAGCTGGGAAAGGCAAGGAACTGATTTTTCCCTGGAACCTGCAGAAGGAACCAGGATTGCTGACACCTTGACTTTGGCCCAGTAAGTCATATTTTGGATTTCTTATTTCTAGAATTTTAAGGCAATACGTTTTCGATGTTTTAAGCCACTAAGCTTGATGATTTGTTACAGCAGCCATAGGAAACTAATATAATCTGCTATTGGCAGTAATATAAAGAGTGAGAGAAGGTCCTGACTTCAATTTTATACATGCTGTTTTGGAGGAATCAGAAACATGTGCTGAGTGAAAATGTTTTTCAACAAATGAAACATAATGGAGTTCTGTTCACGGAAAACATGCAGATAGCACTCATAAATGAGTCATAGGTGTAACAGGAAATAAAGATTTTGGTGATTTCTTATGTTTGGGTAGAAAACAAGAAGGAAGAACAATAAGAGAAGGCTGGGAAGTAGTGAGAAAAAGATGAACAGGGGTGAAAAATGAAAGAAAGTGGGATTTGGTAGAGAAATCTTAATGGGAAAATTACCAGAAGAGTTGATGATCAGCTATTTCACATGCTACACAAATTTCCAGGGCAGTGAGGACTGTGGTTTTTCCATATTTGAAGAATCTCTAGTTTAAAGTGCTTTCCAATTCATGGAATAAAAAAAAATTAGAATACAAACACCAACATTTTTGCTAAAGTAATATTCCACAGAAGTCATAAAAATAATTGTTCCTTGGGGTAGGGTAGCATTACAATGGGAGACAATGTAAAGATGTTAAAAGTGTGCCATGGACTGAAGTTGTTTTATTTGTAGGTATACTAAGGGCCTGTCTTGTTGTCTTGTTCAACTTGGCTTTTAAACTGTTGGAGTGAAAGTAGCCCTGTTTGGAGTCAGAAAAATGCGGTACCAAAACCTAGCTGTTATCTTTCGCTTATTCTCTTTGATCCTAATTCTTTTTTAAATTGCAAATTGGCAAATTATACTTGTATATATGTATGAGATACAAAGTCATGTTAGTATTTATGAATGCAATGTAGAATAATTGAATCAGGTTAGTTGACATGTCAATTTCTCTAAATATTTATCATTTTTTATAGTGAGAACACTTGAAATTACTCTTAGCAAATTTGATATGTATCATAATATTTACTATATTCATCATATTGTGCAACAGACCTCCAAGAAAAAAAATCATATTCCAATTGAGGCTTTGTACCCTTTGACTTCATCTTTCCATCCCCTCGATGCTTCCCAGCCTCTATTTACCACCGTCCAACTCTCTGCTTTGAGTTTGTTTCAGAGACTACATATAAGTGAGAACGTGTGGTATTTGACTTTCTTACTCAGCTTATTTCACTTAGCATAATGCTCTTCAATTCCATCCATGTTGTTACAAATGACAAAATTTATTTCTTTTCAAAGGCTGAATAATATTTCCTTGTTTATATATAACACATTTTCTTTGATGGTGAACACAGGTTGATTTCTTTTTTTTTATTAATATACTTTAAGTTTTAGGGTACATGTGCACAATGTGCAGGTTAGTTACATATGTATACATGTGCCATGCTGGTGCACTGCACCCACTAACTCGTCATCTAGCATTACGTATATCTCCCAATGCTATCCCTCCCCTCCCCAACCCCACAACAGTCCCCAGAGTGTGATGTTCCCCTTCCTGTGTCCATGTGTTCTCATTGTTCAGTTCCCACCTATGAGTGAGAATATGCGATGTTTGGTTTTTTGTTCTTGCGATAGTTTACTGAGAATGATGATTTCCAGCTTCATCCATGTCCCTACAAAGGACATGAACTCATCATTTTTTTATGGCTGCATAGTATTCCATGGTGTATATGTGCCACATTTTCTTAATCCAGTCTATCATTGTTGGACATTTGGGTTGGTTCCAAGTCTTTGCTATTGTGAATAGTGCCACAATAAACATATGTGTGCATGTGTCTTTATAGCAGCATGATTTATAGTCCTTTGGGTATATACCCAGTAATGGGATGGCTGGGTCAAATGGCATTTCTAGTTCTAGATCCCTGAGGAATTGTCACACTGACTTCCACAATGGTTGAACTAGTTGACAGTCCCACCAACAGTGTAAAAGTGTTCCTATTTCTCCACATCCTCTCCAGCACCTGTTGTTTCCTGACTTTTTAATGATTGCCATTCTAACTGGTGTGAGATGATAACTCATTGTGGTTTTGATTTGCATTTCTCTGATGGCCAGTGATGATGAGCATTTTTTCATGTGTTTTTTGGCTGCATAAATGTCTTCTTTTGAGAAGTGTCTGTTCATGTCCTTCACCCACTTTTTGATGGGGTTGTTTGTTTTTTTCTTGTAAATTTGTTTGAGTTCATTGTAGATTCTGGATATTAGCCCTTTGTCAGATGAGTAGGTTGTGAAAATTTTCTCCCATTTTGTGGGTTGCCTGTTCACTCTGATGTTAGTTTCTTTTGCTGTGCAGAAACTCTTTAGTTTAATTAGATCCCATTTGTCAATTTTGGCTTTTGTTGCCATTGCTTTTGGTGTTTTAGACATGAAGTCCTTGCCCATGCCTATGTCCTGAATGGTAATGACTTGGTTTTCTTCTAGGGTTTTTATGGTTTTAGGTCTAACATTTAAGTCTTTAATCCATCTTGAATTGATTTTTATATAAGGTAGTAAGGAAGGGATCCAGTTTCAGCTTTCTACATATGGCTAGCCAGTTTTCCCAGCACCATTTATTAAATAGGGAATCCTTTCCCCATTGCTTGTTTTTCTCAGGTTTGTCAAAGATGAGATAGTTATAGATGTGTGGCATTATTTCTGAGGGCTCTGTTCTGTTCCATTGATCTATATCTCTGTTTTGGTACCAGTATCATGCTGTTTTGGTTACTGTAGGCTTGTAGTATAGTTTGAAGTCAGGTAGTGTGATGCCTCCAGCTTTGTTCTTTTGGCTTAGGATTGACTTGGCGATGCGGGCTCTTTTTTAGTTCCATATGAACTTTAAAGTAGTTTTTTCCAATTCTGTGAAGAAAGTCATTGGTAGCTTGATGGGGATGGCATTGAATCTATAAATTACCTTGGGCAGTATGGCCATTTTCATGATATTGATACTTCCTACCCATGAGCATGGAATGTTCTTCCATTTGTTTGTATCCTCTTTTATTTCCTTGAGCAGCGGTTTGTAGTTCTCCTTGAAGAGGTCCTTCACGTCCCTTGTAAGTTGGATTCCTAGGTATTTTATTCTCTTTGAAGCAATTGTGAATGGGAGTTCACTCATGATTTGGCTGTTTGTCTGTTATTGGTGTATAAGAATGCTTGTGATTTTTGTACATTGATTTTGTATCCTGAGACTTTGCTGAAGTTGCTTATCAACTTAAGGAGATTTTGGGCTGAGACAGTGGGGTTTTCTAGATATACAATCATGTTGACTGCAAACAGGGACAATTTGACTTCCTCTTTTCCTAATTGAATACCCTTTATTTCCTTCACCTGCCTAATTGCCCTGGCCAGAACTTCCAATACTATGTTGAATAGGAGTGGTGAGAGAGGGCATCCCTGTCTTGTGCCAGTTTTCAAAGGGAATGCTTCCAGTTTTTGCCCATTCAATATGATATTGCTGTGGGTTTGTCATAGATAGCTCTTATTATTTTGAGATACGTCCCATCAATACCTAATTTATTGAGAGTTTTTAGCATGAAGGTTGTTGAATTTTGTCAAAAGCCTTTTCTGCATCTATTGAGATAATCATGTGGTTTTTGTCTTTGGTTCTGTTGATATGCTGGATTACATTTATTGATTTGTGTATATTGAACCAGCCTTGCATCCCAGGGATGAAGCCCACTTGATCATGGTGGATAAGCTTTTTGATGTGCTGCTGGATTCGGTTTGCCAGTATTTTATTGAGGATTTTTGCATCAATGTTCATCAAGGATATTGTTCTAAAATTCTCTTTTTTTGTTGTGTCTTTGACCAGCTTTGCTATCAGGATGATGCTGGCCTCTTAAAATGAGTTAGGGAGGATTCCCTCTTTTTCTATTGAGTGGAATAGTTTCAGAAGGAATGGTACCAGTTCCTCCTTGTACCTCTGGTAGAATTTGGCTGTGAATCCATCTGGTCCTGGACTCTTTTTGGTTGGTAAGCTATTGATTATTGCCTCAATTTCAGCTCCTGTTATTGGTCTAGTCAGAGATTCAACTTCTTCCTGGTTTAGTCTTGGGAGAGTGTGTTGAGGAATTTATCCATTTCTTCTAGATTTTCTAGTTTATTTGCGTAGAGGTGTTTGTAGTAATCTCTGATAGTAGTTTGTATTTCTGTGGGATCGGTGGTGATATCCCCTTTATCATTTTTTATTGTGTCTATTTGATTCTTCTCTCTTTTTTTCTTTATTAGTCTTGCTAGCGGTCTATCAATTTTCTTGAGCCTTTCAAAAAACCAGCTCCTGGATTCATTAATTTTTTGAAGGGTCCTTTGTGTCTCTATTTCCTTCAGTTCTGCTCTGATTTTAGTTATTTCTTGCCTTCTGCTAGCTTTTGAATGTGTTTGCTCTTGCTTTTCTAGTTCTTTTAATTGTGATGTTAGGGTGTCAGTTTTGGATCTTTCCTGCTTTCTCTTGTGGGCATTTAGTGCTAAAAATTTCCCTCTACAGACTGCTTTGAATGTGTCCCAGAGATTGTGGTATGTTGTGTCTTTGTTCTCGTTGGTTTCAAAGAACATCTTTATTTCTGCCTTCATTTCGTTATGTACCCAGTAGTCATTCAGGAGCAGGTTGTTCAGTTTCCATGTAGTTGAGCGGTTTTGAGTGAGTTTCTTAATCCTGAGTTCTAGTTTGATTGCACTGTGGTCAGAGAGATAGTTTGTTATAATTTCTGTTCTTTTACATTTGCTGAGGAGAGCTTTACTTCCAACTATGTGGTTAATGTTGGAATAGGTGTGGTGTGGTGCTGAAAAAAATGTATATTCTGTTGATTTGGGGTGGAGAGTTCTGTAGATGTCTATTAGGTCCGCTTGGTGCAGAGCTGAGTTCAATTCCTCGGTATTCTTGTTAACTTTTTGTCTTGTTGATCTGTCTAATGTTGACAGTGGGGTGTTAAAATCTCCCATTATTCATGTGTGGGAGTCTAAGTCTCTTTGTAGGTCACTCAGGACTTGCTTTATGAATCTGGGTGCTCCTGTATTGGGTGCATATATATTTAGAATAGTTAGCTCTTCTTGTTGAATTGATCCCTTTACCATTATGTAATGGCCTTCTTTGTCTCTTTTGATCTTTGTTGGTTTAAAGTCTGTTTTATCAGAGACTAGGATTGCAACCCCTGCCTTTCTTTGTTTTCCATTTGCTTGGTAGATCTTCCTCCATCCTTTTATTTTGAGCCTGTGTGTGTCTCTGCATGTGAGATGGGTTTCCTGATTATAGCTCATTGATGGGTCTTGACTCTTTATCCAATTTGCCTGTCTGTGTCTTTTAATTGAAGCATTTAGTCCATTTACATTTAAAGTTAATATTGTTATGTGTGAATTTGATCCTGTCATTATGATGTTAGCTGGTTATTTTGCTCGTTAGTTGATGCAGTTTCTTCCTAGTCTTGATGGTCTTTACATTTTGGCATGATTTTGCAGTGGCTGGTACCGGTTGTTCCTTTCCATGTTTAGTGCTTCCTTCAGGGGCTGTTTTAGGGCAGGCCTGGTGGTGACAAAATCTCTCAGCATTTGCTTGTCTGTAAAGTATTTTATTTCTCCTTCACTTATGAAGCTTAGTTTGGCTGGATATGAAATTCTGGGTTGAAAATTCTTTTCTTTAAGAATGTTGAATATTGGCCCCCACTCTCTTCTGGCTTGTAGAGTTTCTGCTGAGAGATCTCCTGTTAGTCTGATGGGCTTCCCTTTGTGGGTAACCCAACCTTTCTCTCTGGCTGCCCTTAACATTTTTTCCTTCATTTCAACTTTTGGGAATTTGACATTTATGTGTCTTGGAGTTGCTCTTCGCGAGGAGTAGAAGAGCAACTCCTACTTCTTTGTGGCATTCTCTGTATTTCCCGAATCTGAATGTTGGCCTGCCTTGCTAGATTGGGGAAGTTCTCCTGGATAATATCCTGCAGAGTGTTTTCCAACTTGGTTCCATTCTCCCCATCACTTTCAGGTACACCAATCAGACGTAGATTTGGTTTTTTCACATAGTCCCATATTTCTTGGAGGCTTTGTTCATTTCTTTTTATTCTTTTTTCTCTAAACTTCCCTTCTTGCTTCACTTCATTCATTTCATCTTCCATCACTGATACCCTTTCTTCCAGTTGATGGCATCGGCTCCTGAGGCTTCTGCATTCTTCACGTAGTTCTTGAGCCTTAGCTTTCAGCTCCATCAGCTCCTTTAGGCACTTCTCTGTATTGATTATTCTAGTTATACATTCGTGTAAATTTTTTTCAAAGTTTTTAACTTCTTTGCCTTTGGTTTGAATTTCCTCCTGTAGCTCATATTTTGATCATCTGAAGCCTTCTTCTCTCAACTCGTCAAAGTCATTCTCCGTCCCGCTTTGTTCCATTGCTGGTGAGGAACTGCGTTCCTTTGGAGGAAGAGAGGTGCTCTGCTTTTTAGAGTTTCCAGTTTTTCTGCTCTGTTTTTTCCCCATCTTTGTGGTTTTGTCTACTTTTGGTCTTTGATGATGGTGATGTACAGATGGGTTTTTGGTGTGGATGTCCTTTCTGTTTGTTAGTTTTCCTTCTAACTGACAGGACCGTCAGCTGCAGGTCTGTTGGAGTTTGCTAGAGGTCCACTCCAGACCCTGTTTGCCTGGGTATCAGCAGCGGTGTTTGCAGAACAGCGGTTTTTCGTGAACCGCGAATGCTGCTGTCTGATCATTCTTCTGGAAGTTTTGTCTCAGAGGAGTACCCGGCCGTGTGAAGTGTCAGTCTGCCCCTACTGGGGGGTACCTCCCAGTTAGGCTGCTCAGGGGTCAGGGGTCACGGACCCACTTGAGGAGGCAGTCTGCCGGTTCTCAGATCTCCAGCTGCGTGCTGGGAGAACCACTGCTCTCTTCAAAGCTGTCAGACAGGGACATTTAAGTCTGCAGAGGTTACTGCTGTCTTTTTGTTTGTCTGTGCCCTGCCCCCAGAGGTGGAGCCTACAGAGGCAGACAGGCCTCCTTGAGCTGTGGTGGGCTCCACCCAGTTCGAGCTTCCCGGCTGCTTTGTTTACCTAAGCAAGCCTGGGCAATGGCGGGTGCCCCTCCCCCAGCCCCGCTGCTGCCTTGCAGTTTAATCTCAGACTGCTGTGCTAGCAACCAGCGAGACTCCGTGGGCATAGGACCCTCCGAGCCATGTGCGGGATATAATCTCCTGGTGCGCCGTTTTTTAAGCCCGTCAGAAAGGCGCAGTATTCGGGTGGGAGTGACCCGATTTTCCAGGTGCTGTCTGTCACCCCTTTCTTTGACTAGGAAAGGGAACTCCTTGACCCCTTGTGCTTCCCGAGTGAGGCAATGCCTCACCCTGCTTCGGCTCGTGCACGGTGCGCTGCATCCACTGACCTGCGCCCACTGTCTGGCACTCCCTAGTGAGATGAACCCGGTACCTCAGATGGAAATGCAGAAATCACCCGTCTTCTGCGTTGCTCATGCTGGGAGCTGTAGACCGGAGCTGTTCCTATTTGGCCATCTTGGCTCCTCCCCTCCAGGTTGATGTCTTAAATTGACTATTGTAGATATTGCTGCAATAAACATGGGAATGCAGATATCTGTTTGACATACTGATTTCAAATCTTTTGGATAAATGCCCAGAAGCAGGATTACTGGGTCACACAGGAATTCTATTTTCAGTGTTTTGAGAAACCTCCATATGGTTTTCTTCAATGGCTGTACTAATTTACTCTACCACCAACAGTGTGCCAGGATTCCCTTTTCACCACATTCCTGCCAATGTTTGTTAACTGTCAGATGAGGATAATTACTTATCTCTTAGGATTAATGAGAATATTTAGATGTTAATTCATGGTAACTGGCACATTTACCTGCTACATGCTGGTAATTACATAATGGTGGTGATTGTTTTATATAATCTCAGAAAAAGAGGCTGAGAAAATGAGAATAAAAGTCAAGTTAAAAGCATTATTAGATAACAGGATGTATGTGGGATAACCATAAATATAGTAATATAGAAACAGCAAGTTTTTTCACTTTATACCCAGCCCAACATTAGTTAAGGTAGTATTAATTTTCATAATTGATCAGCAAACTACCTATGTAGTTTACAGGACCACATCTCATCCAGGATTTTAAAAGATGCATATGTATATTGAGCTGATAATATCTGCCTAAGTAAGGAACAATCAGATAATCTTCACTTCTTTGAAATCTCTTTAAAATTAATAACTACAGGGTATATTATACTATGTGGCTATTCCTCCTAGCAATTACTACCTCCTAGAACACTTCAAGTAGACAAAGGCAAAATGGATTAATAGTAACTTTTGATAGAATTTTGTCCTTATGAAATCAATAAATTCTATAGTAAAGAAATATTAGATGCTTCTAGATTATATCTCAAAGCATTTTTTTTTACTGTATTTATTTACCTAGATAGTCAATCCAGGTTCATATATATCACTGAAATTTCTTGTTCTCAATGCATGGTATAAAAGGAAATGCCTGATATTCATTTTCATGAAGACAAACATGTTTTATTTTTAATGATAGAGTAAGTAAAAGTTTCAGACATTTTCAGAAAGTACAATTTCTAGATGTGTAGTTCAGAGTCTAGAACCTATTAATTAAGATTTAAAAGCTATGTAGAGTATCAGTAAAGTAGCTGAGAAGTCCCATTAAGATTCCCAAGATTAATATAAGGAACAACAGCCTATATAGGAAGACGTCTAAACCAAATAATTTTCAAAGAGCAATCATCTAATTTCTAATAATAAAGAGTGGACATGTGAAAATTGTCATTCTTCCTCTCTGCATAATTTTCACCATTTTTCTTTGTTATCAATTCTAGACATGTAATTCAAGTTTATGAATTGCATACTAGATGTTTGATGAAATTCACCTGGCCTAAAAGTAAATTTTAAAGAGATAGTTTTCTGCTGAAATCTCCATTTCTTCAGTTTTCTCCACAGAAAACTCTCTCTGCCAAGGGCCTTGATTCATATTCAAAGCTTCTCTGGAATATCTCTGTCTACCAAGAAAGAATATCAACAAAATTTGATAGCCATTGAAATCAATGTGTTTGTGCTTTAATAACTCACAAAAAGGCTGAATAAATTATTTGTTTTTGAAGCATTCTCTGGGTGAAATATAAAACATGAGATTATAAACTTTGAAAGCAATTTTGAGGAAAAGTTATAGGTTAACAAAATTTAGAAAGTGTCTGTCTAGTCATTAAAATGATTAATAAACTAGTATGATAATTTTACATATAAATTTTTTAATTAATACCTACTGTTTTGAAGAGAGGTTTAGGAAGAGAGTTTAAAGAAGGAACAATATGAAATGTATGTAGAATATTAAATGGCTCATTTAAAAAATAAATATTAGGAAATAAAATCACATGTTGTTTTGTCTACTCTGGTACATTGACTAGATGTGTCTATTACTATAGATAGCACCCAAGGAATCATAAATTCCTTTAGATAGAGGGAACATTTAAAAATCATCTACTCAAAAATTCTTACTTTGCACACAGGGAATCTGAGATCAAACAGTAAGTGGCAAAGATAATGCAATAACTGTGACTCATGGATCATTAATCTCTCCTGGAGTAATTTTTAGATATTCTTAAGATAAGATAGTACACTTAAGTTTTCTAGGGGAAGTGGTTTTTCATTGTAGTTTTACTTGCTTTATCTGATAAATAATTAGGTTGAACATATTCTCATGAGCATTTTTGTATTTTGAATATAACCATTTTACATATAAATAAACCACTTTTCATTTATTCAATTATTTGACCAATTTTTAAAAAATGTGGTTGTTTGTATTTTTAATTTATTTACTACCTAAGTCTATTTAACTTTTCTTAATGGTTGTCTTCTTATTGTTGAGCTGTAAGTTTCATTTGTATGTTTTGGATTCGAGTCCTTTCACTGATGTACATTTTCTCTTGTTTATGACTTGGCTTTTCATTCTCTCTGTAGTGTCTATTGAAGAACAACATTTTATATATAATAAAATTATATTTACATTTTTCTAATGTTTGGGGTTTTTGTCTATTTAAGAAATATTTGTCTATCTCAAAGTCACAGTAATTTTATTCTAGAAGATTTATGTTTGAGCTTTTACATTTAGGTCAATAATTCATTTCTAATTTTTGTTTGTGAATAGTGTGAGGAAAAGATCAAGGTTGATTTTATACATGCACACATGCATTACGTTTATATATATAATGGCTGATATATTATATATAAGATATATAACATATTTTATACATTGTGAAATATATATTTTATATGCATATTATATTATATACACATATAATGTGTGTGCATGTGCAAAATATATATTTTACATTATATATTTTATATATATAGTGGATATAATATATTCATTATATCAGTTGATATATCCATTATATAATGTAAAAATATATATGTATACATTATATAATGGATATATACATATATAATGTGTGTGCATGTGTAAAGTATGTCTAATATATATATTATATATATATAATATATGATAAAATCTCCAATTGCTTTCTCACTATTTATTAAACTTAGTATTTTTAATGCATTGAATTACAGTTTGTCTTTCTCAACAATCAAATAACTATGTATGTTTTCAACTGACTATATATTTGGGTCAATTTCCAGATTCTGTCCTGATCCATTGTCATATATGTCTATGCTTATGCCAACAACACACTGCTATTAATATAGCTTTAGAGTTAGTCTTAAAATCAGATGGCATTAGTCCTACAGCTAGTGCTTTTCTAAAGATGTTGGAGACACATTTTAAAAATAGCTTGTCAAATTTACCAAAGTAATCCTGTGGGAATTACAGTCTGTTTGTATTTTATCTGTACATTCATTAATTTAGGGAGACCAGACATTATAAGAATATTAAATCTCGTGTTCAACAGCAAAAATATTTTAATTCATAGACATTGTATATCTTTCTGTTTATTTAAAATTTTTATTAGTCTTAGTAATGTTTTGTAATTTTCAACACAAATGTTTTTAACATTCTTCATTAAATTTTTTCCTAACAATTCTGAATGCATTTTTTCTCTTTTTTTCATACTCTTTTCTTTCTAGTATTCCAGTGTACATATGTTGAAGTGGTTAATATTATTGTAAGCATTTTTGAGGCCCTGTTCATGTTTCTTCAAACTTTTTTTCTCTTCACTGTTCTTCAGAATGAATCATTTCTATTAGTATCACGTCATATCTACTGGCCCTTTTTCTGCCATCTTCATTTTTTTAATGTGCATCCAATTTCATTTTTCTTTTTAGAATTTTCATTTGCTTTTAAAAATAACATTGTGCAACTTTTATGTTAAGATTTCCTCTTTTGTCAAGAACACATTACCTATAAGTTCCTAATCCTATTTTTAATAGCTGCCTTAAAGTGTTTTTCTGCTATATTCAACATATAGACTATCTAGATATTGGTTATCATCATCTAGTCTTGTGTGTGACTTTGAATCATATATACATATATTAATAACTGGTGAGATTTTATGTTGCGATGGAGATTGTGGTTGATATATTACAGAGACTCTGTATTTTATCTCTTGAATATTTTTAATTGTTGTTCTAGAATGCTGTTAAAATACTGGTAATCAACTTGATTTGTGTACGGTTTGTTTTATTCTTTGCCTATTGCCAGTACTTAAAAAGTTCAAGGTAGTACCCAAGCTCCTCTTATTTAATTGAGCTAAACCTCCAAAGATGTGTCCCCACCCCTCCCAAGTTCTGTCTAGGTTTGATTTAGATTTTTTTAAGGTAGGTTTGAAATAGGCCTTATTCTAGGGCAGGGATCAAAAAACATTTGCTGTAAGTGAACACACAGTAAATATTTTAGTCTGAGCAGACCATATGGTTAACTACTGAATTCCACCATTGTATCACAAAAGCAAGTAGACTATACTTAAACAAATAAAGGTGGTTGTGTTTTAATAAAATTTGCATACAAAATCAGTCAGTAAGCAAGATTTTGACTGTGGGCTGTAGTTTGCCAACAACTCTTTAGTGCTTAGCTATTAATCTAAAGACTGCTGTTTTGATTGCCTGTGGTATTAAGAGTTTATGGGTGTCTCTGGAGCTCTACTATCCTTCTACGGTGCTTAACCTTGAGTTTTTCTCTTCTCCTCTCAGCCATGTAGAATTTGTTCTATTATTGCCCTTGTATAATTTATTACCCTGGTATGTGTAGACCAACTCTCAGCCAAGGATGTACAGGAACACTCCTGTTACCCAAGCTGATTTTTGGGAGCCCCACCCCTGCTCACTTCATATTTCTCTGATGCCCTGTCCCGCATATTGTAGCCATTTAATCTGTTCTAAACTCTGCTTTCCGCTTCAATTGCTCAGTGCAACTACAGTGATCATCTTGGGCCATTGCTCTTCGCACCTTGGTTAAGAAATTGCCATCAGGCAGAAAGCTGGTGCAGTCATGGGGCTTACCTAGTCAGTTTCCTATATTTCAAGGTTCGTAGCCTGGCACAATTGGTTCACAGTTGTTTATAGGAGGAGGGCTAGTCCAATATTGATTACCCTGTCATCTCTGACATGTCTAGAAGCAGATAATTTGAATCCTTTTTTTAAGTTATATTTTAGGTTTGAGAGTACATGTGAAGGTATGTTGCATAGGTAAACCCTTGTCCTGGTGGTTTGTTGTACATATTATTTTCTCACCCAGGTTTTAATCCCAGTACCCAATAGTTATCTTTTCTGCTTCTCTCCCTCCTTTCTACTCCTCCTGCCCACTCAAGTAGACTCTAGTGTCTGTTGTTTCCTTCTTTGTGTTCCTATGTTCTTATCATTTAGCTCCCACTTATAAGTGAGAACATGGAGTATTTGGTTTTCTGTTCCTGTGTTAGTTTGCTAAGGATAATAGCCTAATCCTTCTTTAAATATCAAGAAATATAAATATCTAACTAGAATTTAAGAAAAAATATTTCTTCACATTAACTGAAAATGCAGGGTTCATTGATTTCAGGCATGGTTTGAATGAGTTTTTCATGTCACCAAAGCCTGCTGTATATTTATTTCTTATTTTTTATGTTTTATTTTATTCTATAGGACAGTATAGCTGTTCTCTTTTATCCCAGCAACAATGTATATTTGAGTTTAGGCCTAAACATCTTCATATTACTCTGCAAAGAGAAATAATATACTGTATCTTCCCTTAGATGAAGAAGAGACAGCTTTTATTCCAGAAAACATCAGTAAATATCTTCTAGTTTCTGCATAAAGTCATTTAAGTGCCTAAATCAATTTTCAATTATTTAACTAGAGAGTTAAGAGATAGAGTGATTGCTTTAAGAAATTACGTCTCCATCTTTGCAACTGAGCATTGAGATCTCACCTAGCATGTATGGCTACAAAAGAATGTGAGGCAGAATGGATGAGAAAGAGTGGAGTTATTACTCACATTTTAGGAGGCCAGTCCATCTCATGACTTGTTCATCTGGTTTTCTGAGTTTTGGTGGGAACACACACATGCGCGCGCACACACACACGCATACACTTTCTCTTTCTTGAGGAATTCTAGGAATTATCTTAGGAATTAAGATGAACCATGCATTTGTACTTTATGTTCTTAGAGCCTTAAAAATGGTTTACCGAGCTGAATTATAAAATCTGTTAGAATTTTATTTTAGAAACTACTACTTGGAAAACTCCTGCATCTTCTGTGTCTCTGGTAGGTTTACTATCTTTGATAATGAGAATTTTGGAGCCAACAGCATTACTTTTTACAAGCAGCTACTAGAGGTCTTGGAACAAAATTTTCAGCTCAGCCAAGACAAATAAGTTTTAAGGCTCCACTATCAGTGCTTTTTTTCTGCTGTTGCATCCCCTACCCTACCTTTATATCACATTCATGCAGCATATTATCATATATTTTTTCCATAAACCTGATATGTCTTTAAGATTTTATTACTTTTAATGTGAAATTGTCTCACATCCTTTTCAGAGGAAAGTAAGGTATAGTTTTATATTCTATAAACCTCAGTGAAATTTATCAGAGAAATTAAAATAAAGACAACTGGATAGTTTTACCTAGAGGGAAAGGGGTGAAGGGAGAATTTTTAAAAATTGTATCAAAGAGTTATTTCAGAATCATTGAATTACAAATCTAACGTATGACTGATGAGTCAGAACTTCGCAAATTTAGCTAGTTGCCAAAATTTTATAAAATTATTCACTGAAATTTCAATAAAATGTAATAATCTAGCCTCACATCCTTTTTCTTTTCTGCTTCATCCAACACAGTTATACCTTCATGTTTCCCAGAAGAAAACAGAGTTTGTGCACAGAACACGCTACTGGTGCTATCCTTTAGAATCTAGCTCTACTTAAGGTCCATTCTGAGAAAAAATAACAAGTAACACCTCCTTGGAGCACTACACTTAGAGTGAGCCAGAAACAAAACCAAGCTCCAGCTTTTTATGGTCTGTAAAAATTTGAAGTTCTACATTTTTGTAATTGTTAATAAAGTGTATTAAGAATTTACATTAAGAATGTGGTACATATACACCACGGAATAGTAGGCAGCCATATAAAGAATGAAATTATGTCCTTTGCAGCAACATGGATGAAGATGGAGGCCATAATCCTAAGCACATTAATACAGGAACAGAAAACTAAATGCTACATATTCTCACTTATAAGTAGGAGATAAGCATGGAGTGCACATAGACATAAATATGGGAACAATGGACACTGTTGTCTACTAGAGCAATTATCCTCAACCTTTGTGGCACCAGTGACCAGTTTCATGGAAGACCATTTTTCCACGTACCTGAGATGGGGTCGGGGAGGGGTTTCATGATTATTCAAGTGCATTATATTTGTCACTAGATTCTCATAAAGAGCATGCAGCCCAGATCCCTTACATGCGTAGTTCACAATAGGGTTCATGCCCCTATGAAAATCTAATGCTGCTGCTGACCTGGCAGGAGGTGAAGTTCAGCTTTGCTCACTTGCCAGCTGTTTACCTCCTGCTGTGCTGCCCAGTTCCTAACAAACCACAGAGCAGTACCAGTCTGTGGCATAGGGGCTGGGGACCACTGTACTAGAGGGTGGAGGGAGGAGGTTAGGTTGAAAAACTACCTACTGGGTAGGATAGTCACTATTAGCATGATGGGATCTATATTGCAAACCTCAGCATCATGCAATATCCGCATGTAACAAATCTGCACACGTACGCCCTGTATCTAAAATAGAAGTTTTAAAAAAAAATTATAAAAAATAATTATGGCTACTCTGTATGATTTAATCCAGTACCTAATCCTTTCCAAACTGGAATCAAAGTATTACAACATGGGATGGTATCTGCAAGTCCTTTTATTACTTTTTCTTATTCTTTTTGTCAACTCTGGTTTCCCAAGATCTCTTGGCTGGATTTTTACCAGGTAAAAAAAGGTAAATCATTAAAACCCTGGGCATGGCCAGGTGCAGTGGCTCATGCTTGTAATCCCAGCTCTTTGGGAGGCTGAGGCAGGCAGATCATCTGAGGTCAGAAGATCGAGACCAGCATGGCCACCATGGCAAGATCCTGTTTTTACTAAAACAGAACAAAAATTAGCTGGGTGTGGTGGCATGCACCTACAATGCCAACTACTTAAGAGGCTGAGGCACAAGAATAACTTGAACCCAGGAGGTGGAGTTGCAGTGAGCCGGGATCATGCTACTGCACTCCAGCCTGGGTGACAGCGGAGTGAGACTCCGAAAAAAAAAAAAAAAAAAAAAAACACTTGGGCATGAATGACAATAAAATTTTCAAAGGCAAATTTGCTATTTTTGTTAGAATTTATTCTTCCTGCCCTGATACAAGCTTCCTGAATTGTTATTGATTGCCTTTATGATGAATTTATGACAAGTAATATAAACTGTATTACTTATCATATAGTCATATATTACTATTGAACTGGTACTACTCTAAGTATTTTACAGATATTGACTAATTTAATTCTCCCAACAAGCCTATAAGTTAAGTACTATTATTCATCTTTAAAGAAGAGGAAACTGAAGCATGGGGAGATTAAATATTTAAGTAGTAAAAATTAATAAGGGGTAAAAACTAGTACTCCAATTTCAATGTGAACTCCAGTGTTCATCTCCTACCATATTTGTTTTGCTGTCTCTCTATAGTGAAAGACAACAATGTTGTCCTTCTATTTTTGAGTATGTTCCTTCAATACCTAATTTATTGAACATGAAGGGATGCTGAGTTATATCAAAGGCCTTTTTCTGTGTCTATTGAGATAATCATGTGGGTTTTTTTTCTTTAGTTCTGTTTATGTGATGAATTTACATTTACTGATTTGTGTATGTTGAACCAGCCTTGGATCCTGGATGTAAAGCCAACTTGATTGTGGTGGATAACCTTTTTGATGTGCTGCTGGATTCGGTTTGCCAGTATTTTATTGAGGTTTTTTCATTAATGTTCATCAGGGATATTTGTCTGAAGTTTTCTTTTTTTGTTGTATGTCTGCCACGTTTTGGTGTCAGAATGATGCTGACCTCATAAAATGCATTGGGGAGGAGTCCTTCCTTTTCAACTGTTTGTGATAGTTTTAGTAGAAATAGTACCAGCTCTTCTTTGTACCTCTGGTAGAATTCACCTGTAAATCCGTCTGGTCCTGGGTTTTTTTTTTTTTTTTAAATTTTTGGTTGGTAGGCTATTTCTTACTGCCTCAATTTTAGAACTCATTATTGGACTATTTATGGATTCAGTTTCTTCCTGGTTCAGTCTTGGGAGGGTGTTTGTTTCTAGGAACTTATTCATTTCTTCTGAATTTTCTAGTTTATGTGCATAGAGGTGTTTATAGTATTCTCTGATTTTTTTGTATTCCTGTGGAAGTCAGTGATGGTATCTCCATGATCCCATTTCTATTGTGTCTTCTCTCTTTTCTTCTTTATTAGTCTAGCTAGTATTCTATATATTTATTAGTTTTTTTTTTTTTTTTCAAAAAAACAGCTCCTGGGTTCATTGATTTTTTGAAGGTTATTTTGTGTCTCTAGCTCCTTCAGTTCAGCTTTGATCTTGTTATTTCTTGTCTTTTGCTAGCTTTGGGGTTTGTTTGCTCTTGGTCCTCTAGTTCTTTAAGTTGTGTTGTCACGTTGTTAATCTGAGATTCTTCTACTTTTTTTGACGTGGGCTTTTGGTGCTATAAATTTCCTTCTTAACTTTGCTATAGCTGCATCCCAGAGATTTTGGTACATTGTCTCATTAGTTTTAAATAACTTCTTCATTTTTGTCTTAATTTCATTATTTAGCCAGAAGTCATTCAGCAGCAGGTTGTACAATTTCTATGTAGTTTTGTGGTTTTGAGTGAATTTCTTAGTCTTGAGTTCTGATTTGATTGTGCTGTGGTCTGGGAGATTGTTTGTTATGATTTTTAGTTATTTTGCATTTACCGAGGAGTGTTTTACTTCCTCTTATGTGATCAATTTTAGAGTAAGTGCCATACAGCAATGAGAACAATGTATATTCTGTTGTTTTTTAATGGAGAGTTCTGTAGATATCTATCAGCTCTGCTTGATCCAGAGCTGAGTTCAGTTCCTAATTATCTTTGTTAATTTTCTGTCTTGGTGATGTGTCTAATATTGTCAGTGGGGTGTTAATGTCTCCCACTATTATTGTGTGGGAGTATAAGTCTCTTTGTAGGTCTCTAAGAACTTACTTTAATAATCTGGGTGCTCCTGTATTGGGTGCATATATATTTAGAATAGTTAGCTCTTCTTGTGGAATTGAAACTTTTACCATTATGTAATGCCCTTCTTTATCTTTTTTGGTCTTTGTTGGTTTAATGTCTGTTTTGTCAGAAATTAGGATTGCAACCTCTGCTTTTTTGTGTTTTTCATTTGCTTGGTAAATTTTCCTCCATCCATTTATTTTGAACCTATGTGTGTCTTTGCACATGAGATGGGTCTCTTGAAGACAGCATATGGATGGGTCTTGACTCTTTATCAACGTTGCCATTGTGTTTCTTTTAATTGGGGCATTTAGCCCATTTACATTTAAGATTAATATTATTATATGTGAATTTGATTCTGTCATGATGCTGAAACTAGCATTTTCTTACACATTAAAAAGGGAATTTTTGCATAAATAGTTCTATGTATTTATGACAGATAATCTTTCTACCAATAAAATGAAATACATGTGATTTAAATATAATTTATAAATTCTTGTTTCTTTCAGCCTCTGAATTTGGGTTTCTGTTTCACAAGAGAAGCAAATTAACCCATATAGATATGGCTTATCAGGAATACTGTTGTGATTAAATAAATTTTACCAGATATCTAAACGATAAGAAGAAAATTATGCTTGGAATTTTAAAGACCTTACAATATAGATAAACTTAGCACTTTCGAGGTAAAAATAAGGCCAGTATATCCAAAGCATATTGAGCAAGGGGCAAGTGGTAGGAAAGAAAGATTGAGAAGGAGAAAATAATGTTGTGCATTATTTATTATGGTAAAACATATGATTTTTAAATCAATGAATAAATAGGGAAAATGTGCATATGTGAGTTGCCTGGGGGTCAGTGATCTTGGCTGGGCTGAAGTATGACTCTAGAGATCCACCAGCTTGCTTATCCACCAGCAGTTTGACTGTAAGCTGGGTTTATTGTAAATATTTAAAATATTAATATGTTGATTAATATAACCTCTCACATGCTCTATTCTGTTTTCTAGCTTCACTTTCTTGATAGCAACTGTCACTATCTGATTTTATATATGTATATTCTGTCTCTTTTTAAAGAGAAGGATTTCTTTTTCTTCATTATTCTACAATTAGTTCAGAGAATGGTTTTTGATTTATATTAAAAGATGAGTAATATTTGCTGAATTATAAAATTATTGAATGAATGTTGACACCTAATAAAATGGCAGCTTTCCTATAGAAAATTAAATGCATTTTATTATTCTTGCTCTCAGCAGATACCACAATCAACTGGAAGATGTAAACAATTTAAGAATATAAGTTTGTAGATTATTTAGAGAAAGTATTTGTTGTTGCTGTTGTTGTTGTGGTTGTTGTTTTAAGTCATCTTGGCAATTCTCATGGCCCAGCACAGTGCCTGGCATAGTGAAGAACACAGAGATTAATCAAAGGATGAATGGATAAATGGAACAATAATGGAATAAAGCAAAGTGGTGCAAATGCTATATGTATACAGATAATGGAACTTCCAACTCTTCACATTCCTAATTTGAACCTGGCTATTATGGTGTAGAATAAGTATTGCCATCTCTAGTTTAGAAAAGTCAAGGGCTTTGCCCAATATCACATAGCTGGGAAGGGGTGGAGGCAGGATTTGAATATATGAATTCCAAATCTGAAGGTACTGCTTTTTTATTCTAATAGCACAATAATGATACTTGTAATGGTATAGAGGTATGGTAGGATAGAGAAGTGTATGGGATTAAAACACAACAACAAAAATAGAGTACATATTAGTACATTTGTCTGCTTGGGCTGTCATAACAAAATACCATCGACTAGTGTAAAAATAAAAATCTATTATCTCTCAGTTCTGGATGCTAGAAGTCCCAGAGTAAGGTGTCCATATATTTAGTTTCTGGCGAAGGCTCTTCCTGGCTTGTAGTCAGTGCCTTCTCTGTCTGCCCTCACTTGGCCTATCCACCTGTGAACACAAATAAATATCTCTGTTGTTTTTTTCCTCTCCTTATGTGAACATGTGTCCTATGGAATTAGGGCCTCACTCTTGTGACTTCATTTAATTTTAATTACCCCCAAAGTGCTCTGTCTCCAAATACAGTGACAATAATGAGTTAGGCCTTCAACGTATAAATTTTGGGGGCATAAAATTCAGTCTATATCAACTAGAAATATAAGTGATGGATCTAAATCACAGGTATTCCTAGGGACTTGAGTTGGGTCCTTGAAATTAGATGTTTTGGTCTAGTGAAGCATTTAGTGCATATTCATCCAGAACTACCATTTTCTGCATATTAAATATTCTGCACATCAAATTATCATGATATATAGTATTTTTAAACTGAATTCTAAATGAATCTTACAGGACACTGTTTTTTTTTTTTTTCTTTTCTCTCTTTTTACAATTCTTTGGCAATATATGACAGATGCTTAAAGTACAGAGGGAAATTGCAGAATTTATCTAGAAGATTTATCTCTTATTTTACAGGCGCAGCAGCTTACTGATCTGGAACAAAAATTAGCTGTAGCCAAAAATGAACTGGAGAAAGCAGCTCTTGACAGGGTAAGTCTACATTCATGAACCATTACAACTGTAGTTTTAGCAAAAAAAAAAAAAAAAAAAAAAAAGTTAAAGTATGCTCATTGCTTTTCTTGATTTATTAATGTGTTTCTAGATGCTGTGTATATAAGATAGTTACAGAATTCAGGAAGGTTTGATATCTTCTTTGGAATCCAACTATTTCTTTGTTTTTGCTGCTACAGTAAACTGACTGAAGGTTCAGTCTTTGTGAGTTCATGGCTCCATTTTTCACCTCACTGGTATATTTATTCCATAATACCATGAATAAACATGCTTTAAAGCATCAACTAAGGCACTATATATTAACTCTAGGTGAATGAGTTATGAAGCAAAAGGAAGTAATTATTGGCATCAAATTGTTATAACCAGTTTTTGAATGCATGTATCTTATAATTTATACTTATCTATATTTACTTAGAAACATGCACAAGAACACTGAATATAGCAATGTTTATATTAATAATAAATGGAAGTAATTTAACTGTTTACTGTAAGATAATTAATGCACCTATTTTTAAATATTTTCTATACTCAAATTTGGAAATAGTAATTAAAATATAATATTAACAAATATACATAAATGTGTTTTATCAATATTGATATACCTACAACATATAATGTTCAATGAGAAAAGCAGAATTATATGTATAATATTTAACAGTTGTTTAAATACACAAAACACATTTTTAAAAATTACATACAATGTAAAAAGATAATGTGTATGTAGAAATTTGACATGTATATAGAAAGATACAGTCACATAAAATTCATGGATACAATTGCGTTTGGGGAAAAACAGTAAAATAACACCAGGGATGTTTACAAAGAGCACTTCTGCTGTACCATAAATATTTTATCCTCCAATAATTGTACATATACAAGCAATCTTTAATTCATACACCACATATATGTACATTTTATCCATTACATACATGCATTATATATGTATACATGTAAACTTCCATTACATATATGCTTTACATATGTATGTATACATACATTAGATATAGGTAATAAATATATGTATGTTGCACATATGCCCATAATATGTATGTATATATACACTATGTTTAACATTATAGAAAATGATATATGTAACAAGTATATATGTATTTTATTATCAAAATTTTGCTTTTAACACTTAATTCAGATAGATATTTACTTGATATTTATTATGTTTCTCTCTATCTGCTTCTATTGTTTTTAATTTTTTTTTTAATTAAAGGAAATACTCTGATGTCAAGGGCTTTCTATTTTTGTGGTCACAGCTTAGTAACCATTTATTTGCGAAAATTAAGCAAGTAAGATGATTGCAATTATAAACTTATTTTGCAATAATTCATTTATTTTGCAATAGTACACTGTATACATTTAGCAATTTTGTAAGGAAAGGAGCTTACCTTCTAACCATCAGTTTGTACCATAGTTATTTTAGTATAAAATAGAGGGGAGCTTGCCCCCTATTTTGTGAATTAGATCAAGTATAATTTGTCTTATTAAGATCCCAGCATTATAAGATTTTAAAAAAATTTATATAAAACAAATTTATACCAATTTAAGCTAATCTCTGACCATATCCAACTTATGCCAATTATTACTTTTAAAAAATGTATATAACTCATTATAACATTGGTGGAATCAGAGAATCAGAGGCATATATAATTCTAAAGCTCAAGTAGGCCACCTTTGTTTTAGTCCTTTCTCTGACATTCCTGTACAGTCGCTGCAATATTGTTTAAATCCTAGAAAATCATTAGATTCCCATGATTCTGAAGCAGTCTGGTCTTCTCTGAGTTGTTACCCTCTCTGGTTCTTGGAATATTCTTCGTTATATTAAATGTTCTCCCGATTTGACTTCACATAATCCTTTTAGTCAGTCAATGACTAAATAGCTTTGAAATGCCTTTTTTGTGGCCATCCTATGCTAGGTACAAGGGAAAATAGAAAATATATGACACAAGGTCTTGGGTCCCATATCTCTCACAATTTTGTTTAGCACTAACAATTAGGGAATAATTGTATACTGAGACATGAGGCAACAGAAGCACAGAGAATGGATATGTATTTTCTAAGTACCTGTGGGTCATAGGGCACGGTATAGTCACAAAACACTTTATTTTGCAACTGGAATTTGGCCTGAGTCACAGAGCTCAGGGTTAGTGTAGAGTTGTTCCTCCATCTTTAGTTGTACATATTCTTACCCATTCAATGCTCTTCTCCTCCCAATTCCACCTCCCAACCCCTGTCATTATGTCCCTAAATTTCAGGATGAGAGGCTGATGTTGTAGTGGTTAAATAATGGTCTCCAGAGATAGTCTACTTATGTTCAAATCATGACTCTTTGACTGAATGACCATGTTCAAATTCCTCAAAATCTTTATGTCTCACTGGAAATAACAATAAACTTTATTTATAATGGTGATGAGAAAATTACACGTAGCCAAAAATTACAGTACTAGGTACAATGCCTGGAAAACATTCATTAAATAAGCTTAGAAGTTATTATTGTTACTGAATGAGATCACAGACTGCTTCTCTGTGATAACAATTCCCTCTTTAACCTTCAGATCTTGTCACGCCTTTTAGTAACTATAAATGCCTTTCATATTACTGGAGGCTGATTTTAACAAATCTCATGTAAGATACATATGAGGTTCATAAACTATAGCCATAAAGTTAGATAGAAATGCTAGTTGACTTCAAAATGGATAAAAACTACAGTTTAATGAAATAGATTTTCCCCTCTCTCCATCATCTTTATATGAGGCTTTTAAAATACTATTTGAGTATTTAGTTCCCAAGAATATAATATCTGGAATTTAAATAACCTTAAGTACTTCATACGTATTATGAAAAACTCTTAACACTTCAACTTGATTCTTATGACATATTTAATGAAAGAAGTCTCAGTTTAGTATCTCAGTATAAACAATAATAATATCAAGAGCTAAGAATCAGCCTTGAGTTTCCCATCAGTTATTTATTTGGCAGTATCTTATGAATTATATATAGTTGGCCTCAGCTACTGGAATATAAAAGAAGCTTTATGCTAAGAAAAATCTCTCAAACTTTTACACTAAAAATGTTTATATAGTATCTGTCCCTCACACCCGGGAAAGCATACATTATTACATCCATATTACAGATGACATAGGTAGGGTAAGTGACCTACACAGACTCCAATGACTGAGTAATACAGAATGAGAAATCTTTTTGCAACCACACAGTGTCTGGCACATAGCAGGAATATAATAAATACTTCTTAATTAAAAATAAAGACCTGACCTAAATGAATAAACATTCTAGTCATCCCACATACATGGGACCTGAATATCACTGGAGCAGAGGTCTCAAAATATTGAATGACTTTCCCGGGCTCTCTGAGCTGATTTCATGGCAGAAATAAAGTTAGGGAGAAAGTGTTTGGCCTCACAGTCTCTCATGGTCTTTCCAAAGCTGGCAGTTCAGGACTTGGTGTCTTCATTTAAAAGAGTTAAGGTAACATGAAAAACATCTTGTAAAGTTTCATTTATGTAGAGTTTAGATATTAGGGGCACAGTTGTCTTTGCAAGGTATATCTTGTTGTCCCCAGACAAAATGCATTTTTTCTGAGAAAAGTACTAACACACACCAAAAAAATCTACCTCCTAAATTTTCCACCATCTTAAGATCACATATGAGAAATACTTTCTTATAAAATTTTCATATTATACAGTGTAAATGGTAGTATTTTTTAATATATGAAATAATTTCTTATCTAATATATAAGATAAAATGATAAATATTTCATCATTTTCTCTTGTAACAAAACACTAACCTATATTCTCTGGAGGGTTTGCTTAATTTTTTATATAACAAGCGTGTGTTGTGTTAGAAACTGATGATGCCACAGATAGGATACCAGCCTTCAAAAAAGTTTGTTAAAAGTGAACATTAAACATAAAAACAACAAGATGATTTGAAATGATGGTAAGGACTAAATAAGATATAAAGGTAGAAAATATAATAACAACTTTAGGAAAGAACCATTCCTGGAAAGGGTGATAGGGGCTGTTTGCATGAAAATAGTTTGTGAGCTGAGACATACATTTTAAGTGGCAGTTTCTATATGGGTATTTGGAAGAAGGGTTCTGCAAGCAGAGGAAGCAGCATTTGTAAAGGCTCTAATATGGAAATGAGTTTGGGATGCTTGAGGGTCTATACACAAAGGATATTGTGATAAACAGGGCATTTTCATTAAGGAACTTGCATTTTACTATCACATTTTAAAACAAGTAGGAAAAGTGGTGTGCTGCAGGGAGCGGAAAGACAGAGCAAAAACAAGACTGGCTGTACATGGTTTACATCATATTTCATTAGGTGACAGCTTGTTTTAGCAAACTTCAAAGTAAACAGTAGCCTGCAGTTGAAAACAAATGACACCTAACAGTATAAATAAAAATGTAATGCCATCGTGGTGTAAAATCATCCTCTGGGTTTTGCTCATGGAACTGAGTCAAGCCAAACCTGAGTAGTATGAGTAATAGGCTCTGTTAAGTTAGAGGAACTTAATGGGCAGTAGGTAAGGGGTGGGCAATTCGGACCTGAGGGTTTCCCCCATTTTTAGACCATATAGGGTAACTTTGTGACCTTGTCATAGCATTTGTAAAATGTCATGGTACTGGTGGGGGTGTCTTTTAGCATGCTAATGCATTGTAATTAGTATATAATGAGCAGTGAGGATGACCAGTGGTCACCCTCATTGCCATCTAGGTTTTGGGGGTTTTGGCTGGTTTCTTGACTGTAATCTGTTTTATCAGAAAGGTCTTTATGACCTATATCTCGTGTTGACCTCTTATCTCACCCTGTGACTTTGAATGCCTAACCTGGGAATGCAGCCCAGTAGGTCTAAGCCCAGCCTCTATTCAAGATGGAGTTGCTCTGGTTCAAACGCCCCTGACGCTGTTACCTAACAAGGCCCAGAGGAAATGAGAGTTTTATCAGAGACAAATTTGTTTTTACCATTATGTGGGGAAATCGAGTAGAGATATAGGCTAATCTGAGAAACACAAGAATCTACATTGCTATGGCAACGATTCTAAATACAGAAAGTTGATGCAGAAAGAAAGATGGCAAGTTTCATCAACAGAGTAAACAGACAACCTATAGAATAGGTGGAAATATTTGCAAAGTATGCATCTGACAAAGGTCTAATATCCAGCATATACAAGGAATTTAAATTTTTAAGAGAAAAACAAACAACCTCATTAAAAAATAGGCAAAGGACATGCATGAACAGACACTTTTCAAAAGAAGACACACATGTGGCCAACAAGCATATGAAAAAAGCTCAATATCACTAATTATTAGAGAAACGCGAATCAAAATCACAATGAGATACTATCTCACACCAGTCAGAATGGCTGTTATTAAAAAGTTAAAAAATAACAGATGGTTGTGAGGTTGCAGAGAAAAGGGAAGACTTATGTAGTTAGTGGGAGTGTAAATTAGTTCAGCCATTGTGGAAAGCAGTATGGCGATTCCTCAAAGAGGTAAAAGCAGAACTATCATTTGACCCAGCCATCCCGTTACTGGGTATACACCAAGAGGAATATACATTTTTCTTCCATAAAGACACATGCATGTGAGTGATCATTGCAGCACTATTCACAATAACAAAGACATAGAATCAACCTAAATGCCCTTCAATGACAGATTGGATAAATAATATGTGACACATATACACCATGGAATAGTATCCAGCCATAAAAAAGAATGAGATCATGTCTTTTGCAGGAACTTGGATGGAGCTGGAGTCTATTATCCTTAGAAAACTAATGCAGGTACAGAAAACTAAATACCCACCACTCCCACAAGGGAGCTAAATGATGAGAACTTAGGAAGACAAAGAAGGAAACAACGGATGCTGGGGTCTACTTGAGGGTGGAGGATGAGAGAAGGGAGAAGAGTAGAGTGGAGTAGAAAGGACAACTGCTGGGTACTGGGCTGAGGACCTGGGAGATGAAATAATCTGTACAACAAACCCTCATGACACAAATTTACCTATTTAACAAACCTTCATACATGTCCCCAAACCTAAAATAAAAGTTAAATAAAGATGGTAACTTTCAAAAAAGGATATTTTCTACATCAGAGTAACCTAGAGTATATTTCCTTTCCTGCAAACTATCATGGTGGAAATCATGTCAGTTCAAGAGAAAGTAATAAGACATATCTTTGTATTTCAGTGTTCAAAATATATCATGAAATGCATTAGCTCCTAGAAACAGACTGAGTGTGGATATAAAAGTATGTCATAATGAAATTTATAAATTAGGCAATTACATTTGAAAAGTGATATGTATTTTTGTGGGGAGTATAGGCTAAGAGGAAAGGGAGAATGCAAGCAGATAATTGATGAGCATAGCTAAATGTAAATATGTTAATGCCTCTTTTTTTGTAGGAGTCACAGATGAAAGCAATGAAAGAGACTGTGCAGCTCTGCTTGACATCTGTTTTCCGTGATCAGCCTCCTCCCCCTTTGAGTTTAATCACATCAAATCCAACTCGGATGTTACTCCCACCCAGGAATATTGCCTCTAAGCTTCCAGATGCAGCGGCCAAAAGCAAGGTACCTACCTTTTATTTGCGCTTTGTAAAGTAACAGCAAGTAATGTGTTGTCTTTAAAGCCCAGTATATATAATCACCAGAGTGGATTCAAGTATGATAACAAATCCATTGAAAGATTAGGAGGAAAATGGAAGGTAGTAACCCAGCTTGTAAAATCTCCATAGTCACTAGAAGAATGTTGGAAGGGAGCTTTTCTTTCATAGAGAGCCTAGCTGATTCTTAGGCAGAATCATCTAATTGTTTAACACAAAACAAAAACTAATAATGTTGGAATAAGTTAAAAGAGAATATCTTGTATTACATTGAAATAAACATCACAGGTTTGATATGGGGAATATTTTCTTCTGGGGCACAAGTATCTTCAGAAAGGTAAATCATTTTTTTTTTCTTAAGTCCACAACTCTCAACACTGGCTGCACATTAGAATCTTAGTGTAAATATTTTTAAAAGTGTGTTTAGGTGTATTTACATTAAAAAAAAGCCTTACTCCTGGGGTTTTTTTTCCCAGACCTATTAAATTAGATTTTTTTTTTTTGAGTTAGACTCCAGTTATCAGTAATTTTTCAAAGTCCCAGGGGATTTTAAGGTGCGTTCAAGTTTAAGGACAACTCATTTGAGCAAATCTTCCTCCAAATTCCCTCCACCAACCTACTTTAGACAAAACAAAGAACATTTAATGGTGCTTTTGTTTCAATCTTCAAAAACTTCAATTTGTAGGCCCTACATACATTGAAATAAATCCTGAGAGCCAGAAATAATCTTTGGGGGAGGGAGTTTTGTTTTGGGCAGTATGTTGGAAAGATCTAGTTCTCTGATCACTTGTCTGAGCATCACTTGTTATTAAAATGAGTGCTATGGATACCAGCCTGACTTCTAAATGCAAATCTCAAGGGTTGAGTGCAGAAAAACTTAAGAACCACTAATGCAAATACCTAATGATGTGTTACATCTGGCTTTCTTACTGCTTACTTCTGAGATTTCCTATTTTTGAATTAAAGTGGGTAGATTAGGGAAATGCTATTTTCAGGATGGAGAGTCATAAATAATAGAATGAAGTAAATCTTCTGATATACTGTTTTTATGTGTAACTAGTCAACTTATGAACTACAAAGATTTAGTCTGTATGAGATCCTTATGTAATATTAATGTTTCTCTTTTAAAAATTATTCAAAACAATGTATTCAACTATATTATATTATTGTCTGTGTTTTTATATGTAAATTACATATTTTATATATATATATATATATATATATAATTGTGAATTTTAAAAGCCACAAGTTCACGAAGGGAGGAGTACAAAATTGCAAGGGTTTACTAGAAAAAGGTTAAAAATAATTAATATATCAGTACCCCCACCATTTAAATTTATTGTTTTTATTATGGTGCATACCTGTTACATTCACTGTTAGAACTATAGCTTAAGTTTCTGCTGAGAGTCTTCAACGAAGTCCCTCAGATACCCTTTCATCATTACCCTTTATAAAATCGAGATGCAGGTTTCTCTCTGAGTGAATTATTTCTTACCCTCCCAGTTAGAATTATTTTTTCTTTCCTCAGTGCTTGCTTTGACAGCTGAGTGTTTACTACTCTTGGCCCTTGGTCATCCCTTGAATGTTACCTCTGCCTATGTCTTCCTTCTTCAGAGAGATGTCTGTGCTTAGCTCATTGATCTGTTTAATGTTATTTAGTGTCCAGAATGATGTTTCTAGAAAATTCATTTGAAATACTTGTGGTATACCCTTCTTCTTCTTATAAATTTTCGTATAAATTCTTATAAATTTTACTTATTTGGAATTTAGAAAATTATACATTATTGTTTGTTTAGTGTTTTGTATTCAACTACATTGTTTTTCTTCTATGTACCAGTACTCTGCTAGTAACTAAGACAGCAAATTTCAAGTGACACAGCCCTCAACTTTTGGAGATTGCAGCCTAATTTTCTGCAAGAGACAACAAGAAAACTGCCGGATTTGTTCTTAGTAGTAGATCAGGTCATCTTCTGTTTGTTTCCTTGTTTGTTTTCTAGATACCTGGATACAAACACACAGGAGATGACGTATCTTTTATGTCTTTGTTATGATATTATATATTTGTTATGTAGAAAATAATATTCTTTCGAATATATAAAAAGTCAAGGTAGAAACCAGGGGATCTGATCTGCATTTTGCGTAAAACGACCCCAACTCCCAAACTAAAGTAGAAACAAATAAACCATGTGACAATCTTCTGACCTATGTAGGAGAGGATGGTGACCTACTTTATGTCACCAACACTGAAAATAGTATTCGAAATGTTATTGAGTCATAATAATTGTCATGACCTAGTGACTAAATGGGAAGCATGAAGGCAGGAAATCAAGAATAAAAGTCCTTGCATTCATTCACTATGATGTAAAGGGCAAGAGGAGGTTTTAAAAGGGAAGCCAAACTGGTTTGTTTCTAACCTGCTATGTTTTGGGTTTCTGTCATAAAACCAAGTGCCCGTATCCAGTAGATGATTATGTATTTAAATCTGGAACTGAGGGAAGACATCTGAATAAGGATATTAGATTAGATATCATCACAATGAATAGGGTTAAATATTGGAAATAAATAAAATTACCTGAAGAGACAGTATGGAGTGAAAAGAGATGAGGTCTGCAAAGTCACTAGACATGAGAAGTAACATGAGTATGGTTTTGTGTGTAAGCTAACAGAGGGAATGTTTATGACAAAAGTGCATTTATTCCCATTATTTTGCTGAGATACTCTCTAATGTATATTTAAGCTGAGAGCCATGACTTTTCTATGTCTATTTTGCTATTGCAAAAAATAGAGCATGCATGTCACTGTGTTTATTCAGAATGATAAATACTCCAGTGGTCTGTTGGAGCTGGCTTATACATGCTTGCAAAAGTTGACTGTTAAATTTACAGAATTTGTACTATTCAACTGTTAAATACAGGCATTATTAAATATTATATTATATATACTTACAATTAAATAAATTCTACCAATGGCAATGTGGTAAATACCAAAGCTACTATATAGTGCCATAATCTGTGCTGTTCAGGATATTGTATATTTTGAATCTGTATAGTGGAAATACTATATAATAGTATACTACTGTATATCTCTTTGCAATTTGTGTTCAATGACATCATGTTATCAGATTGAAATTGGTAACATTTATACTGTAGAAATTGACTAACACTATAAATCAGGGTCCTCCTAACCCACAGAGCTAGTGAATAGCATGCCTCTGTGTGTGTGTGTGTGTGTGTGTGTGTGTGTAACATTTAAGATAGGATTACTTGGCATTATAGATAATATACAAAAAAAGTGACTAACATTTTTTCTACTGCTATGTGGTAGAGCTAGATGCACAGTAGTGCTCAGAAAAGGCAAATTAATAAACAAAAAGGCTTGTGTAATTAATAGCATTCTGAAAAAACTCACTTTGTATATCTATTGCAATATTTAATTATATTCATTTTTTATAAAATATATGCTTTATAGAATTTGGAAAAAATAAATATAAAAGGAAGAACAGAAAACATATCACCAAGAATCCTACCACTTTTAGTTTAAAAGATATGAATTAATACACAGTAATATGTTTGGTGTTTATATTTGCATAATAGAACGTTTAAGAGGTAGGATTCATTAGTCAGACTAAGTAAAAATCTCTTTTCTGCTATTTTTTAATTTTAATACCTTGATCAAATTACTTAACTTTTCTAAGACTCATCTTTCGTGTCTATTAAACGGAGATAATTACAGCACCAACCTTAGAAAGTTGTTGAGGAGATCAAATACAAAAATTCACATAAAACATTAGCATATGTTGTGGTGCCTGACACACATAAAGCAGTCAATAAATACGTGAAACAAGTATTAGGATCTCTTAAAGCCAGGATAACATGAAAACACCTGAAGAAAATTTTTAGTGGGATGTTACTTTAACTTTGAATAAAGCTACACTATTTACATTGTATTATTTTTCAAGTGTTAGAATACATTAATTCAAATAAGTGTAACTTCAGTTTTTTATCATAAAAGTATAGCAGAATCCTTACAATCCATTTAGTGTCAGGGATCATAATAGTACATGTCATAAAGAAAGGAGAATGTTTAAAGACACCAGAAATGAAAAGCAATTCAGATAAGCAATGCAGATAAACAGCAATGAAACTGTGCTATGAAAACCCATATGTCACGCCATCCCAGGCTATTACTGTTTCTTTTCTTTTTCTTTTCAACTCACTGCCTTAGTTGCAGTTTATATTGTTGAAGGTCACAACTGTGGTATCTACTTAATTGGAAAAGGATGATTTGTTAATTTTTGTTTAAATGTGTTGTAAATGCCAAAGTCTTTCCAGGGCAGGAGGCCCTGGAACGAATGGGGCTCTCTTTAGGAGCTTAAAGACATGCAAGTGAAAACTGCATTTTTCTTGGTGCCTGGAAGTTTAGATAGATCAAGGTACATTTTTCTTTTCCTCTTTTCTGCCAAAAATCTGTTACAAAGTAGTTTTTTAAGAAACCTCAAAACAGTGCACCTGGAATCATCATAAGCCAAGGTTCTGAGCCTAGGCGGCATCTTCAAATTATTATGGGCTTCAAAAATGCTCACACCTGGGTGTCAATACTCCTGATTCTGATACAATTTAGCAGGAGTTTAGGCTAGTTTTGGAGGTTATTCAAAAATCACAGATGATTCTAATTTAGAGCCAAGGTTGAACATGAGTAAGATCCTTATTTTAGAAATGAGAAAGGACTCTAAGAAGTAAGCTTGCCCTATCTCTCTACTTCTCTGCTTCTAGAAGAGATTTCTCAAATAATACAGAGGTGATCAATTTTAAACAGTTCTGTTTTTCCACCTGCTGTCCATCAATCACTAACCATTTAGTTATCTCCAACATCCCATGAACTATCCTCCATGTGAAAGGATGCATGAGGGAGGTGAGATCTCACAGTATGTGTTAAAGCCAATATTTCCTTTTCAACCTCCTTTTAATATTCAAAGCTTATAATACCATTCTGGAAGAAAGAACATGAATAGCATTAGAAGGTAAAATTTTTTTTCAGTGGGAAACAAGAGAGTCTATGTCTAGATATCCCTAATCAAACTCTATTCCCTAGGTTTCTGCAAAGGAAGTTGTAGTTCAGAGATAAAATAATGTTTCCTCACAACTTTCTAAAGGCATCACAGCCAATGTTCTTGTTACTTTATTATGAGACATGTTACTGAATGTTAGAAGAATCTATGGATGTAAAATACCGTGACTATATGCAAAGAGTAATTTAATTAACTATATAAAATATGACTATGTAATGTGGTCCTTTATGAAATAGTGTTAAAGAAGACATGATTATGCATTTTATTATAAGATTCTTTTAACAGCCCTGATAAGCATCAGTATGACCTTAAACTTGAATATGTTTTTCCTGAATCATACATTTAATAACTATGTATTAAGTAATTTGAGTATACAAAGCAATGCTTAGGGATATACGTGCTATATTTCTTTTAGTTACTGTGACTATCCATAAGGACAATATCTTTTTTACATTCAAGAAGCTGGATATCGGAGTTTTAGAAGGTTATCTTCTAGGATTTTTGTATTGTGTTGTGTCCTCCAAGAAGACACAACACAGAATTATATTTGCAAGAGGTTTATTTGGAAAAATGCCTGTGAGAGAAAATAGGGAGGCAGCCATAGGAGGCCGGAAGAGCCATCAGGCCCCAGTGCAGATCTGATCATTCTGGAGCAGTGAGGGAAGAAAGAGGATCTAGATATAAAAAGGCTTAGATTCCTGTGCAGTTAAAAAAAAAAAAAAAGAAAAGAAAAACAACTTTGGCAAATGTCAATGGGAAGCCATCGTATAAAAGTCATCCATCAGATGAGTCCCCATATTTTATGGGAATGGGCTACCTTACTAGCCCTGTTGCATCACATGCGGGGGAAGTCACAGTTTAGCAAATGGGGCTTTCAGTCAATTATGCTCCCCGCAGTGGGAAATCTGAGAGGTTCCATGTTGGTGGACTGTATTTTGCTCATTATGGTGGAACAAATCTCACATTCCTAAAGACTGTCAGTTTCTTGCTAAACTATGGCTTCTACATCTCAGGGAAATATAATGTCTTTAAAATTTAGGATATCTTCATTATTTATTTTGTTTAATAGCTAAAGAAGCTAATGTTATGGGAGACTCACAGAATAGCAAAACTCTGACACTCATGATATCAATTCAAAGGTGTAGCATTAACTGCAGACAGTATAGCTTGCTTCCTATGTGGAGATAGAACAGACAAATATGGACTCTGTGAAAGCCATCCTGATGCTGACATTTCTTTCCTATATCTTTCAGTCAGGAACAAAGCAAAATGAATTATATGAACAACTGGGATACGGTGAAACTGAGCTTGCCAAATTTCTAGATGTCCAGCATTTGGGTTATATTCAAAGAGAATATGCTGGCCCATTTGTTCAAGTCACTAAGCTAAACAATGTAAGGTTAAGATATTTGACCTACGTCATCCAACTAATAGAAAACAAGATTTAAACTAAGGTCTGGTAGTTCTAAAATCAGGTTGTTTTTTTTCTATACTAGTATTGCTAATTATTATAAATATACAAACTAAATTGATTCATTATTTTTCCATCAGTTCCTAATCACTGGGCACCTAAATTGCAATTGTCATCTGTCTCCATTTAATCCTACTTTTAGGTGGGATCATTTAAAATATTGCCACATATTCTCTGATATTCGTCCATCAATATATGGGGTCTATGCCCCCTTTCTTACAATCTGGGCAAGTTTGTAATTATCTGACAATGCTAGCAAAATTACAGATTGTTCATCTCCCCTAAACCTAAATGAATGCACTCAAATTTTACTACCTTTTTCGAGGTAGTTCAGGTTGCTTATATCTAGCATGACTCAAAAGACTATTGAATGGGTTATCCTGAAGTTTTCCAACTGTTTAAACATGCACACACACATACAAACATGTATTTTACAATTTATATATACATATACCTTTATAATTTTTGTATATGTTTTATGAATTTTATATGTAAAATTTAAATTTAACTGCTCCATTTTGTTTTTCAGCAAAGGTTAATTTGAGTCAAGGACAAATCTTTAGATTTTGAACATAATCTTGTCTCACTGATGGGGAAAATATATGACTAACCATTGGTAATATATGGTTCAAATATTTACTATTTGTATATACTGCAAAATGATGAATTGAAAGGTAAATGCAGAGATGAAGACTGGAAAACCATTTATATGGGATTCCTTGGTTAATCCTAAGGAAAAATTACAAAACTTCCATTAAAACAGCAACTGGTGAGAACATAGAAGCTGAAAGACAGTAAATAGAGTTGGCACATATTTGGTGATCTTATTAGACAACCTGAGAGTTCAAGATTTTAAAAGACTCATTCGAGTTAGAAATATAAAGAATCTAAATAAAAGTCAAGAATATATATTTTTCAAATCCTTACATAATTCTAGCCTTTTTATTCTATATATATTTTTAACCCCCACCCAACAACCATCACTCATAATGCTGGTGAACTTCTACCCCCCTTTCATGGGTTCATCTCAAATGTCAACTCTTTTTGACTACTTCCTTGAGTTTCTATTGTGTTTAAGCATTTATTTTTATTTATTTTTCCTTTTTAAATTTTTTATTTCCATAGGTTATTGGAGAACAGGTGGTGTTTGGTTACATGAGTAAGTTCTTTAGCAGTGATTTGTGAGATTTTGGTGCACCCATCAACAGAGCAGTATACACTGCACCCTATTTGTAGTCTTTTATCCTTTACCTGCTTCCTACCTTTCCACCTGAGTCCCCAAAGTCCTTTGTATCATTCATATGCCTTTGCATCCTCATAATTTAACTCCCACTTATGAGTGAGAACGTACGATGTTTGGTTTTCCATTCCTGAGTTACTTCACTTAGAATAATAGTCTCAGTTCTCATCCAGGTTGCTGCGAATGCCATTAATTTATTCCTTGTTATGGCTGAGTAGTATTCCATCATATATATGTGTGTGTGTGTATATATATATGTGTGTGTATATATATGTGTGTGTGTGTGTGTGTGTATATATATATATATATATATATTCCATCATATATATACATATATCTCTCACAGTTTCTTTATCCACTTGTTGATTGATGAGAATTTGGGTTAGTTCCACAGTTTGCAATTGCAAATTGTTCTTCTATAAATATGCGTGTGTAACTATCTTTTTCATTTAATGACTTTTTTCCTCTGTATAGGTAGCCAGTAATGGAATTGCTGGATCAAGTGATAGTTATACTTTTAGTTGTTTAAGGAATTTCCACACTGTTTTCCATAGTGGTTGTACTAGTTTACATTCCCGCCAGCAGTGTAGTAGTGTTCCCTGTTCACTGCAACCACACAAACATCTATTATTTTTTGATTTTATGATTATGGCCATTCTTGCAGAAGTAAGGAGGTATTGCATTGTGGTTTTGAATCGCATTTCCCTGATCATTAGTGATGTTGAGCATTTTTTCATATTTGTTGGCCATTTGTATGTTTTCTTTTGGGAATTGCCTATTTATGTTCTTAGCCCACTTTTTGATGGGATTCTTTGTTTTTTCCTTCCTAATTTGTTTGAGTTCATTGTAGATTCTGGATATTAGTCCTTTGTCAGATTTATAGATTGTGAAGATTATCTCCCACTTTGTGAGTTGTCTGTATACTCTGCTGACTGTTCCTTTTGTGGTGCAAAAGCTCTTATCTATTGTGGTTCAGCATTTTTATTGTATTTATATGGCATTTGTGAAAAATTTAACCTTGAGACTCTGCCCTAAATTCCCTGGCTAGCCTGTGAGCTCCTCATAAATACATACATTGGCAAGTTTCCATTGCATCACCAATACTCCAAAAACAGGCTGTAAGAAAATCACACTTAGTGGGATTGAATACTTAAATTGAACTACTAGAATTGGTGAACTAGTCCAGTAAACAGTAGGCAAACATTTATTGTACTCTATTTTGGAAAAGATAATTGTGTGTGTATGTGTCTGTGTCTATGTGTGATGGGGGATGGGTGAACCATTTTACCATGATTTTCTTAGGACTATAAATATGATAAAATACAATAAGGTGGTATTGGCTGCTGGCTGTTTTAATGGAATTAGATTAATTGAATTACCTGAAGCATAAGCTCCATGAAAATAGGCAACTAAGTTTCTTTTGCTCACTAACATATACCAAACTTTCAAAACAATGTGATATACAGAAACTATTCAATTAATATTTGTTGAATGAATAAATGAATTATTTAAAAGGACATGTCAGAGTTACTTCCAGGAAGCATTGCTCCCAATACCTAAAAATTTTCTGACTGAAATACAAATATTTATTTATTTTCCCTGACATCTGCATTTATAATTCATTTTGATGTATAATACTGCTTCCAAGACATTGTGACATACAAGTTGTACTATCTATTTGATGACTTCCCTATTGAATTTATTGTATATCTGTGTTATTACATTTTATGTGAAGTAAAGCACAAATTTAAGCATATTTAATTTAAGTATACATAATGCCAGTTCACAATTCTGGAGCTTCTTGTTCCTTTATCCAGAAATCTTTTCATTATTTGAATTTGAAAATTACCTGAAGTGAAAAGATTCAAAATATACAATTACTTTTTAAGTTTCAAAGAAAATTCTCTGCTTCACAACAATATTTTATTTATGTTTACAACAAATTGAATTCAATATTCTATTGATATATAAATTATCTGAATTTTCAGGGAAATTAGACTCTTGCTAAAAATTAGAAACATGGTAAATTGTAAAGTTAGAATTTGGTATTACCATTATCTGTCTGGAAAACTACAGTTCTTGTCTCTATGCCCCACTACATTGACTGATCTGGCCTGAAAACTTAGGTGATATATAATGGGAGAAAATCAATCCCAGTAAATCTGTTTTACTTTGTTTTCAATTATAAGGAAATTAACAACTATTACATTAAAAAAGAGAAGGTTAAAATGTCATAATGTAAAAGCAGTCAATACCAAAACTCTATCAATGTCATTATTTGGGTTATTTACATCTTTCCTCTAGGTATTCTGCCTCTTGGGAAATATATTAAGGAAATCATAGTTATTGCCAGTCTTGTTTTATCTTTTAGTAAAACATGCTCTCATTTGCTTCTGTATCTCCCAGTTATTACTGGGTAGATAAAACTGTATGATTAATCATATACACAGTTAGAAATATTATATATTCTTAATGAATTCACCCTTTACCATTATGCGATGCCTTTTTTGTGCCTTTTAATGTTTATTGTCCTGATATCTATTTTGCCTAATTTTATGATAGCCACACCAGTTTTTACATCAATAATACTACATCCTTTTCAAATTATTATATTTTATTTTTAAGCTGTGTCTTTGTGCAAATATTTTCTTCCATTCTGGGGGTTGTATTTTCACTTTATTGAAGATTTCATTTGCAGCACAGAAGACACAAGTTTTTAAATTTGATGAAGTCCAATATATTTTTCCATTTCTTTTTTTTGGGGGGGGTGTGGGGGAATAGAGTCTCGCTCTGTTGCCCAGGCTGGAGTGCAGTGGTGCAAACTTGGCTCACTGCAGCCTCCGCCTCCGGGGTTCAAGTGATTCTCCTGCCTCAGCCTCCTGAGTAGCTGGGATTACAGGCACGTGCCAACACGCCCGACTAATTTTTGTATTTTTAGTAAAGATGGGGTTTCACCATGTTAATCAGTCTGGTCTCGAACTGCTGACGTCATAATCTGCCTGCCTCAGCCTCCCAAAGTGCTGGGATTACAGGCTTGAGCCACTGCACCTGGCCCTTTTTTTTTTTTTTTTTTGGCACTTGTGATATTGCTATGTTTAATAAGACTTTGCCTAGTGTGAGGTCATAGATTATCTCCTATTTTTCTATTCAGAGACTTAATTTTAACTCTTACATCTAGGCATATGATTTAATTTGAGTTTACTTCTATATGTTGTATTTGGTAGTGATCAAACTTCATTTGTCTGCATGTGGCATCTTGTTGTTTAAACACCATTTGTTGAAAAGACTTGTTTTATTTCACTGAATTGGCATAATGGCCTGTCTAAATACAGTTGATCATGATGCAAGGGACTGGACTCTCAATTCAGTTCCATTAATCTATATGCCTATCTATCTGACAGTGTTTGCAGTGACTATGGTAGATTTGTAGTGTATTTTAAAATGAGGAAGTGGATTCCTCCAGCTTAGTTCTTTGTATTTAAAGTTTGCTTTGGCTATTCTTGGTCATTGCATTTTTCAAATAAGTTTGAGAATTACCTGCTCAATTTCTAGAAAAACAAATAAAGCTCAGATTTTAAAGGGATGACATTGAGTCTTTAGATAACTTAGGGACTATTATCGTCTTAACAATATTAAATCTTCGAATATTCTATTTTTTCAGGGTGGTAATTTAATCTTTAAAATGTCCTTGCTAGTGTATAAAATACAATTCTTACCACATTTTTAATAAATTGAATATATTGCTTTTCATTTCATCTACACTGCCATTGTCAGTCCTGTATGTAATATTCTATATTCTAGGTGTCATTCTAGGATTTCCCAATAAGCACCTTTGACTTAGCACAATCTACTTTGAAATTATATTATACTGTTATACATTACACAAATAAGAATACCATAAAACGTTTTATTTTCATTTTTCATTGTCATACATTTCAATTGTATAACTGTTATAACCACAAAATAAATTGATATAGGTTTTGCTTTTAAAAATGAATTACAGGCTGGATGTGATGGCTCACACCTGTAATCCCAACACTTTTGGAGGCCGAGGCAGGTGAGCCTTGTCCTTGAGCTCAAGAGTATGAGACCAGCCTGGGCAACACGGCTCAATCCCATCTCTACAGAAAATACAGAAATTAGCTGGGCGTGGTGGTACACGCCTGTAGTCCCAGCTACTTGGGAGGCTGAGGGAGAAGGATGGCTTCAGCAAGGGGGGCAGAGATTGCAGTGAGCACAGATTGCACCACTACACTCCAGACTGGGTGACAGAGCAAGGCCTTGTCCTCAGAAAATAAAAATAAAAAGCTAATAACATATATTTATGCATATGAAATTGAGAAAAAATGCTCTTTTAAGGGGACTCATATTTATCATTTCTGGACTCATCTTTCATCAGTATAAATTTAACTTTTCATGTTACCTCATTTTTTTCTACTTGAAATTATTTCATTTTGCTTTTTAAAGTTTTTTTTTTCTGAATTTAGTAAGCTAGGTTGACAGATTTTTAAATTTAGTAGATTAAAAATGTCACCCCATTGCCTTCTAGCTGGCATAGCTCAGATAATAAATTATGTGATTATCTTTTCCTTTTTGCCTTGTATTTAATATGTATTTTATCTCTGAATGCTTTAAATTTTGTTTTCTTTTTTCAATGGTTATCAGCATGCTCTAAATTCAATTCACAATTGAAAGGTCAATGGTTTGGTTTTCACTTGCTGTTTACTTGTTTCCAGAATTTTCTAGAAAGTCAATTCCAACTCTGATAAGGGAGAAAAAAGTCATTCTAAATTCAGTGTTAGTGCTACATGACCCAATCTTTTTTTTCTACATTACTTATTATTTAAAAATCCAGTAAAATTTTTTGTATAATTCATTTTTATTGTTAATGTTATATTCTTCTATCTATAGGTTCTAATTATTTTTATATATTTTATTTTCTCTTTGTTATTGGTTTCCTCTGCATATTGATTATAAAAATATTATCTATTATAATATATTTAACAACAAATTGTGTATCTGAGTTTTTTTCGGTCATTTTTTATTGAGTGAATTTTCTCCTGATTATCAATCATATTTTTCTTCTTCTTGACATGTTTCATGTTTTTTGACTGGTCATTATTTTATTTAAACTTGGATTTCATTGTTTTCTATTAAATAAATAATACGTTTCTCTCTCTCTCCCTGTTCATATTTCCTCTATCTTTCTCTCTCTCTCTCTCCAATTAACTACTTGTAAAACAGATTCAACTCTCAAGGCATGTTTTTAAATTTTCTAGAATGGATCTAATGTAGCCTTCACTTCATGAATAATTCTTACATTCTATTAAATTATGAAACTTCTGGGGTTTCCACAAAATGCCACAGATTAGAACTAGGATTTTCCATTGTAATTGTCTTCCCACCCTGTGCAACTTCTAAGAATTCTCACGTTACAATTATTCAGATATTATTTTTCTTTTTTCTTTTTTTATTTTATTTTATTTTATTTTATTTTATTTTATTTTATTTTATTTTATTTTATTTTATTATACTTTAAGTTTTAGGGTGCATGTGCACAATGTGAAGGTTAGTTACATATGTATACATGTGCCATGCTGGTGTGCTGCACCCATTAACTCGTCATTTAGCATTAGGTATATCTCCTAAAGCTATCCCTCCCCCTCTCCCCACCCCACAACAGTCTCCAGAGTGTGATGTTCCCCTTCCTGTGTCCATGTGTTCTCATTGTTTAATTCCCATCTATCAGTAAGAATATGCGGTGTTTGGTTTTTTGTTCTTGCGATAGTTTACTGAGAATGATGATTTCCAATTTCATCCATGTCCCTACAAAGGACATGAACTCATCATTTTTTATGGCTGCATAGTATTCCATGGTGTATATGTGCCACATTTTCTTAATCCAGTCTATCATTGTTGGACATTTGGGTTGGTTCCAAGTCTTTGCTATTGTGAATAGTGCCACAATAAACATACGTGTGCATGTGTCTTTATAGCAGCATGATTTATAGTCCTTTGGGTATATACCCAGTAATGGGATGGCTGGGTCAAATGGTATTTCTAGTTCTAGATCCCTGAGGAATCGCCACACTGACTTCCACAATGGTTGAACTAGTTGACAGTTCCACCAACAGTGTAAAAGTGTTCCTATTTCTCCACATCCTCTCCAGCACTTGTTGTTTCCTGACTTTTTAATGATCGCCATTCTAACTGGTGTGAGATGGTATCCCATTGCGGTTTTGATTTGCATTTCTCTGATGGCCAGTGATGGTGAGCATTTTTTCCTGTGTTTTTTGGCTGCATAAATGTCTTCTTTTGAGAAGTGTCTGTTCATGTCCTTCGCCCACTTTTTGATGGGGTTGTTTGTCTTTTTCTTGTAAATTTGTTTGAGTTCATTGTAGGTTCTAGATATTAGCCCTTTGTCAGATGAGTAGGTTGCGAAAATGTTCTCCCATTTTGTAGGTTGCCTGTTCACTCTGATGGTAGTTTCTTTTGCTGTGCAGAAGCTCTTTAGTTTAATTAGATCCCATTTGTCAATTTTGGCTTTTGTTGCCATTGCTTTTGGTGTTTTAGACATGAAGTCCTTGCCCATGCCTATGTCCTGAATGGTAATGCCTAGGTTTTCTTCTAGGGTTTTTATGGTTTTAGGTCTGACATTTAAGTCTTTAATCCATCTTGAATTAATTTTTGTATAAGGTGTAAGGAAGGGATCCAGTTTTAGCTTTCTACATATGGCTAGCCAGTTTTCCCAGCACCACTTATTAAATAGGGAATCCTTTCCCCATTGCTTGTTTTTCTCAGATTTGTCAAAGATCGGACAGTTGTAGATATGCAGCGTTATTTCTGAGGGCTCTGTTCTGTTCCATTGATCTGTATCTCTGTTTTGGTACCAGTACCATCCTGTTTGGGTTACTGTAGCCTTGTAATATAGTTTGAAGTCAGGTAGCGTGATGCCTCCAGCTTTGTTCTTTTTGCTTAGGATTGACTTGGCGATGCGGGCTCTGTTTCGGTTCCATATGAACTTTAAGGTAGTTTTTTCCAATTCTGTGAAGAAAGTCATTGGTAACTTGATGGGGATGGCATTGAATCTGTAAATTACCTTGGGCAGTATGGCCATTTTCACGATATCGATTCTTCCTACCCATGAGCATGGAATGTTCTTCCATTTGTTTGTATCCTCTTTTATTTCATTGAGCAGTGGTTTGTAGTTCTCCTTGAAGAGGTCCTTCACGTCCCTTGTAAGTTGGATTCTTAGGTATTTTATTCTCTTTGAAGCAATTGTGAATGGGAGTTCACTCATGATTTGGCTCTCTGTTTGTCTGTTATTGGTGTATAAGAATGCTTGTGATTTTTGTACATTGATTTTGTATCCTGAGACTTTGCTGAAGTTGCTTATCAGCTTAAGGAGATTTTGGGTGAGACAATGGGGTTTTTCTCGTCTTGTGGAGTTCCACGTATTTCTACAGAACATGATATTCAGGAAAAACTTAATGAAATAAAAATCAGATTTTTAGAAATCTTTCTGCTTAATCCTCTACTTTCCAGAAATATTTCACAAGAGTTAGTAGTTCAGCTTTTTTGAAATCCTGTCTACCTATACCCAACTTAATAGGATTTCTGGGCTCTCTTTCAGGTATTCAAACCTGGACTTTCAGCCAAAGAATTGCTTCCAGGCATAAAATCTTGATGATAAAAGACTCACCTTTCATTTTTTTTTGTTTTTGGTTTCTTTCTCTCAGGGATCACAATACTGTCATGCATGCAGTCGATAACTAAAAACAGTTACTTCATAAATTTTAAAACTATTTTAAAATAGTTTAAAATTTTAAAACTGTTTTTGTGTGAAATTTGCTGTCTGTTAGAAGTCATCACCACCATTTTCCTTCAGGTTATTCCTAGTTCAACAAATGTCTTTAATCTCTTAACTGCCTCATCATATATAATGATCTAATGCAACACATGGTCATTGAGCCCTTATCACATTTCATTTAATGATGTTCAAAATTTCAATGTTACATTTCATTTAATGATGTTCAAAATTTGAATGTCTCATGCCTAAGAATTTTCACTTTCTATAGCCTCCAACTCTAATTATGACTAATTACATTTAGTTCTTTATTGACCTTCAATTATACTTCTAAAAACCAGCAGAAATGATAATTTCCAGAGGTATAGTAAACCATGGGGAGATACAGATATTGCAATGAGAGAAGGGAAGAAGAAGGGGAAGAAGAAGAGGAAAAAGAAGAAGGAGGAGGAAGAGGAGGAAGGAGGAGGAGCAGGAAGATGGGGAGGAGGAGGAAGGAGAAGAAGAAGGAGGAGGAGGAGGAAGAAGGAGGAGAAGGAGAAAGAAGAGAAGGAAAAGGAGAAAAAGAAGAAGAAGAGAGAAAGAGAAGGAGAAGAAGAGGAGGAGGAAGAGAAGATGAGAAGGAGTGGTAACACTCCTTTTAGTAGAGTTTTACCATGTTGACCAGGATGGTCTTAATCCCTTGACCTCGTGATCTGCCCACCTCGGCCTCCAAAGTGCTGAGATTACAGGTGTGAGCCTCTCTGCCCAAAATAGTGGCTACATTTTAAGTGACACATGCAATGTTATATATATTTCTAAGCACTTCTCACAAATAAATTGTTTTAAACTCACAACCTTGTTAATTAAGTCTTATTGTGTCCGGAATTGGTTCCTTCTGGTGGGTTGTTGGTCTCACTGACTTCAAGAATGAAGCTGCAGACCCTCGTGTTGAGTATTACAGCTCATAAATTTAGTGTGGACCCAAAGAGTGAGCAGCAGCAAGATTTATTGTGAAGAGTGAAAAAACAAAGCTTCCACAGTGTGGAAGGGGACCAGAGTGGGTTGTTGCTGCTGGCTCTAGTGGCCAGCTTTTATTCCCTTATTTGGCCCCGCCCATATCCTGCTGATTGGTCCATTTTACAGAGCACTGATTGATCCATTTTACAGAGTGCTGATTGGTCCGTTTGTACTGAGTGCTGATTGGTGCGGTTACAAACCTTTAGCTAGACACAAAGTGCTGATTGGTGCATTTTTACAGAGTGCTGATCGGTGTGTTTACAAACCTTTAGCTAGACACAGAGTGCTGATTGGTGCATTTACAATACTTTAGCTAGACAGAAAAGTTCTCCAAGTCCCCACCTGACCCAGAAGCCCAAGCCGGCTTCACCTCTCAATCCTCCCTCTAAACAGGACACCCCAACTGCTGTTGGGAATTTGGCTGATGACTGCTCTAGCTACTTCCTGCTGGATAGGGGCAAAGAAGGGTCCCTGCAGTTGTAGTGTCCTCCAGAGGGGAACTCTTCAGGCCAGGGAAAGGGCCAGAGGATTGGTCCAGGGTTCCTTGGTAGTAGTTGTTAGTTGAGCTCATTTGGGGTTCCATTTATAAGACCACCTGTAGCTTGATGCCCTCAATTCTGGAGGAAACAAATTTGACAAGCAGTTTAAAAATACAGGGCCCAAAGGTGAGTAACAGCAAAATAGCTGCCACGGTACTTAGAAAGGGGAGAAGCCATGTTGCCCAACTCCAGAGGTTGGTATAAGAGTTTGAAAGGTGTTGCCTGATTTCAGAAGCCTTTTCCTGTAAACACCGGGTGGCATCTCTTAGTATCCCTGACTGGTTAGTGTAAAAGCAGCAGTCTTCCCCTAAGAAGGTGCAAAGTCCTCCTTTCTCAGCAGTGAGGAGGTCTAGGCCTCTGTGGTTTTGGAGAGTCACTGCTGCTAAAGAGTCTATTTGGGATTGTAGTTACTATCCTTACTGAATAGATTTTGTTATTTCTTGCAAACAGTCTGAGAAATCTTTTGAGAGTGTGTGGTAGTAGGATAATGAAGTAGATAAACTGGCTATTCTGGTTCCTGTAGCAGTGGCCATTTCTAACCCTATAAGTAGAGGTATTAGTTGTATGGCCCTGCGCTGATGGACTTGAGCTTTGAGGGGCACTGGTAGGTTCTGATTTCCATAAGATTAGAAGTTAGGATAATATATGTTTACACTGTTAACTTTTAGCAAACTCTACTTTTGTTGAAAACCTTGTAAGTTTGGGATTTCAATTATTCTTTGCTATTAATAAGACCTCATTCAGTCCATATTAACTGAGAATTGGTATAGATGGCTCCTTCCTGATTCTGTAAGTACTTTAAGGTTTGGCTGAGTGCAAACAGCTCACACATTTGAGCAGACCAATTATTAGGCAATTTTCCTAACTCTGCTTTAGGAGAGTTTCCTTATCATTTACTGAATACCTATTACGTCTTTTTTCCTTAATCGCCTCAGAGGAACCATCTAGTCCTGTCCTGAAGGGAGTTCCTCCTAGATTTGTCAGACCTTTGTATGGTAATTAATTAAGATTTAGATCCCCTGTTAGGAAACCTGCTGGGTTAAGGATTATTTATAGGAAAGCTATGGGTTGTCAGTGACCTCAGTGTTTTCAGGCTATGGCCTTGTTTACACTGACAACAAGGTGGTATTGGAGTGTTATAGGGTTACAGAGAAGACCTTCAATTATCAATTATAGGTTTTAAATTTATCCTGGCTTTTAAAGGAATAGGGTACACTGTTTTTTCTTTACTGCTTATATCTCTCTTTCTCTTTGACTTCATCTTTGTCTATCTCTTTCTCTCTTTCCTTCTTTGACTTTCTGTCAGTCTCTTCCTCTGTCTCTCTTTGACTTTGTCTCTCTATCTCTTCCTCTCTGTCTCCTTCTCTTTGACTTCCTATCTTTCTCTGTTTCTTCCTCTCTCTCTCTGACTTCCTGTCTCTTTCTCTCTTTCCTTTCTGCTGCCTCTGCCAGCTGCTTGTACTGCTGTTCTCCCTTCTCCTTTCCCTTTTTGATGGCTTTGGCAGTGTAAGACTGCCACCTCCTTGGGTTTTTGCACTGAGTGCAATAACTCCATGATTTCCCTGTGGTATTTAATGGGGGTTCCCCCAGAGGTTAGGAACTCCCTTTCTTTCCATATTGCAGCATGGGCATGAAGGATTAGATAAGCATACTTTCTATCTGTATACACATTTATTCTTTTCCCCTTTCCCAATTCTAAGTCTTGGGTAAATGCCACTAGTTCTGCTAACTGGGTGCTGGTCCCTTGGGGAAGAGGCTTACTTTCAAGTATGGTTACATCACTAACTATGGCATAACCTGCTCTTCATATCCCATTCTCCACAAATGAACTTCCATCGTTATATAGGTTAAGGTCAGGATTAGCTAAGGGGACTTCCAAGAGATCATCTCGGGCAGCATAAGTCTGGACTATAATTTGTTGGCAGTCATGCTCAATTGGTTCCCCATCCTCTGGGAGAAAAGTGGCAGGGTTGAGGGCCATTGACATATGTATTTGAAGCACCGGTCCCTCAAGGAATAGCACCTGGTATCTAAGTAGGCAGTTGTCTGATATCCATAAACTTCCTTTGGCACCTAGTATGCCATTTACATCACGAGTAGTCCAGACAGTGAGATCCTTTCCTTGTATTATTTTGGTAGCCTCTGACACTAAGATGGCCACCACCGCAACTACCTGCAAACAGTGAGGCCAGCCTTTTGCTACTACATCAATTTCCTTACTTAGGTATGTCACTGGTTGTGGGGTTGTCCCACGAGTATGAGTAAGGACTCCAAGAGCTATCCCTGCTCTCTCTCTGATGTATAAAAAGAAGTTTTGTCCTGTGGGAAGGCTTAAACCTGGAGCTTATAGTAGGGCCTTCTTTAAGATTTTGAAGGCTATTTCTGACCCTGGTTCCCATTCTACTAGATAAGTATTTGCCCTCTGGGTCTCCTTGATTAGAGTATACAGGAGCCTGGCTACCTTGCTGTATACAGGGATCCATAGTCAGCAAAAGCCAGTGATTCCAAGAAACCCCTGCAAATGTTTTAATGTCTTAGGGTGAGAATAAGCCAGTATAGGCTGTATTCATTCCTTACGGAGGGCCCTGGTTCCTCTGGCTAAAATTAGGCCTAGATATTTGACCTGCTGTAGGCAAAGCTGGGCCTTCAACCTAGACACCTTGTACACTTGATTAGCTAGAAAGTTCAAGAGATCTAGAGTAGCCTGCTGGCATGAGGCTTCCAAACTGGTAGCCAAAAGTAAATCATCCACATACTGAAGGACCAGAGTGCCTGGACTTGAGAAGAGACCTAGATCTTGGGCCAGTGCCTGACCAAACATGAGGGCTATCCCTAAACCCTTGGGGCAAGATGGTCCACGTAAGTTGGGATGTGTGGTCTGTGGGATCCTCAAAGGCAAAGAGAAACTGGGGAGTCAGAGTGCAGGCGAATACAGAAGAAGGCATCCTTGAGGTCCAGAACTGTGAACCATTCTGCTTCCTCTGGTATTTGAGAGAGCAGGGTATAGGGGTGGGTATAACTGGATATAGAGGAATTACTGCCTCACTGATGAGTCTAACATCTTGCACTAGTCTCCACTGACCATTCAGTTTTTGTACTCCTAGAATTGGGGTGTTGCAGGGACTGTTGCATTTCCTTACTAAACCTTGAGCTTTTAAACGTTTAACAATATCCTGTAATCCTTTATAAGCTTCAGGCCTTAAGGGATATTGCCTATGATAAGGAAAAGTGGTGGGATCTTTTAGCCTGATTTTGACTGGGCAGGCATTTTTTGCCCTTCCAAATTGTCTTTCCAACGCCCAGACTTCAGGGTTGACTCCTTCCTCAAGTAGGGGACAACAAATGGGTAACTTGTTCCCCATATTCATGTAGATAATAACTCCAGCTTTGGCTAATATATCTGTCCCTAATAAAGGTGTGGGACTTTCAGGCATAACAAGAAAGGCATGTGAAAAGAGCAAAGTCTCCCAATTAAAACTGAGGAGGTGGGAGAAATACCTGTTTACAGGCTGTCCCAGGATTCCTCGGATGGTAACGGACCTTGAAGACAGTTGTCCAGGACAGGAGATTAGTACTGAGAAGGCCATACCAGTGTCCAGGAGGAAGTGAATTTCCTGGCCCTCAATGGTTAAACATACCCGGGGCTCAGTGAGGGTGATGACATGAGCTGGCGCTTGACCTGGGCACCCTGAGTCCAGTTGTTGGATCATCTGGTTGGGGGCTGCTGACCCAGAGAAACTTTGTCTTCTGGGGCAGTGCACCTTCCAGTGATTGCCTCAGCATAGCGGACATGGACGAGGGGGTGGCTTGTTTCTCACTGGACAATCTTTTTTAAAGTGTCCTTGTAAACAATACTGCTAACAAGCCCTACCAGATGATTGGCCTGCTCCATTTTCTGTCCTCTGAACCACCAAGGTTTGTTTGCCTGAAGGCTATGACAAAGGCTGCAGCCTTTCTCTGATCTCGCTTTTCCTTTTGGGTGTGTTCCTCTTGGTCCATATTATAGAACACTGTGGTTGCCAGGTTTAATAATGCCTCCAGATTTTGTTCAGGGCCCAGGGCTTGCTTTTGGAGCTTTCTGCTGATATCCGCAGCTGATTGAGTAATAAACTTATCTTTTAGAATCAATTGACCCTCGAGTGATTAGGGTGATAGGGGAGTATATTGTCTTAGGCCTCCCATAGCCAGTCGAGGAAAGTGGAAGGATTTTCTTCCTTTCCCTGAATTATGGTGGACATCATTGAATAACTCATGGGCTTTTTCCTAATTCTCCTTAGTCCTTCTAGAACACAGGTCAACAGAAGTTTACAACTCCAGTCCCCAAGATCTGAGTTGAGGTCCCAGTGGGGATCCATACTGGGGATGGTATGCTAACCAGTAGGGACTTTGTCCCTTTCTTCAGCTGTCATTCTGTCATTTACTTGACTAAGATACCAGGTATCTCCAAACTCTCAGGCTGCAGCCAAAGCCTCATTCTTTTCATTAAAAGCCGGGGTTTGATCTCACAAGAGCATGACATCTCTCCAAGTGAGATCGAAGGTTTGCTCTAGACTCTGTAGGACATCTATGTACCTATCAGGATCATCTGAAAACTTCCCCCAGGTCTGCCTTGATCTGCTTTAAGTCAGAGAGGGAGAAGGGACATGTACCCAGGTTGGACCAAATTCCCCACCCCCTACAGCTTGAAGGGGGAACTGATAGCCGGGTGGATTTTGTGGTCCTTTGGAGATTTCTCTCCTTGTTCCCTTCTGGGCTGGGGAGATTAGAGGAGGCTTATCATTAATAGGAGGGGGAGCTATAGGGAGGCTAGGATATGGGGGTGAGCTGAAAGGTCCTCCTGTGAGATGTAAATTGCAAGCTTTGCATAGTTGTGGATTCACCTTCAATTAAAAGAAAGCTTGGACATAAGGTATCTCACTCCATTTGCCTTCCCTCTTACAGAAAAGGTCAAGCTGCAGGATAGTTTTGTAATTTATATTTCCCTCAGGTCACCTTTTTTCCCCATCAGAGAGAGAATATTGGGGCCAGGCCATGGTGCAGAAAAAAATGAGCCATCTCTTTTTCAGGGTTTGCAGGTCAAATTGGTCCCAATGACTTAGGATGCATTTCCAGGGTGAACCTGTTGATGCCTGTTTCCCATCTGAAAGACAAAACCACCCATGGTTTTGGTTTGTTTGTTTCCCGCTGCCCAAGAACCCGCAATGGTCCCTGGACCCTGCTGATTGGAATAGTTGTGCTCACCGACGCAGCAGCAGAAACACTAGTTTTCCTCCTAGAACACAAAGAGGACTGAGGAAGGTCGGATTTAGTGGCCCTTACCAACGCATTCTCGAAAACCTGTACCCTGTCCTCTTAGACCACAAAGAAGACCAGGAAAAATCGGATTTAGTGGCCCTTACCGACACATTCTCGAGAACTTGTTAGAGTCCTAAGCATTCTCCTGTTAGTATCGGGATCTTACCCCTGTCCTATAAAGATGTTATGCCCCAAAAATGAAGTGGAGGGCCAAACCCTGAGTGAGGGGAGGGATCTCCAGAGTTGGAAGATTGATGCCTTATGTCCTTACTTATATGAATAGGAAGGATACAATTTCTGAGGCTCCCCATATCCCCTGCTTGTCTGAGAAGGGATCCTAAAATTCCAGATAGTCCCCCCTATGATTGTGCTTTGGGCAAAAATTATGTCTTTCTGATTGGTGAGCCCGGGTGCCTAAAGAAGGTAACAGAGTCCTGAAGTTTATACTAGAAATCATTCTTACAGGAGAAAAGCCCCAGAGAGTGGTTTTTAGAAGCAGGACTAGTCTTGGAGAAGAGAGGTGAGAGGAAGTTTGTCTGACAGGCATTAGGACCCAGGAGCCAAGGGTCAGGATAGATAGGATAGATGGGCAAGTCTCGCTTGGGCGACATGACTTTGATAGTTCTGCTCATGGCCACAGGATCAACCAACTTTCTGTCAGGACCCTGGAGCTGAATGGCTTTCCTCTCTGTCAGCCCTTGGCTCAGCCTAGAAGTACAGAAAAAGTGGAAGCTGGTTCCAGGCAAACCAATGCTCACAACTCCAAAGATTTGGGGGTTGTTAGCCCTTTCCCAGAAAGCCTGACACCCGTGTCTTTAGTCCAGCGGCCACACTAGTCGCTTTTAACTGGCCAACATGTGCCCGGTATTTAGCCCCCAAATTCTAAGGAAACATAGGACAGAATAGCAAGCGAAAGGAGTCCAATGGCACTCACCACTTGGCGATAGTCGATAGTCCCATCTGGGTCACCAAAATATGTCTGGGATTGGTTCCTTCTGGTGGATTCTTGGTCTCGCTAACTTCAAGAATGAAGCCATAGACCCATGTGGTGACGGTTACAGCTCATAAAGGTAGTGCAGACCCAAAGAGTGAGCAGCAGCAAGATTTACTGTGAAGAGTGAAAGAACAAAGCTTCCACAGCGTGGAAAGGGACCCAAGCGGGTTGCTGCTGCTGGCTTGCTTGGCCAGCTTTTATTCCCTTATTTGGCCCAGCCACATCCTGCTGATTGGTCCATTTTACAGAGTGCTGATTGGTCTATTTTACAGAGTGCTGATTGGTCTGTTTTTACAGAGTGCTTATTTTTGCATTTACAAACCTTTAGCTAGACATAGAGCAATGATTGGTGCATTTTTACAGAGTGCTGATTGGTGCATTTACAAACCTTTAGCTAGACACAGAGCACTGATTGGTGCATTTACAATCCCTTAGCTAGACAGAAAAGTTCTCCAAGTCCCCACCCGACCCAGAAGCCCAGCCGGGTTCACCTCTCACTATTATTGTTATTGTACAAATTATAGAAACAACTCAAACAACAAAGAACCTGAAATCCTATAAAAGTTGTAAAACTATTAAATTTGCCAGATTTGGTGGCTCACACCTGTAATCCTAGCACTTTGGTAGGCTGAGGTGGGCAAATCACTTGAGGTCAGGAGTTCAAGACCAGCCTGGCTAACATGGTGAAACCCCATCTCTACTAAAAATACAAAAATAAGCTGGGCATGGTGGCATGTGCCTGTAATCCCAGCTACTCAGGAGGCTGAGGTAGGAGAATCACTTGAACCTGGGAGGTAAAGGTTGCAGTGGGCCGAGCTCACACCACTGTACTCCAGCCTGGGTAACAAAGCAAGACTCCATCTCAAGAAAACAAAACAAAACAAAACAAAACAAAACAACACTATTAAATGGTGAATCCAGGGTGTGAATCTGTAATCTGGTTTCAGAGTTGGTGTTTACTGTTATCATAAACTAATCCTCAAATATACCCAGATTGTTTAATTAGGAGGAAGGGCAATGTTTACTATTATATACATATGTATCTACTGCAAGGTGTGGACTTAATCATGAATATATAAAATATTATGGTTATTAAAATTTTGCTGTGAAATATTTAAAAAGTACTGTAAGTTAGTACTAACATTGGTCAGAAATTACTATAATTTATGTTGTAACTAATATGCCCTAATAATTGCTTGTGAACAGAAACAGTTCCTTTTGAATATCCATTGATGCTGTATAATTAACAAAGGTCTTCAAATCTATAATAATTTAATAAACGTTCATTTAAATAGAAATGACACAGGATCCTTTCGGTGCCACTTTGCAAGATGGAAATCTGTGTGACCAGTCGTGTCCTTACCTGGGCTTGGCTCAGTTCTGGGTTGACTACTGGGCTTGCTCTGCCCACTCGGCCTATTGGGCTGCACTCAGCTCATGCTACTGGCCTGGATTCTGCATGTCCACAGGGACTCTGTGTTCAGCCCGTGGCTGAGCCAGATGTGCTGGAGGAGGTTTTCATGTTGGTCAATGGTGGGTAGATGAGGGAAAAGTGGTGGAACCCCAAATCTGAGAGATGGCAGCAACCATGGAGGCCAAAGGTGTGTTACTGCTTTTGCTTGGGCAGTCCCAAGGCCTGAGCCCAACACCCACAGTGCAGCGAATGGGATGGCAGGGGGAATTGAGGGGGCGTGTTCCAGCTTGTTTGTGTTACAGCTTGTTTGTTCCCATCACCTGCAGTGCAGCGAATAAGGGCCTATCACGGCTCATTTGGTTCCTCCATTTGCAGCTTGGTGAACTGGGGCATGTGACACCCCAGCAGCTTTTTATTCCCTGTTGCTCAGCAAGTGGGAGGGAGGGTTACAATGTTACAGGTCTTTTCCCAGCTGCTTTTCCTCAGGCTCCAGGTTCCTGTCCTGGGACAAAGAAGAATGAGGTTATGTGGACACGAGAGTAAGTAAGGCAGTGTAGAAGAAGTTTATTGAGTGAGAGAAAAGCTCGCCACCATGAGAGGGGAAGCCCTCTTATGAGAGGGGTCCCAGAAGCAGGAGGCCCAATGTGTGACTGAGTCCAGGGTATATATGGATTCAGAAAGGGGAAGTGTGTGCTGATTGGCCCATGGGCGGGCCTGGGAAAAATACCATTCAATTGGCTAAAAGGCATCAAGGAAGTTCTCACTCTGGTAGTAGGCTCTTCCTGGAACTGGCTGCTCAACTTTTCAGGCTTTAAATTGTCTTTGGCTTGAAGGTGGGATTTCACAGGGGACCACTCCTTTGTCTTCTTAGGAATTTATCTGCCTCTTAGCACTGTCATAAACACTAATATACAAAAAGGTAAAAACTTTTCAGTCTTTGCCTTAATGTGAAAGTCCAGAATAATTTGTCCAAATACCATTTTAGGACTGTGTACATTCCAACAATTTTGAGGAGGGAGGAACAGAGGACATTGCTATGTTAAAGTATCCATATAGCTCATCATAATTCATTTGTTTATGATTACATATAAACCAGAAAGAAAGTGAGATACGTACTTTAAATGATCTTTTACTTAAACTTCAGCAAAAATGTTGTCATTTTTGAAATTCTCTAAAATTAAATTATAGTTTGTATGACTTTGGCTATGAGTTATGTCCATAAATAATTATTTGCATTGCATATATATATTGTGGTAATATGCTCTGAAATATCTAATCAATGTGTAATAAATTAAAATATGTATTTATTGGAATATTAGTGTTAGTACTTCATAATTTCATAGTAACTTTTATCTAGTAACTAAAGAAAACATACAAGTATCAACTAATCTTTATAGCGTTTCATTTTCTTTTAAATATGTATAAGAAGGGATCACCATGTCATTATAACTCACTAGAGATTTGAGACGAATATTATTTTTTAAAAACTTTCTATTTTTCGTTTTACCTCATTTTGAGATTATCTGAAATGTCTATGACTAACCAAAGGCATTGTGATTTTAACACATTCTTTACATTTAAGAGTCAAGTATTTAAGAATTCATGAAAAGAAAATGAATGTTTTATCTTCATGCAATAAAAATAACATGATCTTAGTGTCTCAGTCTCTGATAAATTGGCCTATTAACTCAGCAGTTAGTACTACTCCTTGTTTCTTCATCCTCACCCATGACCTTTCCTTTCCCCTTCATCTTTACTTTCACTTTGAGCCAATTAAGGATATTTTAGTCTACCTTGGCTTAAAAATATTTTTTAAATTTCTTCCTCAAATATTATTGGAACAATATTAAAAATACAGTAAATTATGATTTTTAAAGTACATTAGTTTGTTAACATTTCTCTTTGTCAATCCCCATGTGGTACCATTCCAGAATTTCCTAGCTTACACTGTTTTTTAAAACTATCAGGCAGTCTAGCATAGTTAAGACCAATAATTTCTATTCAAGTAACCTTAAATTCAAGCATATGCTGCTATTTCCTAGTTATAAAATCATTGGCAATTATTTTAACATATTTAAGAATCTATGCTCTCTAAAATAAGTGTATTAATAACATTGCTGCCCTGGCACTGTGGCTCATGACTGTAATCCCAGCACTTTGGGAGGCTGAGGCAGGCGGATCACTTGAGGTCAGGAGTTTGAGACCAGCCTGGCCAATATGGTGAAACCCTGTCTCTACTAAAAACTACGAAATTGGCCAAGGGGATTCACCTGTCATCCTAGCTACTCAGGATGCTGAAGCAAGAGAGTCACTTGAACCAGGGAGGCAGAGGTTACAGTGAGCCAAGATCACACCAATGCACTCCAACCTGGATGACAGAGCAAGAGTCCATCTCAGTAATAATAACAATAAGGCCGGGAGTGGTGGCTCACACGTGTAATCACAGCACTTTGGGAGGCTGAGGGAGGCTTGAACTACTTGAGATCAGTAGTTCAAGACCTGCTTTGCCAACATGGTGAAACCCCATCTCTACAAAATACAAAAATTAGCCAGGCATGGTGGGGCACACATGTAGTCCCAGCTACTCCAGTGGCTGAGGTGGGAGAATCACTTGAACTCGGGAAGGGGAGGTTGCAGTGAGCCAAGATCGCACCATTGCACTCCAGCCTGGGTGACAGAGTGAGATACCATCCAAATAATAATAATAATAACATAATAATAACAACACTGCGAAGTGGTAGGAAGGATTGAATGAAATAATACATATCCAGCAAAGTCACAAGTACTCCCAATTAATAGGAGCTTCTTATAAGTAGATAGATAAGTGAATATCAATTGAGCGTATCTTTCCATTAGAGGCTAAAATTAGAGTCACTGATGTTTCTGGGAATCCAATATTGATGTCATCAAATGGGCACATCATAGTTAATGGGTTAATTCTGAACAGCAACCCTCGAGGGCATGGGGCATATATATTTTATTTTAGTTTCCTTAATTTTTAGCACAATATATTGTGACTATCAGTGAATGCTCAATGAACAAACCAATTACTAAGTTAATGAATGAATGATCTGAGAAAAGGAATGGCTTCACAGTAGACAAATTATAATATGTACATGAGCATCTGTATCTCTCCTTATATCCATAAACTTATTCTATCATGTTGAGTAAACATATTCATTATAGTGACAGCATGGCTTTGAACTTTTGCATTAGACACAAGAACATTTTTATGCTCTTCTCATATTTCATCACTAGTCATGTATATGCTGTGAATTTCAGTGCCCATAATAGGGACAACTTTGCTTTAATCCATCCTCCTACTCTTGTTAGTTATCTGCTCTAAGACTAGACTACAGTGAATAGAAAAGCGAACATAAGGTTCAGGCCATTTAGTTTTCTATAGGGTATGTAAAATATTCTAATTTTTATATTAAAACAAGACATAAAATTCATGAAATTCTGAGTGCCTTTTTATGGATGGTGGTACAATGACTATATTTAAGTAATTGAAGACACACTAAACAGTTTTCAATTTTGTTTAAATTTTTTTATTGATGCATAATATTTTACATATTTATGAGGCACATGTGATATTTTGTTGCAAACATAGATTGTGTAATGATCAAGTCAGGGTATTCGGGGCATCTATCACCTTGTAGATTTATTATTTATATCTGTTGGGAATATTTCAAGTTCTCTTTTCTAGAGAGAGAATATATATGTTTTTATTTTAAAATTTAATATATATATTTTAATAACCTTACCAAAATTATCTAGACCTTGATTAAAATACAAAATGGAGATGGTTAATAACAGGAAAGTTTTCTGAAGGCTTGTGTATAGACACAAAAGGCAGCATTCCCTACCCTTTTCTAACAAAATGGTTCATTTTTAGGAAAACACATACACTTATTTTTGTTGGTTAGCAATGTGTTTCCTATTATTATTAGAATTAAGTCATTCTAATTAGCTGCCTTGAAGGGTAATCTGCTTTGCTGAGCATTTAATAAACACTGAGTGACACTTTCCCAGGTCTCTCACTTACGCAAAATATAATAACCTCTTAGTCTCTACATCTTTATGAGTCTCTGACGTGAATAACCAGGTAGTATAAATAATCAAGATGCTTTTATTATTAACTGCTGCCTGTAAAACTAACTTTCATCTCCCTGACTTAAATCTTTTTCTCCCAAACTCCCCACACTGTTTCCCAAGCATGGCTAAACTTGCCAAACCCATTAGACATTGTAAATATTGGACTTCCGTCTACATCTATTCTTTAGAACTAGAAAGGTGTTCCTATCTCCCTGATGCATTTTTACTTCCTTCTTTGCCCTTCTGCTGGTGCTGCTGAAGTTCTCAAAACCCATTAAAGTCCTAAATGTGATGACACCACTACTGAGGCAGTCAGAAGCATGCCCTTAGTCTTATTAAGCTTTTATTTCCACTGCATTATGAAAAAAATGCTCAACATTATTAATGATCAGAGAACTGCAAATATGAACTTCAGGGAGATATCATCTTATCCCAGTCAGAATGACTAGTATGAAAAAGACAAAAAATAACTAATAGATGCTGGTGAGGATGCAGAGAAAAGGTAATTCATATATTGTTGGTGGGAATGTGAACTCGTACATCCACTATGAAGACACTAAGGAGATTTCTCAAAAAACTAAAACTAGAACTACCCTTCAATATAGGCATCGCACTACTGGGTATCAACCCAAAGGAAAAGAAAGAGATATATCAAATGGATACCTGTACTCAGATATTTATGCAGCACTCTTCACAATAGCAAATATATGGAATCAACCTAAGTGTCCATCAATGGATGAGTGGATCAAGAAAATGTACTAGGTATACCCAAATGGAATACTCCACAGGTATAAACAAAAATGAAATAACGTCATTTTCAGCAACATGGATGAAACCGGTTGTCATTATCTTAAGTGAAATAAGCCGGGGACCAAAAGTCAAATATTGCATGTTCTCCCTTATATGTGGGAGCTAAAACTTTGATGACAGGGAAGTAGAGCGTGGACAGATAAACAGAATGTGAAGGGTGAGTTGGGGGAGGGGAGGAGGATGAAGAGGAGTGGGTTAATGGGTACAAACATACACTTAACGTAGAAAAAATGAATGTTTAACAGCAGAGTAGAGTGACTGTAGTTATACAAAAATGTAGTGTACTTGGGTGAGGGACAACCTAGATACCCTGACCAAATCACTATATATTATTTAAATTTCACATGTACCTTTATAAATTTTTACATATGAAAATTAATTAATTAGTTTAAAAAGCAGGCCTACACTAGCTTACCCATATGCTTACTAGTTTATTGGTACAAAATAGATAAAATGTTTGATCTCTTGAAATGCGTGAAGATATATTTAATATAACTATGGCTTATTTCCTTGTTTCTTTTTTCACTTTTAGCTATTTGTTAATGTCTCTGAGATAAACTATTATTTTAATATGGATACAGTATTAATCCTTTGTCATATTTTCATGCTTATAGACATAAGGTCACCCAATGATATAATTTTTAATTTCAACATTTAAAAAATTACATTAACTGTATTTATTTATTTATTATTCTTTTTTTATTATACTTTAAGTTTTAGGGTACATGTGCACATGGTGCAGGTTTGTTACATATGTATACATGTGACATGTTGGTGTGCTGCACCCATTAGCTCATCATTTAACATTAGGTATATCTCCTAATGCTATCCCTCCCCTGTCCCCCCACCCCATGACAGGCCCCAGTGTGTGATGTTCCCCTTCCTGTGTCCATGTGTTCTCATTGTTCAATTCCCACCTATGAGTGAGAACATGTGGTGTTTGGTTTTTTGTCCCTGCGATAGTTTGCTGAGAATGATGATTTCCAGCTTCATCCATGTCCCTACAAAGGACATGAACTCATCCTTTTTTATGGCTGCATAGAATTCCATGGTGTATATGTGCCACATTTTCTTAATCCAGTCTATCATTGTTGGACATTTGGGTTGGTTCCAAGTCTTTGCTATTGTGAATAGTGCCACAATAAACATACGTGTGCGTGTGTCTTTATAGCAGCATGTTTTATAATCCTTTGGGTATATACCCAGTAATGGGATGGCTGAGTCAAATGCTATTTCTAGTTCTAGATCCCTGAGGAATCACCACACTGTCTTCCACAATGGCTGAACTAGTTCACAGTCCCACCAACAGTGTAAAAGTCTTCCTATTTCTCCACATCCTCTCCAGCACCTGTTGTTTCCTGACTTTTTAATGATCACCCTTCTAAATGGTGTGAGATGGTATCTCATTGTGGTTTTGATTTGCATTTCTCTGATGGCCAGTGATGATGAGCATTTTTTCATGTGTCTGTTGGCTGCATAAATGACTTCTTTTGAGTAGTGTCTGTTCATATCCTTCGCCCACTTGTTGATGGGGTTGTTTGTCTTTTTCTTGTAAATTTGTTAGAGTTCATTGTAGATTCTGGATATTAGCCTTTTGTCAGATGAGTAGGTTGCAAAAATTTTCTCCCATTCTGTAGGTTACCTGTTCACTCTGATGGTAGTTTCTTTTGCTGTGCAGAAGCTCTTTAGTTTAATTAGATCCCATTTGTCAATTTTGGCTTTTGTTGCCATTGCTTTTGGTGTTTTAGACATGAAGTCCTTGCCCATGCCTATGTCCTGAATGGTATTGCCTAGATTTTCTTCTAGGGTTTTTATGGTTTTAAGTCTAACATTTAAGTCTTTACTCCATCTTGAATTAATTTTTGTATAAGGTGTAAGGAAGGGATCCAGTTTCAGCTTTCTACATATGGCTAGCCAGTTTCCCCAGCACCCTTTATTAAATAGGGAATCCTTTCCCCATTTCTTGTTTTTGTCAGGTTTGTCAAAGATCAGATAGTTGTAGATATGCATTGTATTTATTATAAAATATTTTTGTCATGTATAATTTTAGAAAATGTTATTAATATTATATTGAGTAGTTGCGATTTATTTAGTCATGCTATATCCGTATAAATTCTCACAAAACACTAAAAGAAAGAAACATTATTATCCTGTTTTAAAAATAAACTTTTAGTTTGGAATACCTCTACACTTACAAAATGTTACGATAGTACAGAGAATTCCTGTGTAACATTCACTCAGCTTCCCCTAATGTTAACATCTTATATAATCATGCTACATATATCAAAACAAAGAAGTTAGCATTTGTACAATACTATTACCAAACTACAGACCCTATTTGGGTTTCATCAGTTTTTCTTACTAATATCCTTTTCCTATTTTAGGATCTAACCCAGGATTCCACATTGTGTTAAGTCATCCTGTGTCCTTAGTCTCCTCAGGTCTTTGACAGTTTTTCAGTTTTTCCTTGTTTTTCATGGCCTGATACATTTGAGGGGTAGTAGTGAGATATTTTATAGAGCATTCCCAATACAGATCTGTCAAATGGGTTTTCATGCTTGGACTGGAGTTACAGATTTTTGTAAATAACACGACAGAGGTGTGGTACATTTGCCAACATCCCACCAGGAATACATGGTATCTACATGTATTCCTAAATGGAGCTGTTAAACCTTATCTCTTGGTTAAAATAGTGTCTACTGAAAATTTATTCACAAAGTTACTATGATTCTTGTCCAATTGTTTTTCATTTACTATGTATTTACTTCAATAGCTTTAGGGGTATCAGTGGGTTTTGGTTACATGAACGAATTGTATAGTAGTGAAGTGTGAATTTCTTTTTTTTTTTTTGTATTTTTTACTTATTTATTTTTTTTTTGAGATGGAGTCTCTCTCTGTCACCCAGGCTGGAGTGCAGTGGTGCAATCTCGGCTCACTGCAAGCTCCACCTCCCGGGTTCACGCCATTCTCCTGCCTCAGCCTCCTGAGTAGCTGGGACTACAGGCGCTCGCCACCACGCCTAGCTAATTTTTTGCATTTTTAGTAGAGACGGGGTTTCATGGTGTTAGCCAGGATGGTCTCGATCTCCTGACCTCATGATCCGCCCACTTCGGCCTCCAAAAGTGCTGGGATTACAAGCGTGAGCCACCATGCCTGGCCATCAAGTGTGAAATTTTAATGCACCTGCCATCCAAGTAGTATATATTTTACCCAACATATAATTATTTATCCCTCACCCTTCTTCCAACCTTCCCCCTTCTGAGTCTGTAATGCCCATTGTACCACTCTCTATGCCTTTGTGTACTCATAGATTAACTCTCAGCTACAATTGAGAACCTAAGTTATTTTATTTTCCATTCCTGGGTTACTTCACTTAGAGTAATGACCTCCAGTTTCACCCAAGTTGCTGCAAAATATATTATTCCATTCTTTTTAAGGCTGCATAGTATTCCATGGTATATATACATATATATGTATATATATACACACATACATATCATGGTGTGGGTGTACCTATATATGGTGCAGTATGTGTATATATATACAAACACACGTGTTACATATGTGTGTGTTTGTGTCTGTGTGTACCACATTTTCTTTATCCACTTATCAGTTGATGTTCACTTAGTTTGGTTTCATAGCTTTGGAATTGTAAATTGTGCTGCTATAAACGTACATATGCATGTGTCTTTTTCATATGATGACTTTTTTTTCCTGTGGGTAGATACACGGTAGTGAGATTACTGGATCGAATGGTAGATCTACTTTTAGTTTTTTGAGAAATCGTCACACGTTTTTCATAGAGGTTATATTAATTTTCATTCTCACCAGCAATGTATAAGCATCCCCTTTTCATCACTTCCTTGCCGACATCATTTTTTTTTTACTTTTTAGTAATGGGCATTATGGCTGTGGTAAGGTGGTATCTCATTGTGGTTTTAATTTGCATTTCCCTAATGATTAGTGATGCTGAGGATTTTTGCATATGTTTGTTGGCCATTTGTATATCTTATTTTGTGAAGTATCTATTCATGCCACTTGCCCACTTTTCAATGGGATTATTTGTTTTTTCTTGCTGATTTGTTTAAGTTCCTTGTAGATTCTGGATATTAGTCCTATGACAGAGGCATAGTTTGCAAATATTTCTCCCACTCTGAGTTTTATGTTTACTCTGATGATGATTTATTTTTCTATGAACAAGCTTTTTTAGTTTACCTATATCCCACTTATTTATTTTTGTTTTTGTTGCTTTCCCTTTGGGGACTTAGTCATAAATTCTTTACTACAATGTCCAGAAGAGTTTTTCCTAGATTTTCTTTTAGTGTTTTTATGGTTTTAAGTTTAAGTCTTTAATTTATCTTGAGTTGAACTTTGTATTTGGTGAGAGATAGGGAGCCAGTTTCATTCTTCTACATGTGGCTATCCAGTTTTCTTTGCACCATTTATTGAATGGGGTGTTGTTTCCCCAGTTTGTTTTCATATGCTTTGTCGAAGATTAGTTTGTTTTACATATTTGTCTCTATTTCTGGGTTTTCTATTCTGTTTCTTTCGTTTATGTATCTTTTATACCAGCACCAGGCTGTTCTGGTGACTATAGCCTTATTGCATAATTTCAAGTCAGGTAACACAATACCTCCAAGTTTGCTTATTGTTGTTGTTGTTGTTGTTATGTGTTTTGCTTAGTATTGCTTTGGCTATTCTGGCTCTATTTTTGTTCCATGTGAATTTTAGGATTGTTTTTCCTAATCGTGTGAAAAATGATGTGGTAGATTGATAGGAATTGCACTGCATCTGTAAATTGTTTTGTAAAGCATGGTTATCTTCATGATAATGATTCTTCAAATCCATGAGGATTGAATGTGTTTCCATTTGCTTGTGTCATCTATAATTTCTTTCAGAGTTGTTTTGTAGTTCTCCTTGTAGAGATTTTGTACCTTCTTGATTAAGTATATCCCTAGGTAGGATTTTTTGTTTCTGTTTTTTTTTTGTTTTTTTTTTTGCAGCTGTTTTAAAAAGGATTGAGTTCTTGACTTCTTGATTTGATATTCAGCTTGGTGGTTGTTGGTATATGGCATTGCTACTGATTTGTGTACATTGATACTTGAGACTTCTCTGAATTCATTGATCAAATCTAGGAGTCTTTTGGAGGCATCTTTAGGATATTCTAGGTATGCAACCATGGCATTGACAAACAGAGAGTTTGACTTCCTCTTTTCCAATTTGGATGCCCTCTATTTCTTTCTCTTGGCTGATTGTTCTGGCTGGGACTTCCTCCTTTCCAAACTTTATTCTTTGGAACAGAATCACTAAGTTCAGCCTACACTCAAGGGAAAGGAATTTAAACTCCACTTTCTGAAAGATGGAGTGTCAGCATGCATTATTTAGAATTCTCTCATAAGGAATATTTATCTCTTCTCCTCCATTTATTTATTCAATCATTTATTCTCCTCCATTCATTTATTCAATGCATATTAGCATGGACTTATAGTTACTTTTAGTCTTTGAGCTATAATATAATACTATCATTATTAATTCCTTTTTCCTTTTTTTTTTTTTTTTTTTTTTTAAAGACACTCTCACTCTGTTGCCCAGGCTGGAGTGCAGGACCATGATCTCAGCTCACTGTAATCTCTAGCTCCTGGGTTCAAGTGATTCTCATGCCTCAGCCTCTCAAGTAGCTGGAATTACAGGTGCATGCCACCATGCCTGGCTAAGTTTTGTATTTTTAGTAGAGGTGGGGTTTTGCCATGTTGGCCAGGCTTGCCTTGAACTCCTGGCCTCAAGTGATCCACCTGCCTCAGTCGCCCATAGTGCTGGGATTACAGAAGTAAGCCAATAAGTCCAGCCTTATCTTCCCTTTAAATGACTTTATTTTTTAGAACAGTTTTAGACTCACAGCAAAATTGAGCAGAAAGTAAAGAGAGTTCCCAAAATTTTGCTACCCTCCTCTCAACATGCAGCCTCCCACATTATCAACATTTTACGCCAGAGTGGCACATTTGTTGCACTCAATGAACTACCTTGACACATCACTATGGTCATTGAAGTCTATATTTTACATTAGCGTTTGCTCTTGGTGTTGTATATTCCATGACTTTTGACAATTTTGACATGTGTCCCACCTTATAGTATCATATAGAATTTATCTTCGTTATACATGACAGTAAACAGAATCTATCATATAGAATTCTATCACATGAATCTATCATATAGAATGTCATACATCATCTAACATAGATTTATCTTCATTTTACATGAGAGTAAACAGAATCATAGAAATAATAAGTTGCTCACAAAAGGTGACACAGTTTAACTTTTTGTGAATGATATAATGCATTTCATTAAAATTAATTGTAAATTTGATTTGAACTATATCATATACCATTGTCTTATAGATACATACCATAAACAATTTATCTCCTTATTTATGAATTTTTAATTATTATTATTTTTATTTAAATGAGCATGGTTTGGTTGATTTAAACATCTGCCTTATACTCCACCAAAACAATAAAGTCTGCAAAGAAAATATGTTTCTTCATTTTTATGTCCTCCTTTCTTCCTCATTGATCCGTTCAACTCAATAGCATTTAATATAGAACTTTTACTAGCAGAATAGATGATGGATTATTGTTTGCTGAATGAATGATTATCTAATATGTTATTGAGCTTAAGATTTTATCATGCACACTATTTAAACTGCCGTTATGGGAGCCTGACTTCTGAGGTTTCTTGAGGCTACTGTCAGAGGCAGGAATGTGAGTAGGATCGCATATTGTTTGGATCTAGTGTCACATACTTTATCTTCTTAAAAATGACTCTAGATTTTCACATATTGGCATATTGTTTTGATGTAGTGTCATATACTTTATCTTCTTAAAAATGACTCCAGATTTTCACATCCTGGATTGTGTTTTGGTATAATATTTAAAGCCTCATAATAATTTGAGAGAATTTATAGGTTCCACTTTAACAACCATCTGTGTACTGCAGCAAACACATGATCAAGGTTCTAGAATCTTGAAAATTTAACATATTTTCTAAAGTTTATCATTTTAACATATAAAAATGAGAATAACTTCACAGTAACCTCCACTGTAACCTTCTGATGGTCACAGAAAGGAGCAATAGCAAAAAAAGGATGATTTTACTTTGGGGAAAATTATGGTCTAGTACCACATATACTATTTTGTCTAGTGCTACTAATATCATTTGCTAGACCTCTTTTTTTAATAAGAAATGTCTAAGAAAGACCATCTTCCATTTGTGATTTACTAATAAATTGTGATAATTAATCTCCCCATTTACCCTATTGTCTTCCAGAAAAGCCAGCTACAACCTAGCCTATTTTGTGAAGCTGCACTTGTAGCTTATTTCAGCATGGACTGCATCTGAATGAAGATTTTAGGGCAAAGCTCCATTCTTTTTAATTTGAGGAATCACTCATTCTTGCAGCACTATGCATCCTCTTATGTTTCACTAGTCACATCTTTCTGTTGTCATTTTTGCAGAGTTATATTCTTGGTGGTGTTGTATATAGCAATAAATTGATTCTGTTCAGTTTTGATTCTACATTTAATCACCTGAAAACACTATTTTCTTTCCTGCTACTCTAGCACAAAATTATCTCTTAAGAGTAATTTGAATTCTCAGATTTTTTTGATGCCTTTTACATTTCTTTAACAAATTAGGACCCTCTAATAAATAATTTTACTTGGGGTCTAATTTAATAACTTAAAATTATTCAATTGATTGTATTCTGCTATGATAGATAAACGTTGTAATAGGCACATGATAATGTATATCCAAGAGAATAATTTGGAATGTTATTAAATTAGAAATGCTACAAACATTTTATAATTATGAAGGGGCATTCTGAGTACAGCAGAACAGAAAGATGAAAAGTTCCTGGATTCTGGTGACATTACTGAATTGCAAAATTAAACAACTCTAGAACTCTTCTACATTAAGATTTTATATGTAAGATGATAAACCCCTTCTGTTCAAGCTCTTCTTAGTTGGGGCTTATATAACTTGCAGCTAAATAGTTTCTAACTGTTAAAGAGGTTTTATTATAGTAGGGAAAATATAACTAAACCAATAAAAATAAATGATAACCATGACAAAATCTATGAAAGCACAAAAGGTGAAGAAAATCTTGATGGGCAAGCATTCTCTCAGAGACTTATTAATCCAGGTTATATTCAAATGGTGTTTTCAAGGATAATTGGGAATTTGTCAGAAAAAAAAAAAGGATGTTTTGGGAAGTAGAAGAAATAGCCATGCACAAAAAAACAAGATCAGGAAGAAACTGTTAAAAGTAGTGCAGGACACAAAATTATTGTCCATGCATGTGCACACAGGTTGTGTGTGTGTGTGTGTGTGTGTACACATGCAGGTGAGAAAGAATGAGAGGGAGGAGAAGAGATAGAAAAATGCACACAGGGAAACATAGACAAAGACATAGGGACAGTAGGTGCTTGAGATCATGATTAGTGTGTGTTTGAGGTATTAATGGTGAGAAGAATAGTTGAGCTACTGGGCAGGGATAGAAAGAGAGATTAAAGAGAAAGTTTGAAAGAGCTTCTGTTCCAAGACCCAGGAATTTTCATGTTAACTGAATGTGGAAGGGAGCCAGGATAGGAAGAGTATCATGATCAGCTTTAGTTGTTTCTTTTATTATGTTGTTCTCAGCATTTGAAGAATGCAATATAGGGGAATATAGAGAGTCTGTGAAGGGCAGTGACAAAGAAGAATGGTGGAATTGGAGCCCATGGAGATCAGATATGAAGCTACTACCCTCTAATGTGAATGACTCTGGGGTAGGACTAAAATTCAAAGTGAGGAGAGATGATTAAGCAGGCATTAATGAGACACTCATGTCTTCCACTCCAACTGTATTTTTCACCACTCTTCATCCTTCTCCAGGCATATCACCTTCTTTTGGTTCATTAAGGTTAGAAATGTTTTTCCCTCCTCAGTCCAGTACTTGTTGCACTCTTTCATCCTGGAACACTCTCCCTGGACTCTTTATCTGGAGAACCAATGCTCATCTATTAGGTCTCATTTTTAATGCCTTTGCTTGGGGGAAACTTGACCCCAGAAGGGTCAGCTAACTGTATTAATATGCTGTGTCCTCAAAGTATTGTAAAATTTTCTTTCATTATAATTATTCAAATTGTATCTAAATAAAGCTTTATGAAAGTACCTCTTTTACATGTAGTTCATCCACCAGACTGGGTATTCCATGAACACATGGACCATGTCTGTTTTGTCACATGCCACGTTCTGGCCATATCATGCTTACCCAATAAGTAGTTTGTGAAAAAATAAACAAGTAAATGAAACATTTATTACTAGCCTGAAATGGAAGGGTATGTATAAGGCATTAGGGTTGTGGAAATACTTAAATAGGGAATGCAATTTATATCAATTGTCCTTCATCATTTGGGATTTTGCAGACTAATAATTTTATAAAAGCCATGGGCTCTCTTCACCAAAAAAATCTGTAATTTAGTATCAGTAAACATCAGTTTAAGAAATCTCATTTTAAAAACTATTATTATTAGAAAATTATACAATCAAGTTTAGATTGTGGGAAGATAAAAGTTATCTAGGAAATCTGTGTTCCTAAATCAATAGTACTGGACAGAGGCTTACAGATTCTCTATATTTCTATTAAAATAAGATGAGAGGCCCATTCAATATGATAATGGCTATGGGTTTGTCATAAATAGCTCTCATTATTTTGAGATACGTCCCATCAATACCTAGTTTATTGAGAGTTTCTGGCATGAAAGGCTGTTGAATTTTGTTGAAGGCCTTTTCTGTGTCTATTGAGATAATCATGTGATTTTTGTCTTTGGTTCTGTTTATATGATGGATTATGTTTATTGATTTGCATATGTTGAACCAGCCTTGCATCCCAGGGATGAAGCCCACTTGATTATGGTGGATAAACTTTTTGATATGCTGCTGGATTCGGTTTGCCAGCATTTTATTGAGGGTTTTTGCTTGATGTTCATCAGGGAAATTGGTCTGAAATTCTCTTTTTTTTGTTGTGTCTCTGCCAGGCTTTGGTGTCAGAATGATGCTGGCCTCATAAAATGAGTTAAGAGGATTCCCTCTTTTTCTATTGATTGGAATAGTTTCAGAAGGAATGGTACCAGCTCCTCTTTGTACCTCTGGTAGAATTCGGCTGTGAATCCATCTAATCCCGGACTTTTTTTTTGGCAATAATTAATAGCCTCAATTTCACAGTCTGTTATTGGTCTATTCGGGGATTCAACTTCTTCCTGGTTTAGTCTTGGGAGGGTGTATGTGTCCAGGAATTTAACCATTTCTTCTAGATTTTCTAGTTTATTTGCATAGAGATATTTATAGTATACTCTGATGGTAGTTTGTATTTCTGTGGGATCAGTGTTGATATCCCCTTTATCATTTTTTATTGCATCTATTTGGTTCCTCTCTCTTTTCTTCTTTATTAATCTTGCTAGCGGTATATCAATTTTCAAAAAAACCAGCTCCTGGATTCATTGATTTTTTTGAAGGGTTTTTTATGTCTCTATCTCCTTGAGTTCTGCTCTGATCTTAGTTATTTCTTGCCTTCTGCTAGCTTTTGAATGTGTTTGCTCTTGCTTCTCTAGTTATTTTAATTGTGATGTTAGGGTGTCAATTTTAGATCTTTCCTGCTTTCTCTTGTGGGCATTTAGTGCTATACATTGCCCTCTACACACTGCTTTAAATGTGTCCCAGAGATTCTGCTATGTTGTGTCTTTGTTCTCATTGGTTACAAAGAATATCTTTATTTCTGTCTTCATTTCGTTATGTACCCATTAGTCATTCAGGAGCAGGTTGTTCAGTTTCCATGTAGTTGAGTGGTTTTGAGTGAGTTTCTTAATCCTGAGTTCTAGTTTGATTGCACTGTGGTCTGAGAGACAGTTTGTTATAATTTCTGTTCTTTTACATCTGCTGAAGGGTGCTTTACTTCCAACTATGTGGTCAGTTTTGGAGTAAGTGCGATGTGGTGCTGAGAAGAATGTATATTCTGTTGATTTGGGGTGGAGAGTTCTGTAGATGTCTATTAGGTCTGCTTGGTGCAGAGCTGAGTTCAATTCCTGGATATCCTTGTTAACTTTCTGTCTCGTTGATCTGCATTCCCTTTGAAAACTGGCACAAGACAGGGATGCCCTCTCTCACCACTCCTATTCAACGTAGTGTTGGAAGTTCTGGCCAGGGCAATCAGGCAAGAGAAAGCAATAAAGTGTATTCAATTAGGAAATGAGGAAGTCAAATTGTCCCTGTTTGCAGATGACATGATTGTATATTTAGAAAACCCCATCGTCTCAGCCCAAAATCCCCTGAAGCTGATAAGCAACTTCAGCAAAGTCTCAGGATACAAAATCAATGTGCAAAAATCACAAGCATTCCTATACACCAATAACAGACAAACAGAGAGCCAAATCATGAGTGAATTCCCATTTACAATTGCTTCAAAGAGGATAAAATACCTAGGAATCCAACTTACAAAGGATGTGAAGGACCTCTTCAAGGAGAACTACAAACCACTGCTCAACGAAATAAGAGGACACAAACAAATGGAAGAACATTCCATGCTCATGGATAGGAAGAATCAATATTGCGAAAATGGCCAAACTGCCCAAGGTAATTTATAGATTCAATGCCATCCCCGTCAAGCTACCAATGACTTTCTTCACAGAATTGGAAAAAACTACTTTAAAGTTCATATGGAACCAAAAAAGAGCCCGCATCACCAAGTCAATCCTAAGCCATAAGAACAAAGCTGGAGGCATCACGCTACCTGATTTCAAACTATACTACAAGGCTACAATAACCAAAACAGCATGGTACTGGTACCAAAACAGAGATATAGACCAATGGAACAGAACAGAGCCCTCAGAAATAATACCACACATCTACAACCATCTGATCTTTGACAAACCTGAGAAAAACAAGCAATGGGGAAAGGATTCCCTATTTAATAAATGATGCTGGGTAAATTGCCTAGCCATATGTAGAAAGGTGAAATTGGATCCCTTCCTTATACCTTATACAAAAATTAATTCGAGATGGATTAAAGACTTCAATGTTAGACCTAAAACCATAAAAACCCTAGAAGAAAACCTAGGCAATACCATTCAGGTCATAGGCATAGGCAAGGACTTCATGTCTAAAACACCAAAAGCTATGGCAACAAAAGCCAAAATTGACAAATGGGATCTAATTAAACTAAAGAGCTTCTGCACAGCAAAAGAAACTACCATCAGAGTGACAAGCAACCTACAGAATGGGAGAAAATTCTTACAATCTACCCATCTGACAAAGGGCTAATATCCAGAATCTACAAATAATTTAAACAAATTTACAAGAAAAAATCAAACAACCCCATCAACAATTGGGCAAAGGATATGAACAGACACTTCTCAAAAGAAGACATTTATTCACCCAACAGACACATGAAAAAATGCTCATCACTGGTCATCAGAGAAATGCAAATCAAAACCACAATGAGATACCATCTCACACCAGTTAGAATGGCGATCATTAAAAAGTCAGGAAATAACAGGTGCTGGGGAGGATGTGGAGAACTAGGAACACTTTTACACTGTTGATGGGACTGTAAACTAGTTCAACCCTTGTGGAAGACAGTGTGGCAATTCCTCAGGGATCTAGAACTAGAAGTAGCATTTGACCCAGCCATCCCATTACTGGGCATATACCCAAAGGATTATAAATCATGCTGCTATAAAGACACATGCACACGTATGTTTATTGTGGCACTATTCACAATAGCAAAGACTTCGAACCAACCCAAATGTCCATCAGTGATAGACTGGATTAAGAAAATGTGGCACATATACACCATGGAATTCTATGCAGCCATAGAAAGAATGAGTTCATGTCCTTTGTAGGGACATGGATGAAGCTGGAAGCCGTCATTCTGACCAAACTATTGCAAGGACAAAAAACCAAACACTGCATGTTCTCACTCATAGGTGGGAATTGAAGAATGAGAACACTTGGACACAGGGTGGGGAACATGACACACTGGAGCCTGTCATGGGGTAGGGGGAGGGGGGAGGGATAGCATTAGGAGATATACCTAATGTACATAATGAGTTAATGGGTGCAGCACACCAACATGGCACATGTATACATATGTAACAAACCTGCATGTTGTGCACATGTACCCTAGACCTTAAAGTATAATAAAAACATGTAAAAATAAAATAAAATAAGATGAAAAGCAATCATTTGAAGTTATAACAGAAAATTTTGGAATGTATATGAAAATTGAATGCTTAACATTTGGTATTTACAAACTATCCTCTAGAGATAAATTATTAGATTGTGAATACTATTCCTTCTAATATGCTTCAGAGATGCTGTGTTTGGAAAGTAGAGTGTAAGAAATGTAGGTTAAAAGAACTTAAGCTTATTGCCTTAAAATGTGATTATTTTTTTCTAATTAATTTTTACAAATGTCCAGTATTAGCATTGACTAATTAAGGGGTGATTATTTGTGTGGCCTCTATTATTTACTTGCTTTGTTAAATTTGGACAAATTTCTTAAACTCTGGGTTGTAGTTCCCTCATTTTTAAAAGGTAGCATGATTGGTTGCTATGATACAGTGTACACAGTGAACTTATATTTTTCTGACACATGACAAGAGTTCTGTATATAACAACTGTCATTGCTATCCACCCTATCTCCGAGAAAAGAAGAAAAAGTAATTCAGAGGATTTGTTGTACTATTTCACCTTTTTATTTTTTTTATTTTTTTAATTATTATTTTTTTTCTTTCTTTATTTATTTTTTTATTATTATACTTTAAGTTTTAAACCAGTAAAATCTTGACCCTCTCCTAAATTAGATTCACTGTCCCAGATTTTAATTAAACATTTGCCTGTGTTCTTCCATTTGCAAATAATCACCTATGCATACAGATCACAACCATCCACAAACATAATATCAAATGGGTTCCTGAATTATTACAGGATCTTAAATTTTTTAACAATACCATTGTATACAAGCAATATATTTACTGATCATTTCTCAGAAATTATTAGCAAAAGAAAATAAATCATTGCTAAATTAGCTCCTCTAATGTAACAAGGATTTATGTTATTTTGAAATATTATTATACACATTTATTAATAATGGGATAATTCATAATACAGCTTAGTACAGTGATATTTATCTTCAAATCACTTTGGGAGTGCTAATATTCTATTTCTCATGATTAATTTAGAATAATTCTCCTCTTGATTAATAATATGTGTCATCATTTACATTATTTATACTTTATTATCAACTTTATGTTAGTTAAAAATTAAGTTTAGAAGCACCCATAAACTTCTTCATTGTTCTTTTCTCTGCCTTCATAGTTTTTATTTTTAGTCTATATAAAATTTTAACTGAATCATCTGGCCATTGCTGAAGTTACCAGTACGAACTCTATCAGTTATTATTTCTACAGCTGTTGCAATGTTAAAAATTAGCATTTAGGTCGGGCACAGTGGCTCATGCCTGTAATCCCAGCACTTTGGGAGGCCAAAGCAGGTGGATCACGAAGTCAGGAGGTCAAGATCAGCCTGGCCAAGATGGTGAAACCCCATCTCTACTAAAAATAAAAAAATTAGCCGGGCGTGGTGGTGGGTGCCTGTTAATCCCAGCAACTCGGGAGGCTGAGGCAGAGAATTGCTTGAACCCGGGAGGCAGAGGTTGCAGTGAGCTGAGATCACGCCACTGCACTCCAGCCTGGGCGAAAGAACGAAATTCCGTCTCAAAAAAAAAAAAAAAGGTGTTTAGATTTAGATACCATCAATGTTTTCCATTGGCTAGTGGATAAAATCTAAGTTCCCCAGTTCGGAGTTCAAATCTATCAACTAGTATTTGATATAATATACTTTCCGTCTATTGGAACTTGCTACGTGGAGAATATTCATATCCCAGTTTTAACTTTTGATTTATTTTTAATTAATTTTTAATTTGGGGGTACTAGTAGGTGTGTATACTTATAGGTTATACGAGACATTTTGATACAAGCATACAATGCGTAATAGTCACATCAGGGTAAATGGAGTATTCATCATTTCAAGCATTTATCCTTTCTTTGTGTTAATAAACATTCCAGTTATAGTCTTTCATTTATTTTTAAATGTGCAATAAATTATTGTCGACTGTAATCACCCTGTTGTGCTATCAAATACTAGCTCTTATTCGTTATATTTAACTATATTTTTATACCCATTTCTCATCCCCACTCCCCATGTCCATTACCCTTCCCAGCTTATGGGAACCATCATTCTGAGTGTCCATCAACAGACAAATGGATGAAGAAAATGTGGTGTATATAATAATGAAGGATCATTCAGCCATAAAAAAGAATGAGATTTTTTCATCTGTAACAGCATAGAACTGAAGAACATTATGTTAAGTGAAATAAACTGAGCACAGAAAGACCATCTTTGCACGTTCTCATTTATTTCTGGGAGCTAAAAATTAAAACAATTGAACTCTATGTACTATTTTTAATTAGAAAGTAGAATCGTGTACCATTTTTTATTTCAGTAGAGTAGAATTATGTACCATTTTTAATTTGCATGTTTTTTTTTTTTACTTTCTTTCCATTTTATATTGTTTGATCTGTCTCATTTGAAAATCCAGTTCATCCATAAGATAGTCCTAGGGTCTAGTTTCTAGCCTCAATTCCTCTGTCATATTCCTAAAATTTTTCTTGACTATAATTAATCTTGTTCTTACACACAGTATTTTATATTCTTTAAATCATTTTGCTTATTTGGAAACAAACTATACTATATTAGGCAAAAGGCAAAAGCTAAACAAAAGGCAACAAAGAACTTAAAAGATCATTAAGTGAAATAAGCCAGGCACGGAAAGACAAGCATCACATGTTCTCACATATTTGTGGGATCTAAAAATCAAACAATTGAACTCATGGACATAGAGAGTAGAAAAATGGCTACCAGAGGCTGGGAAGGGTAGTGGGGACCTGGTGGGTAGGAGGAGATGGTTAATGGCTACAAAAAGAAAATAGAAAGAATAAATAAGACCTACTATTTGATAGCACAAGAGGGTGACTATACTCAATAATAACTTAACATATTTAAATAAAGGGTGTAAGAGGATTGTTTGTTACTCGAAGGATAAATGCTTGAGGAGATGGGAACCTTATTCTCCATGATGTGCTTAGTTCACATTGCATGCCTGAATCAAAACATCTCATGTACTCCATAAATATGTACATCTACTAGGTACCCACACAATTTTTAAAAATAAATTTAGAAGAAATAAAAAACAATACTTCAAATATGAACACTCTTTAAAAAAGAAATAAAGAATGTGTAATCGGCTGGGTGCAGTGGCTCACACCTGTAATCCCAGTACTTTGGGAGGCAAGGCAGGCAGATTACTTGAGATCAGTAGCTCAAGCCCAGCCTGGCCAACATGGTGAAACCCCATCTCTGCTAAAATTACAAAAATTAGCCTTGCATGGTGGTGGGCACCTGTAATCCCAGCTACTTGGGAGGCTGAGGCAGGAGAATCATTTGAACCCGGGAGGCGGAGGTTGCAATGAGCCAAGATTTAGCCACTGCCCTCCAGCCTGGATTACAGAGAGAGACTCTGTCTCAAAAAAAAAAAAAAAAGTATAATTATTTCAAGAAGGAAAAAAGTACCTTACATTTTATTTTTTCTCTCATAAAATTTGCTTTACATATACACATTTTTACAGGATACTATTGTATATGTTGTTTTGTGATACATTTTATTTTATAGAAGTATAAACAATTGCCATGTCAATAGATATATTTTGTAACTACCAAGTAATTATTTTTTATTTTTATGTAAGGTGTGTACATAACATAATAAAACAAGCACACATAGATTTACCAACCAACATAACCACATGATTTGGGGCATTATTAAGATTACTGACATTAGATGGGTATTCATGCAAAATGCTTGTCCTAAATTTTGTGTTTATCGTTCCCAACCTTTGTGTGTTTGCATATTTGTGTGCATTTTCTCCCATATACATTTGTCTTTAAGAAATATGGCTAGTATTGATTATTCTGAATTTTATAGAATCAGTAATATTCTCTAATTTTTGGAACTCACATTTTTCACTGAATATTTATTTCAAGGATATCTTTGTTACTGGTAGTTGTAGTTCAATTAATTCTCATTAACAAATTAAAGTATGAGATAATACTGTAATTTATTTCTCTATTCTCCTATTGATAGAAAGGATAATTCAGCTTTTGCTCTTATTAGCAATGCAGCTAAAACCATTCTGTTTCATATCTCTACAAACATAGCCTAGAATATAGAACTAGAAGTGAGTTGTAAGATCAAAGGCCAAGTGTCTATCAACATTAAAGAATATTGACAATTCTTTTTCCAAAAATAGTTATTTAAAATTTATTTATATAAATATTGTGGATGACCACTCTTATTCCATTCCATGTACTCACCAATACTTGTTACTTTAAGCCTTAAATTTTGCTGATCTGCTATAGCATTGTAGCTCACTGGGTCTTAAGTTGCATTTTCTTAATTACATAAGAGATAAAACCATCATTTCCTAATTTAATACATAATTTGTTTTCCTCATTTTGAGATATGACTATGTATTTACCATTTTCTTATTTAAATTTTTTCATTTACCTATTGCTTTATAAGTATTATTTACAAATTCTAAATACTAATCTTTTGATTTGCAAAAAGCTACTCACAATTTGTATGTGTAGCGTGTGTTTGTGTATATGTGTGTTACTATATATATTATATATATATATAATATATATTGTATTATATATATATAATATATATTATATATATTATATATATAATACAATATATATTATATATATATAATACAATATATATTATATATATATATATATATATTTTTTTTTTTTTTTGAGACAGAGTCTCACTCTGTTACCCAGGCTGGAGTGCAGTGGTGTGATCTCATCTCATGCAACCTCCACCTCCCGAATTCAAGCGATTCTTTGGCCTCAGCCTCCTGAGTAGCTGGGACTACAGGCACGTGCCACCACACCTGGCTAATTTTTGTGTTTTTAGTAGAAATGGGGTGTCACCATATTGGCCAGGCTGCTCTCGAACTCCTGACCTTGTGATCCACCTGCCTCGGCATCCCAAAGTGCTGGTATTACAGGCGTGAGCCACCATGCCCAGACTACTGTATTTTTGATACCGTTTGATAAATAGGTTTCCACTATTTCTTCAGTAAATATTGCAAAATTATATTTTTCTTGAAATTTCTCAATTGCTTATGTGTTTTCCAATGGATTTAAAGTTTATGTGGTGTTGCCTTTATGTCTTTTAAACTTCAGCTGCAAACATTTTATGCCAAATTTCTCATTCCAAATAGCTTATTTGTGCCTATCAATATTGCTTGAAAGATGTGTATTATATTGTTTTCAAATTGTTAATTTTTCTGTTTATACTTTTCATTCTAATTTTGTTTTCTATTCCCACAATTTGTGTCCCTCTCTTTACTATCAGCATTTTCTAATTTATTTGAGTTGTTTTCCCAGCTTTTAAATTTTTTTTTGCCTTTTGTTTTTCTTTGATATGGGCATTTAGAAATTATACATCTTCCTACAAAGGGTTACCTTAGCTACATTCCTAACATTTAACATATACCATTGTTATTAGAAATAAAGTTTACAAATTTTTTAAATCCCTTATTATTTCTTCTTGGATGTATAAGTTATTTATAAGTACATTTTAAAATTTACAAATATATGGTGGATTTTGTTAGATTACGTGACAAAGAACAACTAAAATTACCAATCAGCTGATTTTAAAGTAGAAATAATACCCTAGATTTTCTGAATGGACCCTAAGTAATGACAAGGGACCTAAAAATTGGACAGGGAGGGCAAAAGGAGGGCATCGTGACTATGGACAGCATAGAGGGTTACAATGATGCTGGGTCTGCAAATAGAGGAAAGAAGCCATAAGCCAAAGGATGTGACTAGGCTCTAACAGCTGGAAGGGCCAGGGAGTGTATTCCTCCCTAGCGCCTCCAGAAACACACATAGTTTCTGGGCCACCTTGATTTTAGCCCATTGAGATTCATGTAAGATGTCCAACCAACAGAACTTTAGGATAATGAATTTGTGTTGTTTTAAACCACTTGTGTGTTTTCACAGTTGTGTTATAAGTTGTTGCAGCAGCAGTAGGAAACTAATAACGCTGGTATGACAACAAATTTAGCAACACCATGATTTTGGACAAGTGACTTAATCACTATGAGTTTCAATTTTTTTTCCTGCAAAAATGGGGATTCTAATACACCCTTATTTCTTCATATTTTAGTATTATTGACATGAAGATATAATTTTGCTCTAATATTCTGATACTCCTTTTACTCTGATACTCCCTCACCCAGAAATGTCAGTAGATGTTGTTGAGTCTTTTATTTTATTTTATTTTCATGCCCTTAGAATCATGGAGAAGCTCTCATACCTGCCTTAACTTTCAGGAAGTGCTTGTGAAGGGAAAGGTGATTGCTCTGGGCAAATAGCATTGATAAAATTCATGATTATAGTCAGGAAAGAAAGCAGATTGGTAGAGAAATATCAAATTGAATAAAAGCACAGAAAGGATGCTGTAGGGTTTATTCAAGAGATATGAATTCCCATAGTTTGTTGCAAGGGGGCCTTATACAATACATTCATTGTTGATAATTGTGATGGTGCTTATCTTACTATATACCACTATTTATTCTGAAGTTAGATCAAAGAAAAATTTGAGAAAAATCCAAGATTTTGTTAAGAATCAAGACAGCTATTCAACTTTTAGGGAATTATTTGTTGGCTCTAATTTAGAAATAACTCTATTATACAGAATCCCATAAGAAGGTTTGCTTTTCCCTCTTAACAATCATCTAACTTTGGCAAACATTCTGAAGATGGAGAGTTGGAAAGAAACAAAACGCCGGGAACATTTGAGCTACTTCAGGTTACAGCCATTAGTCCTGAAATACCATAAGGGTGGGGAATAGAGCAGTAACTAAGGACAAATGGTGCATGTGTTTTCTCCAGAAACATATAAGAAGAACTTTAGCAGAATAAGGAACACAGAAATAGGAAGATATTAATTCAGCTTTGAAAACTGTATATTAACCAGATTTTCTTTTTTAGAAGTATTTATTCGCAGTCCAGCTAGGTGCCCGGTATGCTAAGGAAAGCATGGATTTTCTTGTACAGTTAGTGACCATTTAGGTTTTTTAAATATTTGTATTGAATGCATAAAAATAAACATGTTAGAATCAAAGGATTAAAAAAGTCAACTTTTATTTTAGATACATGATGTACATGTGTACGTTTGTTACATGGGAATATTGTGTGATGTCGAGGCTTGGGGTAGTGATCCTGTCACCTGGGTAGTGAGCACAGTACCTAATAGGTAGTTTTTGAACACAACCTTCTCACATTCCTTCCAACTTCCAGTATCCACAGTGTCTATAACTTCCGTATGTATGTCCATGTGTGCTCAGTGGTTAGCTCCTACTTATAAGTGAAAACAAGCAGTATTTGGTTTTCTGTTCCCATGTTAATTCACTTAGAATTATGGCCTCCAACTCCACCTATGTTGCTACAAAAGACATAACTTTATTTCTTTTTTTATGGCAGTGTGGTGTACATGGTTTTCATGTACACATTTTCTTGATCCAATCCACCATTGAAAAACAGGCACCTGGGTCGATTCCAATCTTTGCTACTATGAATGGTGCCGCAATGAACATAGGAGTACCTGTGTCTTTTTGGTAGAATGATTTATCTTCCTTTAGGATCTATCCCCAGTAATGGGATTGCTGGGTCAAATGGTGGCTATATTGTAAGTTATTTGAGAAACCTCCAGACTCCTTTCCACAGCAACTGGTCTAATTTACATTCCCACCAACAGTGTATAAACATTCCCTTTTCTTCACAGCCTCACCACCATCCCTTGTTTTTTGACTTTTTAATAATAGCCATCCTAATTGGTGTGTGAAATAATTTTGTAGTTTTGATTTGCATTTCTCTTATGATTAATGATGCTGAGCATTTTTTTCATATGTTTGTTGGCTACTTGCATATCTTCTTTTGAAAAGTGTATGTTCATGTCCTTTTCCCATTTTTAACAGGGTTATTTGTTTTTTGCCTGTTGATTTAATTTCCATATAGATTCTGGATATTAGGCCTTTGTTAGATGCCTAGTTTACAAATATCTTCTTCCATTCTGTAGGTTGTCTGTTTTGTTGATAGTTTCTTTTTCTATGCAGAAGTTCTTTAGTTAAATTATATCTCACTTGTCTTTTTTGTTGTTGTTGCAATTGCTTTTGGGGACTTAGCCAAAATTTGTTTTCCAAGGCCAATGTCAGAAGAGTATTTTCCAAGTTGTCTTCCTGGATTTTTAGTTTGAGTTCTTACATTTAAATATTTGATCCATTTTGTATATTGTGAATTTTTGTATATTGTGAAAGGTAGGGGTCCAGCTTCAATCTTCTACGTGTGGTTAGCCAGTTATCCCAGTTCCATTTATTGAATTGGGAGTCCTTCCCCCATTGAAAGTTTGTGTTGGCCTTGTCGAAGATGAAATGGTTATAGGTGTCCGACTTTATTTCTGAGCCTTCTATTCCATTTAATTGGTCTACATGTCTGTTTTTGTGCTAGTACTAAGCTGTTTGACTACTGTGCCTCCATAGTATAGTTTCAGGTCAGGTAGTGTGCTACCTCCAGTCTTGTTCTTTTTGGTTAGGATTGCTTTGGCTGTGTGGGCTCACTACATAAACAGAATTAAAAGCAGAAACCATATGATCATCTCAATAGATACAGAAAAAGCTTCTGATAAAATCCAACATTCTTTTGTCATAAAAACCCTTGACAATTTAGACACCAAAGGAAGATACCTTAAAATAATAAGAGCCATCCTTGACAAATCCAAAACAACATCATACTGAAAATCAAAAAGCTTGAACCATTGCCCCTGAAAACTGGAACAACGCAAGGATGCTCATTCTCACCACTGATATGCAACATAGTACTGGAAGCCCCAGTCAGAGCAATCGGGCAAGAGGAAGAAATGAAAGATATCCAAATAGAAAGAGAAGATGTCAAACTATTTTTCTTTGCTGATAATATGATTCTTTACTTAGAAAATCATAAAAAAAACTTCCAAAAGGCTTTTATAACTGATAAACAACTTCAGCAGTTTCAGGATACAAAATCAATGTACGAAAATCAGTAGCATTTCTACACATCAACAATGTCCAGGCTGAGAGTAAAATCAAGAATACAATCCTACTTACAAAAGCCAGAAAGAAAAATGAAATACCAAGGAATACAGCTAACCAAGGAGGTGAAGTATCTCTACAAGAAGAACTACAAAACACTGATGAAAAAAAACCAGGTATGACACAAATAAATTGAAAAACCTTCCATGCTCATTGTTTAGAAGAATCAATATCAAAAATTGACCATTATGCCCAAAACAATGTACAGATTAAACACTATTCTTATCAAACTATCAACATCTAAGGACATTTCTGGGAGAATGGGTATTACAGTAAAATATACATCAATTTTATATCTTCATGTCAAGAATACTAAAATATGAAGGAAAAAATGTACTGGTGAGTCACATTTATTGATTTACTTATGTTGAACTAGCCTTGCATCCTAGGAGTAAAGCCTACTTGATGATGGTATATTTACTTTTTTATCTGCTGCTGCACTCAGTTTGCTAATATTTTGTTGAGTCTTTTTACATCTATGTTCATGAGGGATATTGGCCTACATTTTTTGTTGTCATTGTGTCTTTGCCAGATTTTGATATCAGATGGATGTTGGCTTCATAGGATGAATTAGGATGGAGGCCCTCCTCCCCAGCTTTTTGGAATAGTTTCAGTAAGATTGGTATCCATTCTTCTTTGTATGTCTGCTAAAATTCAGCTGTGAATACCTCTGATCTGGGACTTTTTTGCCTGATAGATTCTTTATTGCTGATTCAATTTTATAAGTTGATATTGGCTATTCATTTATTTAGAGTTTCAATATCTTTCTGATTAAATTATTGGGAAATTTCATGCTTCTAGAAATATATCAGTTTCTTCTATATTTTCTAATTTGTGTGTATAGAGCTTTTCATAGTCTTTGAGGATGTTTTATATTTCTGTGGGATGAGTTGTAATATCTCCTTTGACATTTCTGATTGTGCTTATTGCAATCTTCTCTTTCTTTTTCTTTGTTAGTCTAGCTAGTGGTCTACCAATCATATTCATTTTTTTGAAGAACCAACTCGGTTTCATTGATCTCTTATATGGATTGTTGCATTTGAATTTCATTCAGTTCTTCTCTAGTTTTAGTTATTTCTTTTATTCTGCTAGCTTTGGGGTTAGTTTGTTCTTTTTTTTTGTAATTCCTTTAGGTGCAAAGTTAGATTGCTAATTTGAGATTCTTCTAACATCTTGATGGAGGCACTTAAGATTAAACTTTCCTCAACACTACTTTGTCTGCATCCCAGAGATCTGAGCAAGTTGTATCCCAATTTTCATTAATTTCAAATATGTTTTTTTTCCTGACCTAATGTCAGTATTCACTCAGGTGTTAATCAGGAGTACATTGTTTAATTTTCATGCGTTGAGAGAGATATTCTTTGTATTGATTTCTATTTTATTGCACTGGGGTCCAGGAGTGTGCTTGGTATAATTTCATTTTTAAAAAAAAATTTCGAGGCTTGCTTTATTATTGAACATGTTGTCTCTCTTAGAATATGTTCTGTATTCACATGAGGATGTATATCCTATGGTTGTTGAGTGGAGTATTGTGTAGATGTCTATTAGGTCTAATTAGACAAGCGTCAAGTTTTAGACTAGAATCTCTTTTTTAGCTTTCTGCCTCGATGATCTGTCTAATTCTGTTAATGGAGTGTTGAAGTCTCTCATGATTGTTGTGTTTTGTCTACATCTTTTTTTAGGCCAAGAAGTATTTCTTTTCTAAATCTGGGTGCTTCAGTGTTGGGTGTGCATATATTTAGGATAGTTAAGGCTTCTTGTTGGATTGTATCCTTTAGCATTATGTAATGCACTTAATTGTCCTTGTTAATTATTAATTGGTTTAAAGTCTGTTTTATGTGATATAAGAATAGCTATTTCTGCTCTTTTTTGTTTCCCATTCGCTTGGTAGCTCTTATTCTACCCTTTGATTTTGAGCTTGTGAGTGTTGTTACACGTGAAATGGGTCTCCTGAAGACAACAAATGATTGGGTCTTGTCTTTTTATCTAACCTGACACTCTGTATCTTTTAAATCAAATGTTTAGCCCATTTACATTCAAGGTTAATACTGATATGTGTGATTTTTGATTCTGTCATTGTGTTGTTAGCTGGTTGTCATGTAGATTTGATTGTGTAGTTAGTTGCTTTGTAGTGCCAGGGGGCCGTGAGCTTAAGTGTGTTTTTGTGGTGGCAGGTGCAGTTTTTTTAAATCTATGTTTAGCACTCCCTTAAAGACCTCTGATAAGGCCAGTCTGGTTAAAACATATTTCCTGTCACATGCTTCTCTGAGAAAGATTTTATTTCTCCTTTACCTATTAAGCTTATTTTGGTAGGATATGAAATTCTTGTTGGATTTTTTTTTTCTTCATGAATGCTGAGTATAGGCCACCAGTCTCTTCTGGCTTGTGAAGTTTCTGCTGAGAGGTCTGCTGCTAGCCTAATGGAGTTTCCTCTGTAGGTTCCCTGCCCCTTCTCTCTAGCTGCCTTTAAGATTTTTTCTTTTGCCTCCATCTTGGTGAAATCTGATAACTACATGCCTTGGGGATAGTCCACTTGTATGGTCTCTGGCTGAGGTTCTCTATATTACTTGGATATGTATGTCAACCTCCCTAGCAAAATTAGTGAAATTTTCACGTATTGAGAGAGATATTCTTGGTATTGATTTCTATTTTATTATTTTTATATTAATATTATTAAACATATTGTCCAAGTGGCTTTTTATCTCTCCTCTCCCAGGAATGCCAATGAGTCATAGATTTTGTCCCTTTACATAATCTCATATTTCTCAGAGGTATTATCCATTTTTTAAATTCTTTAAAAAATTTTTCTGTCTGACATAATTTATTTGAAGAACCATTAGTAGAGCTTTGAGATTCTTTCCTCAGCTTGGTCTATTCTACTGTTAATACTTACAGTTGTATTATGAAATTCCTGTACCAGGCATACCTGCTACCACAAAAATATCCTTAAGCTCATGGCCCATAGGCACTGTAAAACAACTATGAAATCAAGTCTACATAACAACCAGCAACAACAGGATGAAAGAGTCAAAATCACACATATCACAAAATTGCACAATTTTCTTTCAGCTCAAGAAGCTCAGTTTGGGTCTTTCTAAAAATGGCAGTTACATCTTTCTATTCTTAAATCTTTGTACTGAATTGGTTGGCTTTCTTGAACTGAGTTTCGACTTTCTCCTGGATCTCATTGAACTTCCTTGCCATCCAGATTCTGAATTCCAGTCTATCATTTCAGACAATTCAGACTGATTAAGAACCATTGCTGTGGAGCTAGTGAGCTCATTTGTAGGTAAGGGGACACTGGCTTTTTGAATTTCCAGAGTTCTTGCACTGACTATTTCTCATCTGGAAGGGCTAGCATTTCTTTAACTGTGGTGTAAATCGAATATAGTCAGTTGGCTTTATTTCTGGAAGCTTTCATAGAGCTAAGGCTCTGTACAAAGTCTTCGTTGCTGAATTCTTGCTCTTGGTTTTGCAGGGGGTAGAATTAGTAAAGTGATTTTTGGTGCTATATTTGGACTGTAATCCAATAGAGGATACTTGAGAGCAATGGGTGGTTGATAAGCTCTTAGCCGCACAGCATCTTTGCATATCCTCACATTCACAGCTGTTTTCTGTGGTGTAAATAGGAGAGAGGTAACCCCCCTCACCAGGTCCGCTCCTTGGTCTTGGGGTTTGAGAAAGATACCTCTGGTCACTGGAAATGTACTTGCAATTTTTGTTATTGTTGTTGTTAGATCTTTCAGGTGTTGGGGCTCCCTTGGGGATTGGACCTGAACTAGTGGCCACAGCCCTGGGATTCTAGGACCTGTTTGCAGCTCCCTTCTGTGGATCCTTGGGGTTGGGTTTTGGGTACACTGGGGGATGCAAAAGGCTTTCAGGCTGCCAAAATGCACTCAGGTGGAGCAAAGGACCCAGGCTGTGCACTTGAGGCTACACTGTGTACATGCACCTGTGGGGTAGCCAGGCATAGGCCCTAGGTGGTACTGGTAGGCAGGTAGGCCTGTAGGACTGATGGGCCCCAGTCCTGCAGGGAATCAGGCAGTGTTTTATCCATGGCAGTTAGCTGGGGCTAAAGCCTCTTAGAGGGAGATAGGAGCTCTGGTGGGAGGGCGCTTATGGCCCAACTCTGCCGGAGCTGACCCATACTCAAAGGTACCCAAATCCATGTGTGCTGCAGCTCCATCTCTGTCTAATACCTGGGGAGATCCCCCTGCCAGCTCACATGTCCATGGGGGTATGGAGACTCCTGCAACTAAGATCCTAGAGGTCCAAAGTGAGATGAGTAGTCCCCCAGTCCCTTCACTCGTATCTTCCTCAAGCACCATTCAGAGTTGGAACAGATTATTTTTTTATTTTGTAATTTTTAAAATTTTTTATTGCAGCAAATCTCTATTCCCTGAGAAGAGAGAGGCAGGTAGAGCAAGGACAAGTATTGTCCTTTAAAATTTTTTTTCAAACTCTGTAGGTCATCTTTTTTGAAAAATTGTTTTTAGATATCACTACAGACACTTTCTCTGATCACACTTTTTCTCGTTTTATATGCATGAATTAAAGTCAAAGAAGGCATGATTTTGGGAGGATCATGGGTGGACCACCCTCACACCCCCTCTATATGACTTTATTTTATCTATTAACAACCTATAAATATATAAAACCAACAGAAATTTCTAGAAGACCAAAATTAGTAAATCATAGAAGAATAAAATAATATATTTGGCAAACTTAATTCAATAAATGCATATGAGCATTTGCATGCTCCAAACAGAACTTGATTTTCATGCCCATTAAATGTGTGTTTTATTTTCTCAAAGCAATGACTTGCTTGGCCATAAAGCAAGCTTTAATAAAATTAAAGTATATGTTAGCAAACTATACTGTATATGCATAGTTCTCTGTAGAGAGCCACTTTTCTTTCTTTCCGATTTTTTTTTTTTTTTTTTTTGCCAATAGCACAGAATACCCCTGGGGAAATCATTACATAAATCTGATTTCAAGAGGGAACTCAAGGTGAACAGTAACAAATTCTGTCAACCACTTTCACACAAGTAGAAAATCACAATACCTATTAAGGTGGAAGTCAAAGAACAAATAGATTGGAATCTGACAGCATGGGTTAAATAATTAGCTGTATAATCCAAACGCTATTTGATTCTCCTAACTCAGTGGACCTCTCAGTCTGTTTTTTCACCCAGAATATGGAGCTAATAATATCTGTCTCATAGATTTCAGTTGCAATATCCCAAGAGTTCTGTGATGTTTTAAGCATCTTCTTTTTGTCAGCCTTAATGCTCAATGTGATGAGTTGTAGAGATGAAAGGGGCATTGTCTTTGCCTTTAAAGAAGTTGATGATCTCATTTTTGTCAGGACTCTAGGAAATTAAATGAAGTCAGTTAAACAAAATGACTATTCCAATCATTTCATTCATCTGCATGATCCTTACTATAGCCCCTGGTTTGATTCCTGGAGAGTCCACTGCATGTGTGGACTTTGGAAGAATTGTATCGCTACCAAAATTGATCTTTGGTACCCATCATTTCTCACTGTTTTAGCTCTTGACTGCCCTCATTCTGGCATCTAGTGGCTACAGGCTATGTGCCCTTCATTTGTGTCCTTTCTCTCTGGAACCACTGTCCCTCATTACCTGTTGTCAGTTTTCTTAATACCATTGTTTATATTTTGTTCATTTTTTTCATGGTTTCAAGTGGCACAGAACAGTAGCTTTCCTTATCTGCAGGGGATATTTTCCAAGACCTTGACTGGATGCCTGAAACTGGATAGTATTGAATCCTCTATACGCTGTATTTTTTCTATACATACTTATGATAAAGTTTAACTTATAAATTAGGCACAGTAAGATATTAACAACAATAATTAATAATAAAATAGAACAATTAAAACAATATACTATAATAAAAGCTAAGTGAATGTGGTCTTTCTCTTTCTTACTCTCTCTCTCTCAAAATATCTTAATATTTTCAAACCTTGGTTGACCTCAGGTAAATGAAATCATAGAAAGTGAAACCATATATAAGGGGTATTACTGTAAATGTGATTATTGTTACTTCATCTTGGTCAGAAATAAAATCCATCTCATTCTGTTTTAAGACAATTAAATAAAATGTTGCATTTAAAGTGCTTACCAATCAGCTGAAATATATGAATTGATTATATACGTATATAAAGTGATATGTATCTTATATATGTAATATGTATTATTTTATACACACACACACACAATTTATTATCACTTTGAAGACCCTTGTGGGTCGAGGATCAAAGGGATTTTTCTATGTCAGCCACTTTTACTCTCCTTGAGTATTCTTCAGCGCAGGGGTCCCCAGCCATGGACCAGTACTCTTCCGTGGCCTGTTAGGAAGCCGGCCACACAGCAAGAGGTGAGAAGCAGGTGAGCAAGCATTACCACCTGAGCTCTGCCTCCTGTCAGATCAGTGGCAGCATTAGATTCTCATAGGAGGGGAACCCCTATTGTGAACTGCGTGTGCGAGGGATCTGGGTTATGTGCTCTTTATGAAAATCTAATGTCTGATGATATGAGGTGGAACAGTTTCATCCTGAAATCATCGTCTCCCCATTCATGGAAAAATTGTCTTCCACAAAACCAGTCCCTGGTGCCAAGTGGTTGGGGACCACCACTTCAGTATATTTGCACTGCAAGGAAAAAACTTCATATATCAATTTGTTAAAATTTCCTCATGTTATATATTAAAAATATGCACAGACTATGGAAAAAATCAAGTTAAATTAGAAAAAAGACCACTTATGTAATATGCATGCTATTTTTTTTAATGGCACAAGAAAAAGACTAATATATTTCATTTATTCTGGAATTCTTGATTTTATAATTATCCTCTTGGGAATTTTTATTCCATCCATTTACAAAACAGTTAATTTAATTGAAGTTTTCATAACGTTTAACATGAATTTTGAGTACCATTTAAAAGATGTAGGCTTCAAACTTTTTATCAGAAAAGCTAAGAGAAACTTTGGATACTTTGATGAGGGAATATTAAATTATTTTGCCTTGCATAGGAATATGAAATATAATCAAGAGCTAGGAAAATGAGTCTCTAGTACATTATAAATTACTGGAAGAAGTGGTTGTTTTTGTTTCCTATTGCTGTTGTAACAAATACCACAAACTTGCTGACTTAAAACAACATAAATATTTTCTCTCACAAATCTAAAGGCTAGAAATCTGAAATCTGCCAGGACTATACTTCCTCTAGGGTTTCTAGGGGAGAATCCATTCTATGCCTCTCACAGCTTCTGGTAGTTGTCTGGGGATACCTGGGCTTGTGGCTGTCTATATCTGCCCCCATTACCACCTTGCCTTCTATTCCATGTTTCTGTGTGAAATCTCCCTCTTCTTCTATCTTATAAAGACACTTGTGATAGCATTTAGGGCTAACATAATAATCCAGGATCCTATGGAGTGAAATCTGTTCTCCCAAAAGTAATATGTTGAAGCTATAACCACCACGGTATAGGGCCTTTGTGAAAGTAATTAATGTTAAATGAAGTCATAATGGTGGGAGCATGATCTGGTAGAATTAGTGTTATTGTAAGAAAGTAAACCAGAGAACTTGTTTCCTTTGTGCTGTGGGAATAGTTCTAAGATGGCCATCTGCAAGCTCGGAGGAGAGTCTTCATAAGAAACTGATCCTGCTGGACCTCGATTTGCGATTTCTAGCTTTCAGAACTGGGAGAAAATAGATTTCTGTTGTTTTAAGCCACTCACTCTGATTTTTCTGTTGTAGACCAAGCTGACTAATACACAGGGTAATCTACTCATCTGAATAGCCTTAATATCATCAAATCCTTTGTCATATAAAGTAGAACATTGACATATCTTTTGGGGACCTCCACATTCTACCATTTAGCCCAGTACAGTGGTCAATCTTTTTTTAATCCACACCTCCCTAGAGTAAGAATCAAGTAAATCATACATCTTCAAGCGATAGCTGTGTAACAGATGCCAGACGCTACTTCATATTCAATTTCTCCCTTCCTAAAAACAAACAAACAAATGACAACAACAACGAAAGCAAAAAGCACACTGCGATTTAGGTACTTTTTACATCATGTGACAGAGCTGCAAAAAAAAGAAGCTCTGCAAGGATATATGTATCCAGGATATATGATATATATATATCCTTGATTAAATTACTCCATCTTCTAGTAATTTATAATGTACTAGAGACTCATTTTCCTAGCTCTTGATTATATTTCATAATCCTTGATGTATATATATCATATATATCAGACAATATATACATATATAATATTTATCAGACTATATATAATATACATAGTGTGGTATATATATAATATATATAGTGTGTGTATATATATATCTGTCACATTATGTAAAAAGTACATAAATTGCAGTGTGCTTTTTGCTTTTGTTGTTGTCATTTCATTGTTCATTTTTATAAAATGGGTCTCAGACTATATATATATGTACTCTACATATATCTGATATATATATAGTCCTCTACATATATCTGATATATATATAGTCCATATATATCTGATATATATAGTCTACATATATCTGATATATAGTCTATATATATCTGATATATATAGAGTCTATATATATATCTGATATATATAGAGTCTATATATATCTGATAAGACTATATATATATCTGATATATATAGACTATATATATCAGATACATATGTAGTCTGAGGCTGTATATATACTATAGATATAGTGTCTCTATATATACACACACACATATATATGCATATATGTATGTGTATATATATATGTGTGTGTATGTGTATGTGTGTGTGTGTGTGTGTGTGTATATATATATATATATATATATATATATATATAGTCTGATGCCCATTTTATTTAAATACTGATCCAGAATTGAAATCCATATTCCTTTCACTCCAATATACATCATCTTTCCCTAAATTCAGTTATCATTCTGGTGTTAATTAATCAGTTTCAATAAGGCTTCTTTCCACAAGGAGCCATCTCACTGATGGCAAAGGCATGTATGAAGGATGACATTTATTGTTTTTGAAAGCAAGCAGTTCATTAATTAAATATTATGTGTTTGTATTTAAAAAATTAACTTTTATACTTTTGTGCTCACACTCATGAAGAAATGCATATTTTCTTCCTATTGTTAAAAGTAATTAATGGTGGGACTGTAAACTAGTTCAACCATTGTGGAAGTCAGTGTGGCGATTCCTCAGGGATCTAGAACTAGAAATAGCATTTGACCCAGCCATCCCATTACTGGGTATATACCAAAGGATTATAAAACATGCTGCTGTAAAGACACATGCGCACGTATGTTTATTGCGGCACTATTCACAATAGCAAAGACTTGGAACCAACCTAAATGTCCAACAAGGATAGACTGGATTAAGAAAATGTGGCACATATACACCACGGAATACTATGCAGCCATGAAAAATGATAAGATCATGTCCTTTGTAGGGAAATGGATGAAACTGGAAACCATCATTCTCAGCAAAGTATCGCAAGGACAAAAAACCAAACACCACATGTTCTCACTCATAGGTGGGAATTGAACAATGAGAACACATGGACACAGGAAGGGGAACATCACACTCTGGGGACTGTTGTGCGGTGGGGGGAGGGGAGGGGTAGCATTAGGAGATATACCTAATGCTAAATGACGAGTTAATGGGTGCAGCACACCAACATGGCACATGTATACATATGTAACAAACCTGCACGTTGTGCACATGTGCCCTAAAACTTAAAGTAGAATAATAATAAAAGAAAAAAAATGAAAGTAATTAATGTATATACATGATTTAAAGCAAAATTAAGTGGAATAGCATCAGTATTGGTACAAAAACAGTAGTAAACCAGACAACCCAGTTTTCTGATAGATGAGCACAAGGACAGCCTTTCATTAATTCACAGAATAGGACGTAAAGAATAACTGAAAAAAAAAAAAAAGAAAGTTACACCGTCATTCTTTTCTCCTTGCTCTGTGTGAACTTAATAGTGAATGAAGCCCCTTTTATCTTCCATCTAAAATGTCAAAGTCCCATAAGAATAAATTATGGATAGATGATAATTAATTTATTTTCAGTATATTCTTTGCCTCAGCCTTACTTTCAAAATCTGGGCACATTTTAATAAATGCACAATATTTGCATGAGAAAACATAATTAAGTGAGCATGAAAAGGATCCATCTGCTACATAGTTTTATTTTTAGGAATTTACTGAATATCTATGCTAAAATCAAATTTCCATCATTGCTGAGCCTGTTATTACTCTTTTGAGCTTTCATAACTGGTTGATGTTTTCCTTCTGGTAATTTTTATGGTAAAACACTATCTCAGAACTTGTTTGTCAGTTTCACTTTATTGACTTGATTCCCTGTATCATCCAGGCCTCTGTGGTTACATGCAAAAAATACTGATCTTTACCAATTTTAGTAAAGGAGATTTCTTGGTTGACCATTATAACTCATAGTATTAGCAAGAAGATGGGAGAAACAAGCCTGGGCACAGGCAGAAATAAACTTTGCTTCATTAGATTGGGACACATGAATCACAAAAATGGTTTTATTGTAGAAACAACTCGTACAAGACACACTGCTGAAATTAACATATCTAACCATTGGTAGCCTGTCTTGAATCTGGTCAGCTAAGTTCCAAGGCTTCTAATGACCTAACTTGGATTATGTATGTGCCCATATCTTGAATTGGTCAGGAAATTAAATGCACAAAACAATGCTTGGGATATACCATACCATGAGAGAAAAGTAATCCTCCAAAAAAAAAAATGAGTCAATGATTATTAGGAAGGTAGAAGGAAAGATGAGCAGCTACTGAGGAGCAAATGGGAGCTCTTTGAGATACAGATCTGTTTCAAATATTTGATTCAGTTCTAAACATAATACTGTTGTAGAGCGGATGCATAATAAATATTTGTTTATTCATATTGGGAAATACAATTTAAATTGCTACATTTTAGAAAGATTTCTCCAGCAATAAACATGTCCACTACCCTTGCTTCAGTACTGACCCTAATTTTACCTTCTCTTAATCCTAAAAAAATCATAAATAAATGATGAAAAGGAAAGAGAAGGAAACAAAAAATTGTGAATGAAAAATATGTACTAGCTTCCAAGATGAAACAATGAATAACACACACTATCTTCCTTTAAGGAGCCCCAAGCCTATAATAGCCTGATGTTTGGATCGGTGATTAGAATGATATGAGTTATGCAGACTGGTACCAAGAAGGTTAATGTTCACCAAAATATTATCTATAAAACTCAAAATTGAAAATTTAAAAAATCATCAACTATAATATACATTTTTTAAAATCTTATAATTTTTTAGACCTGTAAAGTATAGATACAAACCATATATAGCATCATTTCATGTTATATGTAAAAGCAGAATAAAAATGGCATGGAGACAATAATTGTGACTGTGTAAGATATTAATTTATGTGGATATTAACAAAGACTGGGAGGGTAACAGAAATAAAAGTAGATTTTCTAGAATAATGGATGTGTTTTATTTTTTAATTTCCTTTAATGCCACTATATGTGAAAAGAAATTTGCAAGGAAATTTTGGGACTATTTATTCTGTCATCTGATTGTTTAGAAACAAAATACATTGAAATTGTCCCTTGCCTGTTAGTGTGATTCAATCCATTCTTCATGATTTTGCAGCTGTGGTTCTGGCTGTGACTGCCAGGGGAGACTTCCAGTATTACTATTTATTTATTACTCTTGTTCTTTTTAACCTGTTTCCTCAAAGCATCTGCAAGTTTGTGGTTATGGGAAGACAGGTGGTGGATGTTCAGTAGATCTTAGGTAGAATAAATAGCTGTTTTGACTCTTGTTAAGAATAGTATTGTTTTTATTTTTTTTATTTTTTTTTTTTTTACTTTTTAATTTTCTTTTTTTTATTTTTTTTAATTTTTTTTAATTTTTTTTTTATTATACTCTAAGAATGGTATTGTTTTTAACACTGGTATCCAATAATACTTACCTATTAGGAGTTGCGAGTGCTTTAAACTCTCGATTAGGAATATAAAATTGCCCTTCTTGCTAAAAACATACCTTTTCTTCAGTTTCTATATTTCAGAATTCTATATTACATAGAATTCTTCAAATGGCATAGATTCTAACCCTTGTTCAGAACATACAATTACTATTCAATCTCTTCCATCACCAGGATTTGACATCTCAGTTCAGCTGTTGTTGCCATATACCTGGTCATTTTAATTGCTTCTGTATTAGTTTCCCACTCTCATTTTCTTCTGTTTCATTTTTGCCTATGTACTGTTGCCATATCATGCTGACAGGGGCTCTAGCCATATCATACCTCTGATTTGAAATATCCAAGGGACCCCTGCTTTGGGTATTTTTGTTTAAGTTAGACCCTATGCCGGGTAAGAGTGCAGTGATACAATCACAGCTCACTGCAGCCTAGAATTTCTGGACTCAAGCCATCTTCCAGCCTCAGCCTCCTCATTAGCTAGGATTATAGGTGTAAACTACCACATTAAAAAAAAAATTGTAGCGACAGGAGACACATGATGTTATCCAGGCTGGTCTTGCACTCCTGACCTCAAGAGATCCTCCAGCCTCTGTCTCCCAATGTGCTGGAAATACAGGCCTGAGGCACTGCACCCAGCCCCCCTTTGGCTGCTGAATTAAGTATAAAATTTGTAGCTCAATTTTGGGATCTCCTCTCTACTTTTTAGTATTTTAAATCATGCTTATTGCTCCTTCTACCCTATAGACCAACAAGCCAACAACTAAGTCTCATTCTTCCGTTTCTTTGCTTAAATGTTTTCCTTCACCTGGATGGCCTCCCTCATTCTTGCCATAGTTATTCAGCAACCCACTTCAAAAATAACCCTCTTCACTAGAACTTTTCTTATTACCCCAAATGGAATTGACCATGATTCTTTTAAAATATACACAAGTCTGTTCTGCCTCCCTGCACTTAATAAGCTTTATATTAGAGTTACTTATGTGAATAACAATCAGATTAGGTGAACTCTATGAAGACCCAAATGCTACCTTTGTCATCTTTGTATTTACCAAAGGCATCTAAAACAGAACACTGGCTTGTTCATTGGCTTGATTTAAAGGGCAACTGCAAATTTATTGAATAAATTTAATAGGATTAGAAAGAATAACTTTTGTTTTCCTGTTTAATTATTTTTTAATCCTAGAGAAATTAGAGGGGAGGTCAGACGTAGGATTCCTAAACAAAAGAAAGACAGGAAAGAAAAAGAGAGTATGGGAGGTGGAAAACAATAAATGCCTTCTGGATTTCACCCAGTGAAGTTAAATTTCTTTAGGTATAAATTAAGAAGAATGTATTTACTTTTTATTTATTTATTTAATTAATTAATTTATTTATTTATTATTATACCCAGAGCCCAGCATTTGGGTGACTTTATATAGGATCAGTTTTAGTGAACTCAGTTACTTTATTTTCTATTGTTTTTCTAATATTCTAGTTGCTTTATTCATGTTCTTTTTTACATTTAATATTCTATCAGCTTTATTAACTATTCTTGGAGTTTAGTTTTATAAAGATATTGTTTTTGTAAAAATGTTCTCCTGCTAAAGAACGTACTTGCCTGTGAAAAACCAGGAGAATGCTGTGTAGAAAGTAGCGCAGGTAAAAATACCTGGGTGAGATTTGACTACTCTCTCCAGACCCTGTCTTAGTTTTCCTCGACCCCTAATGGATAGAAACCTAATTTCTTCCTCTCCTGTGAAGCAGTGTGATCAAAGTCTCAGACTCAGGCAAATTAGCATTTACTAGTTTATTTTGTGTGCCCTAAAACAGTACCCTCAGGGATTGAGGAGCTGAGTGAAACACCAATATTCAAATTAGCTCTTCCCAAGAAACACATACACATTTGAATGGATAATCTTAAACCTACCTATAGCGGTATTTCTATACAACAATTAGGGCATACCCTTCTCTGACCAGAACTAGGAAACAGCTTTTTCTTTTCTTTTCTTTTCTTTATTCTCTTCTTTTATTTTCAATTGTGTTTCTAGAGAGATGAATTCTAGAATAATATTTAGGGTTTCTGGAAATATAAAGCAGAGTTTGATTAGTTAGTATACATATTGGAGTTAATATAATCCACTATGTATATTATGAAGTGTTACGAATCATTTTCTTTCTATCGAGAAAATCAGTTATTTTCTTATTCACATATTATTTCTCTATATACTGGGGGTTAAAATAAAAAGAAAGGACAGGATATATACTTTGTGGGGGACTAGAATCCTTAAAATAAAATCTTACCATGGAAGAAATAAATATTTTCAGTAAGAAAATAATCCCAATGGACATCACTAATGCAAAATTAAATATAATTTATTTATTTAATTTCAAAGTTAAGAATTTTTCAAGGTATATTTTATGGTCTCTGATATATACAAATTTCCATTTTCTTGTTTTATTTTGATTGTAATGTTGCTATAATATTATATCATGTGTTACAATAAAACGATTTGGATCTATTTGTTCAAACTATTTCTCTTGTATTTAGTGATTTCTTTCTTTCTATCTCTCTTCGTCTCTTTTAAGCCTCAACAAAGTGCTTCTGGAAACAATGAGAGCTCTCAAGTTGAGTCAACAAAGGAAGGAAATCCAAGTACCACTGCCTGTGACTCTCAAGATGTAAGAAAAACTTAAGATGCTTTTTACAGTATTAGACAGGAGAAAAAAGCACAAGCATTTTAGCAATTCTAATTCATGCCACCATGAAACTATTTATATGTAATATCTACTATCTAAGGATTGTACTTTTAAATATAAGAAAGTAAATGTTCTTTATGTTCTTTTTTTTTTTTTTTTTTTTTTTTTTTTGAGACGGAGTCTTGGTCTGTCGCCCAGGCTGGAGTGCAGTGGCACAATCTCGGCTCACTGCAAGCTCCGCCGCCTCCCGGGTTCACGCCATTCTCCTGCCTCAGCCTCCCGAGTAGCTGGGACTACAGGCGCCCGCCACCGCGCTCGGCTAATTTTTTGTATTTTTGGTAGAGACGGGGTTTCACCGTGTTAACCAGGCTGGTCTTGATCGCCTGACCTCGTGATCCGCCCACCTCGGCCTCCCAAAGGGCTGGGATTACAGGCATGAGCCACTGAGCCTGGCCGTAAATGTTCTTTTGTTATGAATCAGGTAAGTGTTCCATTAAGCATTGCAACTAGATTCTTAGGACAACTGTGAATATGAGTTTTTAGAGAGGTAAGTGGAGGACCACAGGCTAAGCAAGGTGCTCATTCCCACAGCTACATGAAAGAAAGCTGTTAAAATGTAAAAAACAAAAGCCAACAAAAAACCTTATAGGATGTACTTCTCCATGTAAAGCAAATACACTCAGCATACAGAGACATCATTGTAGAGGAAGGGAGATTCATTTCCTTCAAATGATAGGAAATATGGAATTTGTTCAATGAGTCTTTTCACTCTTTAAAAGTGCAATGGAATTTTATTTTTTTGAACTTTGGCAAAATTGAGCTAATGGATCTATTACATTTAGATTTGAGAACAGCAAATGACAACAATTGTGTTCAAAATTAGGCTTTAATCCAACTTGAAAAGTGTCTGATGAAACTATGCTTGAAAGAAATCAGGCTGCAGCTAAAAATATATAATGATGATAAGGAGGAATAGAAAAGTAAGTTAAACAAGTGTTCTCTTTTTTCTCTTCTGGCTGCCAAAGTGGATTTAGAAAAATGAATTACTCTCCCAACTACTCGGGAGGCTGAGGCAGGAGAATGGCGTGAACCCGGGAGATGGAGCTTGCAGTGAGCCGAGATGGCGCCGCTGCACTCCTGCCTGGGCGACAGAGCGAGACTCCGTCTCAAAAAAAATAAAAAAGAAAAATGAATTACTCAACAGTTTTGCCTTCAACTCTTTGTTTATTTAAACATGTATCCAAACTATACAATTTAAAGCATAATGTTAATAAGAAGTATAAATAAAATGCTTGAAATTTACTTCCAAAGGAGGAGAGAGTCAAAAAGACTTTGGGCAGGAAGGAAGATTTTTACTATAGTTTGAAGCACGGGTAGGTCTTTGACAGTGAGCAAATTTGCAGAGGCAGGAAAATATCACAGCAGTATGGCTAAAAAACAGTACACAAAATGGCGGGATATGTGCTTACAGCAATCATTGAAGACTAGAGAATGAGGGGCCCTGGATTCCCAAGCTAAGAAATTTAATTTGAACAAGGGAGCTAGTTCAGGTTTTCAAATGTTTGTATTCAATCGAGTGATAAGGCCATGGTGTTAATTCTAAGGATGGTGTTTTTATTTCTTGATATATATTTTTGAAACTACATAAAAACATGTTCTCATTGGAGGCAAAATAGAAAATTTATGTGTGGTTTGCTAGGATTCCTCAAAGCAACATTCTGGTCTACTTTTCTTATTGAAGCCTCCTTCAAATCATAAATTGATTTGTTCATATGTTATTTGTTTCTCTCTTCTACTTGTGTTGTTCTCCTTTGTCAGGGATAACTCTTCTGTCCTCAGTGAGTTCCAGAAGCAGATACTATCTGTTTCTGGTCTCAGTCTGGACCTGGGGCTCTTCAAAAAGCTGCCTCCACCAGAACAAATATAAATGTTATTTCACTAACCTGACTTCTGTCCTCTAGACTTTTGTATTGGAGTCTCTACTCCTAAGAAGCTACACCTTTTAGTACATAGAGTGCTCAGTATTCAGAGCCTGCAGATTCAATTATAGATAATAATGAAGAAAGTAATACAATGAGTGACATAAACCAGGTGTGAGTAATCGGAATTAGTGGGACATGCATGAACATCAGTTTTCAAGTTCTAGACCAGTACTTCTTAGCTCTGTCTCCAGAATAGTGTCAACCGAAGAGTACTTACAAAATACTGATGCCCACAACCCATTGCAGAAAAATTACCTCAGCACCTCAGTAGGTAAGGTCTAGACATTAGTTGTGTTAATTTTTTGATTCATCCAGATGATTCAAATATGTAGGTCATTTTTCACTAATAATAGATTTCCCATTCATAAGAACCCTCTGGGGAGCTTTTAGAAAGTCAGATTCTGAGCAATTCATCTGGAAATTTTTAATAAATAAAACTAGAGAGACTGTTTTTTGCCTTGTATAAATTTAGCCATAATATTCTGATTTGCATTAAATATTGTGAAATGTATTGCTTCCATTTTAATGTAGCAGTATCAAAATACTGACTACCAGTCTAGAGACTTAAGCTGCAATTTGGGTTGCTTTATTGAGTGTCCAAACTGAATAAGAAGGCAGAACTTAATTTCATTTTTTTAAATCACAAAATAAAATTCTTTATCACATTTCTACCTTTATATTTTGTCTATTTTGGGGTGTGTTTTAGGATCTTAACCTATGCCTTTATATGACTTTCCTTTAATCAGATATTGAATGAATGCTATTTAGTTTTTAACAAGGACAAAAAGTAGGATATAATGTAGTTTTACTTTGTTTTTAATGTCCTTAATAAAATTGATAGTAACTTTATTCCTATTTCTTGTTTTAACTTGATTTTCAGTTGTAATGAATTCAGAAATCCAAAAACCACTGAATCAGCAAATTTTAAAAATAATTAAAGAGAGAGTAAATAGGAACCTGAATCTAGGCAATCACAGAAACAATTGGGAACAAACAATGAAAAGTCTGTTTCAAAGAGAGAGCCCCAGGATTCTGTGATCAAATGAAGATGTAGGTATAAAGATGAAGTGTAACATGAGCCCCAAATGTATGTTTTATTGGCTTAAATAATTACATCATCATTATCAAGAAAGAAAACTAGAGTAGGAGATATTTTTGGTTAACTTTTTTCTATTTACTTCTGAACAGAAGAGATTGGTACTCTGTTAATAATTAGAATGGGTGAAAGGCACAATGAAGCTAATTATTTTTGAAATATATAATTTTAAAAAAGCTTTATTGAGATATAACTTACATACCATAAAAATTCACCCATATAAGTGTATGTTTCAATCATTCATCCCATTTGCTGAGTCCAGGACTGTAATCCAGTTTCAGAACATTTTCATCTCCCTAATATGATCCCACATGCCTTTTTTTTTTTTTTTTTAATACAATGAGTCCTCATCCCCACACTAAGCCTCAGGCAACCAAAAACATGGTTTCTTTTTGTATTTGTTTGTACCTTTTTATTGCTGAAAACCATTTTATTGTGTGGTGTACCACATTTCTTTATCCATTCACCAATTGCTGTCTTTTGGATTATTTTTAATTTGTAGCTATTATGAAAAAATGATGCTATGAACGTTTGCATAAACCACTTTGTATGGCAATGTTTTAATCTCTGTTGAGTAGGCACCAAGATGTAGAATTGCTGGGTTTGATGATAAGTTTATGCTTATATTGAAAAATTGGTACATTCTTTCCCCCTTTGAACAAACATGAGTGGTGCTTCTCTATTCTCCCATCTTCACCATTAAAACCTCATGGTTCTCAGAAAGGTAAAATTCTCAGTAATGAGGGCTCACCTTACCTTAAACTAAGCCTCTTGGAGTTTTTGTATTTCATGCTAGTCCATATTCGGCCTCCAGAAATTTATTAAAGATATTACATAAATATTCCCATCAACTACTGGCTCCAGCAGCTTTCACTTAGGTAGCTTGTCTGTGTTCTCTGTATTCACGGTCTCACCAGTTTTTGGGGTGGTAGTTTTTCTGTAACATTAATTCTTTGATACATCTAAGAAAAATTATTGATTATCAGTCTGTTCAGCTTTTTGCTTGTTGTGAAGGTGGAAGTGGAGACTTCCAAGACCTTTATGTGTCAGAGCAGAACCTGAAGTCCTAATTTGTGTCTTCTGAAACACACAAGCTTTTATTTTCAATAAAGTTCAACTCATCATTTTATTCTTCATGCTTTTGATATATCTAAAGAATTATTCACCTGTTTAAGCACACTGATTTTTTTTCTTATGGTTTCTCATATAACGTGTGTGCTTTTATTTCTTACATTTAGATCAATATTCTTCAATTTTTTGTGTGTGTCTGTGGATGGTGTTAGGTAAGGTTTTGCATTTATTATTTGCATGTTGTTATTCAGTTGTCCTAGTCTTTATAACACATTTTTAAAGAATATCTTTTTTTAATTGAACTTCTTTAGTATCTTTGTCAAAAAATAACTGACACAAACATGAGTTCATTTCTCATCTTTCAATTTTTTAATTGATTTATCCTTATGCTAATACCGTATTTTCTTGTTTTGATTTTTATTTTTAATTTTAGTGGTTACCATAGTAGGTGTATATATTTATGGGATGAGATAAAAACATGAGATGTTTTTATACAGGTATCCTTGGTTACTGTAGCTTTACAATCAGTTTTGAAGTCTACAATTTAAAGTACTGTGACTTTGTTGTTCCTTTTCAAGATTGTATTGGCTATTCTGAGTCCCTTACATTTCTTTGCAAATAATAAGACCAAAACATTGTCTTAATAATACTGTTTTTTTTTCAATCCATAAACATGGAATGTCTCTCCATTTTCTTAAATCTTTTTTTCTTTTCTTTTTTTTTTTTTTTTTCGAGGCGGAGTCTCGCTGTGTCACCAGGCTGGAGTGCCCTGGCGCGATCTCGGCTCACTGCAACCTCTGCCTCCTGGGTTCAAGCGATTCTCCTGCCTCAGCCTCCTGAGTAGCTGGGACTACAGGTGCCTGCCACCATGACCAGCTAATTTTTGTATTTTTAGTAGAGACGGGCTTTCACCATGCTGGCCAGGATGGTCTCGATCTCTTGACCTTGTGATCCACCCGCCTTAGCCTCCCAAAGTGCTGGGATTACAGGCGTAAGCCACTGTGCCTGGCCTACTTTAATCTTTTAAAATTTCTTTCAGCAATGTTTGATAGTTTTTCAGGGTACAAGTCTTGCATTTCTTTTGTCTTTATTTTTCTTAAGTACTTTTCTCTTTTTCATAGTATTGCAAATGTAGTATTTTAATTGCATTTCCAGATTGTTAATTGCTATATATATAAATGCAAGTAATTTTTGTATATTGATCTATCAGATTGAGGAGTTTTAACTGACTGTGAGCTCTGAGTTAAAACTGTGATGAGATTTGCACACCACCTATAGGTAGTTGCAGTGTTGATTTTAAGCAGTTACGATGCTACATCCAGAATAAAGGAGACACATCTCTTATCTAATTTCGCTTATCAGTCTAGACCGATAAATTCTGCCTCATTTTAGAAATAACACTCTGAGGTTCAACAATGACGAATGGAAAGTGTTTTCTAATGCTTGAGATAGAAGGCTGAAGAAAAAAGTTAGAATTGAAGGTTTGTGTTAATTTATGTTTCAACCAGTTTCCAGCTGTGTAATCATGAATATTTAACCCTTTTAAGACTGTTTTTTCTCCTCTGAAAAAGAGAGATAAATATCTGTTGCTTAATATAACTCATCCAAAGGATCCAGTGAGATAGCCCAGCTTAACAGTTAGCATATGACTAGCACAGCAAGCTCTCAATAATTACTACTTTCCATTCCCTTATGAAAGCTATGCCTCTCACAAAAAACCTCAATAAGTATTTTGAATTATATACTTTAATTAATTTATCAAATGAAAAAACTTAAAATATGAGCAAAGCAACCTTAAATACTGTAATTGTATTTGTAATGTATTTATAGTGAGTAGCCTTATTCAGTGCTACTTTACACAGCAGAACCAGATGCAGCTAGTAGAAACAGCTATAGGAAGAATAATATTTTAGTCAAATATAAAAATGAACTCTTAATGAAAAGTATCTGAAACTAGAATTAGCAGTTGGCGGAAGTACTATAATATATAATAGAATAATGAAAAACAGCCATTCTGGAATATAGTCAGGAATTGAGGCATTTGTGTGGAGGACAGACTGATCATGTTAGCATCTCTTTCAATTTCAGGATTCTATAATTATCAGCAACCTCACCACCCTGACAGCTGATAGGACCCCATGCAGTCTCTCAGTAAATAGATAAGAAAGATTATGCATTTTGATTCCTGTTGGTCATACCTGAGACTGAGTAACAGAAGAGAAAGCATGGGAATTACATAAAACCTAGATGTGTATATTGACTTTGCTGTTTCCTAACATTGTCGCTCTGGGAAGGGACTTTGTATTCAGATCCCTTTATCAATATAAGGTAGATGAAGATTTTTCAAATTTTAGCATACTAAGAATCACCAAGTCAACTGGTAAAACTGCTTATGCTCAAGATCCATTCCCATGTATTATTAATCCGTTGGTCAGGTAAAGAGCCCAGGAATGTGTATTATTGTAATAATCCCACGTAGATTTTCTTCTGTCAATATTTCATGTTAAACACTTTGAGAAATTGCCGGGCGCCGTGGCTCATGCCTGTAATCCCGGCGCTTTGGGAGCCCAAGGTGGGCAGATCACGAGGTCAGGAGATCGAGACCATCCTGGCTAACATGGTGAAACCCCATCTCTACTAAAAATACAAAAAATTAGCTGGGCGTGGTGGCAGGCGCCTGTAATCCCAGCTACTGGAGAGGCTGAGGCAGGACAATCACTTGAACCTGGGAGGCAGAGGTTGCAGTCAGCTGAGATCGTGCCACTGCACTTTGAGAAATTTTGTTGTTCATTTATTGCAGGTTTATTATGATTATTATATAAATATATAGATATTAAATATGTCACATTCAACCATATCATAGATATCCTTATTAGCTCCTTTTAAGAAGCAGCTCTGAAGTTTTAATACTCAAAGTCTCAAAATATTCTGTGGCCTAAGAATCAAACTTGGAATTATAAAACATGCTTATTTTTAGATATCTTTGTTGCTTTGTTCCACTTCCTGCCTATGGTATGCCCTATGTAAACCAGGCAGGGTCACTTAGAAAATGGCCCTCAGATTCCTTGTTCCTTTTTAAAGAAGACTTAAGAAACTTGAAATGGATCACTAAATTCTTAGCAGCATATTCGACTATCAGTTTGGGGTATGTACAAGTTACTCTAAAAGCTGCGTTGTTTAAATGATAATATTGGAGTCACATTGAGAAAGCAAAGGATGTGTCTACTCCATCCCATTTTCCTGCAGCTTGCAAATGTGCCTCATATTGTTTAATAGCATATCAAGAATTAAAGACATTGAACATTGTATTTTAATTTTCATTTAGGAATTAAGAGTTAATATTCAATGTAAACGTGTTTTGCAATGTTTCTGACTCCTATAAGTAGCAAACATTTAATTTTTCTTACTGTGCTGAGGAAATGAAAAACAAGGATGGCTTATGTTTAGCACCGGGAGCACTAGCTCAATTTCCTGCCATTACATCTGCTTGCAAGTCCCTTACCAAAGGGAGTCTATTCAACATAAAAATATTGCCTAGGGAAATGAGAAGAGAAAATGTGCAGAAAATAAATTCTAGAGCTGCAAGTAGAAAATTATGCCAGCTTTTTCATGTTAAGACAATTTTGGCTGAGATATAAGAAATCTAGTTTGCTATTATATCCAACATGCATTTTGTGGCATTTGATGGTTTGGATGAGTTGTTGGTAGATCCAATGCTTGGTTAACATAATTTTCTAGGCAAGTCATACCCTGCTGTAATTGGACTGAGAGACCACACAGCACTGTCATTCTGGGCTACATTCCATCAGAACATCTGAAGAGGTTGGCTTCATTAGAAGCATTTTTTATTGTCCTACTGTGGTATTTTTTTCAAGAAGAAGCAGGAATCCCTCCAAATAGTGTAGGAATGATAGGTAGATTCCAATGGTCTTTGGAAAAATGTTATATTTTATTCATATAAATCTCCATGTTTACTTTTCTATGACAACTTAACCATCCAAACATGTTAACCTAATTTGATTTATTTCCATAAATAGTATGGAAAGCTTAAGAAAAATGGTTAATCTATTAATATGGTAAATGAAAATAACCCAGTAACCGTGTTAATATATATTATAAAAATCATTGGCCAAACAATAACGTGCAAACACAAAGCATAATCTGATAAATAATTATTTTACTCCTCCCATTTACCTATGAGACACATAAGGACTTCCTTCTCTGGGTTTCCATTGTCCTTGCTGGATGAATGTATTTTGTCTTTCATCACAGTACACCTTGTATTTTGATTATTTGTATAAGGTTCTCATTTTGAATTAGATAATAAGTAATTTGAGGGCAAAGGCTATAAAAATATTTGTATTGTAAATTAAGGTTCAGAGAGGGAAGGTGACTTGCCCAGAGGCACCTGCTTGGGGGACATTGATGTCAGAACTTTCCTCCCTTCCCCTCGACCACTCCTGCCGTTGGCTCCATCAACTGAATTTGGAGTCATTGTCTTGATTTAATGTTACATTCTCAATCTTTTGACTTCTTGCTTTTCAGTTTCTTAACTTATAAATATTAAACCAGCACTAAAACATTGTTCTGTAATAAATGTGAAAAATCAATTTCCTGCATAAATTGGCATCATAGAAAAATTCAGTCAAAAACTATTGGTGTTTCTAAGTAGCATGGTACTCGATTTACTTTGTTTCTCTTTTGTAATATTATAAAAATTTTGCTTGTTTTTAGCCTATAGCTTGTCCCATCTCTTATTTAAATATGCAGAATGAACTGGATTTTTGTATTTGTCATAAATAGTTTTTGTTGGTAGAATTTCAGATTTACCAGTTGTGTATTTGCATTAATTATTCTGAGTTATTTTAATCTTTTAGAGTAAGATCATAAGAGACATGACTAATCTCTTTAGTGAAGTATAAAGAAGCGTTTAATAACAATAACAAAGTCATAGCAATTGGCAAGATCAGCGATACAAAGTAAATGAAAATTTGACAATGAATTTCTGAAAAGTTATTCCATCTGCTTTAATTCTTGAAGTTTTATTCTCTATTTCTGAGAGCAGGAATAGAGTATAATTAAAAATAAACAAAAAGCAAAAGAGGACATTATCTTTTTGTAATCATTTCAGTGATTATAAATTCAGTCATCATGCCCTTTTGAAAAAATCATTCTAAATATACTACTTTATTTCCATAAATAATTTCCAAATGGGATATCTGCACTGAAGTCAAACACATGCATGTATCATAATGAAAACCTTCTGAAGCATTTGAATGCCTTAGTTAGATTAGATGGGCTGATTGATCTGATGTTTCTGCCTTGAGGGGGAAAAAAGAATAAAAGGCATCCTTCAAGGTAAAAGTTACTCAAGGCAGGATGAATGCTTGATTACTGAGACTATTTTCTTTCCCTGTTAAATCATAAACACAAAAGGAGGAGAGGAAAAGAAACAAAGAACTGAGGGGAAAAACTCCAGCAATAAATTCTTTGGCAATGTCTAGATTTTGTAATGATCAGAATTAATATGTTGACCACAGAAGTGTAAACTTAAAGTGAGTATCAGTGCTTCTATTATGATAGGAATCAAACTTATTGGCAATATAGAGAAATTTTGACTGAAGGAAGGGAAAAATGAAAAAGGGAGATGAAAGATAGAACCAAATTGAGCACCTAATATGTGCAAGATATTCCATTAGGAAC